>NC_000001.11:215684587-216309587 GCF_000001405.40 Homo sapiens
TACCCTGCTCCCAGTAATGAACCAAAACAATGATGTATAGGCACTCTTGTGTTCATCAACAGAGTATTACGTGTCCATATTATATTTTGGAAAGGGTTAATCTTCCTGGTCACCATCAACTTCATTCTAAGCCAGTGGGATTTCTTCTGGCTTTGTCTTTCATTTATGATTCTCCCTTATCCTGGGCTCTTTATCCTGAAATGGATGAGTTTTGGCTTCTGCATCCCAACCAAGTCACGGGGTTCCCTTGCCTCCTTAGTTATGATGAATACCAAGAACCAGAGAATAAGTCACATCAAAAATTCACCTTTTTGTGCAAAGAGAACTTCAGAAGAATCTAGATTTAAGTATATTAACCTCTGTATTCTTAAGTTGAACTGCCGAGATCCTTTATCATTAATTATATTTTATTTTGTCTTAATGATAAGGAATGATTATACCTGAGACCTAGAGTTTCTGATTTAGATTACAAATAAAATGTGAGAAGCAGTTCGAGCTCCCATTAACTGTTATCTAAAAGCCATGACTTTGGATAGAGTACATCCAGGCAATTGGATGACTTTTATATGTCGTAATGTAGACAAATCAACACAAAATATTTTTCTAGATTTTTGAAAGCCAGATAATTTGAGGCGTGGATTCTGCAGGACGATTTTTCCTCTCCATTTATAAAGTTAACCTTTAAGTTCCCCAAAAGTTGATCAACATATTTATGTCTAATACTATTTTGCAAAATTCAAATCAGTTTTTTTTTTTTGTTGTTGTTGTTTTTTTTTTTGAGATGGAGTTTCACTCTCGTCGCCCAGGCTGAAATGCAAGGAGTACAATGGCGCAATCTCAGCTCACTGCAACTTCCGCCTCCTGGGTTCGAGCGATTCTCATGCCTCAGTCTCCCGAGTAGCTGGGATTACAGGCACCCGCCACCACGCCCAGGTAATTTTTGTATTTTAAGTAGAGACGGGGTTTCACCATCTTAGCCAGGTTGGTCTTGAACTTCGGACTTCAGGTGATCCACCCGCCATGGCCTCCCAAAGTGCTGGGATTACAGGCATGAGCCACAGAGCCTGGCCATCAAATCAGTCTTGATACAGAAATTATTATTATTATTTTTTTACCACGCATTAGGCAAATATCAAACTTGAATACTTATCCATGGTTCACTTGGCATGAGACTTCCAAGCCTGCAAAATATAAACATTGTCAGAACATTTTCACCAACTTCACCTGCACACTTCCTTTACCAGTGCCATCTTCACCTAAATGTATCTCAGCTGGTGAGACAAAAAAGACATTTATTTTGACAGCAAACACGTACATGCAGAGTTGCTCCGGAATCAAAGATCAACTCACAATACAAGAAAGGTAGAACAAAATACCCTTTAGGACCATGGCCTATTGTTTAGTGTTCAGGCCTATTGTTTTAGTGTGTATGTGCTAGGCAGCATCACCAAGTGGGATGACACAGCTGCCAAAATGCTCAGTGCAAACATTTAGCAGTTTCTCAGCAGCTGGTTTACTTCTTTAAACATTTTTGAGCATCTTTTATGCAAAAGACTCTATAAAATTGCAATGGAAGATACAAGATGGGTAACACAGACTCTTGACTCTGAGGAACTTATAATCTAATAGAGCAAATCAATAATGTATATACATACACACAATTCAGTGTGGCAGTGCTATAATAAGCACCAGAGAAATACTAAGGAAATACTTGTTATTCAGAAGAAAGGGGGTGAGGACTTGGGGAAGACTTAATTGAGACGTGGCATTTGATCCAGGTCAGGAAAGATGTAGAATTTGAGCAGATAAAAATAGATGAAGGATTAGAAGAAGGAACAGTAGAAAGTTCTGGAGATACCTGGGTGGCAGTTCAACAAAGCAGAAGTGTGATGGTTGCAGGGGAATAGTAGGGATTGTGGCTGGAAAGGGGATTGTGATAAGACTAAAGAGGGCTGTGAATGTCACTCTAAAGTTTTTGAACTGCATTTGTTAGGAAACAATAAGTAACATTAGGCAAAAAATTTAAGACCTAATTATGTGTGAAGAGCTCTGCAATGCAATTTGAAGGAATAATGGAAGAACTTTTAAATTTCACCCTATCGTGGTATAGATCATGGTCAGTGACTAATGAAATAATAAATCTGCCAGGAATTAATTAATTAACTCAATTATTATTCAGCCAATAAGTATAGATTGCCATTTGCACAAGGTAATAGGAAAAGTATTTTCTTAGAAAAAAGATTTAAAATTTTCTTTATGGAACGTTCACTCTATTTCAAAATTTGTAATTATTCTTTAGACACAAGGATTTTTCTTTTGATTTCAATTGAGGCAGGAAGTATAATAACTGAATGGTGTTAAAACCAATTTTCCTATTTTCTTTCCTGACCCACTATCAGAACCATGCCTTCCTGAAGTGTGTTTTCTCCTGATACTGGGGACATGTTTGAGTGGAACCCTCTACACCCTTGTCCCAGCCCCTTGTACATATCAAACAGTGATGAGGCAGCTGGAAATGTTAAGGACACTATTGACGACTGGGTAACAATGAGGCCAACTCAAATGTACTCATAAGTGTTAAAGCATTCCTAGCTCTGGGTTCTAGCTAATGCTGTCACCTAATGGATTAGGCAGGGGACAATTGTTATAACAATTGTAAATTTCAAACTTAAAATGTTCAGCTTGGAGGATCCACATATTAACACTGGGATCACTTTAATGCTTTTACTCCAACAACTCTCTACACTCAGAAAAGAAGAATGATACGTGAAAAGGGAGAAGGTTTTTTTTTTCCTCTCTTTAGAATACATCATTCATTTTGTAATGGAGGGGTCAATTCAAAAAGAAGACTCAATTCACAGACATTTTCTTTATAGACAAATTGGCTGTATCAATTTAACCTATAAAGCAAAAGCTAGAGTTATTGCAAAATGAACAATGATGCTTCAGTTACCATAAAAACATTGGGGGAAAAATGGTTTTGAAATGCCTCATTTTTCAAAGGAGAAGAGGAAAAAAATTAAATTTGTGATAATTAAATTTTAAAGTGGCAAATCAGTCACACTAAATATTAAAAAGCAGTACTTCTGATCTATCAAAATTAAAAATGTGCATACACTGTGACCCAGCAATTTCACTCTGATAATCTATTCTATGGAAATAGTGGCAAAACTGTACTAAAACTCATATAAAAATTTTCATTTGGGCCATAGCTTTAGATTTATTTAAGCCTTGATTAAACACACATGTATTGAGAGCTTCTTATACACTAGGCATGCTCCTAATCTCTGAGGATACAATAGAAAGCAAGGGAGGCAAGGTCATTACCTTCCCGAATTTTACATTATAAAGGAGGACAAATGGGCAATATATAAACAGAGGGAGATAGAGAGATCAAGACATAGAGAGAGAATTGGAAATTGTGGTAAATTATGAAGGGAATAAGTAGGGTGGTGCACTAATTAGTGTTTGGGCTTAGGTATTGGGGAAGAGTGAATGAAATTCTTGATTACAAGGGCGGGTAAGAAAGGTCCTTGAAGAAGTTACATTTAGGCAAGAGTGCAGAAAAACACCATCTGTGTGAAGAATCAGGGGACAAAGTTTTGGGAGCAAGAGCAGAACAGAAACTCTAAGATGGGAACAGACTTGGTGTTTTTGTTGACAGAAAGGAGCTAGTGCGACCAAGCTGGGTGATGGAGAGAAGAATGGCCCAAGAGAAGGTCAAAAGGATGAGCAGGAGCTAGATGGTATCAATCCTGGAGGCCAAGGTAAAGAGTTCAAGTCTGATTCCAATTTCAGTGGAAAACTATCGAAGGCCTGTAAACAAGGGTGTGACACAATTTAATCTAGGTTTTGAAGAACTCATTCTGGCTGATGTGTGAACAATATATGGAGGCCATTGCATTTGTCTACTCGGGCTGCTATAGCAAAGAACCATGGACTGAGTTGCTTTAAACACAGAAGTTCATTTTCTTGCAATTCTTGAGGTTAGAAGTCTAAGATCAAGGTGTCTTCATGGTTGGCTTCTGGTGAAGCCTCTCTTCTGGCTTATAGACAGCTGTCTTCTGGATGTGTTTCCGTGTCATCTTTGTGTGCATGCAGAGAGATATCTCTGGTGTCTCTTCTTCTTATAAGAACATTAATCCTATAGGATGAAGGTCCCATCTTTATGACCTTACTTAAGCTTAATTACCTTCCTAGAGGCCCTATCTCCAAATACAGTCACCTTGGGGGTTAGGGCTCCAGTGTATGCATTTTGGGAGGAACACAATCCATTTCATAACATGGGTCAAGAGAGGGAGGGGAGACATTCAAAGGCTTTTGCTGAAGGCCAGGAAGGGGTAATAGTGGCTTGGACTAGGGTGGTAATGGTAGACATAGAATTAAGGGGATAGATTTATATTTTGAATGTAGAACCAATAGAATTATGATGGATTGAATGTAGAAGGCAAGGGAAAGAGAGGAATGAAGGACGACTCTTAGGTTTTTCTTCTTGAGAGAAAGGGTAGGTGAGGGTACCATTTAATGAGATGTAGAAGTCTGAGCAGTAACAGATTTGGGAAGGGAAGGAACAACTTTGGTCTTGTTAAGTTCAAGATGTCAAGTAGACAGACCAATGAAACTATAGTTTTGGGAAGAGACTGAATTAGGAATACACATTTGAGGGTCCTTGGACATATCTCCCAAAATCCAGTCTTGTATCCAATTGTCTTGTTAACCTCTTCATTTGGATGTCTAATACATCTGAAACTTAACAAGTCTCCATATGATCTCTTGATTTTCCCTTTTTTGAAGTTTGTATTATGTCAGATTGGTTAAGGTGAAACTGCATATCTCAGAATTCCTTCTGTGGGAGACACACCTTAAGGTGACCCCTGCAATGAATCATGCCCTTGTGTGATTCTCCCTCCCCCTGAGTGCAGTCAGGGCCTATGCCTTGTTGCTAACTAATAGAAAATGGCAAAACTCTAGGATGTCACTGCCATAAATATGGCAGACACCATCTCAGCAGACTGAAAGTGAAATCCTTCAGCTGGTCTTTAAGAAGTAAACTGCCATGCTATGAGAGGGCCTGTGAAGGACCCCTGTGGAGGGGAACTAGGTGGTCTCTAGGACATGAGGGCCAACAGCCAACAGGAAGCCAGGGCCTCCCTCTCATTCCCACACAAGAGAAATGAACTCTGCTAACAACTTGAATGAGATTGGAAGTAAATGTTTCTCCATTCAAACCTCCGGATGAGAACACAGCCCAACAGACACCCTAATTGTAGCCTTATGAGACCTCGAACAAAAGGCCTGAGACTCTTGACAAAGGGGAACTGTGAGATAACAAGTAGAAATTGTTTTTAAGCTACTAAGTTTGTTGTACTTTGTTATATATAGCAGTAATATATCTTCTCTATCTAGTTCTGGATTAAAGATACATTTACATACAATTTGGAGAATGAAAGTAAATCAGTGGCCATTACTCTTCGAAGTTGGTTGAAGTTAGATGTGAAGATGAATAGACACAGAGGTGCAAGTGGGTTCCAGATTGTCCTCATTCTCCTCTACTCCAATCTGACTCTTCTTTCCAGCTGCTGACTCTTTAACCAATAGTGGCCCAGGTCTACCACCTGACACTTAGTGCTGGCCCCACAGAGATGGTAGCTAAACAGAGGAGTTGCTTTCCATAGACCTCTCCATAGGCATCTGTGGTAGGGACACTAAGGTGGCTGGCCATCCTTGGCTTCTTGAATGGGCATGGTGGCAACTCCCTTACCCATCTTCTTACTCTCCTCCCCAAATCTTCACTTTCCCAGCTATTCCCACAATTGCGTAAGGTCTAATTCCTAGAGAAAGCGCTCATCTTTAGCTGGGTGTGGTGATGCAAACCTGCAGTCCCAGCTATTTGGAAGGCTAAGGTGGAAGAATTGCTTGAGCCCAGAAGCTTGAGTGTAGCCTGGGCAACATAAGAAGACCCTGTCTCTAATGAACAATAATAATAAACTTTCTATCTCAAAACCCATAGTGTTCAGTCTCCCTGACTGAAATGATTCTGATGTACCTAGAAAAGCTGCTTCACCTGCAGTCTTCCCTTTTTTTCAGTTGATGACGACTTCATTCTTCCAGTTGTTTAGGCCAAAAACTTTGGATTCATTTTCTCTTTTTTTTCACATCTACTCTACTCATTAGGAAATAGGACTGGATTTATTTAACTTCAAGATACATCCAGAATCCTACCAGTTCACACCACATCTACTACTACCACTCTGATCCAAGCCATACTTTCCCACTCTCAGCACTGCAGTAGCCTCAGTTTGCCTTTTTTTCTCTTTTTTTAGATGGAATCTCGCTCTGTCACTGAGGCTGGAGTGCAGCCTCTTGGCTCACTGCAACCTCCACCTCCCAGGTTCAAGCGATTCTTCTGCCTCATCCTCCTGAGTAGCTGGGACTACAGGCAAGCACCAACAGGCCAGGCTAATTTATGTATTTTTAATAGAGATGGGGTTTCATCATATTGGCCAGGCTGGTCTCGAACTCCTGACCTTGTGATGTGCCCTCCTCGGCCTCCCAAAGTGCTGGGATTACAGGTGTGAGCCACCGTGCCCAGCCAGTTAGCCTATTTTTAACCTTAAATCCTCATTGTCCACATAGCAAAAGTGTATTTTGGACACAAGTCAGATCATGTCACTCCTCTGCTCAAAACCCTGTTCTAGTTCCTCAAGTTATTCATAATCAAAGCCTGTTCTTTCTGCCCACCCTTCCACTTCCTTTCTGACATTGTCTCCTATCATTTTCCCCTGGGAAAACTGCACTGCAGCCACACTAGTCTTGTTGAAAATTTTAAAACATACTAAACAAGCTCGTGCCTTGAGGCCTCTGTACTGGCTGTTTTCTCTGCCTGCAACCCACTTTATGCATAGGTTTGCATGAGTAACTTCAGCTCATCTTCTCAATGAGCCACTCTTCTTTAAAACTGCAACTGACCCACTCTCCTCCCTGTCTCCTCCCAATTTTGATTCTTTTTATCCTGATTTATTTTCTTAAGCACTCATCACCTTCTAACATACCATATTTTTTTATGATTATTGCTTGTTGTCTGTCTTTCCTTGCCAGAATGTAAACTCCACAGAGTCAAAGGCCTGCATCTACTTCATTCTCTCTAAACCCCAAATGCCTCTAATTGTGGCTGGGCTAGAGTAAGTGTTCAAAAGTATTTGTATTATCAGTGAATATGGACAGAATTTAAGCTGAAGGGCTGGGGTGAAGAAGCGAATGTAGAGTGAAGTCTAAGAAGTAGACTTGAATGAGTCTAGGAATAGTCTAAGGAGAGAGTGTAGGTCAAGTAGAAGAGAGAGCTCAGGACCAAACTCAGTGGCAGATGCAGGATGAGGCTGACTTGGACAGCAGCCGAAAGGAAATCAGTAATAGAAGCTGAGACCAGGACAATAAAGGGAAGAAAACCAATACAGTGTGTTCTCCTTGAAACTGAGAGAAGAGGGTATTTTTTAAAGAAGTGTGGTAAGCAGTGTCAAATGCTGCTGAAATGTTAAGGAAGCTGTGCATAGGAAGAGCTCTTGATTTCGTGGCAAATCGTCTTGATATGAGCCTTTTAATGGAGTGATAAGGACAGAAACCTGGTTGGAGTGGGTGGAAGGGAGAACAGATGTGTAGAGGTAGAAACAGGGAATAGTAATATATTCTTTTGAGAAGTTTGGCTGTAAACTGTAAAGGGGAACAGGAACAGGAGATGGTAGCTGGAGGGGCCCGTGGAGTCACATATTTAAAAAATGGGAGATACCAGGAGTATATTTTTATATTGATGGCAATTTTTCAATAATGAGGTAGAGATTGATGACTCAGGAGAGAAAGATATTTTACATATATATATATATATGAATTAGAACTTTCTTCTCACTTTGCATATGGAAATCAAGTTAACCAAAAATCTGTATATGGCAAACTGATATGGGTGTGCTCAGGCCTCAGCCAATTAACTGTGAGTTAGCTACAGTATCCTTAGCAAAGCAGTATTTTATACCCACAGCAACAATCATTGCATGCTTAGCTCTTTGCATAGATAAATTTGCAACAACAGTACTTCATAGAAAATGAAGTGGTATGTAAACTACCAGGCTATATCTATGAGGAGCAGGGAAATTCTTTAAAAATCATTTTTGAAGGTTTTAACTAAATTATTACTTTTCATAAACTGGACCTTCTAAGTGAAGGGTGCAGCAACAATGAAAAGTTCCCCATCTCCTCCCCCATGCCCCAGTTGTTTAGTTCTCCTCCCTTATGGTAACAAAAGTTATTTATTTACCATTTTCTTTTCGTTTTTAATTTTTTTTTGAGACAGAGTCTCACTCTGTTGCCCGGGTTGGAGTATTGTGGCATGATCTTGGCTCATGGCAACCTCTGTCTCCAAGACTCAAACAATCCTCCCACCTCAGCCTCCTGAGTCACCACAGGTGTGTGCCACCATGCCCAGCTAATTTTTGTGTGTGTATATATATATATATATGTGTGTGTGTGTGTGTGTATGTGTATATATATATATATATACACACACACACATATGTATTTTTTTTTGTGGATACAAGGTCTCACTAAGTTGCCCAGGCTGGTCTTGAACTCCTGGGCTGAAGCAATCCACCTGCCTTGGCCTCCCAAATTGTTGGGATTACAGGTATGAGCCACTGCACCCAACCAGTTTACCATTTTCTTGTCTATCCTTCCTAAGGTAGATTATTTGTGAGCAAAGTTTTTGCTCCTACTATGTCAGACTTGGTGTATCCCATTTCATCTTCACATGAAGCTAGGAGATTTGTATTGTTATACATAAGGAAATTGAGGCTTAGATAAGTTAAATGTCTTACCTAGAGTCATACTGCTGACAAGAGACAGGGTTATGATTTTATTTCTGTGCTATGTGGAGGTAAAATGTACTTGTGAAGTGTATTAGTAGTTCCAGTGTTTTCATTTCAAGACCCCTGTTTCTTAAAAACAACTGAAGATCCCAAAGAACTTTTGTTTCTGATCTTTATATCGATCAATAGTACCATATTGAAAATTAAAGTAGAGAAGTGTTTAAAGGAAAAGAATACTGAGACATGTATACGACTAGCCAGCAGAGTGACTACATCCTCATACATCATGGAGCCTCTGGAAAACTCCACTGTAGTGTACCCTCATGAAGGGGATGAAGGTGAAAAAGACATGTAAGTTCTTACTGTTAGTATGAACATAGTTTTTCCCTGGCAGAGCCCCTGAAAGAGTGTTTGGGACCCTAAGAGATTAGTGGCCTACATGTTGAGTACTGCTTAACTATACTATATCCCACTTTAATTGGCAGCTCCAAATAAAGATGAATCCAATTTGTTTGAACTTTTATTCAGTAAAGAAAGGGCTGCTATGCTTGTAACTCTTGATAAACACAGACAAAATATTTGTGGTTAACTATAAAATGTTCTCATATAAATAAGGCCTATTAGAAAGACATTTAGGGTTAAACAGTCTAAAAATTGTGACTGGCACTGTACTCCAACTGTCTGATTTTGTTGTTGAGCCTAAAGTCCATAGGGCCCAAATGACCTGTACAAGATAAGACAATCCATCAATACCAGAATCGCAAATGAATTACAAATTCGCAACTCATACCTACACACTCTTTTCGATTTAAATTAAAACTATTTGTTGAAAACAAGACATTCAAAATTTCTTGCCAGGCGTGGTGGCTCACACCTGTAATCCCAGCACTTTGGGAGGCCAAGGCGGGTAGATCAGGAGGTCAGGAGATCAAGACCATCCCGGCTAACACTGTGAAACCCCGTTTCTACTAAAAATACCAAAAATTAGACGGGCGTGGTTGCGGGCACCTGTAGTCCCAGCTACTCGGGAGGCTGAGGCAGGAGAATGGCGTGAACCCGGGAGGCGGAGCTTACGGTTAGCCGAGATCACGCCACTGCACTCCAGCCTGGGTGACAGAGAGAGACTCCATCTCAAAACAAACAAACAAACAACCCACAAGGCATTCAAAATTTCTTTGTCATAAGCATGGCTACTCAAGAGAGAAAAATGGTTTGAATTTACTCACAGGTCCACCTTTATTACTTGATAGATCTTATACTCTAGTGTATCTGTCTCTTCACTTGTTTGTCCCCTTACCACTTCCTAATAACATCACATTGAGGGTTAGGATTTCATTGTAAGGATTTGGAAAGGGAGTGGGCAACTGCATTCAGTCCAGAGCAATGACCATATAGGATTTAGCCCTTAGAAAAGTTGTTTTACATTTAATCATCTCAAGAGAAAAATTCAGCACTCATATAGCAAAATCATACTTAATGATAAAACTTTAGCAGTCTTCCTGTTAATATAACAAATAAGACAGATGCATTCTATTTATTATTGTAGTGGTAATCCTAGGCAATGTAAGATAAGGAAATAAAAAGAGCTATGCAGCAGAGATTATTATAATTTACCAAATATTCATTTATTTTACTTTTTTCGCAGTTGCTAGTTTCCCTGCCCCTAAATAGAGAGGTTATGAGACATTCTTATCAATGGGATGTGAGAAGAAGGAATGTCAGCTATTTCCAGGTCTGGACCTTAAAAGCTTCTTGCAGAACTCTGCAGCATGCTCTTCCCCTATCATGATCTGACACTGATATA
Organism: Homo sapiens; assembly: GCF_000001405.40. Lineage (NCBI taxonomy): Eukaryota > Metazoa > Chordata > Mammalia > Primates > Hominidae > Homo > Homo sapiens. The sequence goes on from NC_000001.11 coordinate 215,695,244, forward strand.
AGATGGAGAAGGGCAGCCAAATCCACCTTTGACTTTCCCACTTTTATTGCATTAGGTAGTGAGATTTGGAATTTTATTTGTTACCAGAGCCTATCCTATCCTATCTTATTCTAACACAAGGTACATGGGTTTTGAAGCATGAGATATGATTATTAACTACCTAAAAGGTCCACAGAATCTAAAAATAAACAATTATAGAGTTCAGCAATTTTAGGATCATACAAAAATCAATTGTATTTCCCAATAAAAAAAAACAACCAGATTCTAAAACTTACAACTTACAGGAAAGGTGGGAATTGGCAGTAATCAATATTCTAGTCAAGGAAATTTAGTTACAGGGAAAAGAAACTCATTTTGATTGGTTTTGTAAGGAAGAGAAAAGGCAAGTATAGAACCCAAGCCTGTACAGAAGCTACAGCTGACCTCTGAGCAATGCAAGGGTTAGGGGATCCAATGTCCTACACAGGCAAACGTCTACATATCACATAACTTTCTGTTTTTGTTTGTTTGTTTGTTTGTTTGTTTTTTGAGACAGAGTCTCTCTATTGCCCAGGCTGGAGTACAGTGGAACGATCTTGGCCACTGCAACCTCTGCCTCCTGGGTTCAAGGGATTCTCCTGCCTCAGCCTCCTAGTAGCTGGAATTACAGGTGTGTGCCACCACACCCAAATTTTTGTATTTTTTTTTTAGAGACAGGGTTTCCCCATGTTGGCCAGGCTGGTCTTGAACTTCTGACCACAGGTGATCCGCCTGTCTCATCCTCCCAAAGTGCTGGGATTACAGGCATGACCCACTGTGCCTGGCCTACACATAGCTTTTGACTCCCCCGGAACTTAACTACTAACAGGATACTAATAACAGAAGCCTTACCAACAACATAAGCTGTCAACAAACACATATTTTGTTTGTTATATGTATTATATACTGCATTCTTACAATAAAGCAAGCTAGAGAAAAAGTTATTAAGAAAATCATAAGGAAGAGAAAGGTCATAAAGGTCTTCATCCTTGCCATTTTCTTGTTGAATAGGTCAAGGAGGAGAAGGAAGAGGAGGAATTGCTCTTGCTGTCTTAGGAGTGGCAGAGGCAGAAGAAAAGCTATGGGTAAGTGGACCTGTTCAAACCTGTGTTGTTCAAGGGTCAACTTTACAGGTTTGGGTTTTGAAACTGGAAAACTGTCAGAACTGAGTTTCTCTCTCTGTCACTCAGGGGCTGCATGGCACTTCTCTCTCTTTTCCCTTTCTCTTAATTTTCTTTCTTTCCCTTTTGCCCAGCATGGCTACCAATTGTCAGTCTAAACAACCTTACAGCCTTATTAGTCATAACCATCTGACTACTGTCTCTGTGTGTCTTCAGAAAGACAGGATCTGGTTGGTTGTTGGCTATGCAATGGGTTTGCTGGCCTTGGGTCAGCTGTTGCTGAAGAGTTAGCGGATACAGACTTGTGCCCCTGCTCTCATTTATCAGCTTAAATTACAAATGGGGGCATGGTGGCTCACGCCTCTAACCAGCATTTTGGGAGGCCAAGGTGGGAGGATCACTTGAGCCCAGGTCAAGGATACAGTGAGCTATGATGGAGCCACTGCACTCCAGCCTGGGTGACATAGTGAGACCTGTCTCTAAACAAACAAAATAAAATAAATGGTAGCAGATCTCAGTGAGAGGATGCCGTGGTCATATTAAAACACTTCCATTACACCCTCTTTTTTTTTTGTTTGTTTGTTTTTTGAGACAGGGTCTTACTTTGACACTCAGGCTGGGGTGCAGTGGCATGATCTCTGTTCACTGCAGCCTTGACCTCCTGGGCTCAAGCAATTCTCCCACCTCAGTCCCACAAGTAGCTGGGACTACAGGCATGTGCCACCAGGCCCAGCTAATTTTTTTTTTTGTATTTTTTGTAGAGATGTAGTTTTACCATGTTGCCCAGGCTGGTCTTGAACTCCTAAGCTCAAGAGATCTGCCTGCCTCGGCCTCCCACAGTGTTAGGATTACAGGTGTGAGTCACCTCACCTGGCCTGCCCCCTATTTTTGATATTAGACGATAACATGGCTAAAGATTACTCTCTATGGTTGTCTCTGGAAAGACCCCTCCTCTTGGCAAAGGCTGGTTAGGGAGCTGAGTGCCACCTGTAGCTTGGTTTCCAGGTATTCCTGAAGCTTTACTTCAAATGAAGCCTGCAATATCAAATACTTTATTGCTGTGTTTGTCAGTGAACATTCAAATCTTTTGGGCTTCTCTGCTTTCTGTAATCCTACTTCTGCTTTTAAAAAATTTTTTATTTATATTTTTTTTGTTGAGATGGAGTTTCGTTCTTGTTGACCTGGCTGGAGTGCAATGGCACGATCTCGGCTCACTGCAATCTCCGCCTCCCGGGTTCAAGCAATTCTCCTGCCTCAGCCTCCCGAGTATCTGGGATTACAGGCATGTGCCATTACACCCAGCTAATTTTGTATTTTTAGTAGAGATGGCGTTTCTCCATGTTGGTCAGGCTGGTCTTGAACTCCCAACCTCAGGTGATCTGCCCACTTCGGACTCCCAAAGTGCTGGGATTACAGGCATGATCCACCACACCCAGGCTTTTATTTATTTATTTTTTAATTACACTTTAAGTTCTGGGATACATGTGCAGAACATGCAGGTTTGTTACATAGGTATACATGTGCCATGCTGGTTTGCTGCACCCATCAGCCCGTCATCTACATTAGGTATTTCTCCTAATGTTACCCCTCCTCTTTCTCCCCAGCCCCTGACAGGCCCCAGTGTGTGATGTTCCCCTCCCTGTGCCCATATGTTCTCATTGTTCAACTCCCACTTATGAGTGAGAACATGTGGTGTTTGGTTTTCTGTTTCTGTGTTAGTTTGCTGAGAATGATGGTTTCCAGCTTCATCCATGTCCCTGCAGAGGACATGAACTCATTCTTTTTTATGGCTGCATAGTATTCCATGGTGTATATGTACCATATTTTCTTTATCCAGTCTATCATTGATGGGCATTTGGGTTGGTTCCAAGTCTTGGATATTGTGAATAGTGCCACAATAAATATGTGCATGTGTCTTTATACTAGAATGATTTATAATGCCTTGGGTATATACCCAGTAATGGGATTGCTGGGTCAAATGGTATTTCTGGGTCTAGATCCTTGAGGAATCACCACACTGTCTTCCACAATGGTTAAACTAATTTACACTCCCACCAACAGTGTAAAAGTGTTCCAATTTCTTCACATCCTCTCCAGCATCTGTTGTTTCTTGACTTTTTAATTATCACCATTCCAAGTGGTGTGAGATGGTATCTCATTGTGGTTTTGATTTGCATTTCTCTAATTACCAGTGATATGAGGCTTTTTTCATATGTTTGTTGGCTGCATAAATGTCTTCTTTTGAAAAGTGTCTGTTCATATCCTTTGCCCACTTTTTGATGAGGTTATTTGTTTTTTTCTTGTAAATTTGTTTAAGTTCCTTGTAGATTCTGGATATTAGCCCTTTGTCAGATGGATAGGTTGCAAAAATTTTCTCCCATTCTGTAGATTGCCTTTTCACTCTGATGATAGTTTCTTTTGCTGTGCAGAAGCTCTTTAGTTTAATCAGATCCCATTTGTCAATATTAGCTTTTGTTGCCATTGCTTTTGGTGTTTTAGTCATAAGGTCTTTGCCCATGCCTATGTCCTGAATGGTATTGCCTAGGTTTTCTTCTAGGGTTTTTATGGTTTTAGGTCTTATGTTTAAATCTTTAATCCATCTTAATTTTTGTATAAGGTCTAAGAAAGGGGTCCAGTTTCAGTTTTCTGCATATAGGTAGCCAGTTTTCCCAACACTGTTTATTAAATAGGGAATCCTTTCCCCATTGCTTGTTTTTGTCAGGTTTGTCAAAGATCAGATGGTTGTAGATGTATGTTGTTACTTCTGAGGCCTCTGTTCTGTTTCATTGGTCTATATATCTGTTTTGGTACCAGTGCTATGCTGTTTTGGTTACTGTAGCCTTGTAGTATAGTTTGAAGTTAGGTAGCATGATGCCTCCAGCTTTGTTCTTTTTGCTTAAGATTGTCTTGGTTATATGGGCTCTTTTTTGGTTCCATATGAAATTTAAAGTAATTTTTACTAATTTCATGAAGAAAGTCAATGGTAGCTTGATGGGGTAGCATTGAATCTATAAATTACTTTGGGCAGTATGGCCATTTTCAGGATATTGATTCTTCCTATCCATGAGCATGGAATATTTTTCCATTTGTTTGTGTCCTCTCTTAACTTCCTTGTGCAGTGGTTTGTAGTTCTCCTTGGGGAGGTCCTTCACAACCCTTGTAAGTTGTATTCCTAGGTATTTTGTTTTCTTTGTAGCAATTGTGAATGGAAGTTCACTCATGATTTGGCTCTCTTTCTATTATTGGTGTATAGGAATGCTTGTGATTTTTGCACATTGATTTTGTATCCTGAGAATTTGCTTATCAGCTTAAGGCATTTTTGGGCTAAGATGATGGGGTTTTCTAAATGTACAATCATGTCATCTGCAAACAGAGATAATTTGACTTCCTCTCTTCCTATTTGAATATGCTTTATTTCTTTATCTTGCCTGATTGCCCTGGCCAGAAGTTTCAATGCCATGTTGAATAGAAATGGTGAGAGAGGGCATCCTTGTCCTGTGCTGGTTTTCCAAGGGAATGCTTCCAGCTTTTGCCCATTCAGTATGATATTGGCTGTGGGTTTGTCATAAATAGCTCTTATTATTTTGAGATACATTCCATCAATGCCTAATTTATTGAGTGGTTTTAGCATGAAGGGGTGCTGAATTTTATTGAAGGCCTTTTCTGCATCTATTGAGATAATCATGTGGTTTTTGTCATTGTTTCTGTTTTTGTGATAGATTATGTTTATTGACTTAGGTATATTGAACCAGCCTTGCATCCCAGGGATGAAGCTGACCCGATCGTGGTGGATAAGCTTTATAATGTGTTGCTGGATTTGATTTGCCAGTATTTTATTGAGAATATCTGTATCAATGTTCATCATGGATATTGGTGTGAAATTTTCTTTTTTTGTCGTGTCTCTGCCAGGTTTTGGTATCAGGATGATGCTGGCCTTATAAAATGAGTTAGGGAGGAGTTCTTCTTTTTCTATTGTTTGGAACAGTTTTAGAAGAAATTGTACCAGCTCCTCTTTGTACCTCTGGTAGAATTCGGCTGTGAATCCTTCTGGTCCTGGGCTTTTTTTGGTTGGTAGTCTATTAATTACTGCCTCAATTTCAGAACTTGTTATTGGTCTATTCAGAGATTCAACTTCTTCCTGGTTTAGTCTTGGGAGGGTGTATGTGTCCAGGAATTTATCCATTTCTTCTAGATTTTCTAGTTTATTTATGTAAAGGTGTTTATAGTATCCTCTGATGGTAGTTTGTATTTCTGTGGGATCAGTAGCGATATTCCCTTTGTCATTATTCACTGTGTCTATTTGATTCTTCTCTCTTTTCTTCTTTATTAGTCTAGCTAGCAGTCTATTTATTTTGTTAATCTTTTCAAAAATCCAGCTCCTGGATTTATCGATTTTTTGAAGGGTTTTTCATGTCTCTATCTTCTTCAGTTCTGCTCTCGTCTTAATTATTTCTTGTCTTCTGGTAGCTTTTGAACTTGTTTGCTCTTGCTTCTCTAGTTCTTTTAATTGTGATGTTAGGGTGTTGATTTTAGATCTTTCCTGCTTTCTCTTGTGGGCACTTATTGCTATAAATTTCCCTCTAAACACTGCTTTAGCTGTGTCCCAGAGATTCTGGTATGTTGTATCTTTGTTCTCATTGGTTTCAATGAACGTATGTATTTTTGCTTTAATTTCATTCTACACCCAGTAGTCATTCAGGAGCAGGTTGTTCAATTTCCATGTAGTTGTGTGGTTTTGAGTGAGTTTCTTAAGCCTGAGTTCTAATTTGATTGCACTGTGTTCTGAGAGACTGTTATGATTTCCATTCTTTTGCATTTGCTGAGGAGTGTTTTACTTCCAATTATGTGGTCAGTTTTAGAATAAGTGTGATGTGGTGCTGAGAAGAAAGTATATTCTGTTGATTTGGGGTGGAGAATTCTGTAGATGTCTATTAGGTCTGTTAGATGTCTATTAGATCTGCTAGAGCTGAGTTCAAGTCCTGAATATCCATGTTAATTTTCTGTCTCGTTGATCTGTCTAATATTGACAGTGGGGTGTTAAAGTCTCTCACTATTATTCTGTGGGAGTTTAAGTCTCTTTGCAGGTCTCTAAGAACTTGCTTTATGAATCTGGGTGCTCCTGTATTGGGTGCATATAGATTTAGGATAGTTAGCTCTTCTTGTTCCATTGATCCCTTTACCACTATGTAATTCCCTTCTATGTCTTTTTTGATCTTTGTTGGTTTAAAGTCTGTTTTATCAAAGACTAGGATTGCAACCCCTGCTTTTTTTGCTTTCCATTTGCTTGGTAAATATTCCTCCATCCCTTCGTTTTGAGCCTATGTGTGTCTTTGCACGTGAGGTTGGTCTCCTGAATACAGCACACTGATGGGTCTTGTCTCTTTATCCAATTTGCCAGTCTGTGTCTTTTATTGGGGCATTTAGCCCATTTACATTTAAGGTTAATATTGTTATGTGTGAATTTGATTCTGTCATTATGATGCTAGCTGGTTATTTTACCCACTAGTTGATACAGTTTCTTGATAGTGTTGATCGTCTTTACATTTTGGTATGTTTCTGCAGTGGCTGGTAGAAGTTTTTCCTTTCCATACTCAGTGCTTCCTTCAGAAGCTCTTGTAATGCAGGCCTGGTGGTGTGACAAAATCTCTCAGCATTTGCTTATCTGTAAAATATTTCATTTCTCCTTCACTTTTGAAGCTTAGTTTGGCTGGATATGAAATTCTGGGTTGAAAATTCTTTGCGTTAAGAATGTTGAATATTGGCCCCCACTCTCTTCTGGTTTGTAGGTTTTCTGCAGACAGATCCACTGTTAGTCTGATGGGCTTCCCTTTGTAGGTAACCCGACCTTTGTCTCTGGCTGCCCTTAACATTTTTTTCATCATTTCAACTTTGGTGAATCTGATGATTACGTGTCTTGGGGTTGCTCTTCTTGAGGAGTATCTTTGTAGTGTTCTCTGTATTTCCTGACTTTGAATGTTGGCCTGTCTTGCTAGATTGGGGAAGTTCTCCTTGATAATATCCTGAAGTGTGTTTTCCAACTTGGTTCCATTCTCCTTGCCATTTTCAGGTACACCAATTAAATGTAGGTTTGATCTTTTCACATAGCCCCATATTTCTTGGAGCCTTTGTTTGTTCCTTTTCATTCTTTTTTCTCTAATCTTCTTGCACTGGTCCATTAAGTTGATCTTCAATCTCTGATATCCTTTCTTCTGCTTGATTGATTTGGCTATTGATACTTGTGTATGCTTCACAAAGTTCTAGTGCTGTGTTTTTCTGCTCCATCATTTATGTTCTTCTCTAAACTGGTTATTCTAGTTAGCAGTTCCTGTAACCTTTTTTTTCAAGGTTCTTAGCTTCCTTGCATTGGGTTAGAACATGCTCCTTTTGCTCGGAGGAGTTTGTTATTACCTTGCTTCTGAAGCCTATTTCTGTCAGTTTGTCGAAGTCATTCTCCGTCCAGTTTTGTTCCCTTGCTGGCGAGGAGTTGTGATCCTTTGGAGATAAGGCATTCCAGTTTTTGGAATTTTCAGCCTTTTTGCGCTGGTTTACTCTCATCTTCATGGATTTATCTACCTTTATCTTTGATATTGGTGACCTTCGGATGGGGTTGTTTCATTGTCTTCCTTTGTGTTGATGTTGATGCTATTGCTTTCTGTTTGTTAGTTTTCCTTTTAACAGTCAGGGCGCTTTTCTGCAGGTCTGCTGGAGTTTGCTGGAGGTCCACTCCAGACCCTGTTTGCCTGGGTATCACCAGTGGAGGCTGCAGAACATCAAAGACTGCTGCCTGCTCCTTCCTCTGGAAGCTTTGTCCCAGAGGGGCACCTGCCGGATGCCAGCTGGAGCTCTCCTGTATGAGATGTCTATGAACTCCTTCTGGGATGGGTCTCCCTTTCAGAAGACACAGGGGTCAGGGACGCACTTGAGGAGGCAGTCTGTCCCTTAGCGGAGCTCAAGTGCTGTGCTAGGAAATCTGCTGCTCTCTTCAGAGCCAGCAGGCAGGAACGTTTAAGTCTGCTGAAGTTGCACCCACAGCCAGCCCTTCCCTCAGGTGCTCTGTCCCAGGGAGATGGGAGTTTTTCTCTAAGTTCCTGACTGGGGCTGCTGCCTTTCTTTCAGAGATGCCCTGCCTAGAGAGGAGAAATCTAGAGAGGCAGTCTGGCTACAGCGGCTTTGCGGTGCTGTGGTGGGATCTGCCCAGTCCAAACTTCCTGGTGGCTTTGTTCACACTGTGAGGGGAAAACCACCTACTCAAGCCTCCATAATGGTGGACATCCCTCCCCGAACCAAGGTCAAGCATCCTAGGTTGACTTCAGACTGCTGTACTGGCAGCAAGAATGTCAAGCCAGTAGGTCTTAGCTTGCTGGGCTCCATGGGGGTGGGATCCACTGAGCAAGACCACACGGCTCCCTGGCTTCAGCCCCCTTTTCAGGGGAGTGGACAGTTCTGTCTTGCTGGGGTTCCAGGTGCCACTGGGGTATGGAAAAAAAAACTCCTGCAGCTACCTCAGTGTCTGCCCAAACAGCTGCCTGGTTTTGTGCTTGAAACCCAGGGCCCTGGTGGTGTAGGCACCTGAGGGAATCTCCTGGTCTGTGGGTTGTGACGACTGTAGGAAAAGTGTAGTATCTGGGCCAGATAGCACAGTCGTTCATGGCACAGTCCCTCAAGGCTTCCTTTGGCTAGGGGAGGGAGTTCCCCGACCCCTTGCACTTCCCGGGTGAGGCGACGCCCCACCCTGCTTCTGCGCCTTCCATGGGCTGCACCCACTGTCCAACCAGTCCCAGTGGGATGAACCGGGTATCTCAGTTGGAAATGCAGAAATCACCCACCTTCTGTGTTGGTCTCACTGGGAGCTGCAGACTGGAGCTGTTTCTATTTGGCCATCTTGCCTGGGAATCCCCTACTTCTGCTTTTACATGAGAGGCCCATGTTCTGCCTTCAGTTCATTTTTACCCATGGCTGTTCACTTAGTTTCAGGAGAGGAAATCATGGCATCCTTGGATGGAAATAGCTAACTGCTTATGAACTTTGGACTGCTTTCCAACATCACTTACCATCTCTCCTAGATCCTAATGCATTGACAGAGTCAAGTGCAAGAATCAAGCTCTAACTTTCCTAATTTAAAAGTCAGAGTGATGCCAGAGCCTAGACCTGGTTAGGAAGCAGGGTGGTTTTGATTGCCAGCCCTTACCAGCAAAATCTCCTGCAGCCTGTCTCTTTGGGCACATCCTTAGCCTCTCCCTGGTCTGCCTCTTTCATTCACACCCTGTCCCTAGACTCATGACTCAGACCCAGTTACAACACACTCTTCAATGAGGCTGCGCTTTTGTTCATGATTTCCTCTTTTCTTAGAATGCCCTTCTATGCCTGGAAAGGATGTATTTCCATCCTTGAAAATACAAATTTAATGTCATCTCCATTTGGAAGAGTGTCTTGACTCCCCAGACTGAGTTACTTGTCTCTCTTCTCTGTTCTTTCTGCTGTTTATGGCATTTTTATATTAGATTGATCTATTTACCTGCCTTTTCTCCCCACTAGACCTTGAACTCTTAGAGGACAGGGACTAGGGATACAAAATATGTTTGGCACCATATGGGTGCTCTATAGATGTCTGCGGAATGAATAAATTATCTTTTATTTAAATACATTATCTTATTGGCAATATGCTAGCTGTTTTAAAAATATTTATTATAAAACACACCTATTTTTGGGGTCCAGGATTTCATCTATTTAAACACACTGTTATTTTTTTAAAAACTATTTTATGTATCCCTAAGAAAGAGAAAAATATGCTGCTAATTCAACAAGAACACAGTGATTCCTTTATCACTTAGATGTGTATTTTATACTTATTGAAAGACTTCTTTAGACTTGCATGGGCATAGTTTGTTTTTTCTTTTTAAGTTTTATATGAAGTGACTGTTTCTGTGCCTTTTGTGTATACTTTTTATTTTAATGCCAAATCATAGTATGATTTTTTGAAGCCATTTTAAGTGGCAATTAAACTCAATGTGTGTGTCGTACCAACGGTGCACAGAACTCAAGTGAAGTGACGAGAGTTTGTGCAGGCACAGGAAATGACAAGTATGTAACAACTGCCATCTACAGTGATTATAAGATTGTTAGATGCATGCAATTTCAGAGACGGAGAAATATGAAAAAATGTGCATTGTAAAAATCAATGAGATTTCTGTTCTGTTTTCTAAGTTCTCTTTCAGAATAGAAAAGGGTCCCCTATGGTAAAAGGTCAGTGCTTAACTTCTAGCCCATTTACTTGAGCAAAGGGCACTAACTTGTTCTTGGTCACAACACTAATGGGACCAGAAAACTAAAGATGGTAGGGGGCAGCCAAAACACTGCCACCCTGACTGCAGTCGACCAGCAATGACACAAAGCAAAAACCAGTTACAAATTCACAAATGATATTTTAAGGATGGTAACAAATGGAATATTTAGGACTTTGGCCGTGCACACATAACTCTTCTGAAAGACACATCTGACTACTATATTCAGTGACTGATGCTGCTGTTCTCAAAATTATTCTTAGCATAAGTTCCTTATGCCTCAAGAGTATCTCAAAGGATGATAACAATGAGTGCTTTTCAAGTACTTTATGTATATTAAATTGTGTAAGCCTTAAAACAACCTTATGAGATAGACACTATTATGACCCTCATTTTTCAGATAAGGAAATGGATGAAAAGAGAGTCGAAGCACATTGTCCATGGTCATATAATTGTAAGGGGAAGAACCAGGATTTGCCTGGGGGGATCCTGTCTTTTGAGTCTGTGCTCATAACCTTGAAGGTATGCTGGATATTGCCTCACATCCCTCTCACTACCTCTACTAGTACTACCAGACTTTGCATGATGGATGCCATCTAATGCTATTTCTTCATACAGATAGCTTCTTACATCTTCCTTTCAGGGAACTAAGAAAGGCTTTCTTCTGTTCTTTGACCTAGGCCTGCCTACTGTTCTGCTTTTTGGGAGGTCAGGCTGGATGGTAATCTCAAGAGACAAGGAGAAATTGCTTTTCAAATAAAAACAACTCCAATAATTTGGCCATAAGTCAGGAAAAGTAGACATTATGAGATGAAAATATGATGACTGTTGAGGCTAAGATAAAAGCTATTGCATGAATGGACCACTGAGAAACTTCCACAATTCACTTGTACCAGGCTCCAAACGGGTTAACTGGTTATCACCAATCAGAAACCAGGTGATTAAGCAGACATTTGGTGGCACACTTAAGCAGTTGTGGCAGGATATTGAGTTGTTGCTTTGAACATATTTCAGTATAATAGGATTTAAATTTTCCCCTTTTCTTTGGATTTTTCAGTTAATATTGGAATTAAATTAAAGCATTAAGTCAACCAGCTTAGTGCAAAGCAAATTATGTCAGGTTCAGCATTGAAAGCTTTGTTATGGAATATCTATTGACTCAAGCTTATTAACTTGTAAATCCTCTAGTTTTAGATTATGATCTATTGATTATCTGCTTTTATTTGTGTTTTAAATGAATAAACAAAAAGAAATCATCATGGTTTAGTAATTACACCTTAAGAGAAAATGTACTTAAGCTTAGCATACTTAATTAAAAATAAAAACAACTTTGATTTGTTCTGAGAGCTAGAAGTTGTGGTTCTTATTTTCATTTAGGCAGATCAAAGATTGTTTTTATTTTTCCACAATCATTTTTATTAGACATTTGGACAAAATGGGAACAAAATTTTTCACAAAGGATAGAAAGTGTGCTGAGTTTGGCATTTTGAATGCATTATTAATTGTTCTACAATCTATTATTTTGCTTGGCTTATCTTAGCAGAGAGGCAGAAATGATCTGCTGTCTCATATGTAGGAGAAAAATTCTGAGAAGCCCTTGTGACTAACACCCAGGAAGAGTCCACTTCTGAGAGCCCAGGCGCTTTAATCAAAACAGCAGTCAACTTAGAAGAATTGAGTTTAAGTTCTGATTGTCACTCACACTAGATGTACCTTAGGTAAATCATCTACTTTTTCTGAGCTAGATTTCTAACAGTTAGTATCTTTCTCTTGGGCTTTTGTGACAATTAAAACAGATGACCTCTGTGAAGTACCTGGCACATCACTGTCACTCAAGAAGAGTGCTCTGAATGTGATCCTTGGGAATAGGAACAGCTAAGGAAAGCTAAGGAAATGTGGGGTTCTGTTGATTCCAAAGGATAATTGTTTAAATTTGACTTTATAGTTTATTTAAAACTCTCAGCAAAAAAATAAAGCTCTGAGATTGGTTTGTGATCTGAGGGTTAAATCCACAGTCAAATTATGTCTTTTTCTGGCATGGTTCTAGGCACTAAATGGAAAGGAATAAAAGTAGAAAGTATGAACATACTGGATTTTAGGAACTGTAATCCATTAGGAATGTAAAACTCACCTTTCTGAAACCACTAGAGAAATACATGGGAACCAAGCACTGAAGGTGTATACACAAGAAATCATCATGGGTTTAGGTGGTCACAAAATACTCCATAAAAGGACAGGCTTTAAATATCAATATATAGGAAATTTACTAGCTCTGTGTGCTAGAAGAGTACAATTGCATCATTCAATGCAACATGTGAACAATTAAAACAAATTTAAAACTCATAGAATCTTAGAAGGGAATTTATAATAAGCAATTTGACCATCATATCTGAAGCAAAAATCCCAGAAGACAGTGGGAAGAAGGATGTGGAAGGGAAACATCCTTTTAAACTCAATAAGAACTAAAGACCAATTTGCAAAAGTTGTATTTTTTATAATGGAGACTCTGGAATCTGCTTTATTTTCCTCCATTGCCCTTAGCTTATGTATGGTATGTATATATTTTATTTCCTTATCTTGTTTATTGTCTTTATCTCCCCACTAGAGTAAGAGCTTCAAGAGGGAAGCATTTTTGTCTGGTTTATTCACTGTCATATACCCAGTTGGCATATATTAGATGCATACACATACTGACTGGATGAGTGAATGAATGAATCAATTAAGTTCTGTATCTGTCCTTGGAAAAGGAAGAATGGGAGTTTTACAGCGAGGAGCTAACAATATTCATCTATTTGTTTGCTTTTAGTGCAAAGCAGTGATCCCCAACCTTTTGGGCACCAGGGATCCGTTTCATGGAAGACAATTTTTCCATGGAAGGGGGAGGTGGGGATGGTTTTAGGATGAAACTGTTCCACCTCAGATCATCAGGTATTAGTTAGATTCTCATAAGGAGCACACAACTTAGATCCCTTGCGTGCGCAGTTCATAATAGGGTTTGCTATGTGAGAAGCAATTGCCACAGCTGATCTGTGGAGCAGATCTGTGCTCCACTCCTCAGGTGGAGCACAGCAAGAGGTGGAGCTCAGGTGGTGAGGCTCACCCTCCACTTACCTCCTGCTGTGTGGCTTGGTTCCCAACAGGCCACAGACCAGTACTGGTCTGCGTCCCCGGGGTTCTGGACCCCTTGTGTCAAGTGACATATTGTAGTTTATGGTTCTATGCTAAGGGGGTTTATGGATTATATTATCTGGTTTTAAGTATACTAACTTTGGAAACATGAATGGCTTTCAAAATTCCTAGAATTCAAATTTATGATTCAAATATAACACTAACAATACAAACATAAATGAAGAACAAATAAATGGCCAGTCTGATTCTCCTTCCTTCAAGCTCCTTATCAACCACAGCATGAGGTATAAACATGAATGGTCCAATTGTATTTGATCAGAAGTGTCAACAAAATTTTGAAATGATCAAGAACACTCAGGAAAGAGATTGACATTCAGCATCATTAATGATTAATCTTTCAGTGTGTATTGTGCCTTGAGGTATTATTGATAGTAGTTGCTCATAATAAAATATTTTCTTGATAATTTTATCTATTTCCACTCCTTTAAAAATGTCTATTTCTATAGTGTAAATGATACTATTTAACTAGTACATATTTTATAATTTACAAATAAGTAAATATACATATTATGCAGATGTGTGCTCCCCAAATTATTATTTCTACAAGTGAATATTCTAAAAAGTTTGGAGATCGCTGACCTGTATTAATGTTCTTCCTTCAGCAAACCTATTATTAAGAAGAAAAACAGAGCAAAATCTTTTTCCTCTTTGAAAATGAAATTGAGTTTGATCACAATGATCTGATGAATAAAGTTCTAAAATAAGAGCACAAGTAACTCACTTAGGTTGTTGCCTTGTAATGGACAAAGTCCAGTAATACTTTTTGGAAGATAGATGCTTGAAGATAATTTGTAAAAAAAAAAAAAAAAAAAAAAAAACTCATTCCCTTGACTAATTTCCCAGTGGGAAGTGCTGACTATTATTGGTAAAAATGATACCTATGGTCATTGCCCAGATGGCTCTTTGAAGAATGTAGTTGGAGACAAAAGCCCTATAAAATGTGTATGTCACAAAATCATACTAAACCTGTATTGTGCACTGGGGCTATTTTAACCAGTTACACTGTTTCATTTATTTTATTAATTCTTTTGACTATTTCTAGGGTTGAATGATTTGATTTAAAATCTCTGTTAAGCTTAAAGGCTAGAGTGAAGAAGACCGATGCACATACAAGTGATTGGGGCAAGGTATAAAATATTTACACTGCCTCTCACTGCTGTGTTACTTACAAGATTGCAAGTGATCAGTTACACTGAAAAAGGTGCTGTATTGGGAAGGAATCAAGAAGCTATGGGTACATAGGGAACTCCCCATCCCAGGGAAGTGATGTTCAGTTATCACAGTGACTGTCATTTTAACAATTGTGCAAGTGCATCATTCACTGTGGGTGACTAGAAACAGATGAAGAGGAGCTGAAAAATGGAAGAATTTTCCTTGTCTCATGTCTCTCTGATAACGAGGCAGACTACAGAGCATGAAAGATGAGGGCTGCCCAATTCAAACCAAAGCACGTAGCCACCATCTGGGCATTTTAAAAGTAGGACACATGAAATGCTCAGATGTATCCCCCAACAGGGTGCAATAATACAGCAGTAAAAAGAAAACTACAGTGAACTATGGCTACTTCCACACTTGCAATCATTCTAGTACAAGCAGGGGCAAAGATTTTCCAAAAACTCTTTCTTATGTACATCTCAACTGCTCATACGTTTAGCTCAGGGTCTTAACAGTCATGCGTGGTAAGTAAACATACCCAGTAGAGGGCGCTCTCCTCATGGAAAGGAAAGGGTCCTACGGCTCTAGGTGGAGCACTCAATTTGAGGGTTCAAAAATAAAACTACTCCTTAGACTACAGACACTAAAAGCATCATTTCCGTTCAGAAACATTTACAGCTGAAACAAATATTGACTTTTAAAGTGATATATTTGACATTCAAGTGTGTACTCAATTGAGCCATTTATTTCAGTTGCTGCCAGATGTAGACCCTTAATTTTCTGAACGAGAATGACTAAATTACTCAAAAGTTAGAAAAAAAAGAACATTAGCATGTTCTTTTTGGATCTTTGAAGGTAAAAGTTCAGAATTTCTTATTTCTGGAATAAGAAATAAGAAATTTCTTATTTGCTGGCTCCATTTCTTCTATCGGCTTCTAGATCCTCAAGGCAAGCAATCTACTAACACTGCATAGTAAGTCACTGCTGCTTCAGTTTAACATCCCTCAAGCCCTCGCTTTCTTCCAACTTCTTCTGATGTACGTTTTGCAATAAGAGAGATAATGTTATTTACAGAAATCAATGGCAGACATATAGAAGCATATAATCTTTGAATGCCCGCAAAATGAAATGCATGAATTAAAATATTGAATTCATATATTTCAACTGAATTTTAATTATATAGATAAGGAGTATTTTATAATCCCTTCTTAAGTTCTTTCATATTTGCAAAAGTGAGTATTCATAAGATCAAGTCAATTTACAAGGTTTTCATTTCCTGTGTTGCGACTTGGAGTTGAACTGAGAGACAAATAAGGAAGGCAAGCACAGTGCTTGTTGTAAAAATGCAGCATCAAAACACCCTAATGATACTTATAATTGCTAGAAGTAATTTAAAACTGTCTTTCTGCTTTAGGAAGGAATGAAACTCTAAGGAAATACAAATGAGGGAATTGAAGAGAACATATTTTAGGAAGAAAATGTATTCAAAGAGAATCTTTCCATTTTAATTTCCTCATGTCAGTAGAAATTCTAGATACATTTAACAGGAAAACTCCTCAAGACTTTTTTTTCTGGAAATCCCTAAAGTTTTTCTGGGGGGTCTCTCCTTATGTATCATTTTTTATTTTACTCCTTGCTAAGAATTCTTATTAGTCATTCTAACCATTCAATTTGTCCTGCCTGTTTTGTAATGAATAAATAGCATATACTGTTAATTGGCCACCTGAGGTTCAAAGAGGGGAAAAATGGAGTTGATGTCTGCACACTGTAATGTGCTGACAACATATTGACCACACTCTATTTCACAAGATTTAAAATCAAGCTTCCTCACCCTATTCACACTTCCCTCCCTTTGCTCCATTCTTGACTGTCTGTGGGGCTAATATAATTTTCTTAAAGTGATTTATTTCTAACAGATGCGATCACCCAGCCACAGGGACCTGGATACACAAATGTCCCCTAACAACTTTAATTTCTGGATATAATAAGCATATATTCCACTAATAAATAATTATTGCTCTGTTAAAAACGAGACACCAAGGCTTGTGGCGTGATGACCAGGTCTTCCTAGTCAGAAAGGACAAAGAGATGGACTCTCTTGAGGCCTTTAGCGACTCCCAACCCAAATATGCTATCATATTTCTAAAATGTGGTAGGCCAGGAAGGAAGAAAATTGGTCACAGTTTAATGTGGCCCAGTAATATTTAGAAAGCTACTTTTAGGTACACATTTAGATTCTTATAAATCAGATATTAAACATGATTAGGTAAGGAGGATGATAGCATAGGTCCTGGTATAAAGTTTATAGGACAATCTCAGAAGAGTGATTTGTTCTTTCCCTCAAGTTCTTTCCTGCCTCTTTTAGCATCTCAAGGGTGGATGCACATGTGTGTCCTCATCGCCTTTGCTGTCAGCAGCACTGTCGTTTTTGAAGGCTGGTGAGTTGGCCCTCGGCAGTGTCACCAATTCAATGATGAAGCTTGGGCTGTGATTCATTGTCCAGGACTAAGTGAGGTACCACCAGAACACTGTGGATGTTGAGTAACTTTTTCAATGAGTTTAATATCTCAAGTCAACCTTTGGAGGAGCTTGTCCTCTTGGCTGGCCTCTTGGCTGGCCTTGTCTTTTCTTTCCCCACTGCTCTACCTGGAGTCTTGGGTCAACTGCCACAAGACCATTCTGCTACTAACATATTTAGTGAAGAAATCCATACTTTTGGGAAAGGGGTATTAGGGAATGCAGGGGAAACAAGAAAATATAATAAATTTTCCTTCCTTCCTTCCTGTCTTTCTTTTCTTTTGTTCTTTCTTTTATTTTTTTTTGGAGTCTTGCTCTGTCACCCAGGCTGGAGTGCAGTGGCAGATCTCGGCTCACTGCAACCTCCACCTCCTGGGTTCAAGCAATTCTCCCTGCCTCAGCCTCCCAAGTTGCTGGGATTACAGGTGCCCACCACCATGCCCGGCTAATTTGTGTATTTTTAGTAGAGATGGGGTTTTGCCATGTTGGCCAGGCTGATCTCAAACTCCCGACCTCAGGTGATCTGCCCACCTCGGCTTCCCAAAGTGCTGGGATTACAGGCATGAGCCACAGCGCCCGGCCAGAAGAAAACTTTTCCTTTTTTTGAAATTCTGGACTAGTATCTCCAGACAGGACCCTGTCAACACACTATGACACCATGATATCTTCATGTGCTGATTTCTTCTCTGAAAACCTATTTTGAATCTTACTCACCACTATTTACTGAGTGCCGTCTCAGTTCCTGCGACTCTAAGAGGTGCTGCCTCTCTGCGGGAGGCACTATTAGGCATAACCTCCTGAAGGCATACAATGAGTAAAAAAGCCAAAGCCAGTCTCTAATCTATGTTTCCTGACCCCAGACCCATGCTGCTAACCACCTCACTCAATAGCTTTGCTAGGCATCTCTTGGGAGTATTTTGATTTTTTTTTTAAATCAGTTGTTTTAATATCAGCCCAATTAATGGGGGCATATTGGAAAAATATTCCCCATGTGACCTCCTGAAGCAGAGACTTGCCATCAGATGTTTCAAAACCAGGCTTCTGTTTCTTTGCCTGAATAAGGTAATATCTGTTCTACTTTTCTTCTATTTGAATTTCACCCATTGTTCAAAGCACAGACCTCTCCCAAAAGCCTTCTCTGAACTTTTCCAGTCCAAGTGATCTTTTAATTCTTTGAAACTTTTATCAATTGTTTTCTATATTTATACTAGGCAATGAATCATATCAAGCTCTGTGTCATCTCTTTGTCCTATTGAACTATAATTTGTGGCTTTCATTGATGTTTAGCTTTTCATAAATAACATCTTGTTCCACTAGGCTGAAACTCAAGAAGCAATACTGGATAACAGAAAGAAAAGGCTTTAGAAGCTGAGAGAGCTGCAATCAAATCCAAACTCTGCAGCTAGCTGTGTGACCTTGGGTATGCTACTTAACCTCTCTGAGTTTCCATTTCCTCATTAATAAATTTAGGTAATAATACTCCACAGATTGGTTATTGAGGTGAAATAAGATGGCATGTGTAAAGTGCCCATAATATGTTTTATGTGGAAGTTGTCAGCTTATAAATTGAAATTGGAACATATAAATGATGCTTTCTCAGTTTGATTTAGCTGTGAACATACAGATTTCCTTTTAGGTGAAATAAGAAGCATAACAAAGCATTTGAAAAACAATTTCTGAAATATGATTACAGGTTAGCAAGAAACCAGAAATAAAAGCTAAATATTAAAGAGAAAAATAAAGACAGAAGAGGAATAGAAAGTGTGTGTGAGGGAGAGTGGAGTGAAATTGTAGCTGAGTAGGCCAGGTAAGGCTTTAGTGGTAGTAACTTTTCACTTAAGACCAGAAGAAAGTGTGGGAGCCAACCATGGGGACACCTGGGTAAGAGCTTTCCAGGCAGAAGATGCTCTAGTCAATAGATTGCTAGCCTTGCCATTTGTGCCATGAGGAAATAATAACTTAATGGGTTCTCATTAATATTAATGCATGCATGCAAAAAGAATAATTTTTTGGTTTCCTAGGTTTTTTCCCTCTCTTTTTTCTTTTTTAGTTTAAAGGGCAATTTATATCCTGGTCTTTCTCCCTTTGGGGAAATGGAGAAGGAAAAAGGGCTTAAAGATAAGGCAACTCTCCTCTGGGAATTAAAAGTAGTTTTCCCTTCAAATTTTTCTACAAACGTTTATCTGGACTTTTCCTTTAACAAACTGTGTTTATAACATCTTAGAAGACCAAAAAGCTTGGAGGATTGTGCAGTTTTAGAGAATAAAACATCAATATGACCTATATGGAATTTTTAAGTGCCGAGGTGTTTTTGGTGTAATAGGTCTAAAAATATTTGAAGGGTTCAAGTCTTACTCAAATATTAATGGTCTTTATTGTAATTCCCAAAGATTTTTGATTATCTTAAGTAAGCTTCCTCTTAATATCATGCCCCAAATAGGGATGACAGAAATTATACTTTTAAAATTTAATTTAAAGTTCCGGGATACACGTGCAGGATGTGCAGGTTTGTTACATAGGTAAACGTGTGCCATGGTGGTTTGCTGCACCTATTAACCCATCACCTAGGTATTAAGCCCCACATGCATTAGCTACTTATCCTGATGCTCTTCCTCCCCTCACCCCCCTAATAGGCCCCAGTGTGGGTTGTTCCCCTCCCTGTGTCCATGTGTTCTCATTGTTCAGCTCCCACTTACAAGTGAGAACATGTGGTATTTGGTTTTCTGTTGCCAGGTTAGTTTGCTGAGGATAGAAATTATACTTTTAATTGTTGATGTCATCATCAAGGAAGATAGTGGAGTCTTAACTGTTTTCCCCAAAAACAAAAATACTTCAAAAGGTCAACGTCTATCATTTTGTTTAGAATTCATTAGCTGTCTCCTCACCTTGTCTGCTTCATTTTTTGTATATGGACAGGGTTGTGGTACCAGATGTGTACTTAGTCTCACTATGGGTTGTGACACTTGATTTAGAAAACACTGCTGTTGGGACACACATGAGAATTAGAATAAAGCACTAGATGGACAGGTCTTTTCTCCCTAGAAAACTTCCAGAGGGGACAGTGCTCTTGACATTTCAGAGATAATGAAGAGAGTTTTCAAGACACTTTCTATTTCCATACGAGTTCCTTTGTATGCTGGGTTGCCTGCCATTATGTTTATGTAATTCTGACAGTGTTCTTAATGACACACTAACAGATTGTAAAACACGCTGCTGGCATTTACTTGTTTTTTATATTTTTAAAACAATGTCCTTCATGTAACAGTAGTTAAGCGCGGCAGAAGGACATCATTAGAGCCATGGTTAAACTGTAATTTACACCATTAGGAAGGCAGGAGCAATTTTTATTGCCTGGCAATTTTCTTGCTGAAATATTTGGACCATATGGCTCAATTTGTGTAATAACCTTAATTTCTGCACCCTTCAGGTCTTCCTCCATCTCCTACGGAATGGTAAAATGCGGTTTAGCAGAAAAGGCAACTGTCTATACTTAGAGAGTTGAGATTAATAACATGTCACGTCCTGTTTTTGGTGAAGGAATTCGAACAGCAGCCAGATGGTATCTCTACAAATAACTGTCAGGGGTCTTGATCTAATCAATACAATGTATTAATACGTCTCCCTTTGCTGTTTCTCTAGGGGCTGGTGCAGAACATCTGGAAAGAGTGGAAGGGGGGCGGGGGGGCCCGCCAAGTAGAAAGCCGATTCTTTTCAGAATCAAACTGAGCCCAATTAATTTTTCATGTATCCTTGATAACTGTTTCATAATGAGCTATGCGTCTTGACGGATTTGGGGTTGGCAGAGCAGGCTGCCCCTGCTTTCTATCCCCATTCAGTCCACTTATAGAAACCAACCCATTAATCAAGCTATCTGGCATAAAACCTGAATCTCAGCTCAGCAAGAGATCAATAACCATCCTAAAAAAACACAGAACCAGCCACTAATGGGCACAGGTATCCAGCCATGACATTAGTAATTGCTTTAGCAAAAATAAAACTCTGTATCATAATCACCCAATAGGAATTTGTACGATAAAATTCACTACTTGTGTCTTGTCAAAAAGTAACATGTACATCCGTTAAAAATATACTGTAATTTTACTATCTAGACATGACCATTATCTTTCAGTGTTAGACAACCCACCCTTTTGAATGGATTAAAATTCTCTGATTTTGTAATGTGAATATTTAATAATTCAAGTATCATATAAAATGTTTAAAAATGAGTTATTACACTTATTTTAAATTCAGAGTACCTAAGGGGGTCCTTAATACAATCTTTAGCCTGGCTGTATATGACACATGGTGAGCCTGCTGTGCTAAGAACTCTGATGTGCTGTCAGATTGGTCAGATTTTGTTACTCTTTGGTTGGCTTAATGGCAAGATTTACAATTCAATTCATAAATTTTTATCACTTTCCCAAGTGGTATGTTTTTGTCTCAAACCTTCACTCTTTTACCAAATTCAAGCCAGTTACATTACTTTCCAGTGGGCAAATGTCTTCTGGCTTGGCAGAGATTTCTACCCTACGGTAATTTCTGAAACAGAGACCCAAAGACTTTGTCTATGGAGGGGAATTCAGAGCCGAGATGGAGAGATGAAAGAAACCCATTAACTGCTTGGTAAAACATTCCTTATTGGCTCTTAGACAACAAGTAGAAACCTGTTTTGTCCCTAGGAGAGTCTGAGATTTTGATTAGAAAAAACTCCTGGGAAGTGCCGCCAAAAAGATAGTCATTCATTGGCTGATCATCTGATCAAACCCTGCCAAGATGATAGAAAGGTCTACGGAATCATCCAGGAACTTTAAGGTGATGTCACATTCATCTTTTCTGACAACATGACTAAGAATCATGATGCCTGTGTTTTTTCTGTCAATGGTTTGTGGTTCCATAGAATGAGTGCTGGGTTTGGATTCAGGAGTATGGGCTAGAGTCTTCCTAGGTTCTTGTAACTATTTATAAGTACAATCAATACCATGCATGACAAAATGATTGCTTATTACATTGTATTTTGTCTCTTTTCTTATTGTTTCTCCAAATACACGACGAGTTTCAGAGAGAAAAGACTATTTCTCGTTTGTTTGTATCTGTTATAGCTTCTGGACCAAGTAGATTCTCAAAAGAGAAATATGGTGAAAAACTGATTAATGGAAGAGCCCTGTATTTCTTGGTCTTGATCACTGAATTAGATTTGATGTGTCTTGGCCCTCAATTGCAAATAACTTGCAATTTTCATATATTCATGAGACTACAGAGAAGCAATAGCCCAGGTTTTCAACTTTAATTTTGTTTGCTGATGTCCAGTGTAGGTAAACGGAAAATACCCTGACAATGGAGTGTTTGTAGTGGAGTTGCATAACATCAGGCGAGAAAGTTATTTAAACAACTGATTATGTAACTAGATAATATCTGAAATTTGGGATCCAAAGTACGTGGCATCCAGAAATTCTAATTTATGTGTAGTCATTATCAAAATATTTAATTTATACAAATTTAAACCCTCTGTGACAAAGATAGAAGATAGTTGCCATTCTGGAGACTTCAAGTCCATAGATATGATCAAAAATGTCAGCAGTTCTAGCTTACTATTACCCAGGCACAGCACTAACAAGATGTTTCACCTTAAAAATTATATTGAGATAAAAAGATTCATTTGCAAACCCATCACATATGTATTCACAGGTGGTGGGTGTGGGTCATTGCATTTGGATTAAAAAGCAAATGTCTCTCTCTACATGAGAGGTCACTAGCTTGTGTAAGGCAAAATCTTTTCACTGTTCGGCATAATTAGAATATTCCAACAGTGGTTTCAGTAATTTAAAAATCACAGTATTGTTGTAATATTTTTCTAGGCTTCAGGAGCTCACAATTGTTTGGCCCAATCAAATCTGGGAACACTAGAGAAGTTATCACCCATCAAGGTAATTACTTTCAAGTTGAAATAATTACTCTATCAATGTTAATGGTCTTTCAACTTCAATAAAGCACTCACCTGCCGATGATCACAGCTAACCTCTTGCTCTAATGCAATTCCCTCTCTATTTAGTAGGTTATATTACAGCTGTTACAGTGGTCACTTGTCCTGAACAGCTGCTGAATTTCACTTTTATCGGCTGTGAACCATAAAAAAATTGGTCATCTGTGTATGATTTCCCCCTCACCCATAAGCCCTTGCAGAGCTAAGGATATGATCTCTTGGCTGTAATAGGGTACTTCGGGGCAGCCATCTTGTCTCAGGTAGTGGCTACTTTCCATCTGTGACAAGAGCAGAGTAGTTCAATTAACTTCTGCCCTTCACTGCCATTTACAGCTTGCTGTCTCTGCTAAATGGCATATATTCTGAATTTATGGCCTGGGCCTGTTAGTATGTGGACTAGTTCATTTTACTTTCACAGACATTTTTGACAAGGCTCCACGGGAGTCTTAGGTGTCTAAAGAGGGTTTCCTTGTAAGTTGGTTAAAGGCCAGAAAATAGCAACATACTTGACTCACAGGTCAAACAGTCTCCCCACCAACTAACTGTCCCTCATGTACTGATAAACTACTATTTGGCATAGGGGAAGTAGGTAGATGCCAATTTGGCAGAATCCATTTGTATGATTTGAGAAGTGTGAGAGTGTGTGTCTGTGTGTGTGTGTGACTAAAATACCTCATCATGTTCTGCTGATATAATCCCAGATCTAAGGGAAAGGGTAGGGTCCTAAGAGTGTCATGTCAGGTAAAGAGAACTACATATAGGGTGGAAATCTCCTGAGGAGGGCTCTTAGACTGGCAGGTATGTGATGTTGTTGGGGCAGGGGGGCCAGGGATAAGACCGTAATAAACCTCAGGAGACAAAAAAAAAAAAAAAAAAAAAGCATGTTCTTGCTTCAGGCAGTTTAGAAAGGAAATAGAACCTAATCCAGTATTTGGAAAATTACAGGGAAATTAACAATGTGGTATCAGGAAACATGTAAATTTGCAAGCTCAGAATTTTATTGCAAGGTGAGGAACACTTAAAATGTATAAAACATAAGGTTTTTCACTCATGACCAAATTAGTACAGTTGCCTAGACAAACCAGAACCTTATCTACATTTGCTAATTTATTCCAGTCTCTGTTTTTTCAAAAAGAAGGACTGCTAAAGGTTTATAGTCTATTTATATTGCCCTTTACAGTACTTTGCATATACATTAATTTATTAGTCATTGCAGCAGCCCTATGAGATAAGCAACATTTTAGTTCAGACTTGATGAGTAAGAATGAGGACAGATGAATTATAGGAGAATGAGCCATCATTCCAGGAGGAGGGATTAACATGTGTGAAGATCCTAATGTTGTCTTCAAGTGGAAGGATTTAAGATATGGTTTGGAAATAGAATCAATAGCACTTAGTGAAGAATTGATATGGAAGTAAGGAAGAGAGAGGACTCAAAAATGATCTGGCTTGTGCAACTAGAAAGATGATAGGGCCATTTAGTTATATAATAGGATGTGAAACAGAACTGTATTGGAGAATAATGAGTATGATTTAGAAAAATAGGTGGTAAGTAACTCTACTGGAACAGCTAGACATATCACTGCATGACTTATGGAAAAAACAGACTTCAAGATCCATCTTCCTATGAAGATCTATGTAGACAACCTATATGAGAAGATCCAAGTTCATAAAAAAAATTAAAGAAGGGGATTCAGTGGAGAAGAAAGAGGCTTTGGTTATATCTTTCCCACTTCAGGGAGGGAATGGGATTTCTCCACACTCCCCTTTCAAGGCATGCAAGGAATATCCAAGAGAAGCTCTTGAAGAAATTGGGAGTGTTGCCAGAAAAGTGAGATGAACAGTCTGGTCTTGGCAAGAGGCTTCCTACTGCACTGATGAAATTCATAGGACAATTTTGATGCAATGACTAGAGTCAAAAGGGTCTTCTGAAATCCTTAAGTGATCCCATAGTTTTGGGATAATAGGCTAGCACAGAAGCTAATACCTGTGTCTTAGTCAATGAATTCCAAAGTTAGGAGACTGGCTAGGTTTCATCCAGCATGATAGGTCAAGCAGAGAATATAGTACTGGACAAGCTGTACCTTCATTATTTGGTGAAACCAAAGTTTTCTGCAATCCTAGTGGGTGCCAAGAAAGGAATGAGTTTTGTCAACGTGATAGGACTTGATATTGGCTGCCTGCTTGGGAGAAGGGCCCCCAGAGGCAAAAAAAGGTTGTAGGGTGGACCTCTTGGACAATAACAAATAGTAAGAAATTAGCCAGAGAGTGTATTGCCTGCATCAGAGGACTATGAGGCATGGAATTTCCTATGGGGACCCCTATATAACCCACAGAGAAAATCCCATGAGGCATCTGCCCCCTCAAAATTAATAGAAGATTAATTAGAGCAATATTATTGAGTAAAGCTCTGTTCCTTTTTGTCTAATTCTTTCTTTTCATGCCATGATCCTGGGGAAATAAATAAGAGAAGAGGGAACTGAAGAAAGAGGAAAATGACCATGCCCTCTTTCCCCACTGCAGATCCTTAAGCACATATCAGGTTTTAATTTAGACTGGAGTTTTTGTTGTTGTTGTTGTTGTTTTTTGAGACAGGTTCTTGCCCTGTCACCCAGGCTGGAATGCAATGGTGCAATCTCGGCTCTCTGCAGCCTCCACCTCCCGGGTCCAAGAAATTCCCCTGCCTCAGCCTCCAGAGTGGCTGGAATTACAGGCACCAGCCACCATGCTTGGCTAATTTTTGTATTTTTACTAGAGACAGGATTTCACCACGTTGGCCAGGCTGGTCTCGAACGCCTGACCTCAGGTAATCCACCCACCTCGGCCTCCCAAAGTGCTGAGATTACAGGCATGAGCCATCGCCCCCAGTCTAGACTGAAGTTTTTAAAAAACACTTGGAATGAGTCTTAATCACCAGTTGCGTTGATCCTTGCCACTGAAAAGTGACTGGAAAATCATGGGACCTGCCTTAGATGTTACTGATGGGTGAGCAAGGGAATCCTGATGGAGCTTGCTGGGATAAAGTGGTTGGAGAAAAATATGGCTCTTTCAAAGATGTAATTACATAAATTTCAAAAGACTTACATGGTTTTCATCCCCAATAATGTTGAGCAAAAGGTAGATTCTTTATATGTATTTATGACTTTCAGACAAATACATATTTGTCTGAAAGTCTAATTTGTCTAGCCCAAATTAGACAAAAGGGTTAAAGATTATGTAAGGCAAGTAAATGAAAAGTTGATATTAAAGCTAAAATATCATCACAACTAAAAAGTTTTGCCATGGTCAGTGGCTCAAGCCTGTAATTCCAACACTTTGGGACGCCGCAGCGGGAGGATCTCTTGAGGCCGGGAATTTGAGACCAGCTGGGGCAATTTAGTGAGACACAATCTCTACAAAAAATTTAAAAAATTAGCTGGGCATGGTGGCATGCACCTATAGTCCCAGCTACTTGGGAGGCTGAGGAGGGAGGATCACTTCAGTGCAGGACATCAAGGCTGCAGTGAGCTATGATGGTGCCACTGCACTGCAGCCTGTGTGACAGAGCAAGACCCTGTCTCTTTAAAAAAAAAAAAAAAAAGGGTTAGGCCGACAAATATTCATTGTTTTGTGTGATATTTACTCACCCATGTTTTCTATCTTTTATATAGAAGAATGACACAGTTATTTCTTATTATAAAATGTGAAAATCTCAGTTTATAGAACCGACCCAGGAAATATGATAATTATTTTTATTACTGAATTTTTCTTCACATTAGAAAGATAGTCACCAAAGGAGTCCTTTTAGAAAGCTACATCTCCCAGAGTATTTCTGTTGTCTAATAAATGTGTCTGGGGAGAAAAGGCTAAGAATCATCAAATTAAAAAGAGTTGAAACTAATTTAAGATCATATGTAAAGAGCAGTAATATTTTATGTTATCTAAGCCAAAATGAAAATGGGATTAAAAATAAATTTATCAATTTACTCACACACTCTTCATAACA
This sequence comes from Homo sapiens, assembly GCF_000001405.40. Lineage (NCBI taxonomy): Eukaryota > Metazoa > Chordata > Mammalia > Primates > Hominidae > Homo > Homo sapiens. The sequence continues at coordinate 215,722,490 of NC_000001.11, forward strand.
TGGCAATTGTGAAATATCTATTTTATTATTATTGTTATTATTTTTGCCACATATCTACTTAATGGTAAAGATATAGGAAACAAACCCTTGAGGAAATTTTGACTACCTCCTCCTTGACATTGGGAAAGGAAGCCTGGCAACTAGAATCTAGAAACTAGAGTTAGTAATTCTGGATTTTATTCCCAGATTGGAAGCCAATTTTTAGTGACCCATATAATTTGCTTATTTCTCAGCACCTTATGCTTGATTCTACACAGAGTGAAGTACCATTTATCTTTTAGGATACTGGGCAAATGCATGATCTGGGCTTGACGTTTTATAACCCCGTGGAACAAGCAAGGATATAGTTAGGGCACAGATAATAGGTAAACCACCTTTTTCTTTAAAATCCCAAATTATCAGATTTATTTCTGCCAGCACAATGGCAGATGCCAGTGAGAAAAAGCAAACAAACCCAAATGGTGGTAGCAATATCGCCAACCTTGCCAGGAGTGTTCCCTGTAAATACCACCATGGAACTCCTGCATGCCAAGCAAGGCTAAATACAGTTTCTTTCCTGACACCGCACAATTCATCACAGAGCTAATTGGGAAGGGAGTTTAAGGCCTTCTAATTAAAGCTGTTTTCAATAATGGAAGGTATTGGTCTAAAGAGACCCCAAGAATCTTGATCTCCCTCTTTCTTCCTTAGAAAGACCTACATAGAGATGAGTAGGGAGGTGAAACTTTTCATGAGGTTGGGAGAGCAGCTAGTGATGCATTAAAACCCACACTCTTTCCATTTCTCTGCTCCTGCTGCCTCTGCTGCTGCTGCCGCTGCTGCTGTTCCTGCCAACACATACGCTTCTCACCCCCACGGAGGGCCCCCACTGCCAGTTCTCCATCCACTGCCACCACAAGCAGAATTCATGCCTCCATTGCACCTGTTTTATGTGGCTCTCTCAGCAACATCCACCTGTCTATAAACAACTCTGGGGGGACCTTGGGGCAAGCTAGTGATGGCACCACAACATGGGCAATTTATTGATGGCCCCTTGGGCAGAGATGAGATCTTAATAAACAAGGGACTAATGCATTAGCAGTACCTCTTGCGAGTTTGTGGACTGAACTGCAATCCTACAGTTGTGGGGATGGACTCTGTGCCTCATTAATGGAGAAGGTTCTGTAGTTCCTTTGCCCTGAAGAATTTTAGCCAGAGTGGCCAATAAACAAAAACTTGAAAAATTTCCTACAGCAGGCACAGAAAGGAAAGAAGACAGTAAAGTTGTTTACCTGGTGCAGAAATTAGATAAACAGTAAGTAGATCTAGGGAAGTACTTGGGATGCGATTTAAAATGGAGTCTTCTACAACCCCTATAGAGATTTCTCAATATACAACAATATAGAGATTTCTCAAAGAACTAAAAGTAGAATTACCGTTCAATCCAGCAGTCTCACTACTGGGCATCTACCCAAAGGAAAATAAATCATTATATTAAAAAAGATACCTGCATTCGTATGTGTATTACGGCACTATTCACAATAGCAAAGATATTGAATCAACCTAAGTGTTCATCAATGGATGATTGCATAAACAGAATGTGATATCTATATCTATATCTATATCTATATCATCTATATCTATATCTATATATCTCCTGATTTCCATTTCCACTTTCCATATTTACTAAATAGGAATAATTTTACACACCATAGAATGTAATTATATATATGGATATATATAGAATGTGAAACACACACACACACACACACACACACACAAACACACACACTGTAGAATACTACTCAGCCATAAAAAAGAATGAAATCATGTCTTTTGCAGCAACATGGATGGAACTAGAGGCCATTATCCTCATGAAGTAACTCAGACACAGACAGTCAAATACCGCACGTTCTCACTTATAAGTAGGACTACATAATATATACATGTGGACATAGGGTGTGGAATAATAGACACTGGAGACTCGGAAGGGTGGGAGGGAGGGAGGGAGCAGGGTGAGGGATGAGAAATGACCTGATGGGTACGATGTACATTATTTGTGCGACGGTTACACTAAAAGCCCAGATTTCACTGCTTCACAATATATCCAGGTAACAAAACTTCACTTGGACCCATTAAGTTTATACAAAAATAAAAATGAAATGGGGTCTTCTAAACATGGGCAGCAGAAACGCAGCTGCAAGAAGCTTAAAAACCCAAAATGCCCAACAGTAATAGCCTGTGCCTCAGAACGAATCACTCATTCTTCCTCACAGTCTCTGCTCTGCTCAAGGGCCAAGTCTCACAGTAGACTTCAACAACATAGTTAAGTTTGGTATTCAATATTGACATATTGAATATAGTACTCAATGGTTATTTGCCAAATCAGATTGAATTGTCAATAATTTGTTGGACCCTGAAGCCCCTTTGTGCTATTATGGAGAAGTCATGCTGCTCTGAACAAAGGGAGATAGACTTAAATTATAGGAGGCAGGATTTGTCTGAGATAAAAGAAACATTCTTCTGTGACGGTGAGGAGTATAGAACCCTGGATAAGTAATAGAACTTCCTTTACTTTTTTTTGAGACGGAGTCTTGCTCTGTTGCCCAGGTTGGAGTGTGGTGGCATGATCTTGGCTCACTGCAACCGTGGCCTCCTGGGTTCAAGCAATTCTCCTGCCTCAGCCTCTCAAATAGTAAAAATACTAAAAATAGTGTTTTTAGTACAGACAAGGTTTCACCATGTTGGCCAGGCTGGTCTGGAACTCCTGACCTTGTGATCTGCCCGCCTCAGCTTCCCAAAGTGCTGGGATCACAGGCATGAGCCACTGCGTCTGGCCTAGATATCTTTTAAACAAAAATATTGAACACAATCTCCTACACAGGGACTGTGGGAATAAGTGAAACACAAAAACACTAGTTCATTTTCCTGATGACTTCCTTCAAAGGTGTCAGATCATAAAGAGTCATAGTTGCCCTGATGCCCTGAAAACGTGGTCCAGTGGCCAGAAGGTCTGAACACTTGCCTAGATTGCTTTGTGGAAGATGTCCTTGTTTGCTTGAAAAGATCAGGTGGGACCTTTCTTGGTGTATCTAATGAAGCCTTCTCTTGAAATTCTAAGAGCCAAAGATTTAGGTTTTGGGAGGCCACTTTGAATACACACATACACATTCAAAAATAGGACACAGAAGTATTGTTTTTAAAATTATTCTGGCTAATCTATTCGACATTGCAAGAAAAAAAATCTTTGGAAAAATAGAAAAGCACACCAGTACTGGACTGTCAAAATGAAAGCCACATCAGGGAGGGCCCATGTGCAAAGAGCCCTGTGCCGCTTAAAGCTTGGGGCCATACACTTGCCTCTTTTCAGAAGCTTTTTAGTGTGATAAAAATAGAGCCTAGAAGATTAAATAAAGAACAGAGTTCATGGATTCATCATATACTTTAAATCTTGTGTTTTAAAATGAAGCTGGTTATGAAGGGATGACTTACAGGGTTATTCCACAAGGGAATTCCAATAGAACTGTTTCGTGAGACTAAATGATTATTAGGCTCCTACCCCTGAAAGTTGTATTTTAAAAGATCAGAGGTTTAATCATTATAATCCTGATGCCTTCAATAAAAACATATTTAAATTAAGGTGCCTCATTCAGAAAGCTATTAACAAGGGTGTTTCAGTATACTCATAAACGTTTTACTTTAAGGGTGAAAGTTTAGAACATGAGTTTGAAGGATATGGTGGGAAGTAACGAACTTCCTCCTGGATCACATATCCACTAAAAAGTATCTTTTACACTTAAGAACACTGCTTCTAATGCTTATCATATAGGAACTAGAAGACATAATATAAAAGACTCTAGTACATAATTTACTATCTAATAAAAATATAGTACTAATTCTGAAACAGATAAAAATGAAGATAAAACAATTATCCTTTCATTTACATATTGCTTATTTTTTAGTCATATGAGAAAATTAAACATGAGGACAGTGGGAAAACATTGTACTTTAAACTATTAATTTAAAAGGGCTCTTCTGGAGTTTAATGAAAATATATTTGCTCACTGTAATTTAAATATTTTGATAAATGTTATCCTCCATAAGATAACCTTCATGTAAATTGGCCTTCCAGGATTTAAAGCATAGAAACATAGTTTTTTGGTTTTTTTATAAATGCTTTAGTTTGTCTGTTTATTTGTTCTTATTGAGGGTTTTCCATATTTAATAAGGTCTTGGCACATATTTGTATTTCACTCCCAAGACCACAAAATTTAATCTTATCCATGAAGCATCTTCAGTTTGAGAGTTGATCTCCCAGAGCATTTCTTGCCTAACACTTGGTATATGATGTTACTCTCTCTTGTACTGTGGTTTAAAGCTAGTAGATAGTGGAGTTCGGGATCTAAGTCTCAGTGTAGTGGACATTATAGGCTGTACTCAACTGCTTCTCATTCTTTTCCCCTTATGTGCAATTCTCATCTCTGCAATATTATAAAACGGAACACTCCCTGTGACAAGGACCATCCTGTTTCTGTATATTCCATAGACCATGAGGTTATGCTGGACATAAAGAAAGCACTCAGGAGCTACTAAGTGCTCAGGTGAACTGAATTAAGTCGTTCTATGGGCCAGAGGAAGCCATCCCTGAAAAAAATCACCAGTAAGCCATAGTGTATGCAACTTTGTGTATGTGTGTGTGTGTATATTTAAATATATACATAAATACATATATACACACACATACATACACACATATATACAAATACATATATACACAAACATGTATACACATACATATATACATATACATATATATATAGCTATATATTATACTAGCTTGTTGGGGAAGTAGAAAATTAAATATTCTGTCTAATTTCATCTGAACCTCATCTCTATGAGGTATGGAGGAAAGCATTACATTATTCCCATTTAGTAGACATGGAAAATGGAAATCAAGACTAAATTATTTCCATTTAGGCCAGGCGCAGTGGCTTACGCCTGTAATCCCAGAACTTTGGGAGGCTGAGGCAGGCAGATCACTTGAGGTCAGGAGTTCGAGACTAGCCTGGCCAACATGGTGAAAACCCCTCTCTATTAAAAATACAAAAATTAGTTGGGCAGTGGTGGGCACCTGTAATCCCAGCTACTCAGGAGGCTGAGGCAGGAGAATTGCTTAAACCTAGGAGGCAGAAGCTGTGGTGAGCTGAGACCACGCCACTCCACTCCAGTTTGGGTGACAGAATGAGAGCCTGTCTCAAAAAAAAAATATTCCCACTTAGTAAATATGGAAAATGGAAATCAGGCAATTTTATGAATAAATAAAATTTATTTATTGGTTTTGAGGTAATCAAAATTAGTCGTGGTCTACAAACTGGTCTCCAATACTCCTCATACTCAGTTCAGTATCTTATCCCCGTGACTACATTGCAACTTTTCACAAGTGAAAGATTTTCATATATTTAAGCCCTAAGTGAAGAAAAATGAGAAGTTGGACAAGAAAATTAATTTCAACGTATTCACCAGATAATCTGCATGTCTGTTACTTTTCTAAAGGGTCTTACCTTCACTGTGAAAGCATGCACGGTAGGGCTGTTAAATGTAGGATCGTCGGGTCTCTCCTGGTAGACCACACGGTAATGGGAGATAATGCCATTGGGAGATTCTGGCTTTGTCCAATTCAACAGAACTGAATGAGCACTCGTGGCTTGAGCCCAAGGAGCTGGAAAATCTTGAGGTGGAGCTTCCAGAGTTTGTGTTAATGACCACAGACTCTCCACTGAACCCTTGGAGTTACAGGCTCTGACCCGATATTCGTAGAGTGTGAAAGGCCTCAGGGTGTCTCCTTCATCCATAAATTCAAGGGCTCCTTCTGACCAGACAAATAAAACAGACTCCTCTTCAATGCCAGCAGGGCGTCTGAAAGGAAACCAAGCAGGCAACCAGTGACAGCTGCACACTTCAAAACAAAGTTTGTAGATGGAGTAAAAACATTTTTTTTAGAATTTGTTATCAACTTAACTTTTCAGCTGTTTCTTCCTGGTGTCATAGTAAAGAAAAACCAGATGGAGAAGTACTCCAGTGGCCTAACTCCATATCATTTTTAAAGTGTAGTTGACACACACACACACACACACACACGTATTTGACTGATTATAAAAGAGTGCATATGCTTTGTAGAAAACATGGAAAACACAGAAGAAATATAAAAAGCACAAAAGGTGAAACCTCATCCAAAATCACATTTTATTATCTTCCAGATGTTTTTGCTGAATAACAAGATACATATGCAATACAAGAAAACAAACATATTTAAAATCTTTTAAAAATACAGAAGCATATATTAAACATTATTAATGCATTTTTATATATTTTCCAGATCTGTGTGTATGTGTCTGTGTGTGTGTGCATGTATGCATGCAGTTATATCGGGGTTTTATTTTTTGTACAACTGGAACCACAGGATATGGAATTAGTAGAAGCTATTATTGGGAATCCTTACCCTTCTATGATAAATGGATTGCAGCTAGGGTCCCAATGTGTTTGTCTTCCTGTATCCAGGCCTTTTGCGAGTATGCTCGTAAACTCACTCTGAGCTTGGCTATATGACTTTTTTGGCTCATGGGACAGTAGCAAATATGATGATTGCAGAGACTTCAAAAGTGTTTGCACATTGAGGATGATCCTTTTGCTGCTCTTAGGACCATAAAATTACTGTGTGAAAAAGCCCAGGTTGGCATACTGGATGATGAAGAACTATGAAGGGAAGTCCACAGTTCCTATTTTCTCTCATGCAGCACAATGCTCTTTTGCAATTGTTCCCAGGATGTTTACAAAGTATTTTAAATTCACTTCTTAGATGCCACTTAATTTCTCTTCATTTGAATTTTCTCTTCTATAATTTAAACCATAACCTCTCAAAGTATGGACAATCTTTTCTTATACATCAAGACCACTGTTTTTTCTACATTTATTGTACTTATACATCAACAACTTTATTAAGCACTGTTATATGCCCATCATTGTATTAGAAACAAGGGTAAAAAGATGAACACACCCCTTACCTAAAGGAATAGGTAGCTGAGTAGAGAAGATGGAGCTATGTGCAGATTAATGAAAATAACATGATAAGTAATATAATAGGAATTTGTTTTAGAGTTTTTTTGTTTTATTTATTTATTTTGAGACTGGGTCTCACTCTGTCACTCAGGCTGGAGTGCATTGATGCAATCATGGCTAACTGCAGCCTCAAACTCCTGGACTCAAGAAATCCTCCTGCCTCAGTCTCCTGAGTAGCTAGGACTACAGATGTGTGCTACTAGGCCTGGCTAACTTTTAAAATTTTTTTGTAGAGATGAGGTCTTGCCATGTTGCCCAGGCTGGTCTTCCCCAAGCAAGCCTCTGGCCTTGGCCTTCCAAAGTGCTGGGATTACAGGCATGAGCCACCATGTCTGGCTTGCTTTAGAGATTTTTAAAGGACAAAAGTCAAATTCCTTTTAGATGTCTTCCCCAAAACCTGGTAAAATGCAGAGTATGACCCCAAAATTCTTTCAACTGTCTGAGGATGGAATTGTTTAGGCTCATCTTTAGATTTTGTTGATAGGGAAACTAGGGCCAAATGCATACTCTTTTGGTACTAAATATATATAGCATTAAATATAGAAGTAAGAGAAATGGAATGGTGAGTTGTTGAGACGGCCCTATATATCTGATACTTCATTTGGAACAGTTCTTTTCTCATCCAGATGTAAAAACATGATGCAGGTTTGATGGAAAGCAAAGTTCTGGAGGAACTGTGGTTGGCATATCTCTATATTCCCAGCATCTGAGCCCAGTAAGTGTTCAATCATGTTTTTCAAGTGAAAGGCTAAAAGTTATGGAATCCCATTACTTCCCTGCATCTTTGCCTCTTCTCCATCAGCTCTTATTTCCTATCAGGGCAGTATTCCAGGTTGGGAGAGAATGTAACCAAGACATTGACCCTCCTCTTTCAGCTCTCTCTCTAGTTGAGAAGAGAGTGATGAATACAGTAATATTTTCCAGGCTGTTAGAAGTATTTAATTAACACACTCTTCAGATGCTGAAAAATTCACATGCTGCCATATCAGATTAACCAGCTCCATCAAAATGTAAAGGGTTATTAAGACAAAGTGAATGACAGTTACCTTTCACAAAAAGGCAGAATATGTAAAATCTTTGGCTTTGGGAATCTGATGATCCTTAAGTTGATAAATCACGATGACCTAAGTATGAGCAATGACAAGCTTCATGCTGGAAGCTATAGAGGCTTCATAGACACCTCTCAGTCACCTGCAATTATGGTTCGGCAGCCCACCTCATTATTGCTCACTACCATGCGTGAACCAGATTCTGCACTCAGTGAAGGTTTGCAGGGTTTGGCCTTTGTACTTGCTACAGATATCAGGTACCAGGTGTGTCATTGGGAGAGATCCATTCTAATGAGAACTGCAGGGCTCATAGCCAAGGACTCTTCTCAGTGATTTTTAAAAAGTTGTTTGCTAGGAACACAATACAGCAAACAAACCTATGATGGTCTATGGGGAAGTAACATTTTCTATTTTGTCTAGCTTCAGCCTTTCCATGACAATTCAATTAATTTTTATTAAACTCTCACGAATTCCCAAATTGAGATGTAGTCATGGTTTCTATAAAGCCGACATTCTTAACAAAATTTGCCTAAAAGTGGGGTTTTAAATACATATACTATTTAAAAGATTGAGTATTATGTTGGCCTCAAGTTTATTCACCAAAAGAATTAAAAGGTGCAGCCTGGTTAAGTATTTCTTATCGCTATTGAATCCTTGAAAAATTAATATCGTGGAGAAGTACATGTCCCATCTGCACTGCTAAAAAACAGAGTCTCTCTTTATGTCTGAATACATTTAGAGCAGAAGTGGTTGAGTAGACCACAATTATTCCTAATTATTTAAGATTTAAGCATCACCTGTTCATTTAACTGGAAGTGTTTCCTCCTGAGTAGCCTGTGTTTAGAGAAATCACATTTTCAGTTCTCTCTGAATAGCCAAATGGTTATTCTTTGCTCAGGCTCATTTGGGAGATACTTCAGGAATGTAATTTTCCAACTAGAGTTAATTTAATGTTGCCTAACACTAAGAGGAAAACAAAAATAAGTATAAAAACTAGGAACCATATATTTTTAAAGGCAGTCACACTTCTGTGGTCTCAATGTACAATGCTTTTAGGAGCTCCTTACTCCTTCTCTCCCCTCCAGCAATTGTCACTGCTTATTTTCAAAAGCAATTAAAACAAAATCCTAGAACCCAATGCACCATAACAATTTTGAGGTTATGAAACTGCCAACCCCATTCCATGAAGAATATTACAAATATTCTGAGTTTAAATAGATAATCAGAAACATCTGTAGTCAGAGGAGATAGGTTGGAGGTCCTGGCTCTGCCACTTAGTTCAATGACCTTGGGTGAACTTGCCTGTCTGTGTCCTCTAGTTTCTATTTCATTTTGTAAAGTGGAGTTAATAACCTCATAGAGTATAACAAACCTCTGAAAATTCTTATAAAAATTAAAACATAAAAATCATTGGGTAAAATGTAATGCATGATCTGAATGAAGTTATCATGGAGATGATGTGCATCTGGCATTGAACAAGGAGGTCATCTCAACAGTTTACGTAAGAATAAATGCAGACCCTGAACTAGATTGCTGAGAGGACAAATGGAAACACAGGTGATTTACAAAATGATTTGTGAAGGTTGAATCGTCAAGTTTTTGGTGTGAGTAGAGACTTGGCTGTTGAGGGAAGAGACATCACAAACCTTTCAAAAATTTTAAGACAGTCCTTTTAAAAATTCTTTAGAGATTTACCATGTAAAATGGCCTATGCTTATCCTTAATCTGCTGATTCTCAAAAGGACTCACCTTTCTGAAATTTCTAGTCCCATTTTATATTCTAGTTATCATCAAATGCTTGACTATAGTTTCTTATATTCCATTATATTTCACGGTTCCATGGCTTTGGTATCTGCTAATTCTCTGGCAATATCCCTCCCAATCCTCTTTCTTATTCTCCTTTTTTCTTTCTTTTTTTTTTTTTTTTTTTTTTTTTTTTGCTCTGTTGCCCAGGCTGGAGTGCAGTGGGGCAATCTCGGCTCACTGCAAGCTCCGCCTCCCAGGTTCACGCCATTCTCCTGCCTCAGCCTCCCGAGTGGCTGGGACTACAGGTGCCTGCCACCATGCCTGGCTAATTTTTTGTATTTTTAATAGAGACGGGGTTTCACTGTGTTAGCCAGGATGGTCTCGATCTCCTGACCTTGTGATCTGCCCTCTTCAGCCTCCCAAAGTGCTGGGATTACAGGTGTGAGCCACCACACCTGGCCTCTCCTTTTTTCTATAGACTAACTACAACTCGTCTTTTAAAATTCTAGCCCCATATCACTTTTTCCAGAAAGTCTTTTCCTTGCTTTTCTCTCAAATAAGAGTTATCATATCCTTCTATGTGCTACCTCTTTTTTCTAATTTGTATTAGGCTCCTTTTGCATTGCTACAAAAATACTTGAGGTAAGCTAATTTATACAGAATAGGGATTTAACTGGCTCACAGTCCTGCAGGGCGTACAGAAAGCATGATGCTGGCATCTGCTTATGAGAGACTCAGGAAGCTTACAACTATGATGGAAGGTGAAGAAAGAGCAAGTGCATCACGTGCAGAGAGCAGGAGCAAGAGAGAGAGGTGGCGGGGGGGCGGGGGGCGGGTGGAGTCCTAGACATTTAAACAACCAGATCTCCCATCATGAACAAACTGAGCAAGAACACACTTATCACTAAGGGCATGGTGCTACACCATTCATAAGGGATCTGACCCCATTATGCAATCACCTCCCACTAGGCCCCATCTGCAACATTGGGAATCTGTTTTTAGCATGAGATTTAGAGAGGACAAACATACAAACTATATTATTCCACCACTGGCCTCCCAAATCTCATCTCTTTCTCACATTTCAAAATGAAATCATGTCCTCCCAATAGTTCCCCGAAGTTTTAACTGATTACAGCATTAACTCAAAAGCCCCAAGTCTCAAGTACCAAGTCTAAAATCTCATCTGGAGACTCATCTCCTTTCACCTATAAGCCTATAAAATCAAAACAAGTTATTTACTTCCAAGATACAATGTGGATATAGGTATTGGGTAAACATTCTCATTGCAAAAGGGAGAAATTGGCTAACAGAAAGGGCCTATAGGGCCCACACAAGTCTGAGACCTGGTAGGACAGACATTAAACCTTAAAGCTCCAAAATAGTCTCCATTAACTCCATGTCCCACTCCAGGGCACACTGCTGCAAGCACTGACTCCTAAGGCTTTGGGTAGCTTCAACCCTGTGGTTTTGCAGAGTGCAGACCCTGTGGCTGCTCTCATATATTGGAGTTGAATCCCTATGGCTTTTTTCAGGATACAAGCTGTCCATGGTTTCTGGGACCTAGAGAGAAGTGGCCCCCTTCCCACAGCTCCAACAGACAGCGCCCTGATGGAGACTCTGTATGGTGGCTCCAACACCACACTTGCCTTCTGCACTGCCCTAGTAGAGTTTCTCTGTAAGGGCTTCACCCCTGTGGCAGCCTTCTGCCTGGGCACCCAGGCTTTCTCATACATTCTCTGAAATCTAGGGGGAAGCTGCCAAGCCTCCTTCATGCTTGCATTCTGTGCATCTGCCAACTTAACACTACATGGTAGCTACCAAGGGTTTGGTGTACGCCCCCTGAAGCACCTACCTGTGATGTATCTGAGGCCCTTCGAGCTGCAGCTGCAGCAAGAGTAGTCAGGATGTGGGGAACAGTTCGCAAGCCTGCACAGGGCAGCAGGGCTCTGGGCCTGGCCCTCAAAACCATTCTTTCCTCCTAGGCCTCTGGGCTTGTGTTGAGAGGGGCTGCCTGTAAGATCTCTGAAATGCCTTCTAGGCCTTTTCCCTATTATCTTGGATATTAACACTTGGCTACCTTACAGTGATGCTAGTCTCTCTTGAAAGTGGTCACTCCACAGTCTGCTTGAATTCTCTCTCTACCACAGGGCCAGGCTGCAAATTTTCTGAACTTTTGCTCTCTGCTTCCCTTTTACATAAAAGTTCCAACTTTGAGTCATTCCTTTGCTCCCATATCTGATTGTAGGCTGTTAGAAACAGCCAGGCAAAGTCTTGAATGCTGCTTTGTTGCTTTGAAATTTCTTCCACCAGTACCCTAGGTTTTTACTCTTAAGTTCTCACTTTCACAAATCCCTGGGGCATGGATGTAATGGAACCTAGTTCTTTGCTAGGGCATAACAAGGGTGACCTTTACTCTAGTTCTCAATTATTTGCATCTCCAACTTCATTAGTCTGGTCTTCACTGTCCATATTTCTATCAGCATTTTGGTGAGAACCATTTAACCAGTCTCTAAGAAGTTCCAAATTTTCCCTCACCTTCCTGTCTTCTTCTGAGCCCTCCCAACTCTTTCAACCTCTGCCCGTTACCCATTTCCAAAGTCACTTCCACATTTTCAGGTATCTTCATAGCAACACGCTACTCCTGGTGCCAGTTTTCTGTATTAGGCTGTTCTTGTGTTGCAATAAAGAAATACCTTGGGAGCAAGTGATTGCAGCATGCAATTTTTCCGACATTTGGAAAACCAACTTAATTTCATGTTTCCTCCTCCATACAACTGCACCAGTGGCAGGTACCCCTCTTCAACTGTCTGAGTCCCAGCTTCACAGGCACCCTCCTCTATGCATTTACATTTTAATAATTCTAACAACTCCCCTTTGTTCCCTCAGTTCTAAAGGTGCTAGCTGTTTCCTGTAGTTGCCACCTCCATGATATCTTAGAGTTCTCTTTTTATGCTTTTAGTTACCTAGTTAACAAATTTATAACTACTTACTAATTATTTATATTAAATTCCTTCTGTTAAAGTAAGTAGTGTGGTTCCTCTTTCTTGATCAGACTTTGATTATTACAGAAAGTGATGGTGATATTCACACAAAGAAGGAAATAGGAAAATCGGAGACAGTGATGATAGATTTGCATCTGGGCTCACAAATTTATTATTTTGTCTTTACTAGACCATATGATGTATTGACTATAAAAATTAATAAGAAAACACAGATGAACAAAAGCAGAAGTATTTAAAAGAATCACTGATAGCCTAATATTTGGAGATAAGCACTGCTAGCACTATTTTGGTGTTTAACATTCCAGACATTTTTTTATATACATATATATGTAAAAAATATACTATATATTTAAAGGAAAACAGAATCCTACCAGGCATACTGTTATGCAAGCTGCTACTTTTATAACCATGAACCTCTTTCATTGACTTTAAATGTACATCTATAACTGCCAGATGGATTTGTCTTTCTAAAACATGGCTTTGGACAACATATCTAGGATAACTTTCTATTTTTATCATGCTTCACATTTAACAGTAATTCCACACATATTATTTAATTCTTACAGAATTCCAAGAGGCTAATTATCTTTTATATTTACTATCTTCACTTCATGTAAAAATGGAAAATTAGGGAACACAGTGACTTGCCTAAGGTCATATAACTAGTAAGTGTTAGAGCCAGGCCCTGGAAGCCATATCTTCTGACTACAAATGCCACACTCTTTCCACTTTATTACATTGCTTCTCTATTTACCCCCTAAACCTTCAGCAGCTCACATTGCCTCTGAATATAAAGCCTAAACTCCTTAGATCTAAAATCTATCATTAAGCTGATCTTCTAAATGTCCCCTACTAATAGCAATGACTCCAGATAAACCTGACCATTCCTTGAATCCTATGCTTATGTGTTGGAAATTTTGCTTATTCTATTGATTTTATTCACTTATCATGTCTTCACCATCAGGCTGTACTTGTTAAAATCCCTATTTACCACAAGTGAAACAGAATACAAAGTCCTAAAATGAACCCGATGCACATAGGAATTTTGTATGAGTGACATTTCAAATCAGTGGATTATGAAATAATGTTGATAAACTAGTTAGCATTTTTTAAGAAAATGAATTCTTATCTAATTTCCAATAACAATATTAATTCCATATTTAGAAATAAGGAGTAGAGCCATAAAAGTGCTGGAAGAAATAATTAATGTGTTATTTTTAATATGATCATGAAAGGGAGATTTTCTTTAATGTGGAAAGAATATAGACAATAAGAAATAATCCAGTAGAAAAAATTAGTCTAAGAATTTATAATATATTATACATACCCCTCCCAAATAGAAGATAAATATTTTAAGTAAATGAACAATCTTACTTATAATCATCAAAACTTGAATTAAAACAACAAAAATGTGCAAATGAAAATATTGAGCTGACAGATTTGGAAGACTGACCCTGTATTAAAAGATTTCAGAATTAGAAATTCTTACATATGATATTTGGAAGACAACTTAGGAATCCTCAACAATTTTAAATGCATATGGTCTAGTAAAGACAAATCCTCAACAATTTTAATTGACCCAGTACTTCTAGTACTAAGAATAATTCTCTGTATACTTACCGTAAGAATATTTATTAGAGAATTGCTGTGGTAACGAAAACTTGAAAATCACCTATCTTGCCATCATCAGGGTACTGGCTAAATAATATATGATACACATCCATATAACAGAATATTGATGAGTCATTAAAAGAAATTAGGTGTGTATATGTGTGTGGGCATATATATAAAATGCCCAAAGAAAATTGCAGAACAATATGGGCAATATAATTCTTTCATGAAGAAGAAAATACAAATAGAAAACATTAATGTTAATATATTAAAATTAATAGTGTTACTTCTATTAGTGAAAATTACATATGCCATGAGTAAATCATAAGAATGAATAATAACCTTAGTAATCTTCTGTACTGTTAAAACATTTTTTCTAACAAATGTATTTCTCTTACAATTTAAATAGTCATTAAATCTTTATTTTATAAGTCCTAGTCTCAATGACATCAACTTGATGAAGTGTTCCATGAATATTCTAGACACAGAATTATTCTCTAAATTTTCTGGTAAATATTTCTGTTTTTCCACTATATATTTTACTCTTTTCTTTGTTTATTTAGCCTGTCTTATATCTCCCACTGTAGTGAAGATCATTGGTAAAAGGGCTTAGGTCTCATAGATCTTTGTGTCTCTCTCAGTAGATATGTACATGTATGGATAGGTAGATGTCTGTCTGTCTGTCTTCTGTCTGTATCTATCTATATAAATATTCATATCTATATCCATCTTTCCACCCAATACAAATTGAATTACATCAAAATTCCTTTGCCTTTGATTCAATGCTCGTCTTTTCTTAGTTAATTCAATCAGCTTAATTATCCATTTTATAAAATGTTTTCACTTATCTGCTTTGAAAACCCTTTCATATCATACAGTCTTCAAAATTATTTCAGATTTTATCCTTTAAATCTTACTAAATACTCAGAAGGAAGTGCCATCATTTGTTTCTATTTTTACAGCATTTACAGGGTGTTTGTATATAGTTTTGCCTCTCAGTGCACATTGATCAAATCTTTTTATTTATTTAAAGAGAAAGCTCATGAGAATAATAAACCCCATGAAATTTGGTTTCTATTAAAATTAAAGCACCTAGTGGGAGGAGATTATTTTATTACATGTTTTGTAAAGTCTCAATTTAATGTGTTTGATGGATTTTGTAGACGTAAGTGATGAGATTTTTGCCATTTGCAAGGTTGCAGATATAAAATAAAGGGGGAATACTGAAGAATCATTATCATACCAGCCAAACTCATTGAGAGGAGGAAGCAGATGTCCAAGACAGTCTTGTCTATACTCAGTCAATAAACAGGTTGCAAAACACTAACTTAAATGTTGGTCTCTATTCTTTACAAAACTTTTTGTAGCAAATCTTTTTTTGTGACTTATATATAGTCAACAAAATAGCTTAAACAGATAAACTAAGCAGAGGGAATCATATTAATAGTTTGTTCTTACTAGGTTATTTTGTTTCGTTTTTGAAATTATAAACATTCTTCTATCTTTAATAGGGCAGACGCTTTTTAATAGGATAATATTTAGGTTATTTTGCTTTGTTTTTGAAGTCATAAACATCTTCTGTCTTTATTAGGTCAGATATTTTTTAATAGGATAATATCTAGAGGAAATATTTAAAAAATAAAGGACAGTTACAGAAAAGAAAATGATTCAGGGTCTTGGTGAGAAGAGAGTGGCAAACAATTTCAAATGAGATTTACAAGTGGGCTTCCTGCAAGTTAATAAAAATATCTGCATAGGCCAAATCCTATCTTTGGTTTGAGCTAAATGTACTTCCTTTGGTGCCGATAGAAGAAAGAGAAGGCCAATGATGAAGCTGAAATTACATGCCATAACCTCCTCAGAAATACTGCAGGCTGGTGGCTATAACTATATAAAGGGCTCTATGTAGTCTCAGAATGAAAAAGAACTATGTGTCTCCATTCTATTTCTGTCCTTACAAATTTCTGATTATTTTTTGCAGCTATCTAAGAAAAATTTGATATTGTTGTTGTCTAAGCACATTTAAACTTCAGTTGAAATAACTGCCAAGTGATTCATGCCTATGTAGGTGAATATAACGATTGTATCTGGAGCCCCAGTGCGCCATTTTCATTTCACTTTAAATAAAAAACAAAATGTATCTATGTCAGTCAGTGCCCTTCTGCTGTACTCAGAGGTATCAAACAGGCTACAATTATGATTGTGAAGTGATTGTGTCACATTGGAGGAAGGTTTATTGCTTTTGAGTCTGCTAGGCAGTAACACATTCTGTTTCATATTACTCTTTATATCATTGTTTGGCTGTGATTAGAATAATCAGATGCCATCAAATGCTGTCAAATTCAATTTACAGTATTTTTCATTGAAGCGGGCTTTCTGCATTATATTTCCTGTTTTCCCTCTCTATAGCTGCCATGGAATAGGCACTGTAATCACGAGCTTTATTTACAAAACCAACAGAGTGAAGCCACGTCCTGGTCTATAACAGATACTCTATTTCCCTTTATTCTGAATAGGAATTTGATGTGCTTTTCTCATGCAATTAGCATTAAGTGGATGAAAGAAAACTATTTCAAGAGGGTGGACATTTTAGAGCCTGCACTAATGTGCTTAGCGTAAAATGGAAATTCACATTAACCATTTTTACGTGTTCATGTGTTTTTGAATCAGAAATATTATTCTTCAAATTAATGTTTGCTGAGAAGAAATTTGGCTTGTTCATTTTTGGTAATGTCATTTACATAACCAGAAATGCAATAATACTTTCTCCTTTCGTAATTTTTTTCTATAAGCCCTTAGCTCATCACTGAAGACTGATGTGAATCAAAGGATTTCAATATCTAAAGTTATAAGAGGAGCCTAAGTAAGTTTCACTAAGTTTCCAGGGCATAGGACCAAATAAGGGAAGGCCTGAGGCTGCTAGAGACACTAACAAAGGATGTTGAAGAGGTGCGGGGTATGAGGATCTGAGAAGAAGGGTGTTCTGCTTTGTACGCTAAAGGAAATACATTGCTTTCAGAATGGGATTGGGTTTTTCAATCTGCAAGTCCTGTATGTCTACCAATGATTGTATTTTCTGTCTTAAGTAGCAAGCCATCAGTTGACAGGTTATTTGCCCCCTTGGCTCTTTGCATTGTACTTTCTACTCACCTCCCCTCACTTTCTCTATTTTTTCTCTTCTTCTCTCCCTCCCTCCATCTCTCCCTCATTCTCTTCCTTTGCCTGCTCCTTCTCCTCCTCATTCATTATTTATTTAAAGAATACATTAATTTAAAGCAATGTTCATGTTGATCTGGTGAAGACTAGATCAGAGAGCAAAATATCCTTCAAACCAAAATGTTCATAGTGTATCTCTCTCTTCCATTATTTTCTCTCTCTCTCTCTCAATCTCTCTTTGTCTCTCTTTTTCCTCAATCTTTCTCTTCCTCTCTTCCCTATTGTCTCTTTTCTTTATTTTAGGTAGGTACACTTAATAAATTCTGCACATGATGGAACAAGTTGCTATAACACCATCTAACCAGTGGAGTGGAGGCTCATTAAAACAGAAGGAAAACTGGAGAGGAGAGCCCCTTTTTCTGCTTATGAAAAGCACCATCTTTGGAGGAGGAGAAAAAACTTTTTAATCTCTACATAATAATTAATGAGAAATATTAGAATTCTTGTCTTGTATCTGGTTTCCTCTCTGGAAAGACTATGTTTTCTTGGTCAGTGAGCTGCTTAAGCAGTGGTCCCCAAACTTTTTGGCACCAGGGACTGGTTTTGTGGAAGACAATTTTTCTACACACTGGGGCAATGCAGTTAGGGTGTACGGTTTCAAGATGAAATTATTCCACCTCAGATCATCAGGCATTAGATTCTGATAAGGAAGGCACAACCTAGATCCCCCACATGCGCAGTTCACAATAGGGTTTGGACTCCTGTGAGTATCTAATGCCACCACTAATCTGACAGGAGGTGAAGCTCCGGTGGTAATGCTTGCTCACCAGCCACTCACCTGCTGTGTGGCCCGGTTCCTAACAGGCCGCGGACTCTGTGGCCTGGGGGTTAGGAACCCCTGCTTTAGAGGACTGTTCTGCCCCATCACTAAATATAAGCCTATGTGGGCTATAAGGTCTCAGTTTTCAAACAGATCTCAATCAAAAATGTTATATGGCAGTTATGGCTTTTTTCCTTGGTTAATTTGTAAAAGTTTGAGCACCAGTCTTAGTCCTCACTGGTAGGTGCTACAAACAAACAAACAAACATACAAAACAAAACAAAAAAAAACACAACATGAATTCCCATTCATTCTCTTATGGAAATATAAAATGCTCTTGATTCTGCTGTGTTGGAGCAGTACGCATTCTTAAATAACTAAAAATAATAGTAACAGCCAATCTTACCTGTAAATAAAGTAGTTGATGATGATTCCATTTGGTTTTTCAGGTGGCATCCACTTAATCTCTATGCAAGCTGACCCCAGTGCCTTAAGAACAGGAGAATTAAGATCCATTGGGGCTGCTTCAGGTGTTTTGACAAACATCCTACTGCTAACTCCACAACTTCCTTGAAAAAAAAAAAATTGAGGTCTTTATTATTTTTCAAGCAAGGAAAAGAACTACATATTCATACAGAAGGGTAATGATATCATGAAAATTATTTTAACCTGTCCTTTTGCATATATACTTGTACATGTGTTTTAAATAAATTTTTATGGGATTTGAACATTTAAATAGAAAATTATTTTTGGAAAACCCATTAATTAGTCACATATTTATATAGACATAAACAATAAGGCATATTGTCTGGAAATAAGGAATAATAAGGAAACTTGTCTGAACTCAAGTTTCTCTAGTTTATTATAGTCATTCTAACCAGAAAGTGATAATGCACTTGAATTTCACAAGTGTATGTGTGACCTACACATCTTGCATGCTTTTAATAATATTTTATTTTGCCAATATTTTAAACTCATGAACATTATTCAAACACACAGGAATAAAACAATCTATTTGAAGGATATTGTACCTCCATTGCACAGTTTCAGGGACACGGAGATGCAGACGTTGACTTTGTACTTGAGTCAAGAAAACATTAATTTAAAATTATTTTCACGTTTATCAGGTGAAGACAGATCAGAGAAAGCAATACCCCTCAAACAAAAATGCCATGGTCTATTTTTTAGAGAAAAAAGGACAAACTGACTAGCCATTTCTGATGAGTTCAGCAGAGCAAAATTGCAGACTCATAATTCTAACCAACTCCATGAGAACTAGCACTATTTGGAAACAGAAATTCCTAAGGACATTCAATACAGGAGTTTCCACTACACATTGAGTCTGATAAATTTCTTTAAGGTGAAGCAAAATGTTTTTTATACTAAGGTAAGTTACATGTTTTCTTTATTTAGCAAATGAGTATTATACGTTATATAACATATATGATGAGATCATATATATCATATGTTATATATGATATACACATATATCATGTTATATATGATATACACATATATAACATATCCATATCTGTTAAAGTTTATACTTAATTTAAAAGAGATAAATAAAATGATGTATAGCTCTCTTGATTCCCTGTTCTCCCCTCCTAAATCACAGTTTACATTTAGCTACTTATCCGTTTGGAGTGATAAAGGAAATGGGGGAGGCTTTTCCTTAACACAACACAGATACATGAAAATTTCACTGACCACAGCCTAAGCCATGAAACACAAGGTGATAGTTTGTATATATGAATAGGGTTCAAGGAAGCACTATAAAATATATAGGATTCATTTGGGTGTAATTCAACTCTTAAATAACTTCTCACTTCCTCCTCCTGGATAAAATTTAAATAAGGCCAAGGTAAATATGTTTTCTATGAAATATTTGGAATACTCATTTTTGTTTTATATTACCAAAGACTCCTTTATGTGAGCTAGGTGTTTTTCTTTCAAAGGGCCTTATAAAACAAGACTTTGCAAAACCACCATTTTAATATATTTAAATATTTATGATTTAATGTGCAGAAATGCATAATGCTTTACTCGATGCCAGACTGTGATTTTTCTGGGTAAACAGTCCACTACAAATAAGAAGTGAAACGTTAGTCTTTATATTTGGACTGAGAATGTATTCCTTTTTAATGAAATTTTTTAATGAAATACTTTTTCATAAAAGCCCAGGCCAAGTGTCTGAAAGACTTTCACCATTTTGACATGCTTGTATCCTTATCTCATACTGTGTGAATGGAGTCAAATTTTCCAGAAGGGTGGATTGATGATGACCAACGGAGAAGGCCAGAGGTGTTACACTTCCATCATTGAGTAAGACATTGTACTCCACAGGAATTTCGGGGATGAGGATCCCTTTAAAGAGAGAGAGAGAGAGAGAACATTAAAAACATATATATATATATATGTGTGTGTGTGTGTGTGTGTGTGTGTGTGTATATATATATAGACACACATATATATATAAATAAATATATATAGACACACATATATATATAAATAAAACAGAATGGGCAACAAATGTTTGTCTTTTAAAAATAATGTCTATTTAAAATTTTGTAATTGAGGCCGGGCGTGGTGGCTCATGCCTGTAATCCCAGCACTTTGGGAGGTTGAGGTGGGCTGATCACAAGGTCAGGAGATGGAGACCATCCTGGCCAACATGGTGAAACCCTGTAAAAATACAGAAATTAGCCGGGCATAGTGGTGTGTGCCTGTAATCCCAGCTACTCGGGAGGCTGAGGCAGGAGAATCGCTTGAACCCGGGAGGCAGAGGTTGCAGTGAGCTGAGATCACGCCACTGCACTCCAGCCTGGGCGACAGAGTGAGACTCCGCCTCCAAAAAAAAAAAAAAAGTTGTAATAGAAAAGTAAATTACTTTTTAATATAGCAATTAAAAGCTTCACAAAAGTTAAGTTGGCAAATATTAGATTGTGTATTCCAAAAGTAAGAAATGTACATAATCTATTTTTAAAAGCATAATATTTCTATTTAAAGATATACTCTATTGGCAAATAAAAATGAAGGCACATTTCACTTAAAACATATAAGGCAATTATGCTGTCCTATATTTTTTCTAGGTTTACTTACTTTTAAAGTTCATAGAAAACAACACCAATTTTGCTTGTGACAATAATTTTTCTGTAGAGCATTGTGTATGCCTCCTGTCTGACATGGATCCTTGACATAGCCCATGAAATATCCAAATCATGGTCTACCTAGAGAATTCCCAGTGCATTAATTATTGGGCCAGGACAGTTCACTGTCAGTGAGACTTATGGCCCTAAATACAGCGAAAATTTGGGTTCAACAATTGTCATTTTTCACCATTCCTTCCTAAAGAAAGTAGGTCTTGTCAGTTTAGCCTCGTCAAAGTCTATTTATATAATTAAATGCTTGTTAAGTTTTATTTGGTCATGAACAACAGGCATACTTTTTCAAGGAGAGGATATGAGTTTTGAATGAAGAATATAATGGCATTTTCTATTACATTGTCTCCTTGATCTGAGAGTTTTTAACATTTATGAGTTTAGTTATTTACTTCTGTAGTACCCACATAAGTCTATCTTTACTTTAGAAACAGTGGAATCTAGAGATAACATTACTGAGGAAGCACAGGACTCAATGACCTAAGAGAGATGAGGTCTAAAGAATGAAATGTGGTTTTGCTTTTTATAGATGTGGCCTCTGTATTTACAGAGTGGAAGAGCTGGTACAAACCAAAGATGCTCAGGATTTTGTGTAGGATAGATGAAAAAGAGGTGTCTGAAGGAGATATTGATCATCTTCAGAAGTACTGATCAATTGCTTCCTCAGGAAAGGTGCTAGATTGCGTTAAATTTGGCAGCTTAGACTGAGAATGTTTATTTTAAATTTAGAGCATCATGGCTAAACTATCTGGTACATTTATTCTAGTAGGTTAAACTACTAACATTCTATCATTGATTCCTAAACTCTTATCTCTAGCTTTCTATCTTTCCGGTATTACAGCTTTGTATTTTCAACAGCCTGCTAGGTATTTCTACATGGATATTCCTCAGAGGCCACGATCTCAACAATTCTAAAACAGAACTAGCTGTATTTTCCACTCCCAAACCTGTTCTTTTTCCTAGGTTTCCTCTTTCAGTAAGTCATAATACCATCTTCCCATTTTCCTAGGATGGAAATCTTAGAGTAAGACTTTTAGAGTGGATCCTGCCTTCTTCACTCCAAAACTCAAGTGACTACTAAATTTTATCAATTAATTCTTTGAGAAATTTGGGCTTCATATATAATCAGCAACAAGGAGACTTTGCAGGTATAAATAAGAAAATAAGAGTCTACCTATATTTTAGAATGATAACACTGTTGGGAAATGAATAGTGGCTTAAAAACATGAGAGACAAGACATAGGGAAACCAGTTTGAAAGTCTTACAATGTTTGCAGAAGTAGTACAAACAAGAGTCATTTCAATGCATCCCTGTGTTATGCCAGGCAACACGCATTATCCCATTTAATACTACTAGAATGTCAACCGTATAAATTAGGACTTTGTTTTCTCCAATGTGGTTCCACTGCCTAGACTTTAGCACAAAGTAGCAGCTCAATAAATGTTAGCTGATTGAATGAATGAACGAACCCTCAAGACAATACTGCATGGTAAATATTACTATTTTTTAAGATGAGAAAACTAAAACTCAGAGAAGTTAAATAACTTGTTCCAGATTGCACACTGATTAATTGGAGAAGCAAGGACTTGAACTTAGGCCCATCTGATATCAACACTTATATCAATATACTTATGCTTTTCCTTGATAATGGAGTCTTAGAGTAGGACAACTTGGGGAAAAATGACAAGATAGGTTTGAGAAAATTTGTGCAGTAAGGCAGAGCCATTCTTGGAGACTATTCCGAAGCAAGGAAACAAATGATGGATAAGTAAAAATCATTACTGATGGAACAAGCATATTATAGGTAGAAATTTAAAGTTCTGCAGACCAAGTATCCCAACCTGAAATACACCTGCTTTGGAGGTTTGTGGGCTCATGTCAAAGTATATTCAAAGACAGGAACAAACATAGTACCGTAGGTCCTCGAATAATGTTGTTTCATTCAACATTGTTTCATTAATATTTATGAGGAAAAAAATTGATTCCCAGCTGGAGCCACTGTCTATGTGAAATTTACACATTCTCCCCATGTCTGCGTGGTTTCTTTATGGGTACTCTGGATTTTTCCCATATCCTAAAGATGTTTCCATTAAATTAATTGGTGTGTCTGAATGGTCCTAGTCTGAGCGAGTGTGGGTGTGTGTGTGTGCCCTGTAACGGAATGGTCTTGAGCTGCCTGGTTAGGCCCTGGCCACCCCAACCCTGAACTGGAAAAGGTGTGTCAGAAAATGAATGAATGAATGAATAATTGTAAAGTAAAGATTCATTAAGTGTGTTACTATCATATAGATGCATAATAATAAATAATGCTGTACAAAAGCCTTCTGTGAGCTTGCCCTACTTGCGATTGTTTTTACTAGTGCATGGTGGTAAGAAGAATTTCTTCTAATTTCTGCTCAAAAACATTTATCCCTATGGCTGTTGTCACTCGCTGACTTGCCAAAACTTAGGTTAAAAATGATCTTACTTGTTTCTATTAATCTTTCTTAAATGTATGTATAGCTCATATTTATTTCAGTTTAATATTAGAAGTGTTTTGGTCTTTCTTTGATGATATTTAGTTTGGTGACGTTTTTGTGACCACAAATATTCCTTGCAACTTAAATCTTGCTTATATCAACTAGCCTAAGGTAAAATTGGTTTCCTTATATATCTTTTGACTCAAAATTGCAGTTTCCAAGAACCTATCATGACCTTAAGGACTTACTGTGCCTTTTTTTGGAGTATCACTTTGATATGGAAAATTTGGGAAACACAGGATTTCCCTGTTTGAGGAAGGGGAACCAGCAGAATCCCCGTTTCTTTGTTCACAAAAATTGGGTGTGAATTTTTCTTTCTAAAAGTTCAAGATTAGAGAATTGTATGTATGGTGAGTGATTAGAATTTTTGCTAGCCAATTGTAGAGTTGAAGACTCTGTAGTCACCACAGAATGAACCAACTGTAGGACACAAGAAAATGTTTATGCTGATGTGCCAGTGTGCTGAACAAGTATAACTGTTCATACTGTAACCAAAGGACAATGTAATGTTAGTCTCTCGCTATTGCTTTAAAGTGAACTCAATGTGGATTTTCTACCCTAGACATGGGATGAAAAGTTGGCCTGACCCATGACACTTCCACTTTGTTTCAGGTAATAAAGAGTTCTATACTATTTTTCTCCATAAAGAAACAGGAAAAGATATCATAACAAAAATTAAATGCCTAAAAAATAACTTTATTTTTCTCTTTACTGGTATGGTGAATACACATAATAGGCCTATTTAAAGGCTATTCTTCGAGGCCTAATTCACCACTCCACGACAAAACTGGCAGTTTTTACTGCTCTCAACAAGACTGCAATAATTAAAATGAAATTTGAGAGCTGGATAAGGAGAATTGATTATAGAGACCATTTGAGACTCAGTTCATTAATGGATGAGAAAAATTTAAGTACTGTGCCAGAGGTAAAATAAAAAGTAATATAATCAGGTTTCTTCTTCCTCTCCGCAAAAAGTATTTTTTGGAGGGTGTTGCTTGAGGTGGTAAGAGAGATTGAAGAAGGAATCGGGGACCCTCTCAGTTTGCAATTTGACCTTCAGCAGGAGGATATGCTGATAGAAATTTCCATCCAGAGTATCCTAGAATGACAAAGCATTCCATATCACATTTTGGGCATTTCTCCCTATTGTTACCCTGCCATAACAGTAAAGCAGTGAGGAATAAAAGGCTGTTGTTTGAAGCCACAGGTTTTTTGTTTTTTTTTGTTTGTTTGTTTGTTTGGTTTTTTTTTTTGAGACGGAGTCTCGCTCTGTCGCCCAGGCCGGACTGCGGACTGCAGTGGCGCAATCTCGGCTCACTGCAAGCTCCGCCTCCCGGGTTCACGCCATTCTCCTGCCTCAGCCTCCCGAGTAGCTGGGACTACAGGCGCCCGCCACCGCGCCCGGCTAATTTTTTGTATTTTTAGTAGAGACGGGGTTTCACCTTGTTAGCCAGGATGGTCTGGATCTCCTGACCTCATGATCCACCCGCCTCGGCCTCCCAAGTTTTGTTTTGTTTTTGAGACGAAGTCTTGCTTTGCCACCAGGCTGGAGTGCAGTGGCATGATCTTGGTTCACTGCAACCTCTGCCTCACGGTGAACCCACATATTTATGACAAAATGAAGAGGGGAAGAATTGCCGGGACCTTGAACCTGTTATTGGGCTTAGTTTTCTTTAGATCTTCCTAATATCATGAAATATAACAGCATTATCACTCTTTAGCCAATGAGATTAGTAGAAAATGTTTTCCCAAATGATAAGTTGTATAATATATTATTTTTTGGATGAAGACAAACACTGGAATACAATGGCAAATTTACATGAATTTTTAAGATAAAAAGCAAGACCTTAAAGAAACTGCAAGCTAATGATGATTGCTTCAGGCTCTGTTTTCAGACCTCCTGGGATTGCATATTCATCCTGTCTTCTTTGTTCCTAGGACAGTTCTTGCAGAAAAGTTTGACAGACACACATTCATAAGAAACATGCCATCATTCTTGTTGAACTAGACAAACCACAGAGTGGTGTCAGATAGATCAAATCCTTCTGCTGCCCTTATTTCCCAAGCGACCACTGGCAAATTAACTAACCTCTATGGATGTTGTCTCTTCATGTGTAAAATGATGATACTAATAGCTACCTCATAGAGAGTTGTGAGGATTAAATTAGAAAATATCTGTAAGCCTTTCAATATATTCCCATAACATAGAAAGTACTTAATAAATGGCTGACATCTCTACAAGACAAAATGGAACAAAATGAAATAAAGAACAAAAAACAACTATGGCACTGTTTCCATGTGCCCTCAAACACTTTTGAATCCATCTTTCATATAAAGTTGCTATTCCAACTACAAATAAATGTTACATTCATTCAAGTTAATGTCTTTGTAACACTATTTTGTTATCTAGTTTTATTTTTTATGTGTACTTGGATATGATCAAATTGCATTCCTACGAAAATACTGTATTATTCATTGTTAGCAGTAATTTGGAGTGGCGTTCCCTCCAATTCATCTGAGGTTGTTTTACTTTATGTCTTCAGTCTGTACCTACTGTTCTGCTTCCAGGCCTTGCATCCTTCAAGAAGTAACTTCTGTTATAAAAAGGACAGGACTCCCAGAGGATGAAGGAACAAAACTGTGCTTCTACCGCATGTCAAATATAAACATAATCTTAATCCAGATTTAAACATGGCTAGCCAAACCATGAGCATAGAAAATGTATTTTTCACCTCTTCATTAATTGGAAATAAATGTCCTTTACATATACCTATGAGGTGCTGAAACAGAAAATGCTCCTCTAAGCTGTGAACACGTAAAACACTGGCATGCATTTAGGAAAGTGGGCCCCCTCCACTATCATAATTTCCAGGACTGTGACACGAAAGTCTCTGGTGTTCCTACAAACCCTATACCATCTGCAATGAGTCTGAAATGACTGAGCCCCCTGGTATTCTGATGACTAAATGAAATGAAATGGGCATATTTGTTAAAGTCAGCTGGGAAGCCACACGACTTGGTTAGTTCCTGAGTTCATAAATTTATGTCAGAGCAAGAGGAGCAGTGGAAGCTCAAGTGAACCAATTTACCCTAAGTGCAAATGGCAGTTTTGTTATTTGGTGTCAAAGTTACCAGTCGCACAATGACAAGCTGCCATAACACATTTTCTTGTTCACTAAAGAACAAGGATTTCGTTGGTTAATATTCCTTGCAATGCTCCTTTTCATAATTTACAACAACTAGATGCTGATAGGTTATTTAACATTTATGAAGTTAAGATGTAATCAGAAAAACCCTGATTATCTTTACAAATAAAAAAGTTAAATTATTCAACTATTTTTCTCCATGGCTTCATTTCACAGCAGGTGCATACTTTACAATGGGACAAGTCAATCAATAATCCTTTTTAAGTCTTTTTTTAGGAGCTGGAACAGGAAAAATTCTAAGAGGAAAAACTATTAATTCGGTTTGATAGAGGCATTTGTTTCAAAACACTTGGTTGCACTTAACATGGTGCTTTTAACAAATCGAGCTAAATTCTCCACTGTATAGGTAGGGAAACCTTGATTAGGCCTTTTTGGGGGAACAGAAGTAAAACGGGACCCTCTTGAACTCATTCATACCAATTGTATGGAAATTTAACATTGGTTGTATAATAGTTATCATTTATGTCTTTTCTACCTTACTAGATGGTAGGGTTCCTGACAAGAGGGACAGTGTCTCATTCCTCTTTGTAACTTTTAGGGTGTCCAGCATCATGTTTTGCCCCTGAGTGGGGCTCAGAAATAATTTCCACGTTAGTTAAATGACTAGAGGAATCAATATACCCAAAGGCAAATGAATTACATCTCATGAAGTTTTGAGCCACAAATAAAATTATTCTATTGGGTTACTGGGTCGACTGATCCTGAATTACATTGTCCTCATTCATACTTCCTATATATAAAGCAAAAATCAGTTTTTTAGCTTTTAAATGGGATTACAGTAGAACTCATGAAAAATCATTTGCTTTCCGCACGTTTAGGTGGAAAAATATTGAGAAAATATAGAATAGTAGTTTTGAGTCAGACTTGGACTCACACCCATGAGGGTCAGCCCTGCTCTGACACCTGCTTGAAGAATAACCTAGAGAAAATAGCTTGGAGTGTCTAAATTGACCTTTTTCATTAGTAAAATGAGCAAAACAATAGGACATACTATATTAAGTTATTATGAACACTAAATGAGATATATGTTAATCTCTTAGCAAAATGCCTAGCATATATTAAAGCTCAGTAATGAAAGATACATTTTAAAATATCCAAAATAAAATACAAACCACTGAAGTGAGTTTCACATTTTCTTCTGAAACTCACCACTCCTTGTCATTTGGTTATTGCATTTATAAGTTAAGAAAAGTGAAACAACTGTCAATGTTGAATCATCCCAATTAATGTAATGTGAATCCTTTAGAAAGATTAATGTAAATTTTGACTTTAAATGCATAGTATCTGAAATAATACACTGCAGCTGATGAGTTAACTGAATGCCAAGATGTCTAATGTCCATAAATAGACCATATTATGGCCAGCTAACCTTTAATCAAAATGATAAATAAAAAAATTTGTATTTCTAGAGCAATATTAATAAAAATTATTTATCAGTAGAATTCTTGCTAATTCCTTCTTTAATGGAGTAAGATATTAATGTTAAAGGAAAAGCACCAGTATTTCTATATTGTACGTTAAACCTAAATGACTCACCATCCTTAGTGAGAAAAAGTATGTGTTAAATGCAATGGCATTGTTAATTAGAACATGATTAAGGGCTAGAACAGTTCAAAATATAGTCATCATCTCGATAAATTAGAAAGACTCATTATTACCTTCAGAGTTTAAATAATTTTGAATGTTTAGATTCTTAAACAGCAGGGATATCTATCTCCATTGTCATTCTGAGTAAACCACTTATGTTCCATGAAGCATTTGCTATTTAATTTTCCATAATTTTTCACCTATTAAGGTAACATATATCCTTTGCTCTCTTTAATATAAATGTTCTCTTTAATATGAATACAAAAGTCCTGACCCAATGTTGAGAGCTGGTAAAAGGTGAGAGGGAATGCTTAGGAATAATCTAAGGTTGTTTACATTACCTAAAGGTTCAAACAATAATGGAGTTTTACCATGCCATCTCATTTACTTCATATAACAATATAAGGTAGGCATTTAATTTCTCCTTGTACAGATGAGAAACCTGAATTTGAGAAACATTGTGCAGCTTGCCCAAGGCCAGAGGACAACTAAATAGTGAAGCCCATTCCATGTTAGAAAACAATACCACCTTTTCTGAAAGGTGAAAAAATTGCACATCCATAAGACAAGATGCAGTCTTTGGAAAATATGTGTATGTGCTCTGTTTGTCATTAAAGAAGAAATGTCTCTCTCTCTCTGTCTCTCTGCCTCTCTCTCTCTTTGTGTGTATGTCTCTGTTTAAGATTAAGTTAATGTAGACGAAGGATGACTTTAAGAGAAAATCAAATGTTTGAGTAATTTTAAATGGCAGGATATCCACAATTTACATTTGACTGCATAATAAATTGTGGAGGCTCGCTCACCATTGTGTTCCTCCATTAATTCAGCAAAATTTTTATAAGGATATGTTGTTTGTATGTCACCTGATTTAGAGGTTCAAATGATACACAAAAGGCTAGAGATCTTGATTTTCTAGAGCTTAGAGTGTTTTGGTAATGTTACTACTGACATTTATCAAGAAAGAATAAGGTAAAGTGGATGAAGGTTTACATGGGAGACAGGGGAATATTTACCAAGGCTTTAAAATAGAATTTGGATGATCTCTTTACAGCAATTTGAGAAGTGACTCTCCTCCCCTCCCACCTAACTAAAATCTTCCTACACCTGGAATCTGGTTTTAAGTCACGTCTATTCCTTCTAGAATGTGTAGGTAAAGCTTTCTGGTTACTACTTCCTTCACGCTGCAAAAAGTCATTGTTGCAATGTGGATATTTTCCCTTCAGGGGCTCACCACTTCCACAAATAATTCTTCTGGTTTTGATGCCCCCAGTAAAATATTATTCTCCCATTGCTTTTGGTGTTTTAGACATGAAGTCCTTGCCCATACCTATGTCCTGAATGGTATTGCCTAGGTAAAATTGACAAATGGGATCTAATTAAACTAAAGAGCTTCTGCACTGCAAAAGAAACTACCATCAGAGTGAACAGGCAACCTACAGAATGGAAGAAAATTTTTGCATTCTACTCATCTGACAAAGGGCTAATATCTAGAATCTACAATGAACTCAAACAAATTTACAAGAAAAAAACAAACAGCCCCATCAAAAAGTGGGAGAAGGATATGAACAGACACTTCTCAAAAGAAGACATTTATGCAGCCAAAAGACACATGAAAAAATGCTCACCATCACTGGCCATCAGAGAAATGCAAGTCAAAACCACAATGAGATACCATCTCACACCAGTTAGAATGGCAATCATTAAAAAGTCAGGAAACAACAGGTGCTGGAGAGGATGTGGAGAAATAGGAACACTTTTACACTGTTGGTGGGACTGTAAACTAGTTCAACCATTGTGGAAGTCAGTGTGGCGATTCCTCAGGGATCTTGAACTAGAAATACCATTTGACCCAGCCATCCCATTACTGGGTATATACCCAAAGGATTATAAATCATGCTGCTATAAAGACACACGCACATGTATGTTTATTGCGGCACTATTCACAATAGCAAAGACTTGGAACCAACCCAAATGTCCAACAATGATAGACAGGATTAAGAAAATGTGGCACATATACACCATGGAATACTATGCAGCCATAAAAAATGATGAGTTCATGTCCTTTGTGGGGACACAGATGAAGGTGGAAACCATCATTCTCGGCAAACTATCACAAGGACAAAAAACCAAACACCACATGTTCTCACTCATAGGTGGGAATTGAACAATGAGAACACATGGACACAGGAAGGGGAACATCACATACCGGGGCCTGTTGTGGGGTTGGGGGAGAGGGGAGGGATAGCATTAGGAGATATACCTAATGTTAAATGACGAGTTAATGGGTGCAGCACACCAACATGGCACATGTATACATATGTAACAAACCTGCACGTTGTGCACATGTACCCTAAAACTTAAAGTATAATAAAAGAAAAAAAATTAAAAAAAAATATTCTCCCAGAATCATTTGGTTTTCACCAACACCCAGCTCTGTTTCTTGGCCCTCTGGGCTACTATTTCAAACATCATAGTTGATCCATCATAAATCTGAGAGACTTTGGTCAAGAAATGAAAAGTCGATTTGGATTTAAGGGTTAAGCCAAAGACAGAAAGGAACTGGTCTTAAAAGGCAGTAGCAGACAGTAGACCTGAATTTGAATCCTGGCTCTGCAGTGTGACCTTGAGCATATTATATTACTTTTTTGAGATTCGAATTTCTTATCTTAAGATGGGGATAATGATATTATTACCTGTCTTCTAGCGTTTGCATAAAAATTAACTGAGGTAAGGCAGAGAAGGAGCTTATCAGTGTTTGGCATATAGTAGGAATTTAACAAATGGCAAATACACCAAGTAATATGAACGTATGTACACGACATTTGTTATCAGTATCACGGGTACTCTTCCCCTGGGTATTGTCACTATTCCCTAGACCTTACCCTTTCACTAGTAGGACTTATAAACATGTACTAAGGCTTAGTTTATTTATAGCATTAGAACAATAGTTTGAAAACTGAAAATTCAGTTAATTGCTTAGGTAATTTTTCAGTTGCCAAGTAACCACATAGACATTTTTTTTCCCAGCAGCTTACCTGTCTAAGGTTACTCTGTTCACACTGACCACAAAAAAAAAAATGCATATTTAAAAAAACAAATACAATTTAGCCAGTATTTTGGCTTTAGACCATGAGTGTCCAATCTTTTGGCTTCCCTGGGCCACAATGAAAGAAGATTAATTGTCTTGGGCCACATATAAAACACACTAACACTAACAATAGCTGATGAGCTAAAACAAATAATTGCAAAGATCCCAAGAAAGTTTTTGAATTTATGTTGGGTGGCATTCAAAGCCATCCTGGGCTTTAGGTTGGATAAGCTTGCTTTAGACATTCAAGAGAAACTGGCGGACTCATGTTTTCAGAGAAAACAGTTATTGTAATTCACCAGTCTCACTTGGTGAGTGTGATCCATGTTTTTGGTAAATCACATCTATTCCTTTTAGATTTTTGGATGGGTAGGTAAAGCTTTCTAGTTACTAGTTTCTTCATGCTGCAGAGATCATTGCTGTCACGTGGCTGTTTTCCCTTCAGCGGCTTGCCATTTTCCACAATTAACTCTTCTAGTCTTGGCACGCCACTACACACCCAGTCAAACATTGTTCTCCCAGAATCATTTGGTTTCAGCAATACCTAGATCTGTTCCTTGGTCCTCTGGGCTACTATTTCAAAAACACTTGGTAGCACATCAAAGTCATATGTGGAGTTTTTAAAAAGCTCTAGATTTCTTGACTCCATCCCAGGAGATTCTTATTCAGTAAATTTGGGGTTGAGAATCTGTCTTTACACAAGCTTCCTAGGTGATTCTAATGCTCATTCAGGTTTGGGAACTGCAGGCATGGACTGTTTTGCCCATTATTCAGCTCTGTCTGTGATGTAGTCATTTTGTAATGGCAGGGAGTATGATGAATACCTAGAAAACTCTTTATATTGTGAGCAAATAAACAATCTCCACTTACAAATTTATTTTCTTTCTGTTTAAAATATATATATTTGTGACTATTCAGGAATAGAAACATGTTTTTATTATCCAAATCAAAACACAGCATGAGGTACTTTCCAATAAAATCAACTGTAGATTATACACAAGTCAAAATCATCTGACTGTTTACTGAGTTTGAAATCCTTCTAGACACCAGGAAAAAGATTTAATTGAAGATTTTAATCTTTCCTTATATTATATGGTTTCTGAAATGGATTCTGTGCATCTTAAACTATAAGATT
Source organism: Homo sapiens (assembly GCF_000001405.40). Classification (NCBI taxonomy): domain Eukaryota; kingdom Metazoa; phylum Chordata; class Mammalia; order Primates; family Hominidae; genus Homo; species Homo sapiens. The sequence goes on from NC_000001.11 coordinate 215,755,666, forward strand.
GACAGGTCTGAATATTATAGATTTATTAACCATTGGTTAAATGGTCAGAGTTAGTGTGTAAAGCATTCTACAATATCCCCTAGGCTGGACCAGAATGAACAATTTATACAAAGCCTGAGGTATGTGAGAGTTAAGGTCATATTAAACAAGTGAAAGTTGTGTTTTATTCCACAATGATACATTTCTAAATGGAAACATGATACATTAAACATTTAAGTGTGATATTGAATTCAAAGAAAAAAATGACACGCTGGGAAATTTGAAAGAGGTCTTGAAAATTTACTAATCCAATCCTCAGTAGGTGGTTTTATTATTTTGAAAATTGGGGCTTTGAGACCCAGCAAATGTTGGAACAAATACGTTTTAAAAATGAGCAATTAAAGATAAAAAAATAATTCTTCAAACAATCACCATTGGTATCTATAGAATATTATATAGAACTAGATAATATATTTATCATATAAATTACTTCATTTGATCTTTACAGCAACCCTACCTGCCTACATGTAGGTATCATCATTATCTCCACTTCACAGATGGAGAAAATTGAGGCCTAGAGACCGTTTAAGTTCAGCTAATAGGTGGCAGTATTGGGATATGAATCCAGGCTTTTTCATTTCTCTTACTTGCATAGTCATAAAATAAAGATATTTTCAAATTCGTACTGAACATGAAGTCTTCAGATTAGCAATGGCAACTGATATGTTAAATAATGTTAAAATAACAGATATTTTGATAAACCATGGGACTTCCCAGTCATATGGCAAAGAAATCATCAACCTTGCTCATCACCCTGAAATTTCCCGTATTGCTCTTGGAGAATTTGGATTGTAGAAGACCCTGGTCTAAATCTAAAACTTTCTTGTCAATAGGCTAAATATGGTATTAGATTGGCTCTATCCAGCTTCATTTTATTTTGTGGTGCAAAAACACAACAGCACAATAAAAATGCCAAGGAGAAATATACTAAAAAATCGTGGCCAGGTGCAGTGGCTCATGCCCGTAATCCCAGCACTTTGGGAGGCCAAGGTGGGCGGATCATGAAGTCAGGAGTTCGAGACGAGCCTGGCCAGCATGGTGAAGCCCCATTTCTACTAAAAATACAAAAATTAGCCAGGCATGGTGGTGTGTGCCTGTAGTCCCAGCTACTTTGGAGGCTGAGGCTTGAACCTGGGAGGCGGAGGTTGCTGTGAGCTGAGATTGCACCACTGCACTCCAGCCTGGGTGACAGAGAGAGAGACCCGGTCTCAAAATAAACAAACAAACAAACAAACAAATAAATAAATAAATAAATAAATAAAATTAAACAAAAGTAGAAATAAATTCTGTAAAGGGGGCTGTAAATTTATATATTTCCCACAGCAGAAGATATGTCTTTTCCTCTATCGAAATTAAGAACAGAGTTCAAGAATATCTATGCTCTTACAACATAAAGATTATAGCACTTTGTGATGCATTCTGCCACTACTAATTATTCCTTTATATTTTGTTTAATATGCTGCACATTTATTTTAAACAAAAGTGGGTGAAATCATGTACATTTAATATCTTAGAGCAACTTATATTTTTCTTTGCTTATAAAGCTCTTTGTAAACTTTCTTTTGAATTTTAGGGGAAAATAACTTTTTCTCTTTGATCTTAGATTATAGCAGAAGGTGTTGGTCTATAAGAAACTTAAGTTTTATGTATTAGGTCTTTACGCTCTCTTTATAGCTATACAATAGTACCTGTTTTGACTGTTCAATTCAATAAAAATAGGCTTATGTTAATTATGTTATGGAATGGATCTACCGATGGCTCAAATGGCTGTTAACCATTTGGTGCCACTTTGAACTGTGGCTAAACTTATTCTGATGGCGACAAAAAGGGCGTGTCACAATTTCATCTTAAGACTAGATATTAAAAATAAAGTCACATAATTTTGAAGTGTTTTTAACATCTTAACCATTTTTAAATTTTACTTGGAAAGAAAAGTCCTCCATATGTCCTTTCTCACTCTACTCTTTACTCCACAGTATTAATGCAGTCAGGATTTTACCTGAGGATGGTGCTTACCTCAAAATATAATGTTGCACTAAGTCACAAGGCAACCCAATAATGACTAAATGGCTCAATGAAGGCTATTCAGCTTACAGAGGAAAAATGCAGCTACCATAAGTGGTCACAACCCAAGGTACATGGGTGAAGTGAACAACTGTCTTTCCAAACTCCCCATTCACTGATTTAATATAAAAGGAATGGTATAATGTCAATGATCCAATCTAAGGAGTCCCATGGAAATGAATGTTCAAGGTAATTCTGACCTATATGACTTGCATTGGATATATAGAAGAGTAAGCCGGGCGTGGTGGCTCATGCCTGTAATCCCAGCACTTTGGGAGGCTGAGGCGGGTGAATTACCTGAGGTCTGGAGTTCGAGACCAGCCTGACCAACATGGAGAAACACTGTCTCTACTAAAAACAATACAAAATTAGCCGGGCATGGTGGCATATGCTTGTAATCCCAGCTACTCAGGAGCCTGAGGCAGGAGATTTGTTTGAACCCAGGAGTCGGAGGTTGTGGTGAGCTGAGATTGCGCCATTGCACCCCAGCCTGGGCAACAAGAGTGAAACTCCGTCTCAAAAAAAAAAAAAAAATAGATGAGTAAAAAGATTTTTAGTCTCTTGTACTTGAAAGTGTTGCTTTCATAGAAAGCTGTATATACTTACATATCTACATCGACATCTAGATACCTATATCTCTACGTATGTATGTATGTACTCATGCGTCTATACACTTAGAAGTGTGGTTTAGATTTTTCTGTTCATATTTATCCAGGAGACCGACTATGTCTTTCTGATTTACTAAATTAACAGTTCTATTCTTATCTCTAATTAATTCCTTTAAAATGTTTACACACACACACACATACTTCTTTTTTTTTTTTACCTGGTGGTATCCAAGCTACAAATATAGAATAAGGCCCAATTACTGTGATATTATATGGAGGATAGATTTCTTCTGGTGTTGACATAGGTGTTTGAACAATGTAATCATCACTAGCACTGCTGCCACCTCCAGTTTTGACTTCTAACTTGTAAGTGTATCTATATTTAAAAAGAAAGAAGAATTGTGGTAAGGCCATGCACAAGAGACTTGAACAATGATTACTAGTTTTTGTATCAATTGCTTAGTCCTAAATTTGTGACAAATTGCAAACTCTTTGCCCCCTTTCCAGAAACTTGACTTGGTAGTTTTTCTTGCACAGGCAACATTGTCTCCAAGCCATTGTAATTTCAGCTGCTCTTAAATTTATTTTTAACCTGCTAGTAATTCATAGCTTTTCTTGAAGATTTCAGGAAAGTCTTGGAGTGTGCTGGTGGATTGTGGAGGATTCAAATTAATCTTCCCCATTTTTAAATAGGTTGGAGTTCAGGGAAATATGTTTAGAGAAAGATGTTTTTAAATTGATCTGCTATTCCTTACAATAAAATGAAATTGATCTCTACTTTCTACAGTAAAACATCTGTTGATTTAAGATATGTTTTTGTCTCTGCTGAGAAATGAATGGGAATGAAATGCAAATATGTGGAACTTTTTCCTCTAAAACTATTCACAACTATATGTGGTGTAGCAAGTAGAGAAACACTGTACAAGAAGAAAAGAGAGTTGACGGAAAACAAAACTCTTTACATCTCTTTTATTGCTAGTTCAAGGATGCGTGTTTTTGAAGATAATTTGGTAATTTTTAAAGTTTAATACTTCATGTATTTTGTATATTTAAAAATTCTCATGCTTTTATGTCAAACAGAAGACGAATTATTTATATTTTTAAGAAATTTCGTGAAGTCTAAAGACTGAATGATTTAGCACTTTCATCAGTTATTGAATGGCCAATGAATGAGGAAGTTAATTAAACAATTTAACAACTTTCAGTGGGACATGCATTTCTTATCAACCCAGAGAAATGTACAAATCCTGCTGTATGATTGGTAAAGTTTTCTTTTAGTTTACCTGCTATTGGGCTCCAGGTTTTTATCAGTGAAATTCTGCTCCTCACTGCCACCCAGGAAAAGCAAGTTTCCATTACGACTCAATTGATATTGAGAAACGAGGCCATTGGGCTTTTCTGGCAGACTCCAATATAATTCCACTGTTGTAGAATTGATGATAATGTGTCGAGGTGTCACCCAAACTCCTGGCAAGAATAACGCAATGAGGTTTTATTGTTAGGAGAAAATAAACAGTGTATCAAAAGTCACACCATCCCCCCCATGAACTGTGATATTTTTTCTGTTGATTTTAAAAAATATCTAACTGTATGGAACAAAAATACATAATTGGTGTAAATATATTTTTATTACTTTGATTATTTTATTTTTGAATTGCCTTTGGAAAGTGAATGTCAGACAACTAGCAGTGGATAATTTCTCTGCCTTGGTTGTCACTCTGAGAGTATTTTAAATCAAGGCCTGAGAGATCATCTGGGGATTTCAAACTTTTTAATACAATTTACCTGGAATATGTGAAAGTAAGCATAATCGAGTATGTACCTGAATTATACAATTCAACAAATGAGTGCACTTTCCCTTCTTCTTGCACATCAGTGTGATGCTTCTCTTTTCCTCTCTGGCTATGCCTCTGGCCTCATTTACTGGGATCTCTTCCCCTCCTGGACCTTGAAAGGATGTAATGCCTCAGAGCAGTATGCTCTGTTCTCTCTCTCCCCTCTGCTTTTCTCTCTTCCTTTCTCTTCTTCTTTTTCTCTCTTCTCTTCTCTTCCAACACCGGCTTCCCAGGTGATCTTCATTCAGTATGGGTTTTAAATATGCATATGCTGAAGACCCCCAAAGGCATATCTCTAGATTGAAACTCTGAGTGTGAGACTCAAGAATCCAACTGTTTGCTTGACACCTCCATTTGGATGACTGATGATATATCAAAAACTAAAAACATGCAAAACAGAACTCTTGTTTTTCCTGTCTACAATCTATGTACCTCCCAATCTTGTCCATCTATCCATTTTCTTGGACAAAACACACAAAAATAATGATCCCTGAGACTTTCACCTTTCATACGCCCAAATGTAATCTAACATAAAGCCCAGAAGATTCTATAATGTATACTTTCCTGTATCTTTACTTTCACTTCTCCTGGTCCAAGCCACGTTTCTCTCTCTCATAAACTCCTGTCATAGCTTCTAAACTTGCCTCCATGTCGAAATCTTGGCCTTCCATATTCCATTGGAATCTTTGTAAAAGTGTATAAAGTGAATATGTAAGCCAGTGTCATCTTTATGAACCATATAACCCTTTTGAATTTATTCATATAATATAATCCCAATTTCTTTTTGTGACCCATATGGTCCCACATTTTATTGGCTCTGGCCTAAGTGGCAGCATTCTTTGCACCATTCACAGAGCTGTGGCCATACCAGATTCCTTTCTATCCCTAGAATGCTTCTAGTTATTTCCTACACCTGGGCTTTTGAACTTCGGTTCCTTTGGCCTGGAACACCTTTGTTCCCTTACAGCATGACATTTTTGCATTTTGTTCTCATATGTAGAATTGTTCTTATATGTAGAATGTTCTCATATGTTCTCATAGTTCAGTTACTTGTGTAACTATCACCTTATTGATAAGGCCTCATTTTAGCACTCTCTTAACTCTAACTTGAACCCCATCTAATGGAGTCCCAACCTAGTTTCTCTGTATCGCATGGCCTTTTCTATTTCCTTCTTAACACTCAAGACATCATAATCAAATTCTTTCTTTGACATACTATTATTTTTACATTATATGATGGTGCAGTCCTCTCCTTTCTCTTACTTTGATGCAAAGTTAGTTCCATGGTAGCAGGGATCTTCTCTGTCTTATTCGTCAATGTATCTCTATGGATAACACAATGCCTAATACATGTTTAATGAGTAGATTTATTGTAAATATATCTCCTGCAAAATGTTATGCTAAGCACTGCAGGCAGTTCTAGGGAATGCAAAGATGACTAAGATGTGGCTCACTTTCAAGGAGTTTATACTTCTGTCTAAAAAATAAAATATACACACAAACAACTGTAATTCAATGTCAAACATTCAAGTACTCTTATAGATGTACAAATCCATCGATGGAGAAGCCAGCAGTGAGAAAGTTCAGTCCTACCACTTTATGTTGTCATCTAGTTATACTCTGATTAGACACTGTAAATCTCTTCTGGAGATTAAAAAAAACTCATTTCAATATTAGGTTCCCTGTAATCAATAGCTTTTGCTTGATTGTATCTCCTGTGTAAGTTACTCCGTACAGGTTAAGATTTTGACACTTTTAGAAGAAAAATTTTCAGAAGAACAAAATGCAATTTATTTAGCAGCATCCTGAAAGAAACAAGATAGATTTCAAAAATGTCTCAAACATCCCAACTTTCTAAGGAGCAATATATTCCTGAGAAGAAAGTAGTTCATTTTGTTCTGAGAGTCTGCTCTGTTCTAGATATTTGGTAAAATTCACAAATCATAGTACACATTTGTATGTGGGTTTCTCTGCCAACAGCTGCTAGATGATTCAACCAATCAGAGTTTTGATTTAAATGTGATATTAATTTGTTGATTCAAAAGATAAAGTATAAAATCTTAATTCATAATCTGCTTCCTGCAGTTATATCTTTTTCACCTTGAACGATGTATTAAAAATCACCAAGGTACTAGAATGGCTATTGCTTGGTTTCTGATTTGAACCAGTCAATAAAGCCTGTGGATGTGGAGGAGCTAATAAAATAAAATGAAACATAATTTTGGGTTTGTTTCAACCTTTAGGTAAAAGTTGAGTTTATTATTTATACCGGCTGGCAAAAGCTCTTTTCAAGTTGGTAATAACTCCATGCCCATTGGTTTGATTGATAATATGGAGTTCAAATGTATATATAACTAGAAAGTGCTGCATTTTTACTTGGATGGTGATATGGGGACATCGTTATCTTGGCAGCTGCAAGAAATCTTTGCTAGAGTAAGACAATCTTTGGTGAGATATATTAATGAGTCCGAGGTGGGGAATTTGTCCCCTTCACCATGTAACTCTGGCCTAAGTCTCAGGTGAAACCAGAAAAACCTATTCTATATAATAAGGGAGCAAACTGAGGCAGTTCAAGTGAAAGAAATGAATAGTAGGGAGGGAAGTAACCTAGGAGGATGGGGTGGGGTAAACTAGCTGCAAGGTTAAAAGGGGAAAGGTAGAATTAAACCTTGGTGGGCCTTTTTACACAGTGACAACAAGTAGAACATGTCTACTGTATTTGTTTTAAATTTATCTTGAGTTGCATGCCATATTACCCACTTCTCATGTCCCTACAAATCTTCATTCCAATTCAAAATTCCCAGCATTTATTGTGGATTGTTTTTCTCCTGAAATCTGGTGATAGGAACAAATTTTGTATTAGCTGATGTCAGGGATGCACTGAATTCTGGACAATTTAGTATTTGTTAATTTATTCACTCAACATTCTACCCGACTTTGTGTCATTTTCTGTGTTGGGCACTGTGGATGGGAAGATAAAGACTTTTTCTTATCCTTCATGGAGTTCATGTATCATGGTGAATAAAGATGAGTCGATAAAAAGTTGTACTCCAGTATGATACATGCTTTAAGAGAAGGAGGCACAGTAGCTGTTAGAACACTTAGAAAGGGTAACCTGACACAGACTGTGGGGAGAAGTGGAGATGGGTAGGAAGTAGGTGGTTGTAGTGGAAGATTTCCAGAAGGGGAGATGCGTGAACCAAGTTTTGAAAAGGTGAGCGTTAACTGAGTGAGGATGTAGGGAAAGGGAGTTCAGGCTGAGGGGAACCCACATAAAGTCGTAGAAATGTGGGCAAGGATGGCAGGACTGCACATACCTTGGCATGGCTGGTGCACTGCATGGCATGTGGGGAAGATGGAAAGCCTTGAAAAATTGATGGAAGTTAAAACTTGAGGGGTCCATGTTGCTTTGCTAAGGAGATATGGATGTATGTCTTCCTGGAAGGAAATGGGACTTTATGGAGGTGAATAATATGACATATTCTTATTTTGTCAAAAGAGGAAAAAGAATCAGGATGTGGGATGTGAGAAAGAGGAAAAATGACTAGAGGAAGGGATCCTAGTTAGGAGGATCCAGAGAACTTCTCTTCTTATAGCTATGAGGATCTGAACTAAGGCAGTGTTAAAAGGGACGGGAAAGAAGAACAATTTTTTTAAAAAAAATTCTTAAGATTTAAAACTAATTAGATTTTATAAAAAATTATGTATTACATATGGAAAAGGGAGCCATCAAGAGTGTCAAGCTTTGGGCTTAGGTGATAGGTAGGTGGTAGTATTTGAGAGAAGAAAAGCAAGTTGAGGAGTAGAGTGGAGTGGAAGAATTAAGTGGCGAAGTACTGAGGTTAAAGTTTTTGAAAAACACCTAAATATAAACATGTAGTAGACCAGTAAATACATAGGATTTAAATCCATAAGTGTAGCTTTGGTGAGAGCTTTAGTATTTGGTAGCTCTCAGCCTTCATTAGGAGATAAAGCCAGTACTCGAAAATTCCAGAAGAGCCTGGGTGCTATAGTGTAAAGAGTAGAGGAAAAAACCAAGGGTGTGTAAACGTTAAAAGAAGGGCAGAGGAAGAGGAATCTGGAATGAACTGAAAAAGACTGGGTCTTCTTTTCCTTTCTGTTTCCACATTATCAATGCTAGAGGAAAGTATGTCTGCAATTTTGCATGATTTATCTCTAAAATGAATTAGAACTCACATGGATGGCAGTAATTGTAGAAAAAAAGAGTAATAATTCAATTCAAAATCTTCCTGTTATTTGACTAAAGGTACAGGTACACAGTTTTCTATGAGGATAAAACTGTAGAGAACTGTGTCCAACTTGTCAATGAGGTTGTAATGTACATTGACTTTTTCTTAGATTGAAAATGAGAGGCAAGTGAAAAGAGCTCAGCTTGCGTTGGCTATGCATAAACACTTCTTTTAATTCTTTCCATGTCCACTTAAAATACTCAAATATGAGATCTTCAAATTATATCTGATGTACTTCGAAAATGGCATTTTATAATTAGTTATGTCTGGGTGGATAATCTAAAGTGGTATACTTGTTTTCACTTTACAGTAAAACAACAGAACTTAATGTGATTGCTAAGGTGTTCCCAAGTTAAGCATTCACACTATATTTATTTCATATATGGGTTATATATAAATGGCACTTATTCAGCCAGAAAATGGCCCTAAATCCATGTTTCTTCTGCAGAGGAAAGTCCATTTCATCTATTATTTCTTTGCATGATTATTTGTGTTAGAGGAAAGATACATAAAGTTAAAAAAAAAAAAGAAATCAAGGGCATTTCTCATATCACATTACCCTGCACTGTTGAAAGCTACAATTTTTAAGTCATAAAATGTAAGTCATTTCAAGAAATTTTGTTGGGAAAATTTCATATTTCCAATGAATTTAAATATATGAATTTGGTAGAGAGAAATGGAACAAGAGATTCTGTTATTTTATCAGGTTGAGTTTCAGCCAAATCTGGTTGATAGATCCTTTAGAAATTATCCATTATCATCAAAGTATCCATTTGATAGTTTACCTTTCCAAAAAATCCACTGCTGGTTTCTTCCTTTCAAAGGAACACTAAGCTTTTTGACATGAAACATTCTTTATATAGAAAACATCATTAGTGAATTCCTGGTGAGGAGCCATATGCCCCATATGTGGAATTTTCCATTTTATTCCCCATTTACTGGTAGGAAGTTCAGGTCTAATATTCCGAGGTACAACAATCCATTTCATTAGAAGAGTAATGGACAAGTAGTTCAGGAGTCTATGGTGGTAATTAACATTGCATTTCTGTTTAGAAACTTATTTATGCCTTGGTTTCCCCATATGAAAAATAGGCAGATAATGAAGATTAACAAAATAATTAGTTGATCACTAACACATGCCACTGAGTATATTTTTCTTTTGAAAGTAAATGACACCAGCCATCCCACCTCTGAACACATGGGTAACCATTGCTATCAGTTGGTGTGTATACTTCCTGGATTTTTAAATGCATTTATTTATTAACCATTAACAATAAATGCCATTTTCTCAGTTTGTTCTTATAAATTAATATAATGTCATAACTTCCTCTTTGTATGAACTGATCATCTCATTCTTTTATACTGGTGCATGGAATTCCACAATATGAGAATAGCTGAATTTATTTAGCAATTCTACTCACAAACATTAAAATTGCTCCCAACATTTTGCTATTAAACAAAATAAATGCTTCAATAAACATCCTGGTGCATGCCTCCTTGAGCAGTGTGGCACAGTTTCTGGCATAAATGATGAAAATAGAACAGCTGTATCATGGGAAATTAACAATTTAAATGTGATAGACATTTGCAATTTGCCTTCTAAGGTGATGATTCCATCTTACATTCCTTCCAACTGTGTCTGGTTGTACATCTCTGTACATCACTGTTCATTTGTCAAAATCCTTGTTTGTTGTGGTCCATCTCAGAAGTCATCTGCTCCATAAAGCCTTTTTTGATGTCATCGATGGGTTTCTATCTCTTCCTCTTCAGGCCAACCTTAGCACTCTATTCATTTGTTCTTTCTTAACATCAACTTTCAGATTTTCTCTCTTCATACAGATCTTTCTCCTATCACTTCTACTTGATTGTCAGTCTTGAGGGCAGAGAACATTTTAAACAACTTCAGCAGTGAGCATGGTGCTTATTATATATTAGATGCTCCCAAAATATTTAACATCTGAGTTTTTGAAAAATTTCAATAATTCTTCTTTCCACAGAAAATCAACTCTATAAAGGTTAAAGAATTGAAAGCGAACTGACCTTGGGAAGCTACACCTACATGAATCAAGCCTGAAGAATGGGAACCTAGAATGCTATTTTATTTTGTACCTATCAACTTTATTGCCTCTTCCTTATTTGTTATGAAGGAGTTTACAGATTCCACCTCAAAATGCTATGTGAAAATTTCTTCCCTCAAACCATGGATATTGTTTCATTACCTTCAGGAGCTGCCTGCAGTGTCTGACCTAGAAAAGGCTCGCTTGAAGTGCACCCAGCAGATGTACAAGCTGTAAGAGTGAAGCTGTAGTTGGTGTATGGCTGGAGACCTAGAAAAAGCAAGCAAGAAATAAAGTGCACCTTAAGAGGATTATTTATTATCAATTAAGTACCAGAAGTAACATGCAGAGTTGTAGATATGATAGCCAAAACATTTAAGAGTACTCTCTAAAACACTCTTTAAAGAAGGTCTGAACCTCATAAGAGGCTAAGTATTGGGCAAAATTTCATTTATCACTGATAAACTAATAAATTCTCAGCCATAGAAAAGACCTTAAAATTCATGTGAACCATCCACCCTTCTCTTGATTCCCTATACAAGATGTCATTGAAAAGGCTGTCCTGCCTATCGGATCAGAGCACTCCGTCTCTCAAAGAGCCCATTACATCTTTAGAGAGCCTTAGAGTTATCCTTATTTTGTTTGAAAGTCCTTCCTTATATTGTGATGAAATCTTTCTATCACTTTCACCCCTGGGGACATATAGAACAAATCTAATTTCTTTTCCACATGACAGCTCTTCAAATGTTTGTAGACAGTTATCAAATCCCCCCTGAGTCTTCTCTTCTCCAGGCTAACCATCCCAGTCTCTGCAATTGCTTCTTATATAAATACGGGCAGGAAAATAAAAAGAAGGTTAGATCCAACATTTTCTTGCCCCAAGCCATATTCAACTCATATTAACGCTAACCAACACTTTTGTTTTTAAACCTTGCACTGTATCTAATGCGCCCTTTTTTGAGGTGTGTTGATTTTGTCTTTACACATAGATTAAAGCTAATTTGGAGAAGAGATGGTGCTTATTACTTCTTTCGTATTCAGAATATGATGCAGTATGGTAATTGTTCAGTAAGTTTTCAGGGAGAAAAGAATGACAATCCATCTAAAATAGAAGTTGTATATTGTTAGATTTCGCTGCTCTGTGCGTGGCTGGTGACCTTGTTAGAGTTACTTAGCTTCTCTTTGCCTTGGTCTACTGATCTGTAAAATGGGGAATCATTATAGCATCTAGCAGACAAGAGAAGATGAAATAGGATACTCAAAGTAGTATTTCATTCTAGCAGAAGCAACTTTAAAGCTCAGCAGCATTCAACAAGGAGGATATTGAGGCTTACAAGACATCTCTCTCTTGACTCTTGGGAAAGTTCAAACAATGCCAAAGCTCTCTTTGAGAAAAAAATAGTATTTTAAAACAACAGGACTGAGCCTATTTGTTAAATAATTGAACTAAGTTACAGATGAATCCAATGATTGTTATGCTTATTTTTTCACGTATTTTGAGCTACATTTTCGCATATTTTGTTCTTTTGGTGGAATGACTGTTCCTTCAGAGATGTTAATGTGTCACTTTGTCTATTTATGCAGATTTCTCCTCAAATACTACATTTTAAAAAATTTTGACCACTTTATCTAAACAATCCACCCATCCCTTTTTATCCCCTCACATAATTTTCTTATTTCAGAGCCTTCAACCGTCTCTGATGTTTGCTGTGTCTCTTGCTTATTTGATATTTGTCTCCTGCTTTAGATGTATGCTCTGAAAGAACAACAACTTTGTTTTGCCTATCTGTATCCTTAGGATTGTGACAGGCACAAAGTGTGTGTTCGTTAAACGAATGAAAAAATTACCCATCTCATCCATTTAGAATGAGAGCAGTAGTCTGGGTTCTCTGCTAAAGCAATAATGTTCTGCAGCTGGAGCTGCTCCAAGGTTTAGCTTCAGAGCCCTTTGTATTTTTTTTATCAACTTAGTGATAAGATGCAGGCACTTATTTGATTACAATCTTCCATTTGGTTGCTTTGGAGGATTTACATAATTTTGATATTTACCTGATTTACAGATGAAGAATATGACTAAAGATCTAAGCCGTACCCAAGCCACATATGTTTGATAAAAGCTCATCGGAAAATGCTATGATTACAAAATGTAAAGCTCAAAATAATGGAAGGGAACATTCAAGAATGAAACTCAGAGGTTGCAGTGGCAAACTCGTTTAGCTCGACAATGTCTCCCCTTCATTCTCTTTACCGACAAAAAGGGGTCTTGACCAGTGTGATACCATTTTACCTGAATATCTTATTTTCCCCATTTAGAATATAAGCCCTTTGAGAGTAGAAATGGCATCACTGAGCGAGTCTTTTTGGGAGGTCACTTTCCCCTATAGTGCCCATTTTTAGGCATTCAATGTTGAACAAATATTGCTTAAAGAAGAGCATGCCCATCATAGTGTCCCATAAGGATTGCAGGGATATGAGGCTACGATGTTTATCACCATGTGACCTGACCAAAAAGGTCCTTCCTCATAATTCCATCGGTATCCCTGTCCACAGCAATGATTTCATTGAGTTGGAGATATTTTTTAGTTGCAGAATATTAATAAAATAACAGAAACTAATATAATTTGTGGGCAATACACATATTCTAGATTTTTTCCTGAATGCCAGATGTAAATATGGTAGCTAAAAGTAAACAGATATTTAAATTTTTTTCTCGAATATTCTGAGCAAAACAATGGCCTCAGTTATCTTCCTCATTGTGGTCGTGGCTGGTCTGATTTCAGACATGCAGTGACTGTTAAATAAAATTTTAGGATGGGCATTAGGGAAAAAAGAAAATTCATAATCACAGAGGTTTGCTAAGGTTGATTAGAGGATTAAGCGTATTTGTAATGAGAATCGTAGCTGAAAGGAAAATTAATGTATATAAAAATATAAATTGTCATTTCTTGACAAAGCCTTTCTGCTGCAAGTTGAGTGGTCTCCATTTTACTTACAGCCTAGAATTTGAGAAGGCAGGTGTTTAGGCATGGTACAGCAGTAGAGCATCCAGCACCTTAAGGATTTTTGATAGAGGGAGGAAAGTGCATCAAAGGAGTTTGCTACAGGTGTTTACATTAGATGGGATAGGTTCACCTAGCAGGATATGGGGGTAGGGCTGGTGGAAGGAATTTGCTTCTCTTGAAGCTACTGGGGTACTAGAATCAAGGAGGAATGGCAGACTCAGCACTGAGCAGAAAACCTTCGTCAAGAAGTCAGAGGAGTTCAAACATATTATCAAATCAAGAGGAGTCAACATGGTGCACTGAGGAAAGGAGACAAAGATTGAAGAACCAGGAGGATGAGAGTGGGAGACATGTCTGCAAGTGAATATGGGGAGAATGACAGTTTTACTCTAATTCATTGGCACTTTATCCTCAAGAGCTGTGTCTGTCCCTGAAATGTAGCCATGCTGACCAGTTTAATGGACCATGTGGGCAAAGGGTAGTAATACTTAGGCTCATTTCAAATGATGTTTGCTAATGTGTGTCAAGCAACTTCACATCTGCCATATTTACCTTCCAGGGTCTGTTCCTGCTTTTTATAACAAAACTCACATTTTCCTTGGATAAGCCAGTCATTTGTCCACTATCAGGCTTTGTACTTTATTTAGCGTTGACTTCACCTGGACTGAGGAGTGCATAGATGACCCAAGCCTGAATACCAAGCTCTATGTTCTCCATCACATAAGAGCTAGAGCTAACAGTATTTAAGTTACTCAATGGCTGCCTTCCCTCTGAAGATTAAGCAGCATTTAGAAGACATAAAAATGGTAGAAACCATTGCAGCTGCTCTTTATTAAAATTAATATTATTTTAATTGGCAAGTCATAATTGTATACACTGTAGTTGCTCAAAACGAAAAAAAAAAGTTAAAAGAATGTAGTTCAAACACCAGCACAAAAACTATAAATTAAGAAAAAAAATACCCAACAGACAAAACTCAGGGTGTTTTTGTTTTTGTTGGTCTGTTTTTAATTCTCTTTTCATTGGACTCTATACATTATCTAAATATATTTTATGAGAATTGCAGTTATTTTCAAGGAAGTTAGTTATAAGATTATGTAAATGACATACTAGCAAAAGTTTATTGAGCATGTACTACTAGTTGGCCCTCTTCTGTGCACTTCATGGGTGTTAATATAATTAACGCCCACACTAACTTTCTGCTGTGCACGCTATTATTTGTTCATTATACAGATAAGGAAGCTAAGGCACAGAAAGTTGGAGGAAAGTACCTATGATCACAGACATAAGAAAGGGCCGGGACCGGTGGTACGGTGGCTCATGCCTCTAGTCCCAGCACTTTGGGAGGACGAGGCGGGTGGATCACTTGAGGTCAGGAGTTTGAGACCAACCTGGCCAACATAGTGAAACCCCGTCTCTACTAAAAAAAAAAAAAAAAAAAAAAAAACCTACAAAAATTAGCCAGGCGTGGTGGTGCATGCCTGTAGTCCCAGCTGTTTGGGAGGCTGATGCTGGAGAATTGCTTGAACCTGGGAGGCAGAGGTTGCAGTGAGCTGAGATCCTGCCACTATGCTCCAGCCTGGGTGACATAGTAGCTAGACTGCCTAAAAAAAAAAAGAAAGAAAGAAAAGGAAAGGGTGAGGCCAAGGTTGGAACTTGGGCAATTACACTGAGAAATGTGGCCCAGAGCAACTGGGTTAGGCTTCCCAGCCTTATAACAAAAACGATGACATAAATAGCTCAAAGCCCAGTCAAATTTCCAGTAATATAAAAAATTCGGCCGGGCGCAGTGGCTCACGCCTGTAATCCCAGCACTTTGGGAGGCCGAGGCGGGCGGATCACGAGGTCAGGAGATCGAGACCATCCCGGCTAAAACGGTGAAACCCCGTCTCTACTAAAAATACAAAAAATTAGCCGGGCGTAGTGGCGGGCGCCTGCAGTCCCAGCTACTTGGGAGGCTGAGGCAGGAGAATGGCGTGAACCCAGGAGGCGGAGCTTGCAGTGAGCCGAGATCCCGCCACTGCACTCCAGCCTGGGCGACAGAGCGAGACTCCGTCTCAAAAAAAAAAAAAAAAAAAAAAAAAAAAAAAAAAAAAAAAAAAAATTCAAGTGGGACTATATATTTAAATATTTTCATTTTGAATATTATTATGAGTCATGTAGTGAGATACTGAGTCATGTTCTGTGCTAAGAGAGCAGTCTGAAATTAGACTATTTGGGTTCTAATACTTATCTACTTACCAAGTACTAGACTACAAGGAAGTTTTCTGGCTTCTAGGTTCCTCAGTTTCTATATCTATAAACTGTAGGCATGATAGTAGAGACTGCTTAATAGGCCTACAGATTAATTTAAGGGAAGGCAATATCTAAATCCATAATTTAGAAAATTTAAAACCATATTCTATCTTTTAGTTTTTATATTTTTCATATTGTTAGAGGACTGGATTACTAATAGGCTTGGTTCAGATAATCTGTAAGAAAGCATCAACTACCATCAGGCATAGATGATTTACATGAACCTGATGACCTTTCATATATACGACTCTGTAAAACTCAATAAAATGAACACATTTCAACTGGAATTTGCTGTCATTTTAAGTAAGCCTCTATCGGTAGTCCTTAAAATGAGATATATATGACATACTAGCAACAGGCAATAAAAAGGGCACACCAATTGAAAACTACTCATGAATTGATCAGGATGAGAAGAGGGAAATAAAGAGATGTCTCAAAGGAACCATTCCAACTGTAACTTAATCCTGAAGTCGAAGAGTAGAAGGAGAAAAGAAAACATCATTCAAGTGCTCAGCATTGAATTAGAAGAGTAGGAAATAGCACTTGTAGAGTACAGAAAGGCAAACACATGGAGAAAAGCCAAGTATTTAACATTTCAGTATAGTGAAGATTACTGTGGCTGCAAATTACCTGAATTTCCCTACAGGGAATCATGTTCTTTTTTAAAGGAAAGAAGCATAATATAACCAAACTCATTACAATTACACTTCCAAGTAACATTACTTTGAAGAGTAAATGTGTGCTAAAAGGGACTGCAAAAAGTCTGCCTTTAGTTCATAAAAATATGATTTGGAAAACAAAACCCATGTCTATGAAAGTTAACATTTGATGTACTCTATAAAGAACAGCTTGCTTCCAATTTTTAATCTCTTGATAAATAGTCAAAAAAAGGCACTTTAGCCATTATAATTTCACATAGCAAGTGCTACTTCAAAACATTCAGCCAATTATTCTATAGTGTCATCTGCTATGTTCTAAAGAATTACCAAATAGTCCTAAAGGATGTGTAATTCAGTGAGTTCCTCCATCAGCATGTTTAGTGATTAGCTCAAGCACTGAGAGGCCTGAGTTACGTTAAAAAGTTTTTGTTTGGTGCTTATAAAGTATTGTGAATAACCATCCTGCGGGTAAGTCATCTGTCCTGGCACCAGTTCACCCAAACTGGATGTGTGGTCTGGCCCCTCGGCTGCTCACATTCAGTCCTTGCTAATGATACAGGAGTTAAGAAGAAATCACTTAGGCAGATAGTAAAGGTATGGGAGTCCTCGGTAAGCCTTTTCTTTTTAGTAAAAAGCCCCAAATAATTTTCTAACAAAGGGCAAGCATGTAAAATCGAGCTGCAGACATAGGTAAACAAGCTGGGTGCTTGCATGGGTGAATGTGGGCAGGAACTAAGGACTGTACATGTTCAAGATGGAGGCTCCATCTTCCCTTCTCCTTGTCAGCCACTTGTACTGTAAGGCTCAGACAAGATGGAACCAATCAACTGGAAGGCCCATTTGCATAATAAGATTAGGGTGGGGTGACCAGCCTTCCCCTCCCACTATGTAAATGTCATACTTGATCGAACCAATCTGTGAGCCCTATATAAATCAGACACTGCCTTCTCCAGCCTGCCTGTAAAATCTGCTTTGGTCCGCTGCCTCCCCACTTTACGGATGTCTCTCTGTCTCTCTGTCTCTCTCTCTCTCTCTCTGTCTCTCTCTCTCTCTCTCTCTGTCTTTCTCTCTCTCTCTCACAAGGAGCTGCTCTCCTCTCTCCTTTCTTCTATTAAACTTTCCACTCCTTAACACACCCACATGTGTCTGTGTCCTGAATTCTTTCTTGGCGCAAGACAACGAGCCCCAGAGTATATACCCAGACAACTATAATGATGTTGCTTCCTTTTGCCCTCACTTGCCTGGGATCTCACTAAGTGATCCCTTTCGGAGCATCTCTGCCTACTGAGATTCCCAGGAACTTCCAGCATCCCCTGGTGATCTTGACTGTGATGGATAGAGCCATATCAGCATTCTACTTAGATCAATCTGACAATCTGTGAAAATCCAGATGTTCAAAACTGGTATACAAAGGCATCATGGAATTACTTTACAGACATCTAAGGTACCTTTAAATTAGAATTTGTTTTACAGGATTTGATTAAGGATTATTTCGGGAGTTCACATGCTAAAGCCATCTTTTCTGGATGGTATCATTCTTCACAATCTCAACAGCTGCCCATTCCACTTACCCAAGCCAATTTCCTCCCCCCCATTGAGCAGCATTTGTACTGTCCATTTTCTGTATTCATGCTTTATGAATTCAGTTGCTACCTCATATGAACTGAACATCAAAACATCAAAACAAAGGGACTCTTGCATTGCACATGCCAGTAAGATCACTTCATGACTTTTAGTTCTGACTACTTGCTATAAGCTAACTTGCGTTATTAATTCTATATTTCATTTGAAATTCTGGGCCATAGCTTAGGCCCCTCTCTCCAATATCTTCCTGATCCCAAGACGCCTTTCCTAAACAAGTTACTTCTTTGGCAGACTCTCTTTAGATATACATCAGCATTAAGACTATTATTTAGACACCACCAAGGAAAGACCCTTTTTCTTTGGTGGTGTCTAAATAATAGTCTTAATGTTGATGTATATCTGGAATAAATATAACAACAAAAATATAATATGAATTATATCTGTGATATATATATTTTGATTTTAGTGACAGTATTTTAATAAATATTTTAATAAATACTTTTCCTCTTTCAAGTTCAGTGTTATGCTAGACTGAGGATTCTTCTCTGCATTTCCAGGCAGACTTTTCTTCTCTAAAAACAAAATGTGATGTCAGGTGGCAGCAAAATCTGATGTTGCTCAAACGTGAGACAATGAGGACATTGCAGAGGGAAGGGGGTGGCCAGAACTGGAGTGACAAAACAGAACTAGTATCTGGCAAAGTACATTGGAATATCTGGGATTTAAGGGGAATTTTAAAAAATATCATTGTCTAGGCAGCTATCAATTATAGTTCTTTGGCCTTAATATTTTATCAATAGGCAGGTTTTAAAACACAAAAAAGTGGTTGATGCCACACTTTTTTTTTTCTTTTTTTTTTTTACTTTTTTGGTCAGGCACAAATTTAGTTGTTCTCAGAGTTGAAAAAATGAAAAGAAAACAAATTCTTATCTCTATTTTCACAGGTCCCCAGTGCTTGGTGGTCAGTAATTACATAGTAACTGGGGGGAATGCAGCCTGGAGCATTGCAAACAACCATAGAAGAAACTCCCAAAGCTTTTTGAGGACATTATCACCATCCTAGTTTTCTTGCTATCTGTTTTAATTAAAGAAATATACTGCAGCTAATTCCAGACTGCTGGAGATCAGGGTTGGCTTTGTGGGCTTCGACTGTGCAATCAAACACGGTACCATGCTTGGAAGCACATGAGCTTACTTCTATGCTCTGCTTCCATTGTCTTGAAATTTTAATGATTTCTGAACAAGGGGCCTGAATTTTCATTTCGCACTGGACCCCACAATTTTGTTGCCAGATCTGTCTGCGATTTAGATACGTTTGACAGTGGCATTTTTATCTCCATTCAAAACAGAATGTAGTCAAATACTAGTTTACTATTCAGTATTTATTCATTCGACAAACATTTTTTGAATATATTAAGTACTGTGATAGGTACCAGGAACACAATGGCAAACAGGAAGCTACTGTCTCTGTACTTAAAAAGCATTACCTATTACTAAGTGTGGAACAGAGACAAGAGGAAAGGCTATTAGAATAAAATGTGATAATTACTACGAGAGCAAAGATAATATGGGAACACATAGCAGAGTTATCTAAAAATAAAATCCCTTACAAAGAATTTCTACATTTTGTTGTATTGGTGGTTAAAGTATGTTTTCTCTTTTTCCAAGGTGAAGTGTAAGGTATCTGTTTCAGTATAACATTAGTATTACATTTTCTGCTACAACCAGCATTGTTAGGGTTTGTTCTATTTAGCACACAAAGTTTTCATTAACTTCTAGGAAGATGAGAAACGAAAGTAAATTATTCTTTCCTTGCTAATTTAATGCTGGTGAGTTTTTCCTTTTAAATGAAATGCAATGATGAGTAATTTCTAATTAATTATTTTGAAAATAGTTTTCCAGAGTAAGAGACACATAGGCCCTTATTATACGTTATGCTAAACAGGACATGACTAATTCATTTTTTTCTCAGTGGCCTTAATTATTTAGTTAATCCTTTCTTCTATTCCTAAACTCACATTAGGAGGCCTACGTATAATGTAGAGGTAGCCCAAAGTGAAACAATGCCATAACTGATGTCCAAATTGTTCTGTACAGGATGGTGGATGTGTTTAGTAATAAATGATATGAAAAGGTCTTTTATTGACAAGCTGCCATGCGCTGTTTGCATTAGCGAATATGAGAAGATGATGGCTGCTACTCCTTCGTCCCCATGGTATTCAGCTCAGTGAGATAGCAGAAAACGCTTCAGTTTACTTAAAGCATTGATAACACCTCTAAATAATTAACCGAGGACTTCCTGTCTTCAATTACTTAATGCTTTTT
Source organism: Homo sapiens (assembly GCF_000001405.40). Taxonomy (NCBI): domain Eukaryota; kingdom Metazoa; phylum Chordata; class Mammalia; order Primates; family Hominidae; genus Homo; species Homo sapiens. The sequence goes on from NC_000001.11 coordinate 215,776,384, forward strand.
TTAACATCTTGAGAGGATTATAAGCAATTTATGGATTTCACATGATGAGTGCATTCGCCACTATTCCCACAAAGCATTTACGGGATCATGTTTCTAAAGCTTTGAGGTAATTAAAAATAAGCATGGAGACAATGGGGCCGAGGCAAGGTGCTCCCTTTCCCTCCTGTCATTCCTAAGGACCTAGATTTTCAGGCTCCAGGACGACTAGTGCTACAGCTTTATTAGTGCTGTGTTGCTTAGGGAATGCCAAGCTTTTGGAAATGATGAGAAAATCAAAACATTTATCCTAGGGGGTTCAGGCAGCATTTCCATCAAACATTTAAGATGGAACAGAAAATAAATTTGATTATTTTAGTTCATTCCATGAACTCAATAAAACAGTCATTCACACCATAAAATACTTCAGTACTACATTTGGTCAGTCAGCTAACCGTGGAACTGAATTTTCCTGGGCAAATGAGTAACATTATATAGATCTCAAGTTTCCGATTATCTAATGCCTAGCACCATTCCTGTCCCCAAAGAACTACATATAGGAGGCTCTGTACTTGGTAAGGTTTTGCTGAATGAGGACTTATTTCTTTATTCTACAAAGAAACCCCTCTTTAGGGCTGTATTGGGCAAGTGAAATACTCTCTAAATCTATTTAAAACAATATCCATAGAAATTAAAACAAATCAAAAGTAGAACAGGGAGATTGGTCAAAGGACTCCTAAAGGCTTTTACCAGATTATGATTTTTTACTGTTAAGTAAAAATTAAAATTATATTAAAAAACCTTAAAATATTTATGCTAATAATAGGATTTCTGGCACCAAGATACATGTATGAAATCTACTCTGACATAAAAATAGCCATTAAAAATGTCAATGAAAGGAAGAACTGGTAGGGTGAAGTTATTTAGAGAAAAATCTTTGCAATTATTTTATAATTAATGAGGCTATCAATCCTGTTGGTTTGAACATTACAATTGAATTTGGTCTGTTGGTGTATAAATGCTGATTTCTAAAAAATGCAAACCAATAAAGTAGCAACAATTCGAAGCTGATGCTGGTTAAGTTGATAGATACTACAAGAAGAAATTTCTTTAGCCTTATATCACAATTATTGTGAAACCTTTGCTGGTACAGTCTTAATGTGCCTAAACTTGCTTTTCAAAACCCTGTAATTAACATCCCATTGCTTACTCCAAGTGACTCATTTGATTTTTCACCACTGCATCCTGTATAGAGCTCTGTTTTCAGTTATTTCTTTTCTTGTCAGTCTTCCCTGTACGTGAGAGGATCTTAAGAGCAGCAGTCTTATTTTAGACCACTTAGTGTACTATCTGGAAAACTGCAAGCTGGCAATTCATTTTTGGGAGAACGAAATGATATTCTGATTTCCTTTCAGATACAGGCAGTGAATGCCTTGGATACGCTGAGTAGGTTGGCTTTCTTCTTCATCTTTCAGATATGATTATTAAAAACATCTCTTACAAGGATGTGATGAGAGTCAGAGAAGTCAAAATGCAAACGTTTCTTTAAATGATAAAGCACCACATAGAAGTAAGGTTTTATTATGTAAAACACCATTATTTCAATCACTTGTGATGATTTCCACTTCAAGTAAAATAAGATAAAAGAAATAATTTTGATCATTCAAATATGAGGGCTTCTCCCAACCCCATTATCTTTTTTTTTTTTTTGAGACAGAGTCTCGTTCTGTTGCCCAGGCTGGAGTGCACTGGTGTAATCTCAGCTCACTGCAACCTCTGCCGCCCAGGTTGGAGTGATTCCCCTACCTCAGCCTCCAGAGTAGCTGGGATTACAGATGCACACCACCATGCCCAACTGATTTTTGTATTTTTAGTAGAGACGAGGTTTTGCCATGTTGGCCAGGCTGGTCTCGAACTCCTGACCTCAGGTGATCCGGCTGCCTCGGCGTCCCAAAGTGCTGAGATTACAGGCATGAGCCACCGCACCCAGCCTCAACACTATCATCATTGATTTAGCCCAGGATCTTGAGGTAAGGAATACAATGTGCCAGGCCAAGAGTTGTATTAAGCACCTTCTGCAGGTTTACGGCCCTTTTGGAAAAATACTGGAGATTTTGTCAATGAATGCTTGCTTATGTGTTAGGGAATTGTGGCATTTAAGAGTGAAAAGTGATGAATTTATTTTGCCACCCTGTGTAAGTGTAACCTGTGTCCCTTCTTAGGAAAAATCAGTCACATTTTTCCAAGGCCTTTCTGCACTTTTCTGTGAGTTTCATTATCTGTGCTATCAACACCCCCTGCAAAAAGTGCAGTCCAATGGAAGGAGGTCATCCACTCAGGAAGTCTTGGAAGGAGGTGGCTGACAATGGGAAAAAAGGGAAAGTTTATACAATCTTGCCCATGGTCTTAGAATTTAAACTTAACAGGGTTGTTTGGGATGATTCAGTAGACTCGAATAATGAACTAAATTACTTAACTTCTCAAAGTATTCTTTTCTGTAAAATGAAGGTAGTAATTCACTGTACATCTTAGGTTGGTGATGGAGAATCAAATTGCATAGTGCACTCAAAGTGCTTAGGACAGCGTCTGGCACATATTAAGTTCCCTTCTTCCCCAAACGTTTATTTAGCTCCTATTAATGTGTTCAGGACTATAAGTGCTAGAGGTACAACACTGAACAAGTAGATAAGGTTCCTGCTCTCTTGGAGCCTACATTCAAGTGTGGAGAGACATAAAAAGACAAAAAACAAACACTAAAATATCAGGCAGTGAGAGGTCTATGATGGAAATAAAACAAAGTGATGTGGTGGTGTGTTAGAGAACCTATTCGAGCAAGTAAGTCAGAAAATGCTTCTCCTCCCTTCAGAAGTGGCATTTAAGCTAAAACCTGTTAATTATTATCATAATCACTACTAGCAATTATCTAACATATCATTGTACTGTACTAATAGTATATTATTAAGGCTAATGATAATAAACATTATAATAAATTAAAAAAACACAATTGCTATTAATTAACATTCCTAATAGTAACAAACAGTCACAATGACTCCACTGTCAACTAGTCCTGTGTATTAATTATCCACTTGATAGACAAATGTTAACCTCTGGCTGATTTTCCCCTGCCTTCCAGTATATTCTTGGCTATCTTAGTCCCATTAACTATGAGTATATCCTTGGGGAATGAAAATGCATCTTACTGTTTGTTTGAAAAAAAAAGTTAATACTGATGCAAAAACCCTTCACATAATGCATATCAAGGCCAAATATAAATTATTTCTGAAGTTATCTGCTGTTGTGGCGTATTGCTGCCAGTGTGGGCTCTTCTATTAGCATGGATAAGTGGGACCTGACCATATGTCAAGAGAACACGTCCTTTCGAAGTGACCTCATATATCAAACACACACCCCTGGGATGCTTTGCCCCCCTAACCACAATGACAGACTCCTCCAGTAGGATTTCCTTTTTTTTTGTTTTCTCACCTGTGACCGTATGCTGTCTCCTGTCAGTGGTGTCAGTGTGGATGAGACCTTTCCCAACCTGCCTGATCTGGTACTCTTTAATGACGCCGTTTGATTTCTCAGGGACACTCCAGCTCAGATGCAGAGCCACTGCACTTAGGGCTGTGATGCTTGGTGGCAGGATGCTCTCCGGAACTCCTTGGGTAGTAGCTGCAACTACCTGAAGACGTAGGAATTAAGCAGCAATTTATTGTAATAGTGCACTAGCTATCCTGATCAATGAGAATGTCACTTTTGTTTTAAAATGTTGTCTGGCCTGGCATATCATTAGCAGGGGCTTGGAGAAGCATTTCCCTTTTTTTTCATTTTTTTCCCTCCCAACCTATTTAAACAATGAAATCTGACCTTGAATATATTACATAAGTCTCACACTACCATTTATCACAACAGGTTCAACAACAATTTTGACGGCAGAGTGCAGCCCTCAGTGTTTAAACAAGTAAAATCTGGCTGGCAGACTGTCTTACTAGAGAACTCTTGATAACTCTCTTCCATATGGCCCATCAGTGTCTTTGCATTTTAACAGCCTGATTTCATACATTTTAAGCACCAGTAAATATGGAGCAAAAGCCACATCTGAACTTGCTTGCATACAATATGCTTTGAACAGAATAAATGGGCAGACATTTCGGTACTCTTCCCATGATACCTAGGATGACTTTATAGTGTCTGCACCAACTTTCTAAAGAAAGAAACAAGTCAGAAGAAAAAAATAAATCAATTACTTAGTCAATATTGTCAAAACATAGTTTTGGACAAAAATTGGCTTCTTTCATAGAATTAACTTTTTTCACTTTGTAAACAATTGCTTTGCATGTAGCAGGCATGAAGTGTGCCTATGCAAAAAGCATGGAATTGTTCTAGGACTAATAACTTTTGACTGGGCCAATCAGCTGCCATCTATCTATCTAAATGGTGGCTCACTCAGAAAGGTTTCCAGAAGTCTGTTGAACAAAATGTTGCATTCTTGCACTGTGGCTGAGCAGTGTGGCTGAATGTTTCATTTGGATGGCTCTTGCACAGTGTGCAAAGATGTTGCTCTTCTAAAGTTTTAAGCATATGAAAAGAATCAGAGCTACTCTGTGTAAGTTTGTTTCCTCCTGGGCTTCCTCTGTCAAGGCTGGCTTCTATGAAATGTCCCTTTCTTTATTTTACTCCCACATTGTTTGATTGTTTATTTCCAGTCTTCTTTGTGGGCTTTTCTTTCTTTTTCATTTGGTAGCATTCCCCAGTGCTCATCATCCACAATATTCCATATTTGTTTCTCTCTATTCTCCTTCCATGTCCATATTTATACTCATTACTTCAACTTCCCATACAGATCTTTCTAGAAACTTCAGTCACCTCTCAATCTGGTTTCTGACCAGATATTTTCACATAAAGTGCCAAGTACTATCTGCTTCCGCCACCCTGCTATCTGATCCTTCTCTTTAAATATATTTTTTACAAAACTTAACAAAACAGAATCCTATTCTTTTACCTTCAACATTTTTCTCTTTTTTAAAAATTTGCTTGCAGAATAGCACCATGATCCACAAATTACTCAAGCAGATATTTGACAATATCCGTGACTCTTTCCTTTTATTTCTGTAAATATAATTGAGTACCAAGTTTTGTAGATTTTATCCCCCATGTCTGTTGTATCATTCTGTATTCTCGGTTCTGACCTCTGCTGCCTAAATTCAGGTCTTCATTATTTCTTGACAAGGCTATAGCAGAAGGCTTGGAACAATTTTGTTTTCCGTGCCAGGCTTTTTTGCCCTTCTCTTCATTTTTTAAAATCAGACAATTTTTGTTCATATCATATTTAAATAGAAACTTTCTTTAACTGAATAATGATTTGGACATTTTTATAGATTTATAGATTACCTAAAATTGGTTGGTGAGGAAAGAATGTGGAAGAAAAGATGGTACTGCTTCAAGATTTCACTTGTTTTTCATTAACACAAGATTGATATTTGGATAAATCTCCCTTGAAATGATCTCTCCTTCCAGCCATAGGTATTAGCACTCAGTTAACGTGACACATGAACACGCTACTTAACACCACTTTGAGGAGGGACATTGTTTTCTTCAATGAAAAAAGCAGTCACAACCTGGATGTTCAGATAATCTTCACACTGAACCCCTTTTCCCAGAGTTTAGGCAAACTCCTCTTACCTTGCTACTGGTGGCACAGCCAGCAACCGTGCAAGCTTTCAGCTGATATGAATATTCCTGAAATGGTTGAATTCCCTCTTTATCAGAGAAGCTCAGTGATGTTCCCCGAAAACGTTCAATTCCATTTCGAAGAAGGATGTAGTAAATAATAGGACCTAAAAGAAGCAGAAAAATGACTGCATTTGAATGTGATATCATTTTAACTATTTGCAAACAACTTACAAATCTTAGTGTTCGGAAGAAATGCAATACTATAGCTTTATTTAATTTTAATTTCCTATTATATTGCTGTCTCAAGCAGTTCCTAATTATACTATTATGGAGGAGATGGATTCTTGACATAAATGATAAGAGTCATTTATGTTTATTTCCTTTCACTATGAAACAAATTTACTTTCAATATTAAAACTCTTTCCCCTTCTCTGAATATGCCTTGCTTGTTTTGAAAGCAGCTCAGATATATTCTGGGATTCAAGGAACTTTCATTTCTATTTTTTTACTTATTTAGGCTAAAAATCTACGAGGACTACACCACAAAGTGAGTGATTAGTTGTCACATAATTACAGTTCCCTTTATCGGAACATACTTTTCTAGTGGTTAGATGCATAGGGCAATTAAATGTAGATTGTACTCATTTCAATTTTCTTATGAATTTATGGGATTTTGTTATTTGTATTTTAAAGGTATCTCAATACCATTTGATTGTATAGGTTTTCTCCAGTTTAAGACAATTGTATCTTCAAGATTGTCTATTTTGGTCCACGTAGGGGGACTCACTCCTTGAGGCACATCTTCTTTTGTTCTGGCTCTCACAGCTTTGCTGAGTCCTCGCCCATAGCTGTTCCAGGCAGAAATCCTGTACTCATATGTCATGTAGGGCTTGAGGTTCACATCTGGAAAGAGAAAAAATAGACAGGGAAGTTTCTCTTATTTTCATTTTTTAACCATCATATTAAAAGTGAATATCAAAAACTTTAGACATTTAAAAATAAATGTTTAATGCTCTAAACGCTTTGTATATAAATAAAACTCTAATATCTTTATTTTCTAAATATAAGTAACATTTAAAGTATTTATTAGATGCAGGGATACGGAATTGCACAGAATAGAATTCCCTGTTTCTGAGCAGAGAAAGAGGGATATATTAAATAAATGAAAAATAAAAGCACTGGAATCATGTATAATAAGATTTAGTGCTTCACAAATTCATGTAGTTTTGATTCCTACATGAGACAGGTTTGGCAACATTCTTTTATAGTTTTAGTATCATAGAACTTATAAATTATTGCTTTCTGTTACTTTGTTAATATTACTTAAAAAATTTTAAATCATATGGATTATAATGTTGTTACAATATACAGGATTTGAAACTTAGTTTATCATGGTACCATGTTAGTGAATAAAAATGAAAGCATACTCTGCTATCTAGTTCCTTCCCTCTTCCACAAAAGCCAGAACTGAAAACCAAAATACAAACCAACCAACTTTATTAAAACAATAAAACCAAGCCTGCTGAGCTTTCCAAACTGGCAAAAATTGTATTAGATGAACACTCATGTGATTCAGTTGTGTCCCCAAAGTCTTAGTTCCATTTAGGCTTTAATAACTTCGGAAATACCAATGCTACACATTTCCCCTGAAAAACTTACTTGAAAGTTTAATTATTTAAATTTATTTTCCATGTCTCTAATTTGATGAATTTTAAGTAAGTATGTATGTATTTTTGTGTGTTAGCTTCTGGATGACTCTTTCTCAGATTGAGCATCAGAAAAGGAGGCCTTCCTCCTTGGCTGCCTGGCCACCTGCTCATCTCCATTGGACGTGGAGTTAATTCTCAGTCTCTATGCTTAGATTAATGGAGAGACATTCTCCTTATATACATCTCCTTACAATAAACCCTTCCCTGCCCACTGTATAGAACTAATATGAAAATACAATGCAATAAATTATGGGGCAGAACTTCATAAAATGCAGATTGCTCTACAAATGTAAAGCATTATCTTCCTTTTCCATTTTTTTCTGCTCGGGGGTATCTGCCACTTGTTGCCTGTGATGGCAACCATGAGTCCCCAGTTCTCCCTTCCATCCTGGTCAGAGGCCTCCTGCTTAGAAAACCACATTTGCCAGTTTTCTTTGTAGCTTCTAGTGGTCACATGACTCAGATCTCAATACTTGAAGGAGTATAGAAAGACACTGACAACTTCCACATCATTTTATAAAGAGAAAATTGCATACCTTCGGTTGCCATTCTGGATTCTGGATACCTGAATGACCTTGTGCGATTCAGTTGCCTAGACCATCTACCTACCCTCAGATGGTCAATATGTTTTACATTTCTGCTACAGCAAATTAAACTACTTATTGGTAATGACTGTTATTCTGTATCCTCAAGCCCACATTACCATTTCAAATCTCATTTGCTGCTTCCTTCTTTCTTCATATAGGGTTGAAATCTCAATGAAAAATTATTGTTTGTCATCATAGCTGCTAGTCCTAATGTAGTGACTAGTTATTAGTAGGTATTTAATAAATAATTTTTGATAAATAAATGATTGCATAAATGAATAAATTTTTGTCAGCACTGGTATTGTCAGCTTTCAAGTGTAAGTTTCTAAAAGAGTCTGACTTAATCTAAATTGTTCTCAATGGAATTATCATAGCACCACTTGTGTGCTGAACATCTTTCATGAAAAAGAACAGTTTGTTATTTTTCATATTCAATTTGTAGTATTTTCTGCAGGCAAAGCAATCTGAAATATGGATTTTAAAAGCCCTCATAACATTATATCAGTAGGTGGAAACATCTATTCACTTCTGGAGAGGGCTATTACAAGTATTTATTAAAAGCCCTTCAAAATCTTGATCTTGATTACAAGGGGCAGATAAAAGTAGAGAACTCTCTTAGATGGAAACTCAATAATTTAAAAATGAAAGTCCATGACTTAAATCTATAACTGGGACTGGGAACACAATAGAAGGTTGGACAAATTGTCCTCTATCTGAGGCCTTTCCTAATTAAATTCATTCCAAGAAATATTTTTTGTTTGTATAGTGTTCTAAATCCAAATAACGAGGCAAAGGTAAACAAAAATGCCCTATTCATAAGGATGTTTCAATCTAATAGAAGAGCTGGAACAAGTGTCCAAATCCATATGACACATGAGAGAGCTAGTGAGCTTTGTGAACAATGTGCCATAGCAGCACAGGGACTGCATTGAGGAAAAGAATCTTGACCTAGGCCTTGAGTAGGATGATAAAGGAGGACATTTCAGGTGGAATAACAGCTTGAAGTGCATTTGGAGCACTCTGAAAGGAGCTCCTGCACCACGTGGAGTCTTCAAAGTCTGTCCCTTTTGATGATGGCATTATTTGAATATGTTTCTTTCTCATGGCGAGTAACTTTTACAGATCTGACCCTCAGTTTCCTCATCTGTTAAATGACCATATTTATATGATTGCTTTGTTGGTAACTGAGATAAGGTTTTAAAGTACCTAGTGTAGAGATATACCTAATGTAAATGACAAGTTAATGGGTGCAGCACACCAACATGGCACATGTATACATGTAACAAACCTGCACGTTGTGCACATGTACCCTAGAACTTAAAGTATAATAAAAAAATTAAAGTACCTAGTATAACATTGAGACTAAATAATGTTCAATCAACCTTATCTCTGTTCCTTTCTTCCCTTCCTAATCTTCCTCCTCTTATCTTAGTAGCCTGCCTTACTTTCTGCACTCTTGAGGTTAGCCATTATTGCCCCTTGGTTGAGTAAAGCAGACTGATGATTCATGATGGAATGGAGCAATGTTTTGCTTGTTTATTAACCTTAGCTTGCTCAAATTATGTCACTTAAATGGATTCTATTGAATCAAGATGATAGATGATACACACACACACACACACACACACACACACACACACAAACTTGATTTTTCAAAAAACAAGAACACATTTTGTAGGGACTTAAGTAAATGGATGAATAACACAAATTTAATTGATGGCAGAACTGTTTTAGAGATAATTCTAAACTTAACAGTGTTTCTCACACAGCTCAGCCAAAACTAAGCATAACCATTTTGGACTAATTCAGCAGGGCCAAGATGGTACATAGAAATTAATATTTACAATAACTGCAAAGGTTATTCTTTTGGAGATGACCAGCCATCTTGGAGAAATGTCATGCTTGGGTTTACCTCATCCTCAGAGTAGCACTGTTAGGTTTTATTATTAATCAGACAGGTTCATCCTTCTTTCTGCTTAAGAGTATAGCAGTATTCATTCAATGCATTCAGTGGAAGCTGCATTGCAGCTTTTGAAAAAGGAAATTGGATTTATTGTAAATTAACTGGATATAGCAGTAAAGGTCACAGATATCTCCACAGATTTACCTTAATATGGAATACAACCTTGTTTAAATAGACTTTAACACATTTTAAAGTACTGACTTTGAATACATCCAGATTATGCCTTTAATTACCTTGTAACTAGCTGGCCTCAAAGTATGATGGAATGTACTGATATCAGTTTAAGGAGAGTTGATGTCAGAGTGAAATAAATCTGCATTTTCAGCAGCTTCTCACTAACCCCATTAAGCCATGGGCAGACAGCTTGCTTTCTGTTACCTGTGTAAGAGTACGTGTTTACACTCCCTGTATGAATGGTTTCTTCGGCAGATGAACACATTTCTTCAATTGATGCCTTCCCTGTGGAATTGTGAGACCCTCTTATCACAGTGCAAATGTGGCTGGTAAAGTTGAAGTCACACCTGCCACAATGTTCTGTGGCTTCCATAGATGCTGGGCAGAGGATCCTGCACTCTTTGGTTTCCTGAGTCAAGTGGCAGGGGTGAGAGAGAGAGGGGTATTTAAAAATTTCATTTAGACATACATAGGGTAGGCTTTTGTGACTTTCAAATGAAATTTTTCCTCCACTTACTTGATGAATGAATATTTCAAAATTTATAAAAAGAAATGAAGGCAGTTTGTATACTAGGAAGAACAATGACTTTGAAATGTCACAAATTGGGATTAAAATTTCAGTTTTGCAGCTTCCCAGCTCTGTAACCTTGAGCAAGTCACTTATGTTTTCAAAACCTCAGCTTCTTCAGTGGGGAACATGGAGACAAAATTTACTACCAAGGTTTGTTGTGTGACTCAAATCATATAATTTACCACCAAGGTTTGTTGTGTGACTCAAAACTGATAAGTCTTTAAACTTAGTATACACACTACAAATATTTTATTTTTGCTATTTGATACTTTCCTATGGAATTTTAGAGAAAATAAAGAATGTGATATTTGAGAATTTACACTTCCTGTGTTGTTGGGGAAGTTGGTCCCATTAGAAGTATTACTGATCCAAGTTTTTAAAAATATAAATGTTTCATGAACTGTCATTGTAATTATAATTATTTACGCTTATAAACATTTTCTCTGACACATCTCCAGATTTTTTATGGTTTTTGATAAGTACCACTTTGTTTTAATCCAAGGAAATTAAATACTTAATCATCCCACACTACAAGAGCTATAAGTAAGGTAATAGTTTTATAATGTGGAGATCTACTTTGCCTTTCCTTTACATAAGTAGCATAATGTATTTAGAATACTTTTTGCTATTAAAATTGATCTCCATTCAGCCTCTCTCTTACATAAAATAAGTTGAATTATTCTTACCAAGTTGATCAAAATAGTACATTCAAAAATATATAGTGGGTCTGGGCGCAGTGGCTCATGTCTATAATCCCAACACTTTGGGAGGCGGAGGTGGGTGGATCACTTGAGGTCAGGATTTCGAGACCAGACCGATCAACATGGCGAAACCCTGTCACTACTAAAAAAACAAAAATTAGCTGGGCTTGGTGGCGCACACCTGTAATCCCAGCTACTTGGCAGGTTGAGGGAGGAGAATCGCTTGAACCTAGCAGGTAGAGGTTGCAGTGAGCCAAGATGACACTACATAAATAGAATCCCACTATATATATATGTGTGTGTGTGTATGTGTGTGTATCTATCTATCTATATCTATCTATCTATCCTCTAAAAGCCCAACTAAATGACAGTAAAATACTGGTTTACGTGTTGAAAGTCTAAGAAAAAATGGAGAAAAATAATACACACAAGACAGTGCATACCTTTTTGGAAGCTGGAAAGTAGATGAATGTGGCAGAGACAATGCAATGTGCTCAGTGATGTCCATGTTTCCCTTTTCTCTCTGGGAACATGGGATGTTGAAACCTGGCTGCAGTAGGAGAAGCCACCTGACTAGATATGTCTGTGTGACTAGTGCATAGAAAGGATGTACTCTATATCCAGGTAGGAACTGTCTGTGTGCAATTGTCCCCTCTTGCGCCTTTTCCATTATGATCCAAGGGCTGCATGAAGCATCACAAGATGTAAGGGGCTTCGGTTCTAGAGATGTTACTTGGAAGACAACTGCCTAACTCATAATGAATTGTAATGTAAAAAAAAAATTGCTAAGAGAGTAGATCCTAAATGCTCTCATCACAAAAATGGAAAACAAAATGCAAAAAGAAACCATCCTAACTTCCACATAGAGGTTCATTGTCATGAAATTTTAGAGGAGCAGGATAAAGAGAACATCTTCAAGAGCTTTCATAGGAAAAGAAACATGGTTACCAACAGAGAGATAGGAATCAAAATATTAATGGAAGCTTAAAACATGCAGAAATGCCTCAAAATTCTGAGTAGACATAATTTTTAACCTGGAATTGTATATCAGACCAAACTATCAATCCTGTTGGAGGGTAAAATAATAGTATTTTTATACATTAAGCTTTTAAAAAATTTACCCTCCATACATCTATATACAAGAAGATAATTCTCCAAATGGAATGAAACTTGGAATCCAAAACAAAACAAAACAAAACAAAACAAAACAAAAAAACAGGGGAATCAACACAGGAAAGAGGTAAAAGGAATTCCTGAATTGATAGCTTAGGGAAGACCGAATGGGCCAGCTATGTAAAAATCCCATGGTGATCCATTCCAGACTGGAACAGGATATAAATGTCTCCAGGTGGTAGGTCTTCAGAAAACAAAATGAAACCTACAGACTGAACATTATTATGTATACACACTACTTGATTCAGCATGGAGAAATATTGTCCTCATTAGAATAATTTAACCAACCTTATGTGTTATCTTAATCATTCATTGATACAAAGTGCTTGCAGGGCTTCTAACAATCTCATGAGTTATTTTACATCCCAAAGTGTACAAAGTGTATGTGGTCTACACAAGGACTGTGTAGTTGCCTCATTGAACAAGCGTCCTTCCATTGTCTGTGACCAAGACACCCATTTTTAGTGGTCTTATAATGACAAATTACTACAGAACACGGTAGCATGTTTATTTTTAAAGTGTCCATGGTCCTTTCCTTAAATTGATAGGCTTCTGGTATCCTGGGTCAAGTTTAATACCCACATACATGACATGGCTGTGTACAAACCATCACCATACAAAAACATAAGCGATTACACCCAGAAGCCTATTCATTCACTTTTGACACAGGCATTTGCTCATCTTGCATTGTCCAAGGGAATATGATATAAATGCAACTAAGCGAATTTGCTGGATCTAAGGTCTCTATCAAAGGAAAGTGGTGGATGATGGCTGGCGGGCTAGGGAGAAGAAGCGGGAATTTCCTCCTGCCTCCATCCACAGTGCTCCCAGGCATGAAATGGCACCATGCAGAGGCCCCAGACGACCTGTGCTGGCTCTTTCAGTGGCACACAGACTTTCAGTCCTGCACTAATCTGAAGTGCTGGGTAAAGCTTCCCTGAGAACAGCTAATCATTATTAATTCCTTTAGAATTCATTGCAATAACATCAATCATAGCGAACTCATTCGGTATTAATATGGATGTAATGTGAAAATGAATAATGCACACAGGAGTTTTTATATTCCTATTTTAGAAAAATAGTTATGAACAATGTATTTCTCTTTCCATTGTCAAATCAGCGCCTCCGAGAGCTTTTCTATCAATTACCTTCATCATCATTCCAGTTGAAATCTTGTCAGAGCAAACATATTTCAAAGGATTATATCCAACTCCATTACAGCATTTCTGGCTCTTTGGAATAAGTTCAGTCTCACAGCATTTTACTGGCACCGGGTCATTCTTTTTAATATGTGCTTTAGACTCTCCACTGGAAGCTGAGCAGCATATGGTATCTGACATATTCACATAATCCTGCCCACAACAGAACATACCTGCAACAATAAAATGTTATATATGAATATGAAATAGAAAAAGGGAAGAAAACTGAGGCTGCTATAAAGTTTGGTATAAAAATGTCAGGCTCAGGCAGTTGCTGAAATGGTGCAATACCTAAGGTAGCATTTCCCTACCAAGGTGATTTAAATGTGCAGTGAGGGTCCTTCTTACCAAGAGCACTAGACACTAATTAGGAAAAGAACACACAAGAGGAAATGTTCGAAAATCATTCAGCTGGGCCAAACTTCTCTCATGCTCCATAAAAAGAGATAGGATTTCTGTCATGAAAACTGCCTGCGCATTTTGTGATGATAACATCTTGTTGCAGAAGAAGGTTAGTTAAACTATAGGGACTCTGAGAAAGCTCTAGAAATTCATAAGGGAGAAAAGGTCACCCAAGTACTCTGGGATAAAAGCCCAGGCAGAGTGGAAAGGTAGCACCATCCTAGAACTGGAAGCCCTGCGGGAGAAGCAGTGCAAGTTTTGGCTTAGCTTTATTTAGGGTACAAATATTTGTTTCTTGTGAATTTAGCTGCAATGGTAACCATGTTTTCTGCATGAGATGGATTTGGTATTTATTCATAATCAGCTGAGCATGTTCACTGATCAGGTGCACTAATCAGCCACTATTTTTTGAGCCTCACTCTGTTCTAGACCCATCACAGACACAGGTGACAGGCTGGGGGCAGCCGCAGAAAGACCTTGTAGAGAGGATCACTGATCCCCACATCTAAACGAAAGACACACGTACCTGAGATACCAAATAGACATTTTCTCCCACCAAATTTAGTTTAATTACCTGCATTTGCATCATTTAGATATTGCCATCAAAGAGAAATGGCAGAAATTTTAACATTAAAGCAGGAATAAATTAACACTACTCTAGAGACAGATCAAGCTAGAAATCAAGGTGGCTATACTGCATGTCACAGTGTTTTTATATTAGAATTTATATCCAGTTATATAGCAGCACAATGTGATGAATGATTTATTTTAATTGGAATTTTGTTTGTTTATTATTAGTTCCGACTGATAACATAAAGAACCTCAAATTCAAAGTGCCCTGGGGTCCTGAATTGTTTAATCTGGTCCTGTGTAAACATCTACATTATTAAAGACACTCAAATAAAAGATCAAAAGTGCTTTTAAAAAAAATCATTGAAAGTAGACATTGGTTTGGCACATGCCTTAAGAAAGATGTTTATCCACACATGACTCCAAAGAACCCTCTCATTCATCTTTTTACTTACAAAAGTCTCTAATATTAAAAACTCTTATTTATGATTAATGATATACACTGATTCTAACAGAGCTTTGGCATACCATGTTTATCTAATGTGATAACTCTTCGAAGTAATTGGTTTACAAATTAACTGCTATATTTATAATTTTAGTGGTTTTAACATTTCTAGGAAAAGTTATCTCAAATTAATACAAAGAGCAGGGCTCATTTTAGTCTGAGTCTGGATTATGGTGGGTATATATGTGTGTATGTATAAGTACATACCCAAATACACATATTTATGTGTGTGTAGCTATGTATGTATGCATATGTATGTGTATATATACACACACAAATACATATAAATATATACATACATGAGTGTACACACACACATAAACTAAAAAGAAAAATCCGTAGCTTCAAGTTTTATATTGTTCGGGCATTTTTCTGCCCCTTCTGATTAGACATTTAAATACAACCATGGATTTTTTTACTGTTAATTTTTTCTCTGGCAGTTTTCTGAAGACAATTCATGTTTCTCTTTTAAAGAGCAATCAAAATTTGAAAACTGGCCCTTTAGGGAGCGGAATATATTCTCCCCCTCTCATTCCCAAATTACTTCATGGTTTCACTATGCTTTAAGTATAAAATAAAAATGCAGACATTGACCTAATTTGAAACTCCTAATCAGTCATCTGATCACTCTGAGGGACTTCTGACAGGTCAACTAAAATTTTGATAATGAACTGTTTTTAAACTAGAAAAAAAAGATGCCTTCTTTCACAAAGAGCTTCATCTTTGTATTACTGAATTGAAATTTTCAGCCAAGATTTCACTCACATAACAAGAAGTGACTCCCTTTTTAGATTCTTTGGTAAACCATTACTTCTTTAATTATTATCAACCTTGTTCCAGTGTGATAAATTGCTAATTACTTAATACCCTAATCAGCGTTCATTCTTTGCACAGATAAACTGTGACAGTGCCATTAATTTAAATAGTAATTTCACTTAATGGCCAGAACGGCACACCAGATTTTTATGCAGCATTTTCTGAAGACTGCATCCATCACTGCAATATTCTGACATAAAGATGTCTGACGTGCACTAACTCACTTAGGGAGAGCAGATGTTGCGGAGCAGAGTTTGGTAGTAATTCCCATAGTGCATCACTTCAGCATGAATGAGCTGCAAATTCAGAGACAGACAATCTTCCGAAACTGCATTGCAATAACTTTCGACCCCTACCTAATTTATCACATGTAGCACTTGACTTTTGAACTTTGACACACGGAATGCACGATTTTAAATATGCCCAAAGAAAAACAAAATAGGTCATGCATTATTGATGGATTGGTCCATTCTTCCAGAGCCTCTTCATTAAATTTGTACAAAAGGTGGAGTGTGTCTTTGAACAAAATGCAGATGTTAGTAAAGTGGTACAGTACACATTAAACTAGTAGGTGTTTATTTTTCAGATGAAAAAGCATATATTGTCTTTCTAAACTGTATATATATCCAATGGTTTCCATTGATTGGACACAACTGAGAAAATAGTGGAGGAAAAAATTTTTACTCACAATATTATTAATACTTCAAATATGTTACCAATGCTTATTTCATATCTATGTCTAAAAAGAAAAGCATTTATAAGCATATCTGTTGGATGAATTTCTAAATAGTTAAGACTGCAAAACTGGGATTCCACTTTTTTTTAAAGAAGACCAAGAATTATGTATCATGCCTTTGAGATAAAAATAGTATAGTAGTAAAATCCAGTCTGGAATATGACAAATCATTGTGAAACTCTGAGATTGTTCATGGGGACCAAATTTTAAGCCAAGGGATATTTTAGGCCTAGAAGAAAAAAAAGGTTTGTGATTAGTCATCCTTAGGACAAATGTATAACATTTGTGGCAGAGCATGAAAGAAAAGAAATTCACACTTGTCTTCACCAGTAGATGGCTCTGTGACTACCACCACAAAACAGAGGGTAGAGTAAAAATGCTCCCCAAATCATTGTGATACATTTTATAGCACTGATATATTACACTTTTCAAAAAAAAAATCATTCTGTTTTATGGAAATCTTCCAGGGAAATGTTTTTTCAATGCCACCCTTACACCATGGACTTCTGTAATTATACTTCCCTCTGCAAAATTCCCAAATTCCCATCTTATGAAACAAACAGCGATAGTCATTTGTTCTACTGAAGTCAGAGTCCAGGACATGAAAACTCAGTCTTGTATTCTGAAACAATTTCAACTCAGAGTTTCACATCAAAGGCCGCATGGACAAAGTTTATAATATAAATAAGTCAATATATTCCAAAGTCATCTCATGATCAGTTTCCCATGGCTAATAGAAAAATCTGTCCTCTTTGAATGAAACGGAGGTTTTAATTTTTCACCTTTTCATACTAAGGGATATAATCAAGTCCAATCCAAGATTAATGGCATAAATGATAAAGCTATATAAGCAAACACTAAGAAAAAAATGAGTAATAAATAGGTTTAAAATCTATTCAAAGAAAATGGCTAAGAATACATATCCACTGAAATGACACGCATGACTTTCATCCCGAGATACCTGTATAACACTTCTACACAACGCATCTGCCCAGAGAGAGCACTAAAAACATAAACGCCACCCCAGCACTTCTGTTCCAACAGCATCTGTTAATTCACTCCATTTATAAAATACATATTGACAAAGACAACTGAACTGGGACCAGGGAGATTTGATTTGGTGTGAGAAAGTCAATTCAATGTGATTTTGTTAAAGGGCTCCTGCAGGCAAATAAAAGAGTTTAAGTAATAAAGTACATAAAGAGATGTTTTACGAGCCAGCCCGGTCTCGTGGCAGGCACACAATGCCAGGCAGCGAGAGAGGCCAGGCTTAGGAACGATATTATGAGATCCAAACACTTATGTAGCAGGTATGCTGTTTGTTGCTAGGTTGAGGAGAAAAAGGGCCATATGGATATTCTGGAAGGTCATTAAGGTCACAGTCATTAGGGGCTACAGGAGTGAACGGCAGCAGAGAGAGGAAAAATACATGTGGAATCTGTCTATTTTCAGTGCAACCTGCAGAAAGAAAGTCAAGAGAATAAAAAGATATATTTTTTCCTTTGTAAAACTATTATTCCTTAAGTCCACTATGATTATCAGAGTTGGCAGAGCTGTAGAATGCCATGAGAAACTCTAGAGCTTATCTTGATTCGCAAGAGTTGAGGGCTGTCACCATTTGTGTAAGAAATGTTTGACTGGCATGCGACATCATCTTGGAGTAAATAAAGAAGTGATTCTGAAATTTGAGTTCATGGATGGAGTTCAAGGGTGGATAAAATTACAGGCAAATTTTTGTGTATATTCCATGCACTATTATTCAGAGTGAGGGTTTGTAACTTCCAAAAGATTCAAAAGGAAAACAAGTTAAGAACCATTGTCCTAGTGGACGGTAACCTCCATTCCACTTCTTAGAACAGATGTATTTTACTTCATGCCAGGGGTGTTCTGACTTCTCTTTCCTTCTCTATTGTATTTGTTCTGACACCTAAATTTAATCTTAAACTACAGTTCTTATCATCATATTGACTCTTCCCTGAGTGCTAAATAATGTTCAAATCCTTTTGCCTACTCAGATTTATCTCCTTTCTTCCTTACACAGAGTGTATACCTCCTGTAAACCAAAGCACACGCTATTATTTGTGTTTTGCAGATTGCTAATTTCACAGTTTAGCTCAAGCCACACCTGCCAAAATCATACTCACTGTTTGAGATTCCAATCCAATGGAACAACCCCCTTCATTACCTTGACTGGAGTGATCTCTCCGTCTTAAGAATATGCATGCATTCATCCCTCTCTTATGGTCTGTGTATAACCTTGTAGGCACTTTTCTCCTTGATTAGGTTGTAAGTTCTTGAGGATAAAAACGGAATCTTGGCCATTTTTACACTTGCAAAGCACCAAGAATGATGTCTTGAATATGGTTACTACATAATACATATTTAACAAAGGACGGAGTATAGCAGTTGACTAATTCTTTTAAAAAGCTACAGATGAACAAACACACTAAAATCAAATATTTTGCTGTCATTTTTAAACTCTGATGTATTAGAGTACACAGGAGGTAACACTTTTGCACCCTCCCTGCCACCTTGGTTCTATCTTTAATAGACCTGTTATTAGCTACTTCATCTAAAGGAGGAGGAGGTATTCAACTGGTTAGTCATAGTACAGGATAACTAATTAGTTGCCATAATTTTCTAGTAGACGTTACTATGACTTTAAGCAGTGGTTCTCAAATTATGGTCTCAGGATCCTTTTATACGCTTACGAATTATTGAGGACCCCAAATACCTTTTGTTTATATGGGTTTTACCTGTTGATATGTACTGTGTTAAAACTTACGGCAGAAATTTTTGAAATATTTATTAATGCATTTAGACATAAAATAATAAATCTATAACATTCTAACATATTTATGAAAATAAATGTTTTTCAAATAAAAAATAGAAGAATGACATTGTGTTATATTTTTGCAAGCTTTTTAAATGTTTAGTTAAGAGAAGTCAATTTAATTTTCTTTCTGAGTCTGCATTCGATCTGTTGCAAATCATGCCATGTAACATCTGAAAAGCTCTGCTGTACACATAGGAGAGAATAAGAGTTAAAAAGGCATATAGTAGTTTAGTATCACAGGCTTACTTCACGTTATTGTGCTTTGATTTACTGCACTTTGCAGAGACTGCATTTTTTTACAAATTGAAGTTTTGTGGCCACCCTGCATCAAGAAGTCTATTGGTGCCAATTTTCCAATAGCACGTGTTCGCTTCGTGTCTCTGTCACATTTTGATGATTCTCACAATATTTTAAACTTTTTCATTATTATTATATTTGTTATATTTTTATATTTTTAATTTTTATATTTTATATTTATATTTGTGGTCAATGACCTTTGATGTTACTATGGTAATTGTTTTAGCGTGTCATGAACCTTGCCCATATAAGACGGAAAGCTTAGTTGATGAGCGTCCTGTGTGTTCTGACTGTTTCACAGACCAGCCGTTCCTTTATCTTTCTCCCTCTCCTCAGGCCTTCCTATTCTCTGAGGCACAGCAATATTAAAATTAGGCCAATTAATTACCTTACAATAGCCTCTAAGTGTTCAAGTGAAAGGAAGAGTCTCATGTCTCTCACTTTAAATCAAAAGCTAGGAATGATTAAGCTTATTGAGGAAGGCATGTGGAAAGCCAAGACAGGCCAAAAACTAGACCTCTCATGCCCAACAGTTAGCCCAGTTATGCATGCAAAGGAACAGTTCTTGAAGAAAATCAAAATGCTCCTCTTCCTCCCACACCTTCAACAGACCTTCTTCTCTTTTCTGTACCATTCCTTCTTGAACATATCTTTTCCCCTGGACAGTATCTCTTTATTATATCTTATAAGGTATGTGAGAATGATGACAAATCTTGTGGGTCTTATGGCCTTCAACCGTGGTCCAGGTAAGATTTCTATTTCACTTATCATTCACTTATGAATAAGTGAAACAGCCTTATTGCTGATATGAAGACACTTTGAGTGGTCTGGATAGAAGATCAAATCAGTCACAATAGTCCCTTAGGCCAAAGCCTAGTCCAGGCAAGGCTCTTACTCTCTTTAATTCTATGAAGGCTGAGAGAGATGAGGAAGCTGCAGAAGAATAGATGAAAGCTAACAGAAGTTGGTTCATGAGGTTTAAGAAAAAAAGCCATCTTCATAACATAAAAGTGCAAGGTGAAGCAGCAAGTGCTGATGTAGAAACTGCTGCCTCAAGTTACCCAGAACACCTAGGTAAGATCACTGATGAAGGTGGCTACACTAAACAACAGATCTTCATTGTAGATGAAATAGCCTTGTACTGGAAGAAGATGCCAACTAGAGCTTTCATAGGTAGAGGGAAAAAGTCAACGCCTGGTTTCAAAGTTTCAAAGGACAGGTTGACTCTCCTGCTGGGGGGCTAAAGCAGCTGGTGACTTTAAGTGGAAGCCCATGCTCATTGACCACTGCAAAAACTCTAGGGCCCTTAATAATTATGCTAAATCTATTCTGCTTGTGCTTGTAAATGGAACAAAAAGGCTGTATGATTACATATCTGTTTACAATATGGTTTACTATGTATTTTAAGCTCATTATTGAGACCTACTGCTCAGAAAAAAGATATTTCTTTTAAAATATTAATACTCACTGACAATTCATCTGGTCACTCAAGAGCTCTGATGGAAATAGACAAGAAAATTAATGTTTACATGCCTATTAACACAGCATAGGTCAAGTAGTCATTTTGACTTTCCAGTTTTATTATTTAAAAATACATTTTGTAAGGCTATAGCTGCCATAGATAGTAATTCCTCTGATGGATCTGGACAAAGTAAATTGAAAACCTGGAAAGGATTCACCATTCTAGATGCAATTAAGAATATTCATGATTCATGGGAAGAAGTCAAAATATCAACATTAACAGGAGTTTAGAGGAAGTTGATTCCAACCCTCATGGATGACTAAGGGGTTTTAGACTCAAAATGGGAAAAATAACTGCAGATGCAGTGGAAATAGCAAGAGAACTGGAATGAGAAGTGAAGCCTGAAGAGGTAACTGAATTGCTGCAATCATAAAACTAACAGATGAGGAGTTGCTTCTTAGGGAGGAGCAAAGAAAGTGGCTTCTTGAGATGGAATCTATGCCTGGTGAAGATACTGTGAACATTAACTTCATATTTTAATTTTCTTGTCTTTAAAAGCCCCACCTCCAATAACATAAATGTCAGGCTTCCCAAAATCTGGATCTGACTGTGTGGTATTTAGCAAGATAATGTCTAATATCTAATGTCTGAACTTCAGTTTCTTCATTTTTAAAATGCAGATAATTGATAGTACCTATCATGTAAGATTATTGTGAAGATTATTTGAGGTAATAATATATAAAATATTGGCACAGTGTCTGTTAGTATTCATTCAATGATACTTATTGTTATTTATATTAGTGTTAGCTTAATACAGTAGAATAAGGGAGTAAAAGAATTATAACAAAATATCATTATAATAATTTTGTATACTATTTGCTAGGAAATATTCTTTTCATTCATAACCAATGCATTCATGTGTGGAATTTTTTTTGGAGGACATGACCTTTTCAAGAGGAAAAAAAATTGATGCGTTTTTATGAAATACATGAGATACATGTAAAAATTGGGAGATTACATTGTTATGTGTTAAACAATATGTTCCTAATTATTGCATTAGATATAACCAATGTGAGCTTTAATTACTTATTTGTTTTATTTCTAGGGCAAATTTCTCACTCTCTCTGCTTCTCAGATCCTCCATCTACTGAAAGGTAGACCTGGGCCCCTTACCTGGAAGGCGATTGTACACCACTCCTTCTTCTCCACCACAACACTCTAAATCGTTGCTCACAATCTGTCTGCCACAGCACTTCTGGCCATGGCCATCATGAAGCCTCCCAGCACAGCAAATCTGGTTTCCTGAGGTGGAGTACGGCATTCTGCCACAGCAGGAATCACCAATGCCAACAGAAACCCGATTGTGCTGTTCATCTGGACAGCATACTTCACCTGTCAATTTAGGACAATAATAATCATTACATCAGTTAAAAAAATATGCTATGACTAACAATTAACTTTTATCACAATCATCTTGCAGATCCCAACTGATTGACAGAATTACTAAAGAGAATAATATCATATTGGAGTTGCAAAATTTCCAAATGACTCCAAAGTTTTTGTGTATAAACGTGTGTCAGATCAGATACACACATGGCAACTTACAGGTAAGTCTATGTTGTCTATTTCCTCACCATCAGGTCTGGTGACATGGACTATGTGGCATTATAGAAAAACATCTAGGAATACTTTTTTGTTCTGTGTAATTTTCTTTTGGAACGTAGAGTGGATTCAAAAACCAACTATTGATAAATTTATATTGCTTATGACTATAATTTCCTTGACCAAACTATATTTGTTCAACCAAACAAAATACTCCCATTGGGAAGGTTAATTACATGAGAGGAGGTAAAAAATACTGTATTTAAGTCAGTGTGCTAGTACTTCTCTGGGCTATGTCACACACTGAATTTTACTACATTTCTCTTCACATGACAGTCTGGGAAATTTGGGATAAGAATAAGATAATCCACCAGGTGTGGTGCTTTACACCTGTAATCCCAACACTTTGGGAGGCCTAGGTGGGTGGATAACTTGAGGCCAGGAGTTCAAGACCAGCCTGGCCAACATGGTGAAACCCCATCTCTACTAAAAATAAAAAAATTATCCAGGCTTGGTGGTGCATGCCTGTAGTCCCACCTACTCGAGAGGCTGAGGCACGAGAATTGCTTGAACCCGGGAGGCGGGAGGCAGAGTGCGCAGTGAGCCAGGATTGTTTCACTGCACTCCAGCCTGGGCATATCTAAAAAACAAAAACAAACAAACAAAAAAAACAAAAAACAGAATTAGATAATCTTTTGCCTGGTACCTTAAAATCAAAGGACTCAAATACTCTAAATACCAAGAGTTAGCTTGTTTGTTTGTTTGGTATAAAGACAACTCTAAAGGACAGAAGATTTTGTAAATGGCTTCCCTTAAGGATACCTTCAAAAGAACTAATAAAAACTTGGTGGATCTGAAATCCAAGCTTCATTTCTCTTCTCTATCTCATGACCCCACTGTGGTTGTCTTCCCTCGTGGCCTTCGGAACCCTGACTTCCTTCTCTCTTTTGTCCTGCTCCTCCTCTTCTTCCTACACCTTCAACAGACCTTCTTCCCTTTTCTCTACCGTTCTTTCTTGAACATATCTTTTCCCCTGGACAACATCTCTTCATTATATCTTATAAGGTATGTGAGTATGATGACCAATCTGATGGGTCTTATGGCCTTCAACCATGGTCCAGGTAAGATTTCTATAATCCAATTAATGACTTGTCAAGCTTTCTTAAGAAATGGCACAAATCCACTGAAGAATTTAGGACTGCCTTAGGGATTTATAGTCCTGGACTTCTTCTCAATTAGTTCACCTTTTGGTGAGCCCTGGATATCCTAAAATTTGTTTAGTAAAAGCAAGATGTACTGTTTACCAAAATGATATAAAAATATGGGACAATATTTAATTAAACATAGATATATAAGGAGTATAAATAATAAGACAATAACTCTCAGCAGCTATCCTTGAGATCTTTTCTTTCCAAATTTATTGGCCAAAAATCCATCTCACTAGATGAAATGAGCAAATTACTAGAAACATACAACTTACCAAAGAAACCACAAGAAAAAAGTTAAAATCAATAGCTCTCATGAATATTGATGCAAAAATCTTCAACAAAATACTAGCAAACTGAATTCAAAAGCACATCAAAATGATTCTGCAACATGACCAAGCGGGATATATCCCTGGAATACCAGGATGGGTCAATATATGAAAATTTAATCAATGTAACACATTATATCAATAGAACAAAGGGGAAAAAAAAGAAACACATGATTATCTCAGTTGATGTAGAACAAATATTTGACAAAATTCAATCTCTTTCATTATAAATCCACTCAAGAAAATAGGAATAGATGAAAACTACTTCAACATAATCAAGAGTATATGAGAAAAACCTATACCTAATGTCATACTCAACAGTGAAAGACGGAAAACTTTTCCTCTAAAATCAGAAACAAGAAAAGGTTGCCACCCTTTGCCACTTGTATTCTACATAATATTGGATATTATGGCTAGAGCAATAGGCAAGAGAAAAAAATAAAAGGCATCTAAATTGAAAGGGAAGAAGCAAAACTATGTGTTCTCAGACAACATGATATCATATAGAGAAAACTATAAAGATTCTAAAAAAAAAAAAAACCTGTTACAACTAATAAACAATTCAGCACAGTATCAAGATACAAAGTCAGCATAGAAAAACTAGGTATGTTTCTATACACTAAGAATGAACAACATGAAAATAAAATTAATAAGATAATTTCATTTACAATAACATCAAAAAAAGAAAGACTTAAGAATGAGCTTACCAAGAAAGCGAAAGACTGAAATACTACAAAATGTTGTTGAAAGAAATTAAAGAAGATAACCAAATGGAAGAACATCCCATGTTTATGGACTGGGAGCCTTAATGTTGTTAAGGTGCCAGTACTGCTCAAGTGATCTACAGAATCAATTCAATCCCTATCAAAATCCCAATGCTTTTTGCAGAAGCAGAAGAAGCCATTATAAAATTCACATGGAATCTCAAAAAACTGCAAATAGTCAAAACAACATTGAAAAAGAACAAAGTTGGAGATCTCCCACTTTCTGATTTCAAAACTTACTACAAAGTTACAGTAATCAAAAGTGTGTTACTGGTACAAAGACAGACACATAGACCAATGGGATAGAACAGAGATCCTAAAAATGAACCCTTGCATATATGGGCAAATGATTTTCAACAAAAGTGCCAAGACCATTTAATGAGGAAAGGACCTTTTTTTTTTTTTAAAGAATGTTGGAAAAGTTGAATATCCACATGCCAAAGAATGATATTGAACCCTTACTTTATACCATATACCAAAACTAACTCAAAATGGATCAAAGATCTAGATGTAAAAGCTAAAACTTACAATTCTTAGACGAAAGCAAAGGGGAAATTTCATGACATTGGGTCTGCCAATGATTTCTTGGCTATGACACTGAAAGCAGAAGCAATAAGGAAAAAAGATGAATTGGATTCATCATAATTAATATTAATAACTTTTTGGCATCAAAGAACACTGTCAACAAAGTGAAAAGGCAACTCATGAGAAAATATATTAAAATTATATATCTGATAAGGAAGTAGTATCCAGAATGTATAAAGAACTTCTATAACTCAAAAACATGAAACAAAGACCTTATTTTTTAAATGGGCAAATAACTTTAATAGACACTTTTTTCCAAAGAAGACATACAAATAGCCAATAAACACATGAAAATATACTCAATATTAGTAATAAGTAGGGAAATGCAAATCAAAACCACAATGAGATACCACTTGATACTCATTAGGATAGTTATAAAAAACATAAAATAATAAACAGTAAGAATATGGAGAAATTGGCACACTTATGCGTTGTTGGGAATATAAAATGTTAAAATGTTCCACAAAACAGTATGGCAGTTCTTAACATGAAAATTAAACATAGAATTACCATATGATCCAGCAATTCCACTTCTGGGTATAAACCCAAAAGAATTGAAAACAGGAGATTGAACAGAAATTTGTACATTTCTACATCAATGTTTATGGCAGCTTTAACCATAATAGTCACTAGGCAGAAATAACCCCAATGTCCGCTGATGAATAAATGAATACAAAAGTGTTATATACATACAATGAGACATTATTCGACCTTAAAAAGGAATAAAATCCTGACACGTACGACAACATGAATGGGAACATACACAAATCAATAAACATAATCCAGCATATAAACAGAACCAGCGACAAAAACCACATGATTATGTCAATAGATGCAGAAAAGGCCTTTGACAAAATTCAACAACGCTTCATGCTAAAAACTCTCAATAAATTAGGTATTGATGGGATGTATCTCAAAATAATAAGAGCTATCTATGACAAACCCACAACCAATATCATACTGAATGGGCAAAAACTGGAAGCATTCCCTTTGAAAACGGGCACAAGACAGGGATGCCCTCTCTCACCACTCCTATTCAACATAGGGTTGGAAGTTCTGGCCAGGGCAACCAGGCAGGAGAAGGAAATAAAAGGTATTCAATTAGGAAAAGAGGAAGTCAAATTGTCCCTGTTTGCAGATGACATGATTGTATATCTAGAAAACCCCATCATCTCAGCCCAAAATCTCCTTAAGCTGATAGGCAACTTCAGCAAAGCCTCAGGATACAACATCAATGTGCAAAAATCACAAGCATTCTTATACACCAATAACAGACAAGTAGAGAGCCAAATCATGAGTGAACTCCCATTCACAATTGCTTCAAAGAGAATAAAATACCTAGGAATCCAACTTACAAGGGATGTGAAGGACCTCTTCAAGGAGAACTACAAAGCACTGCTCAATGAAATAAAAGAGGATACAAACAAATGGAAGAACATTCCATGCTCATGGGTAGGAAGAATCAATATCACGAAAATGGCCATACCGCCCAAGGTAATTTACAGATTCAATGCCATCCCCATCAAGCTACCAATGACTTTCTTCACAGAATTGGAAAAAACTACTTTAAAATTCATATGGACCCAAAAAAGAGCCCACACTGCCAAGTCAATCCTAAGCCAAAAGAAAAAAGCTGGAGGCATCACGCTACCTGACTTCAAACTAGACTACAAGGCTACAGTAACCAAAACAGCATGGTACTGGTACCAAAACAGAGATATAAACCAAAGGAACAGAACAGAGCCCTCAGAAATAATGCCACATATCTACAACTATCTGATCTTTGACAAACCTGACAAAAACAAGAAATGGGAAAAGGATTCCCTATTTAATAAATGGTGCTGGGAAAACTGGCTAGCCATATGTAGAAAGCTGAAACTGGATCCCTTCCTTACACCTTATACAAAAATCAATTCAAGATGGATCAAAGACTTAAATGTTAGACCTAAAACCATAAAAACCCTAGAAGAAAACCTAGGCAATACCATTCAGGACATAGGCATGGGCAAGGACTTCATGTCTAAAACACCAAAAGCAATGGCAACAAAAGCCAAAATTGACAAATGGGATCTAATTAAACTCAAGAGCTTCTGCACAGCAAAAAAAACTACCATCAGAGTGAACAGGCAACCTACAGAATGGGAGAAAACTTTTGCAATCTACTCATCTGACAAAGGGCTAATATCCAGAATCTACAATGAACTCAAACAAATTTACAAGAAAAAACAAACAACCCCATCAAAAAGTGGGTGAAGGATATGAACAGACACTTCTCAAAAGAAGACATTTATGCAGACAAAAGATACAT
The DNA here is from genome assembly GCF_000001405.40 of Homo sapiens. NCBI lineage: Eukaryota > Metazoa > Chordata > Mammalia > Primates > Hominidae > Homo > Homo sapiens. The sequence continues at coordinate 215,804,527 of NC_000001.11, forward strand.
GAAAAAATGCTCATCATCACTGGGCATCAGAGAAATGCAAGTCAAAACCACAATGAGATACTATCTCACACCAGTTAGAATGGCGATCATTAAAAAGTCAGGAAACAACAGGTGCTGGAGAGGATGTGGAGAAATAGGAACACTTTCACACTGTTAGTGGGACTGTAAACTAGTTCAACCATTGTGGAAGTCAGTGTGGCGATTCCTCAGGGATCTTGAACTAGAAATACCATTTGACCCAGCCATCCCATTACTGGGTACATACTCAAAGGATTGTAAATCATGCTGCTATAAAGACACATGCACACGTATGTTTATTGCGGCACTATTCACAATAGCAAAGACTTGGAACCAACCCAAATGTCCAACAATGATAGACAGGATTAAGAAAATGTGGCACATATACACCATGGAATACTATGCAGCCATAAAAAATGATGAGTTCATGTTCTTTGTAGGGACATGGATGAAGCTGGAAACCGTCATTCTCGGCAAACTATCGCAAGGACAAAGAACCAAACACCGTATGTTGTCACTCATAGGTGGGAATTGAACAATGAGAACACATGGACACAGGAAGGGGAACATTACACACAGGGGCCTGTTGTGGGGTGGGGAGATGGGGGAGGGATAGGATTAGGAGATATACCTAATGTTAAATGACGAGTTAATGGGTGCAACATACCAACATGGCACATGTATATATATGTAACTAACCTGCACGTTGTGCACATGTACCCTAAAACTTAAAGTATAATAAAAAAAAAAGAAAGAAAATGCACTAAGTGAAATAAGCCAGACACAAAAAGACAAATATTGTATGATTCCAATTATATTAGGTACCTAGAGTAGTCAAATTCATAGAGACCAAAAACAGAATGGTGGTTTCCAGGGGTTGAAGATAACAGGGAGTGGAAAGTTAGTGCTTAATGGAAACAGAGTCTGAGCTTGAGAAGATAAAAGAGCTCTAGAGATGGATGGTGGTAATGATTGTACAACAATGCAAATGCACTCAATGCCACTGAATTGTGTGCTTAAAAAATGGTTAAAATGATAAATTTTATGTGGTGTATACTTTACCACAAAAAAGTCCTGTAAACAAGGAAAAAATAAATCCATGCCTGGCTTCAGAGATCACTTAACTACCACCTTCCAGAATACTCTAAAGATCAGTGAAGAAGGTATCATAACTTCCCATAAAACAGAAGATAAGACAGTAGATTGTCCCTTCCTTCTAAATTACAAGAGCTTGCTAAGCACTTAGAAGATACTTTGGCTCAGAAAAAAAGAAAAAAAATTCAGACCACATTAACAGCTTTTGGGATTAAGCAATTAGATAAAGCCAAGAATGAGGGCACCTCTATGTCTAGTCTGCACAAAAACAACTTTCAATATTGTAAGGGACACTGGGAGAACACCTACTTTGCCTTTATTAGTGTATCTTAGAAAGACACAATCAAAAAAAAAAAAAAAAAAGGACAAACTGACAAAACAGCACCTCTCTGTGAAAGTAGCTGCTCTCATCTATCCATAACTGCCCTTGACATAGAAAGTGAGAAATTTCTATGCAATTGTAAAAATAGAAGATTGATACTGGTGGTAGGTATATTATCTATCAAAAACCCTTCTAATTTTCCATTATCCCTTTCTAGGAATAACCAAATGTCTCAGCGGTACACATATCAAATAATTTTCAGATTCTGCCTTTATTTTTCTTTTCTTTCTCTTGAATCAACATATTTTTTGTTTAGTAATTCCACTTCAGTGCATCTGTTGAGAAGAGATCCACTTTGTAAATGAGATACCAGCATTAAATGTGCACCTGAAAGTCTCTTTCTGTAACTCCCAGGAGAAGAATGCCTGGCCTATAATTTGGTGGTAGCACCAGCTAATTACCTGATGCCTTTGTTATCAACATCTCTGACTTTGAATGTGTCTCCAAGATCCTCTGGGGCAAAAACTGCTCAGATGTGGGATTCATACAGGATGCTAACCCCTTAAAGATGTCTATCAATCTGGCTATGCATTTCTTGAAACTGTCCCAAAATCTACTAAAAAGAACAATATTTAATAACTTGGTCCATTGTATCTACATACCTCTAGAAAGTTACCTCGCTTGGCATAACACCCCATTATCCCCTGTACCAGTCCTTGTAGTTCACTGTTCACTCTATCAAAATGATAAAAGACTTGTGTACCACTTTGTACAAGATTTAAGTGTCATTAACAAGATTGCACTCCCCCATTTCCCTGTAGTTCCCAACCCTAATATCATCCTACTGCCACTCCCTGAGGCAGCTGCTTAATTTATAGCAAATCTATACTTAGCATTTTTTTCATATATTCTTGCACTCAGGCTCACAGTATCTTTTTTTGTTTCACTTGTGACAGTTATTCCCCAAGAGTTTACGACAATGCTTTCTTAATTCTCACAACTGCTTAACCATTACCTTACCATGGTAAGCACAACATGGCCTCCCTAAGATGTCCACATCCTAATCCCTGGAACCTGTGACTATGTTATGTTACATGGCAAAGGGGAATGAAGACAACAGATGTGATTAAGTTTAATAATATGAAGTGAGAAAGGCTCAACTGGTCATTGCTGGCCTGGAAAATGGAAGGGGTCCACAAGCCAAAGAATGTGAGCAGCCTCTGCAAGGTGGAAAAGGCAAGAAAATGGATTCTCTCCTCCAGAAGGGAATGCAGCTCTTGTTAACTTCTTAGTTTTAGTTCAATGAGACCCATTTCAAACTTTTGATATTTGGATGTATAAAGTAAGTTTGTGTGGTTTTAAGCCACGAAGTGTCTGGTCATGATTTATAGCAGCAATAGGAAACAAACTGAGCGATATTTAATTTCCCCTATAAGATTCAACTGTTGTGCAATATGTGAATGATCATCTGTCACGTTCTCCAGATAGACTTGAAAAATTGATTCCCTCTATTTGTCAATAGTGGTAGCATACAATCGACATAAAGTCTCTAAATGTCAATTTTGTCAGAACAAAATGCTTTTTCTAGGACCTAAATTCTAGGCTGTGACATTTTGCAAAATGGAAAGTCTTTTTCTCTTCAAAGTTTGGAAGCTCTTCATGACTTTCCCTGGCTAGTTGCTAAAAGTCAACTTAGAGAATTGCTTGGCCTCATAGGATCAACAAGGATCCTTTGTTTCATAGGATCTCAAAGGTCATTAGATGTTTGAATCTTAGCTTTTGGGAACTGGCTATCCCTTTACATGATCTGATGAAAGTGGACACCCCTGAGTCCTTGCTCTGGAAAGATTCATTAGAAACTTTGTCATTTAAAGGAGGCCTGTTAGCCCTCTTTACTCATATGCTCCTCAATTACTAAACATTTTTTTTCTATTTAGATATAAAAGATAGGGTTAGCTTTGAGTATTCTAACTCAGCAGCCCAATGGACATCAGAAACATTAATACCCTGCTAATATTCCTAAAGTTACTTAATGAAGGTCAAACAACTAAGAGGTGAAAGAAATGGGATATGGAGCCAGGCAGTTTGACTCCAGAACCAATATCTTATTCACTAATTATTCAGCATCAAACCACGGAAACACTACACAAAACTTATGCTTTCATAAGAATGTGATCATGTAAAATATTACTTGAAATAGTCATCACTGACTAAGACATTTTTGCTTTCTTTTAAAGATAGGGATGTTCATTGTAATTTTAATGGAAATATATTTGCTATCTTACTGTTCTACTAACATATGAGAAAAATATATTAAGTCACTCATACACAGTCATCACATTATTATAAAACACACCATCTCTAGGAGCTCAACCTAAAATTTAACCATGAAAATTCCTATTTTGACTAGCTGAGTGTCTTGGTCATGTTTCTATGTCCCATTTTTCCTATGTGTAAAATGGAAATAGTGTTTTAAAAATATTTCATTTAAAAATATTATTCAGGACCATTAGTTTTTTTGGGTGCACACTTCCATGAATTTTAATGAAGAAACACCATCAGGATACAAAAGAGTTTCATCACCCCCACAGAACACCCTCACGCTATCCCTGTATAGTCACATTCCCTTCCCATCCATTACCCTTGGCAATTGTCAACTTTTTTCTCCAAAACTATGGTTTGTCTTGTATAGTATGTCATGTAAATGCAGTCTCACAGTTGGTAGCTTTTTGAGACTGGCTTCTTTCACTGGGCTTGATATCTTCTTGGCACTTATCAATACTTTGTTCTTTTTTATTGCTACATAGTATTCCTTTGTTCCACATTTGTCCATTTACTCACTTAGGGACATTTGAATTGTTTCCAGGTTTTGGCAGTAATGATTACAGCTGCTGTAAACCCTCATGTACAGGTTTTTGTGTAAACATAAATTTGCTTTTCTCTAGGGTAAATATCCAGGACCGGATCAAGACATACTCAGGATTTTCTCAAAATATGAATTTCTAGAATTCAGGAGACAGTTGGCTTAGTCAATTATCTTTGAAAGGATCCTATAATATGGTATCTCTAAGAAAAAGGGAACTTAGTAAAAGTTTCCATGATGATGCTACCAGAGACCAATGAAGGAGCAACGAGCTTATTGTAAACAGTAAAGTTACTGTATTTGTTATCTTCCCCTGGGTAAAATAATTCTATTTCGTCTGAAATGTAGTTGCCATATTTTTTGTCTTCACAGTCAAAGAACATAATGTCCCTCTATGGTAAACTTTAAGATAATGTATCCCATGGTACAGGGCAACAACAGTTAATTAAACACCACTCAGGACAATGGTGAGCTTAGAGGAAACATAGTATACACATCTACATGGCGAAAGCCAATACTTTTTTTTAAAGCCTCTTTTGAGCATAATAAATGTTAATTGGTTTAGATATTTTAGCTATGTCTTTCTGAATCCCTCAGAATCTTATTTAGTTACTGACAGAAGAAAAGTCTTCAAAAAAAAAAAGATGTGGATTATATCAATAAAAAATAAAACTATTTTTTTTTCCTCAAAAAGGGGCTATTAGACATAAGATACAAGGATCAGTCACCTTCTCATTAACCTCTCAAAATGAATCTATTTCAGGCCAGGCTTGAAAATGTTTTCTCTCTAAAAACTACCATGCAGTCTAACAGTTAATTGTTATTCTTATCAAAGAATGACCCACATTAACATTTACTTGGGGTTATTAGCATATTTATTAAAAAAGGGAGAGAAATGAGCATTCTTTCCTCTTCTGCTGTTTGTTATGGGGTGTTATGGAAGAAAGTCATGAGAAAAAAAATAAAGTACGTATTTACCAATATTTCAGGCTAATCCATAAATATCAAAATGCCTATACCCATCTTGGCCTTGAACTGGCAGACTAGTGACCAGATTTAAATCACATTTAGATGCAACAGGATTTGGGACCATTGCGCTTTTTTCCCCCTCAGTGTAACCAGTGTTAAACTAGCTAACAAAGACCACGGGGCTGAGGACAGAGGTCACAAAATAATCTCTTCATTTAGGTACAGTGGGATTAATGATTGGAGCAAAACACTCTTTGATTATTTCATGAGATTGCTTTTTTCCTTTTTTCTTGACACCAGGGTATGCATTCTAATGCTATGAAAAATGAACTATTTAAAAAAGAATCAAAATTTGGGGCATGCTCAATGGTTTGGTAGATATTAAAATGCTTTAGGTGTGCAGAAACATGTATTTATACATACAGACAATACATATTTTTTAAATCCTTGGTCTAAAAATTAATTATTAAAGGCTTATATAATATCAATGACAACTTCTGAGCTTCCATGAGTTATTTCATTTTTAAGAAAAATGTTAAATTTTATTTTGAAACCTAACAAAAGTAGATTGTGCTGTCGGTTCAAAATCTGACTACTTATGTTAGCATTGAGAAAGTCACAGGCCAGTCTCCTGAGTTAGCAGCAGTGAAGATGTAACTAAGAATTTTTCATTAGTTTTAAGGGACAGAGGATATTTTGTAGAGTTTGAATAGTTTGTTGCAAATCATAACATAAAAATTTTAATGTGATGTGGAAATGAAAACACTATTACTTAGTTCCATGATCAACTTGGTCTACTGGTGTGAAGAATGGTAGGAATTGAACAACACAAAACGTCCATCTGATCACTGTAATTATAATTTTATAGCAATGATTTGTAATCAAGGGCAGATATGAATCATACATGAAAACTCCCCAAATTTAAGTTACTTCGAGAAAGTAAAGCATTTAACAGTATTTGATCCATTGTTGACATCGTGAGCTGTAGTATGAAGAAGTTTAACAGTTTTCTACAAAATCCTTATTTCCATATATATTTTTACTTTTTCTTAAGTGGAAAATCTGGTTTACTAGAACTTATTCAATTTTGAAATATTTTTGATAGAGAATAAGAAATAACAGCACTGCTATACAAACTTTTTTTTTCTATTAATTATAAGGAAAAATAATGAGTGAAGGTTCTCTGCCTTGAGAAAACTTGAGCAGTATTTAATCAGGACACCTGAAACCACCTTTGCAAAAATTATGACAGTAAGAAAATCCTGACACTGGAAAATTATGACAGTGAAAGAAATGTGACCTAACCAATTCCATCTTGCTTCTAGCCTACAAGCTACCCTGTCCATTCCTGGGCATAGGCCAAGATAACTATGAGAGGTGTTTAGTTTAACTTCGAAACACTGATGATAGTCCTTTCCTGAAACAAACTTGCTCCTTGCTTGGGGGGCAGAGCACCTTTATAAAATTAACAAATTAGCCACAAGGAACTACGGCTTAGGTGTTCATGGCACCAGAGGCCACATGATTCCTAACCTTCCCAACTGCTTCCATAGATAACATCACTATTGTAAAACCTAAGATTGGTGTTCAACGTATTTTTCACACTCTTTATTCTGAGGGACCAGCTATTTTTCACACTCTTTATTCTGAGGGACCAGCTAGTATCACCCAGACCAGTAAACTGGCTCATCTGATCCTATAGTCCCCATCCAGGAACTGACTAAGGACAAGAAGACAGCTCTGACTCCCTATAATTTTATCCCCAACCAATAAGCATTCCTCATTCCCTAGCCCTATGCCTACTGCACTATCCTAAAAAAAACCCTAGGCTGGGCCAGGTGTGGTGTCTCACACCTGTAATCCCAGCACTTTGGGAGGCCAAGGTGGGCAGACATTTGAGGTTGGGAGTTCGAGACCACCCTGACCAACATGGAGAAAGCCTGTCTCTACTGAAAATACAAAATTAGCCGGGTGTGGTGGCACATGCCTGTAATTCCAGCTACTTGGGAGGCTGAGGCAGGAGAATCGCTTGAACCTGGGAGGTGGAGGTTGCAGTGAGCCGGAGATCACGCCATTGCACTCCAGCCTGGGCAACAAGAGCAAAACTCCATCTCAAAACAAACAAACAAATAAAAAAACAAACAAAAAACAAAAACAAACAAAAAACCAACCAAAAAAACCCCTAGGGTTTTTTTTTTTTTTTTTTTTTGAGACAGAGTCTTACTCTGTTGCCCAGGTTGGAGTGCAGTGGCACCATCTCGGCTCACCGCAACCTCTGCCTCCCAGATTCAAGCAATTCTCCTGCTTCAGCCTCCCGAGAAGCTGGGATTACAGGAGCCTGCCACACGCCCAGTTAATTTTTTGTATTTTTTACAAGAGATGGGGTTTAGCCATGTTGGCCAGGCTGGTCTTGATCTCCCGACTTCAGGTGATCCACCCGCCTCAGCCTCCCAAAGTGCTGGGATTACAGGCATGAGCCACCGTGCCCAGACAGACCCTAGGTTTTGAATTTTCTGGGAGACTGTTTTGAGTAAAACCTCCTGTTCTGCTTAGCTGGCTCTGCATTTATTAAGCTCTTTCTCTGTTGCAATACCACTGTTTTGGTAAATTGGCTCTATCTGTGCAATGGGCAAGATGAACCCATCAGGTGATTGCACGCCTTCTATATTTGCTCCAGTATTTTGCAAAACAGACACTGGGTTAGACAGTGTCTCATTTCACATGCCTTGGATGGATATAGTTATACTGAACATAATTTACAGGAACCAGACGTTGGGCATAAATTTCACCCTAAACTAGATATCTCAAAGTATTCAGCTTTCCTATGGCCTCCAAAAAACTTGGCTTTCTTGTCTTTCTCCTATATCCATTTCCTGCTCTTTAAAGAAGATATCAGTATCAAACTTAAGTAGTAGAAAAAAGTTTGTATTCTCAATTACTTTTGTATTCTCAATTACTTTTGCAGGATAAATTGTAACTGACAGTGGTAGTAATGAAGAAGTTTAGAAGTCTTAAATAGTCCTTTTAAAAAAATTGTCAAAAGAGGTTGATGCTTTTTGGTTAAAGAGGCAGTAAAGTACACAAAAGAGCATAGATTTAGGAGAGACATACTTATATTCACATTTTAGTTCTTTCACTTCTATGCACATCTGTGAATCTGGATATGTTATTGATCCTCTCTAAAACAGTTTCCTTACTTGTAAACTGCCTTGTATAATACAAATTTCCTGGAGTTGTGAAGATTCTATAAGGTATCCCATGTAAAGTCTTCAATACAGAGCCTGCGAGAGACTTGGTACTTTAAAAATGGCAGTTATTATTAGCATCATTCCCAATTATATTCACTAGGCATTGTTTTATGTAGTTGAAATTTGGAGCAAAATGGCTAGCTAAGTTGGCTAATACTAAAAAGGGATGAAGGAAAAAATCCAGTTTGCTACCCTTTGCAGCATTCTTCCTTCCCTTGCCTGACTTATGATGAGAGAATATTGCCAGTGGCCTAGAATTCTCAGACAAATGAAATTTGCAGTTGCGATCTATCCAAGAACAATGCATGTGTAGTTCAGATTAGAAATGGAGGAAGTGGGGAACAGCTTCATGGGGTGGAACAGTCAGCAATTCACATATTTAATAGTGAAAATATATAGTCATGTTAATAAAAAAAGCCACAAGATAAAAGGAGTTAGCCAGATCTCCAGATTTATTTCTTTCTGTAGTAGATATTGTAAATTCCTTCTGTTCTCTCGTTTTCTAATATTTAGCCTTGCTTATATTTTAACAAAGCAGAAGGAAGAAACAATATTTAGAGCAGGCCATTGGCTATGTGTTTATGGTTCAATTTTTGTTGAGAGGGAGGTGTTTGAAATAGTTCACTGACATGAACCACGTGTTTATGTTTTCAGGTTCCCATAGTTTTTGAGTACACCTGGAAATAACCCTCACCTGGTAGAATTCTAGCGTAATACCCAGAGCAGCACTGATGATTTGGTTGTGCCTCCTGTATTCGGCCACCACAACAAACTCCAGTAGAATTCAGAACAAACGGGATATACTTTTCTTCACAACAGCGATGTCCAGGCTTGGGGTTATAGAGCACTCCGTTACAACAAACCTGAAAGTTTGAAAACAGTTTTAAAGAAATATCAGTTTAGTTAAGAGTGTTATACCACTGTATCTCATGTAATATAATTATTTTCTTGTAAGGCATAGAAGATCTGAGACCATATTACTCATATTTCGTTGGTTTAAAAATGTATTTTCCAGGATCATTCGAATTTTATAAATGTTATTTGATAGAATGCAGCTTTTTTGAAGTCTTCAACCATGCTTTGTGCTCTATTATAATACTATATAATATAATATGTATTTAATTATATAAAATTTTAATTTTATATCTTTTATTTTATTATATAAAATTTTAATTTTATATAATAAAAGATATAAGATGTATATCTTATATCTTACACATACACATATGTATATATACATAAGATATAGATCTTTTATTATATAAAATTTTATAATAAAAATAGATATATTTAAATATATACATTTTTTATTATATAAAATTTTAATAATGCCTTAAACAAAGTCTTATTGTTGGGATTAAAGAGGCAACACAGGTATTGCAGTGAAAGACAACAGAAGAAGTTAATTAAATTTAAAAAATTGTAAATTTCATTTGGGGCTAGGTATGAATATATATTTTCTAGCATGAAAGATTGGAGAGAAGTAGGAAAGAGACTTTTATTGTAGGTCTAAAGGCGAGTGAGTTCTCACGAGATTTGATGGTTTAAAAGAGTGTGGCAGCTCTCCCCTTCGCTCTCTCTCCCTCCTGCCATCACATGAAGAAGGTCCTTGCTTCCCCTTCACCTTCCGCCATGATTGTAAGTTTCCTGAGGCCTCCCAGTCATGCTTCCTGTTAAGTCTGCAGAACTGTGAGTCAAACCTCTTTTCTTCATAAATTACCCAGTCTCAGGTAATTCTTTATAGCACTGTGAAAACGAACTAAGACACCTGGGAACATGTTTAGAAATGCAAATTTTCACAGCCAAATCTAAACCTACTGAATCAGAATCTCTGGGACTAGAGCTATGAAATCCTAGGTTTTAACAATTCCCCCAGGTCTTACGTTCACTGGGATTTGTGAACCATGGCTGTAATCTTATGGTAAAGCTTGTTTAAGTATTTTGGGAAACATTGATGTTTACAGTGATTTAGCCAAAAAGCTTTTAAACCCGCAATACAAGTCTCTTTTCTACTTCTCTCCAATCTTTCATGCTAGGAAATGTGTATTAGTACCTAGTCCCAAACTGAACTTTACAATTTTTTTTTTGAAATTTAACTGACATCCTTTATTCTCTTTTACCGCAATACCTGTGTTGCCTCTTTAAGCTCAACAATAAAAATAAGACTTTGTTTAAGGCATCATTAAATAGTGTGTCTCGTTTTAGTGTAATAAGGTATGACATTTGCATTATAAGAATAACCAAATGTGATGTTTCTTTTCAAGACTATGTGGTGAGATTTGCACACGCCTGTTTTCTAAAGCCTAACTTTTGCTTCCCTATTCATCAATTTACATTTATTTTCTATAAAAGGTGACCCGTATGATTTTTTTTTTTTTGTAGAGTAGATTTGTCTAAATCATTTTTAAATTGATTTAAAATTAAACTAACCGGTTCTTTGTCATTCACTGAATTTAGGAATGTTACACCAACCAGTCACTTATTTGGTACAAAGCTTCAGTAAATTTTTAAAAGTTACAAAAAGCGGTTTCTGAAATCACAGCATAAAGAAAGGTAGGAGTAATTTTATAAATAATTTAGCCTAAACATAGGTAAATATTATTCTGTTAATACTTTATTAATATTTTTCTTCATCCCATTACTTTTTCTTCACCCTATCTCAGGTATATTCTAATTTAATATGAACATTTTAAGAACATCCACCTTTTGATCTTTTAGAATAAACTTAAATGGAAACATTATCTTTACTAGTTTTACTCTACTTAGCTTTGATTTTGCCACTAAAGTTATAGGGTTGAAACTTATCAAATCCATTATACACACCTAAACTACTATGACAGTTTCTGGCCAGAATCAGTTTTTACTTTGATGGAACACATTGTTTTCTGCACTCCACAAACTTTAAATCATTTATTCGTATGCCTATACAACTATTCTCTCTTTGTCCACTTCGTAACAGATAATAAATATTAAAATAATAGAAGCAAAGAAAAAAATTGAGAAGTGAATTCCGTATTTTGCCAACATTTTCCCAAGTTTTTCTTAAGTGGAGGATATGTTTAATGGGCAAATTTATTTTAGTATTTTTCTTCTCAGAAATCCCAAATTTAATTTTATACAAATATGTTCATCAGATGTGTGTATTTAAATATGTGCATACTTAATGGCATAAAATGATGTCAAATGTAGGCATAATGATAATTTTAGAGTCTAAGTATCAAAAAATGCACAGTTAGTAACTGCTGGCTTTATGCATTTCTTAGATGATAACTCCTGCTAAATTTGTGTCAGCCATAATAATTTGTATTTTGATCCATATTGCTTCAGTAACTCACTTTCTTAATTATGGTGTTCTTTTGCAGTAAATCTTATAAATTTAGTAGTAGCTTTAGCCATTGAATGTGTGATGCTGTTGTTGCCAAATAGGAACATTATTTCATTATATAAAATTCTACCTTCAAACTAAGGATTTTGTGTTGTTTGTCAATAAAAGTCATTTACAAACTCCTCTGTCTGGCTGTATTATTGATCTGATTTCTAAACCGCATCTAATATGAACATTAATCTACAAATGACTATAATGCTAAAATATTTCTGACAAATCATAAAATGTCCTCCTCACAGTTACTCATCAGTGCCATATAAACAAACACCTATTTGTAGCTGAAAAGATCTGTTGTAAAGAAAATTTTAAGTCACTCAATCAAATAAAATTTGGGATGTACCCTATTCTAATAAGTTTATATTTCTTGTGAAGATAATAAAAAATGGGAAGGCTAAAGTGCTCATGAGGGTGATAGTGATTTTTGTAAGCATCCTTTCTTTTCCGTGGAGTCTTCTTCATAGAGTAGTGGAAATATTGATCATAATACATCATGGTGTGAGAAGCTAATAATTTCACTTGGAGTCTTGAGTGAGAAAAACATGGTTCACTGATTAGTTAGAAAAGACTTACCTTAGCTTCAGAAGAATAGCAAATGTGTCCACAGATAGATTCAGGTTTTTGACACCTCACTGCCTTGCAGAGCTCATCACTCTGATCCTGCACTAACTTTTGAGTTTTAGCGCATGGATACCATGTTTTCCATAGGAGATCATATCCAAGAATGATGCCATTTGGCTTCCGTGGAGACACCCAATCAATTTGAAGAGATCTGCAACAGAGAGAATAATCAATACTTCTGAAAAGACACTATTTAACATTGATGCTATCAGTCTTAAGTAAAAAGTGGCAGCAATAGATACTAATATATATATATAATTATATATGTTTATATATGAAATCATATATTTTCAAATCAATCAAAATTATGTTAGCTTTTGGAAGAATAACACATGGCGTGAGGTGGTTTATTACTTTCAGTTTCAAAGACAAGAAGCAAGTGTCACTATGGCTAATCAAGAAAATCAGAGCATTTTGTTTGGTAAGCAAAGATAAGACATACATGACTTGGTAAACAAGGTGACAATTAGAACATGTGGCAACTTAATGCCTACTTCTAACCTGCTTCTCCTTTGCCTTACTTTACCTAGGAGTTGTGATATGAAACATAACTGCTCAGAGATGCCACGGGAACACCATGATGGGACTCCTATGGAGGTTCCTAGGAAATTTTAGCTTTCTTGAAAGAGCTGCCACCTTCTCCTTTTCTCTTTCTTTCCGCTAAACATGATGTCTACAACTTCAGCAATCATCTTTCAGTTATTTGAAAAGGCCAAAACAATCACAAAGATGCCGCCATTATATTTGGCATTGGTTCACCAATGCCAACAACTATCCACAGCGGACTCTTGAACAAAATAAATTTGAACTGTGCAGATCCACTTACATGTAGATTTTCTTCCACCTCTGCCACTTATGAGACAGCAAGGCCAACCTTTCCTCTTTCTTCTCCTACTTAGCTTACTCAATATAATGATAATGAGGATGAATACTTTTATGATGATCCACTTCCACTTAATGAATAGTAAATATATTTTCTCTTCCTTATGATTTTCTTAATGAGATTTTCTTTTCTTTAGCTTACTTATGGTAAGAATATAGTATAAATATATATGCAAACTATGTTTTAATCAGTTTTTTATGTTATCATTAAGGCTTCTGGTCAACAGTAGGCTATTAGTAGTTAAATTTTGGGACAGTCAAAAGTTATATGCAGATTTTCGACTGGGTGGGGATCAGCAGTCCTAACCCTTGCATTGTTCAAGAGTCAACTATATATCTAGAGCTATTTACTTAAGTCTCTTTTGTCAGGTGTTTTGTTACTTGCAGTCAAAATAAATGCCCAAATTGAGAAATTTTATAGTCACTAACTTATTTAAAACATACTTTGCTTAATTTTTTGACTCATCTAAATAGATTCTTTTTTTTTTCAATAACTCTTTAACTAGCATGGTCTGAAATGATTTTTGGTGAAAAATATAGAACTTAAAGATTCCCGTAAGAAATATGTTTACATTGTCATGTTCTTAAAGAAAATGTTTGATTTTAAAAAATTGAGTGATAATTTCAATTTAAACCCAAGTAGAAAGTTTTTATGAGAGGCAGGGTTTGGTATACAATGAAGGTATAACATCTGATCAAAACTTTACTGCATTTTCAATGATCTATTAATATTTCATTTGCTGTAGCAAATGAGGTCATAACATAAAGCTGTTCACAGAGGAGACAACCCTGAATAAAATGATTTAGTCTCAGGTTAATGTTACAGAACTTAAATTCTGCACTTAGGTCTACTTGCCAGAAAAATACTGCCTAGACCACACATCTATGCTATCTTTAGTATTTGCTTAATAATCTCTATAAGAAGACAGTAGTTAAAGTTTTTAATAAAGCCCCAGAGATTTGAACATGACATATTCTTGCAGTGTAGCACAGCAAAGAAAACCTCCTTTTTGTGAAACACAAGGTAAATATAAAAATTATAATGATTTTTTTGTTCTCATTGTTTTTAAAAAAATAGGTGAAGCTCTGACATTCAAGATTAGTTCTTTTTTATGATTCTAGAATTTCTAGCCATAAAAATTAACTAATCACAAATATGTGTAGCGTACATTTTACATATAAAGCATTAGCATTCCCATATATACTTTGGAATAAAGCAAGCACATAAGAACCTTGTCCTTCTATTTCAAAAGTTAAGCAATAAAAATCTCACAACTTATGTTGGATGCTTTTTTGCTATCGTGTAAAATAACATTTCAACTATCCCTTTCATTTTAAGGTAAAATATGTCTTTGCAGGCCAAATTACTGGACCCTATCAGAATTCCAAGTGACATCACATATTAGGAATTCAATGAAGCCCAAATATTTATGTTAAAAAGCGGCAGTCAAGATAAACCTCAACATTTTCATAGACTGCTAAAAAAAGAAAACTATTATTTCAGTTTTGTGGGGGTACAAACATAACACATTCAGTAATAAAACTCTGTAGATAGGAAATTAATGTCACCTATGAGAGAACAGTTTCATAGATGACTTGTACAGCCACAGCTATTATTCTGAAGTTTTTATCAAACTTTCAAAATTAATTCCACATTCTGCAGATACCTTTTGTATTCTCTGCATAATCAACTACAGAAAAGATTACATTTAAGTGACATTCAAGAGTTTGACTTATCCACAAAAGCTCGTGAACTAGTAAAGTCTAGAAAATACCACGTAGAGCACGTTCCATGCCATTATAACTTCCCTTTCTTGTGCAACATAACTGTTAAGTGAGACCGCCTATATTTTCGGCAAGAACATGAACAGTTTGCTTTTGAGGATTTAATCAAGTACACGAAGGAAAATGATTAAGAAGAGTATTGGGTTTAACATCTGTACATCTCTCATTAGAGCCAACTGGAGAGACAATTGAAACTCCTTTGGTTGCTGATCTGAAAATGAAAGGCATCTTTGAGAAATATGCATCATTATTAGCGGGATTAATAGTTTCATTGCTTTGATGTTTAAGAGTAAAATAGAAGGAACATTCTTCAATCCCAGGAATAAATGTTAAATATTGGAGAAAAAGAGCTGAAGATACTTTTGGGCACTCATGCATAAACATAAACAGATTGCAAATATTTGAATGAATTTTTTTTGGTAGATTTGTTCATGAAATAACTGTTATAGTTTTTTTTAGATTTTAAAGTAATAGGAACTGAAATTTAAGATACCTTAATACAACTTCTGATAAAAGTCACCATGTCTACACACATTTTTTTCTCTCTCAAATGTTTGGGTTACATTTTCTCATTCCTTCACACACACACACAGCCCACATACACACAACATTGTGGATTATACTTTGCAAAGTCTCTAGGTTGAATTGTTTTCCTCTGAAAGTAACAGGCTTTACTAGCAGTCAGTTAAATTACAGGTGGATTACAATCTTGGGGAAGCCTGGAGTTTAAAAAAATATATTTTAATCAATACATAATAGATGTACATATTTCAGGGTCCATGTGAGAATTTAATACATTCATATAATTTGTAAAGAGCAAATCAATGTAACTGGCATATCCATCACCTTAAATAGTTGTCTTTTCTTTATGCTAACAACATTTAAATTATTCCCTTCTACCTATTGTGAAATATGTAAAAGATATTGTAAACTATAAATCACCTTACTGATCTATCAAATACTAGGTCTTATCTCTTCATTGAAACTGTAAATTTATATCCATTAATCAATCTATTCTTCCTCTCCCTCTCCCCATGACCCTCTCAGGCCTCTGGTAATCACCAATCTACTCTCTACCTTCATGAGGTTCACTTTTTTATCTCCCACATATGAAAGAGAACATGCAATGTTTGTCTTTCTATGCCTGACTTATTTTACTTAACATAATGACCTCCAGTTCCATCCATGTTGCTGTAAATAATAGGAGTTAAGTCTTTTTTATGGCTGAATAAGAGTCCATTGTGTATATGTACCACATTTTCTTTATCCATTCATTCATGATGGGCACTTAGGTTGATTTCATATTTTGGCTACTGTGAACAGCACTGCAATAAACATGGGAGTACAGGTGTCTTTTCAATATATTGTTTTCCTTTCTTTTGGATATACACCCAGTAGTGAATTGCTACATTATACAGTAGTTCAATTTTTAGTTTCATGAGGAACCCCCATACAATATTCTATAGTGGCTGTACAAATTTACATTCCCACCAACAGTGTAAATAGAGTTCCCCTTTCTCCACATCTTCACCAGCATCCATTATTTCCTGCTTTTTTATTTTATCAAAGCCATTTTATCTGGGTGACATAATATTTCATTATGGTTTTGAGTTGCAATTCTCATCTCTTTAGTGATGATGAACATTTTTTCATATACCTGTTGGCCATTTGTATGTCTTCTGAATAGGCAATAGGCAATATAAATGCCTATTCAGATCATTTTCCCATTTTTAATCAGATGTTTTGTTTTTGTTTTTTGCTTTTGAGTTGTTTAAGCTATTTATATATCCCAGTTATTAATTCATTGTCAGATAGACAGTTTGCAAGTATTTTCTCCCATTCTATGGCATGTCTATTCACTTTGTTGATTGTTTCCTTTGTTGTGCAGAAGCTTTTTAGCCTGATGTAATCCCATTTTTCTGTTTTTGCTTCTCTTGCCAGTGTTTTTGAGATCTTACACAAATGCCTTTGCCTAGATCATGTCTGGGAGCATCTCCCCAATGCTTTCTTCTATTGGTTTTACAGTTTCAGGTCTCAGACTTAAGTATTTAATCCATTTTGAGTTGATTCTTGAATGCGGTAAGAGATAGGGGTCTATCTCTTCTGTCTCTTCTATCATTCTTCTGCATATGGATATCTAGTTTTCCCAGTGCCATTTATTAAAAAGACTGTTTCCTCATTGCAAGTTCTTGGTTCCTTTGTTAAAAATGAGTTGTCTGTAAATGCATGGATTTATATCTGGGTTCTCTATTCTATTCCATTGGTTTATGTGTTTGTTTTTATGCCAATACCATGTTGATTTGGTTTCTTTAGGTTTGTGCTATATTTTGAAGTAAGGTAGTGTAATGCCTCCAGCTTTGTCTTTTTTTTACTCAGATTGCTTCAGCTATTCTGGGTGTTTTGTGGTTCCATATAAATTTTAGAAATACTTTTCTATTTCTGTGAAGAATGTAATTGGTCTTTTGATATGTATTACATTGAATCTGTAAATTACTTTGGGTAAAATTGTCATTTTAATAATATTAATTCTTCTAATCCAAGAGCATGGAATATCTTTCCATTTATTTGTATCTTACTCAATTTCTTTCATCAGCATTTTATAGTTTTACTTGTATAGATATTTTACTCCTTTAGTTAAATTGATTCCTAGGTATTTTATATTCTTTGTAGCTATTGTTAATGGGACCACTTTCTTGATTTCTTTTCAGATTGCTTGCTGTTGGTGTATATAACTGCTATTGATTTCTGTACATTGAGTTTGTATTCTGCAACTTTACTAAATTTGTTCATCAGTTCTAACAGGTTTTTTGGTGGAGTCTTTAGGTTTTCTAATTATAAGAGCATGTCATCTGTTAACAAGGCTAATTTGACTTATCCCTTTCCGATTTGGATGCCCTTTATTTCTTCTCTTGACAAATTGCCTCACCAGGATTTCCAGTATTGTGTTGAATAAAAGTGTAAGTGGGTATCCTTGTCTTGTTCCAGTTCTTCCAGGAAAGACTTTCATTTTTTCCCAGTTCAGTACAATGTTAGCCATAGGTTTGTCATACATGGCTTTTATTTTGATGTATGCACCTTCTATATCCAGTTTCTTGAGGGACTTTATAATAAAGCCATATTGAATTTTATCAAATGCTTTTTCAGCATCTATTGAAATGATCATATGGTTATTGTACTTGGTTGCCAAAAACAAAGAAACAATGAAAAAACTCTAAAATTTAACTGTATTTCTCCATATTTTGACTTTATGTCGTCTCAATTTGTATATTTTTATGTTGTCTATCTCTTAACACGTTGCTGTACCTACTATTGTTTTTGATAAATTTGTCTTTTGGGCTTCATACTGAAGTGATGAGTGGATTGCATGCTGCAATTACAGTATTAGAGTATTCTGGGTTTGTCTGTGTACTTAATTTATCAGTGGGTTTACTTTCAAATGTTTTCTTTCTGTGCATTAGTTTTTTATGTCTTGCAGTTTGAAGAACTCTCTTTAGTATTTCTTATAAGATGGGTCTCATAGTGGTAAATTACTTCAGCTTTTTATCTGGGAAGGACTTCATTTCTCTTTCATATTTGAAGGATAGCTTTATTGTATGCAGTACTTTTATATGGCATTTGTTTTTTTATTTCAGCACTTTGAAAATGTCATCCCACTTCCTCCTAGCTTGTATGGTTTCTGTTGAGTAGACTGTTGCCAAACAAACTGAAGCTTTTAAATATGTTATTTGCTTCTTTTCTCTTGCTGCTTTTAGGATCCTCTCTTTGTCACTGACCTTTAAGAATTTGATTGTTATATGCCTTGGAATAATCTTATTTTAATCAAATCTGGTCTTCTCTGACCTTTCTATATCTGGATATTTCTCTGTTTCTTACATTTTACAAAGTTTTCTGTTAATCTTTCTTTTAAAAAGCTTTCTACCTCTTGCTCTTGTTTACCTTCCTCTTGAACACCAATAATTCCTAGATTTTGTCTTTTCAGGTAGTTTTCTATATACCTTGTAGGTGATCTTCACTTGTTTTCATTCTTTTATCCCCACCTCTCTGTATTTTCAAATAGCCTGTCTCAAGTTTGTTGATGCTTTCCTCTGATCTAGTTTGCTATTGAGAGCCTCTAATGAATTTTTCACTTCAGCAGATGTATTTCTCAGATCCAAGATTTCTTTTTTAATTTCTTGAACCATTTTAATCTCTTTGTTAAATCTGTTGAGAAATGTCTGAATTTATCTTATGTACTATCTTGGTGATCATGAGTTTCCTTAAAACTGTTTGAATTCTTGGTCATAGAGTTCACCTATCACCATCTTGTTAGGGTCACTCACTGTTTCCTTGCTTTTGTCAGCTTGAGAAGATCCTACTTCCCTGTTTAAAGAAGTTGTATGTCTGCAAACACACCACCGTCCTGCATATTATCAAGGATATGTATCTTTGAATTATTTTTAATTCCCTGAATTTATTAAACAGCAACTTTAGTATATTTTCTTTTGGAGCATCCTCTCATATATTACTCTTCTCTCCATTTCTTATGGATATATGTCTATGTCTTTGCATTGAAGGATTAGTTATTTATTGCAGTCTTCTCTGGCTTGCTTTGGTTTTTCTTAGGTATGTTTGCATAGAGATTCTTTGTAATTTTTCTGTTCATTTTCTTTCATTTTTTTTAATTCACTGGGTCACTGCCTCCTTTTTGGCACTAGATGGTGCCTCAGGTCCAGGTTTGCCTTGTCTCCAGTAAACTATCAGAATACCACCTTTCCCAAATAGGGGAGGTTCCAAAGGGGATATCCTGGTAGTGTGAGGAGGCTGGCTGAGGATTGGTGCCCAGGAAACCTGTGGAGCAAAACTACTACAGTGTGGTGCTGCTGAACAGCCACTCTGATTTGGCATCTCCTTTTACTGAGTTACAGAGCAGAATTTCCAGGGCTGGTGATGGTAGTCCCATCTCCCCACATTGTCTCTGGATGTCCTCACAGAGATAGAGCCCTTCGGGCACTCCTGATGCTTCCTGTGGGTTGAGGCAGGTAAAGGTCTCCTGCCAGGTAACCTAAGACGGTCGGGAAACTGTCCACTTCAATCGCACTTTTCCAGTGCAGAAATCAAGGGTCAGGAAAATATTTTCCACAAGCGTGGTGCTGAATATATTGGGGAGATGGGCATTGTGGATATGAAAGTCCAATTTTCTTACCATCTGCTCGGAGATTTTCACTTCTCTGTGACTTTGGGAACTGTCTTGTCCTCATATTTGAGTTCTGGGATATTGCTGTGATAATCTCAGTTCTGTACATTTGTTTCTGTTTTCTGTGGAGAGGAGTGAAGCCAGCTTGCTTCTATGTCATCATTTTGGAACTGGAAGTTCTTTACACATATTTTGGTACATGAATTCATCAAGTGTTCAGACATTCTAGTTGTAGTTATTTCTTTTTAATTATGTCATATTGTCAGCAGAATTACTATTTTATTACTGTTACTACTACATACTATTGTGCCACCCCCACAGTTGTCATCACTTTCTTCTTTATTTATTTTTAGAGATGGGATCTTGCTATGTTGCTCAGGCTGGACTCAAATCCTGGCCTCAAGCAATTCTGACTCAGCCTCCCAACTAGTTAGGATTACAGATGCATTTCACCCTCCCCAGATCTCATCACTTCCAGTTGTCCCTTGAAGTACAAAATACCATTGAAGATACAAAGGAGTGTAGGGAAAATAATTTGATATCACTTACCTTTACACAGGTGAATATCAAAATGATACAAGTCAGATCAAATTTTTATGAAGACAGGTTCACATTACTATTCTTTAACATTTCATTCTAATATTTTTCCCCAATTTTTTCAAAACATTTTTGTTTGACCAGAGAAAAGAAATCTTCATACACTCTAAGATATTAACCTAAATTGTTATGGATTAAATAGCTCTAGATTATCTGGTTATGTTTACACAGGCTTTTTTTCTAATCGATTTGGTCATTTTTGTCAATCATTTATGTAACACTCAAGTTCTTCAATATTATTCCAGATCATGGTTATCAAAAATGATCAGAACACTTTTAACAAAGATGAAATAAATGTAATATGACAAATTTAATTCTTTGCTTTCAAGTCAAGTCACTGAATATTTAATTATCCTACTGAGATGTTTATTATAAATTGTAGTAGGTAAAAAGTCAAAATGCAAAACCCATGTTCTTTTAATAAAAAGGAACACACATTTCCCTCCTTTTGTCCTTGGAGGAAAATGTGGTGAAGAGATCTTGGGACAGCTTGACAGGGAACTCTTAAATTTGGCAGTCTGTATGAGCATAGGAAATAAAGCTTACTTCTCAGTTAGAGAATTCTAGTGGCCAGAGATTGGCCAGAGCAGTTCTGCAATGAAAGGTTAAGCCTAGAATACCACAATATTGATCTATAGCATGGCATAGATGGATGAGTTTCTCAAGAGCCAAGTGGATGCCTTGCAAGATGGCTAGGTTTGAGCTAACTTGAAGGTACATGGCCCAGGACAGTGGCCTTCTGGCATGAGGAGACTCCAGCAGGAAGAGTCTTTGGAATGTTCTGCTCTTTTGGCACCACAAGTGATCAGCTATAAAGGGCAACACTCGTGTGAGGGAATTTGGCTATTCAAAGATTCTCATGAGGACCTCTCAAGAAAAACATACAATTGCCCAAGAAAGCATCACTTGCCAATGGAGAGCTGTGATTGTCAAACAGTGATGGCAGTGAAGTAATAAAATTGAAAGGGAACATATTTGGATAAAATGGAATAGGAAAGAAAGAGTAAGAGGGAAGAAAAGAGCAAGCTACAATTAGGCCTGAGCTTTAGAAATGATAGAATCTTTGAACTAGATGCGAGGCTAATATTTTGATGGTGATGGAATGGACTTTTTAATACTTGATCATGAATCTTAATTATCAAAGTGAGACTCATAACTAAAAATAATTGGAAACCCATAAGATGTTCCTGTGGGGTATTTGAGAATTGAGGGAAGGATAGCCAAAACAGTGTGTTTAAGGCAGTAAGTAGCAGGTGAAAAGTAAAGGATTTTTTTTTCTCTTTGTATCTAATTGGATTAAGACAGCTCCATAAAATGGTTATATAAACTTAAACGATGAAAACATGAACCAGGGTGGTAGTGGTGGAAATGGAGAAGAGTAACATATATGAGAAGATGCTCCAACAGAAAATGTACTAAAATCAGTGTTTAATAAACTTAGGGGATTAAAAATACTTCAAAGATATATGTCCTCGATAATATGCAGGATGGTGGTACATTTGCAGAAGTGAGTGTTGGAAAAGATGATGAGTTAGATAAGAATTAACTTGTGAATCTCATGGTTATGGAAGTGATGGGTGAATATCATGACATAAAATCAATAGGCAAGTGGGTATGTGGGATTAGAGTTTAGGAAGAAAACAGGGCCAGAGATCTTTGAGACATCAGTATGGCTTAAAATTGCAAGACTGAACTACCTGAGCAAGGTAGGGAGTCTTTTTCCTGAGGACACCCAGAATGCATAAGTGGGTTTTTAATGGAACCAATAAAAACAAAACAAAACAATGAATGTTTAGAGAACCAGGGACAAAGTGGCAGTTGAGGGCTAAAGTGAATTAGGAGGAAGAACTGGATTTTGCTGAAAGGCACTCAAAGGCTACTTCAGCGACCGAGCTGTTTCTATGGGAGCTACAAGAGGTAAAGAAGTTAGGAGGAGTTTGGGAAGAAGAGGGAGGTAAGGAAATGAAAATAGTGATAGCAGAGCCATAATAATAAGCCCAATATTCTCTTTTCTATATATTCTGTCTTTCTGTTTACATTCTATATTCTGACACTATTCTATTAAGGTCTCCTTAAACAGAATGTGATAATCAGAACTCATGGCCATCAAATGAGTAATATTTCCTAAAAGCCATGGTGACCATAAGGCTATTGATTGGATCTGTACGAATTGCACTTAGTGTAGTCCAAATTCTCTCTTTCAAGGTTCTACCCATATCCTTTAAAGGTTTAAGCAGACAGTTTTAGTCCATATTAAAAATAGTCTACAATTGCCCATATTGGTAAGCAAGTTTGGTATACAGGTGAAAACAAGTGATTTGACATTCTGTATCCTTCAGCCCAACACTCTCCCTATTAAAGCAAACAAACAGAAATGTGGCCTTAATTTTTTCTTGTAATGTTAAATAATTAAATTAAATGTAAAATATTAATTTTTTCTTTTAATTTTACAAAACTGTAAAATCATTACTTCAGTTGAAGCTATCATTCACTGAGAAAAGTTAGGCAGAAAAAATCAAGGATAGAAGAGATTCCCTGATATCTAATGTCATAGCATAAAAAGTATATCATAGCATGTCTCATAAAATTTGGTGAGGAAAAAAGGAGAATCCTCTTTCTCCACAAGCTCTGACCTCTTGAACCATACTTAACCCCACATTAAGTAATTTAAAAATATAGGGGGATGCCGGGTGCTGTGTGGGTCACATCTGTAATACCAGCAATTTAGGAGGCCAAGGCGGGAGGATGACTTGAGCCCAGGAGTTCGAAAGACCAGCCTGGGCGACACAGTGAGACCCCAACTCTACAAAATAATTTTAAAAATGTATTAGCTGGGTGTGGTGGCATATGCCTATTGTCCCAGCTACTCAGGAGGCTGAGGAAGTATTGCTTGAGCCTGGAAGGTCAAGGCTGCAGTGAGCTGCACTCCAGCTTGGGTGACAGAACGAGATCCTGTCTCAACAACAACAACAAAAAAGAAAAAAATATATAGATATTCATTAATAACGATAGTGGTTTAGCATTCATTTAGAGACATCTAACCTATGCTGTTATCAGAAAGATTTCTGCAAAGTTTGTGTATAAGAATATCATTGATCTCATTCAGCATCTAGAAGCAAATCTTAAAACAATTATTTGTGAGTGCTACGAAGACTTTATACCTCACACTCCTTATCAATAACACATCCCCAAACTGATTTGGATGTGAAAAAACTGCCATGGTTCCAATTAAAGACATTAAAAGACATGATCTGAGTTCTTTCTCTACTTTCCCTTGAGCCTCATGCCTGGAAATGATGCATTTTGGAATACTAACAGTAATGTAATAAAACATCTTTCTTGTTTGTGTTATTTTCTTAGTGTCTCCATTTATGGGGAATAAATAACTAAACTTCATAGCACAGTACCTAGTGAAGCTGTCAGCTGCAGTGTTTGTCATATTTCTATCAAAGCCAGACCCAGCCCGTTATCTTCATCCAGGTCAGTCTCTACATTCTCGAGGACCAGAATTAATGAATTAGCTATTGATTAAATTCCACTCTAGCAAATCCACCAAGACAAATAAATGAACTACCCAGGGCACATGTAGGCCATGGCCAGACATGTCCGGGTTATCGATCAGTAGTTAGTATTCTTTTGGGATATAGAAGGAGCTGATGATAATATGAGAAGTATGGAAAATGCAATGTAGAAACAGGGCTTGTCTCTGAAGCAGCAGCTTATAAAACTAGAAGGGTCCATTTGATTCTTCTATATTATTTGTGTGCTATGGAATCTTTGGTTTATATATAAGAGGAAAAACATGCATAAGGGCTTGTACTGCTGAAGATGTAGTCAAAAACAAGGCATAAGTTAAGGCCAAAGACAAAGATGAGTTGGTACACTGCACGCATATAATCAAACAGGCTGGTATGCTATCTGTATGTTATTGAAATATATGAGTTAAATTTTACTGACTTCTGAATTTCACCAAAAATAAACAAAGAATCTAAGAAATGTATGGCTTCTTAGAAACCAAATTATTTTAAATGCTAGAGAAGTAGACCCCGTCTGCTGATGTTTTTCTGGAAGGATTTCACATTTCATTTTGCATGTTGCTAATATGAAAGATTTTTTAAAACCAAAATAGAAACATAACTAACAAGTATACATTGCCAGAAGTATAATGAAATTACACAAACAATACCATACACACACAAGGCTAACTGCTTTGGTGTTGGTATAATTTTGATTAATGGCTTGGCAGCCTATAGTTGCTCATTAGAGTCTTGCCTTTGGAAAATGTTACTCTGCTACTATGGATCATTTTAAGAAAGGAAAGATTTTACATGCCAATATTTGGTTATGAATGATTTCTATCAAGTTTTTGCTAGGCTTCTGACTGGGGGGGAAAAGGAAAGTTGCCAAAGGCATTGGAAGAAAGAAAACTGTGGTGGAGGGGGACTTCCCATGCAGGCCAATATGGAATAAGCCCATTACAGCTTATCTCTCCCACTGATTACAACTCAGTATCTGCAAAAATTATATAAAGTAACTACCTGAGGACTCTGAAAAGCTAACAATAAGGCTGATCAGGAGGGGAGACAAAACTTTAAGAATGAATGTTACAGGGTGAGTTTCCCATTTTTTTTCCCCCTCCTTTACTTCCCATCTTTAACCCAAGGGCAGTATCAGTGTGAAACTGTGAACTAGGGAAGCAAAATCCTAGAGAAAGTAAATTTTTTCCGGCTAGAGTATCTAGAACAAAATGCCTTGCAAGCCAGAGAGTATAGGGAAAACCCCCATTTTTGTTTTGTTTTGTCTTCTTTCTGCTGGGCCCTGCTCCGAGGATGATCAGAGCCAAGGAGCTGCACTGCGGCAGCTGTGGCCAAATTGGAATCTAAAGCCCCAACGGGGGGAAAAATCTTTCTGTCCAGAGAAATCAGGAAATGGGGCCTCTATAGTCCAAAGAATGTGGGGGAAGTCCTTGTTATTTTTTTTTCTCGAATTCCTCTTACCTCATTGCCTAAGAACAACTCCAGTTATGCAAATTTGGAGGCAGGCTGGGAGGCAAACATTTCAAAAGAAATCATATCATTCTAGCCAAAAATCCAGGGAAGGAAGTCCAAAGGAGCTGGAAAGATGGGGGACATTTCAGAGAGAAGAAAGCTAGAAGCTAATTTTATGAATGAACGAACGCAAGTCCTGACTCAACTCCAAGCTGCACATTTATGGTTGCCTCACATGCATAGCCTATGCAAGCAGCACAGCGAAGATTTTGAGATCAGAACTATTACATAATTCTACAGCCAAATCCCAAATTAGCCATTGTGCAGACACAGAGTAGTAAAGCAAAGTTTATAGCTTTGTTATGCTACTTTATGAAAAAATAGGAACTGACTGTAGTCACTGGCAAAGGAAAACAGAATTTGGAGTCTGAAGCTAACCAGTTGGTAACCTGCTGAAAAAAGTAAATAAGAACTCTAACTTTCTTCAAAGGATTTTAACAGGAGTCAGATTTTTATAACGTAATATTCAAAATGTGAAGGAATCAATCGAAAAATCACCCAGAATTACACTAAGCAATTGAAAGCTGGAGTGGCTATATTAATATTAGACAAAATAAACTTAAGAACAAGGAAATTATCAGGAAGTAAAAGGGCTTATCACATAATGATACAAGAGCCAGTTTATCAAGACATTAACAATCCTAAACATGTATGCACTTAATAATAAAACATCAAAGTACATGAAGGAAAGACTAATAGATCTGAAGAAGAAATAGATAAAGCCACAATGACATTTGGAGACTTCAACACCATTCTCACAATAACTGATAAAACAAGCAGGCAGAAAATCAGTAAGTATATAGATGATCTGAACACCATTATCACTCAACTTGATCTAATTGACATTTACAAAACACTCTATCTGACAACAACAGACTGTACCTTCTCCTCAAGTGCACATCCATTCACTAAGATAGATCATATTCTGGGCCCTGAAAAAACTGTAACTAATTTAAAAGAATTGGAATTCTAAAATTATGTTCTTAGATCATAATAGAATTAAACTGGAAACTCAGATAGAAACTTATCTGAAAAATCCCCAAATACTTGGAAATTAAACAATACCCTTGTAAATAATCCATGGGTTAAAGAAGTCTCAAGAGAAATTAAAATATATTTTGAATAAATGAAGTGCAATGCAACATTTCAAAATTTGTGAGCTTCATACCGAAGCAGGACTGAGAGAAAAGAAGAAAGGTCTCAAATCAATAATGAAAGTTTTCATCTTTAAGAAACTAGAGAAGCAATAGCAAGGCAAGAGGGAAGAAAACAATAGAGAGCAGAAATCACTGAAATGGAAAATAGAAAACAATGTAGATGATATAGAAAATAAATAAAGCCAAAAATGGTTCTTTGAAAAGATCTACAAAATTGATAAAACTCTAGGCTGAACAGAAAAACGGGGGCACTTACTACCAATATCAGAAATGAAAGAATAAAATCAATTGCAACAAATTGTTGTTTGTAGTACAAACATACTACAAACAACTTCCTGCTAATAAATTTGACAAATTTGATTAAATTAACCTATTTTCTGCACCCACAAGATGACTAAACTCACTGGAGAATAAATTGCCAAATATCATACATTATTAAGGGAATTGAATTCCAAGTTAAAAAACCTTCCATCAAAGAAAAACTCCAGGCAAATATGGGTTTCACTGGTGAATTTTACCAAGATTTAAGAAATAATAACACTTTTGTACAATCTCTTCCACAAAATAGAAAAGAAGGAAATGCTTCCCAAGTTAGTATGAGACCAGAAATTACCATGATACCCAATCCAGGCAAAGGTATTACAAGAAAATCAAACACAGTCCAATATATTTTATGAACACAGATGAACATTTTCTATAAGATAATAGTATATTGCATCCCCCAATATATGAAGAAGAAAATATGTCACAACGAAGTTCTGGTTATCCAGCGAATACAAACTAGTTCAATAATTTAAAATCAGTAAATATAATCGATCATAGTACAAATTTAAAATGTCAAAAAAGCATGTGACAAATTTCCATGTCCATTTATAATGAAAATTGTCAGCAAATTAAAAATAAAAAGTAAGTTCTTCAACGTGATAAAAGGCATGGCCAAAAATTTCATACGTAACATCACATCTAAGGGTAAAAGACTGAAAGTTTTCTTTCAAAGATTGGGAACAAGTCAAGGATATGCTCTTATCACGTTATTAAACTATCCAGTGCAATAAGGCAGGAAAAAGAAATAAAAGACATACTGATTGGAAATGAAAAAAATAAACAGTTTCTCTTTGTAGAAGATCTATATAGACTAGGGAATTACAAAAAAGCTCTTAAGACTTACAAGGAGTTTAGCAAGTTTGCTGGATGTAAGCTCACTATTCCAAAATTAATTGTGTTTCTACACACTAGCAACAATTGGATTTGAATTTGTTTTAAAGAAACAATAATAATAGCACCCCCCAAATAAGTAATTAGGTATAAACTTAATAAAATATGTGCAGTATTTGCATACTGGATTATATAAAACACTGATAAAATAAAGGAAAGAAGATGCAAATAAATGAGCAAGAGTGTGTTCTTGAATCAGAACATTTGATATTGTTAAGATGTCAATTCTCTACCAATTGATCCACAAATTCAATGCAGTTCTAATCAAAATCACATGTTTTGTAGATATCAATGACCTGTTTCTGAAATTTATATGGACAGGCAAAGTAGTGAGAAAGGCCAAAATGATTTTTATAAAGGTCAAAGTTGGAGGACTCATACAATGTGATTTGACAGCTTACTATAGAGCTGTAGTAATCAAGATTGTGCGATATTGGTATAGATATACATATTGATAAATTGAACATAAAAGAGAGTCCAAAAATGGCCTACAAAACGTGTTTAAATTGATTTTTGACAAAAATCTAAAAATATTCAATAAAGAAAAGATAATCTTTCCAAAAATTTTGTTGATACTATTAAATACTTACATGCCAAAAAAAATTAACCTTGACTCATGCCTCAGTGTATACAAAAATTAACACAAAACCAATCATAGACATAAATTCAACATGTAAACATACAAATGTTCTAGGAAATAGACAAGAGAAAGTCTCTGTGACCTTAACTCAGGCAAAAAGTTCTTAGATAAAATACCAGATGCACAAACTGTCAAGGAAAAAGTAACAAATCTAACTCTCTTGGAAAGTTAAAACTCTTTCTCTTAAAAACACACAAATAAGATAATTGAAAACAAATCATAAGGTAGAGAAGAAATATCTGTAAATCACATATGTGACAAAAACTCAAATCCAAAATATATTTAAAAAATTTTCAAAACTCAAAAAATAAGAAAACAAAGAATCTAATTAAGAAATTTGCAAAAGATTTGGAGATACCATTTCCCAGAGTAAACAAATGCCAAAGTGCATGCAAAAAGCAATTGCAAAGCTTATCAGTATCATTAGTCATTAGGGAAAATGTAATTTAAGACCATAATAACACACCACAAACATCTATTAAAATGACTATTTAAAAAATAAGAGGAAAACACCTCATAGTATCTCATGTTCTAGCAAAAATGTAGAGCAACTTGAACTCTCATACAATGCTAGTAGGAATGAAAGATGTTACAGTCACTTTGTAAATCAGTCTGGCAGTTTATGACTCAGCAATCCAACTCCTGGGTATTTACCCACATGAAATGAAAATATATCTTCACACAAAAACCTGTATATAGATGTTTTACAGCAACTTTAATCGTGGTCACGGAGAACTGAAAATTATCCAAACTGTGCACAAACTGTAGAACTTTCATATAATGGAATCTTACTCAGCAACAAAAACTGACAACTACTAGTATGTATACAACTGCTAGTATGTATATAATAAGATGGACAAATCTTAAATGCATTATGCTAACTAAAAGAAGCCATTTGAATGGCTACATATTATGTGATCCATTTACATGACAATATGGAAAAGGCAGAATTATACATAACAAAACATGGCAGTGTTTGCTTAGTTTTAGGAAGGGTAGAAGAGGGGTTAGCAATAATGGAGACCGACATCATGATGCTGCTTCACATCCTGATTGTGGTAGTGTCTGTTCTTCCTGGCAGCTTTTTGGATGTGCTTTTTAAACATGGTACTCTGCAATTTCCTGATAATATCCCTTTATATGTAATCACTTTTTAGTCATATTGTTGGTATCCAGGGAATCTTTTGATCTGCACAGTAGTACATTGGTTCTGGGATACTTTCTTGTCTTTTTTTTTTTTAAATTTTCTCCCTCTTTTCCTTTGATTCTCTTTTGAAGCTCTTATTATTCAAATATTAGACTTCCTGGATACTCTCTATTGTTTTTTCTTTGTCTCTCTCTCTTTTAAATCTTTGTGTTTCATTGCATTTTCAGAGACATTCCCTTGAACTTTCTTCAAAAGTTTCAATTCAGCTTTTCACCCTTTTAATTTCCATGAAGTTTTCTCCTCGTTGGTTATTTATTTATTTTTTTAAGTATGCTGGTTTTGTTTTATGGTTAGAGAATTTTCTTTTATCTGTCTGAGGCTATAATTTT
The DNA here is from genome assembly GCF_000001405.40 of Homo sapiens. NCBI lineage: Eukaryota > Metazoa > Chordata > Mammalia > Primates > Hominidae > Homo > Homo sapiens. The sequence continues at coordinate 215,835,078 of NC_000001.11, forward strand.
TTTTCCTCACCTGCATTATCTCTGAATCTATTGTATCATGTCTTTTGTTTATTTTGGTCCCCTTTTTATCTTTAAGAGTGATGCACCAAAAAAAAAAAAAAAAAAAAAAAAAGCTGACTAAAAGCTTTATAGTTAGGTGAGCCTTGTTGATTGGCATACTTCCCTACTGGGTGACCAGAGGACAAGTTGTTTTTACTGTTAGGGATCCCTATATGCTATTATCTGGAGGTATTTTTTTTGAGATCATTCTTTTTTTTCTAGAAAACTATGTTCAGTTTCCTATCTGGAGGTGTTTATGACTTGTCTACTTGCTTTTGAGGGCAGAACTGGGAAACTTAGCCAAAAAGCCCACCATTCAGGTTGTAGTCTCACTTTATCACTGTTTTTACTTCTGTGTCTCATCTCAGCTCCCCTCTGCCTAGTAGCCCTCAGTTTCTCCAGAGAATAAATGTCTAATCTCCTGGTCGGTGGACTTTGTCATGTGGAGGAAGAGAAATAGACCCCTGGATGCACAGCAAAGATGCAAGAGACCTGGGATTCCAAACACTTATTTGTTAACAGTTGTGTCTCACCCCATGATTTCAGCTTTAAACCCTACCCTCTCTCCTCCTCTTTACATCCTTAAAACTTCTAAGTGCTCAGCCTCTCCAGTTCTCTGTGGAAAAAACAGTTTGTTTCCTGTCATTATTGTCTTTTGTCAACCAATATTTTGGTTGTAAATTTCTCCACTGTATTAAATCATTTGCTTCTTTCTGACAAATATTGCTTACAAAATTGTGTTGCAATCTCTTTTCTGTTGTTGTCTCCTCTCTCACTTTCCTTGTTCTTGTTGTATAATACTCTTTTTAATGTTTCTGTCATCAATTTAATGTATTTGGATACAAGCAATTTTTAATAGCAACTAAAAATATTTGTCCTCTGTTATTATGTGCAATAATCTTCTTAAAGGAAAAAAAACCTAGAGACACAGTCACATTTGTTCCATTTCTTATAAAGCTTAGACGTTATTTTTAGTTATAAATAAATATGTACTATGAGGCATATTCTGTTACGTCATTCACATGGGCTTGAGTCATGGGGATGCCAGCAGACAAGAATTTGAAAACATCCACCCACCTAACTATAATTCTTCCTTGAGCTTTTCAAGACTGAAGTCAAAGGTCACATCTTCCATGATGCCTTCACTGATAATTCTGGGTAAAGTTTGCTATTTTTCTCTTTATGTTCTTGCACATCTAAACCTCTTATTATAGTGTTTTTTACATTGTTCTATAAACATTTATTTAGGGGAGTATCTTCCCCAGTGGACTGGAACTTTGCAAATTTAGAATCATGTCTTATGCTCTTTTGTATTACTTTTGCCTTCTATGTGTGTGTGTATATATATTATATATATATATATAATATATATTATATATATAATATATATTATATATATATAATATATATTATATATATATATATAATATATATATATATATATATATATTTTTTTTTGAGACAGAGTATCACTCTGTCGCCCAGGCTGGAGTGCAGTGGCGTGATCTCGGCTCACTCCAAGTTCCGCCTCCCAGGTTCACGCCATGCTCCTGCCTCAGCCTCCCGAGTAGCTGGGACTACAGGTGCCCCCCACCACGCCCTGCTAATTTTTTGTATTTTTAGTAGAGACAGGGTTTCACCATGTTAGCCAGGATGGTCTCGATCTCCTGAGCTTGTGATCCGCCCGCCTCGGCCTCCCAAAGTGCTGGGATTACAGGCGTGAGCCACCACGCCCCACCTTGCCTTCTATATTATTATAGCCACAGATGTGTTTGCTAAAGAATAAAGGTCTCTAACGCCCATTTAATATGACTATTTCCTCCCTGCATAGTAGATAATACTGTGAATAGGTTGGGGGATATCTGCTGGGGGGATTATAAACTAATTAGTATGCCAAAAATTAGATCAGTATCTATCATGTGTTTGATAGAAGATATACTCAAGCAGACAAGATATGATTATTGCCACGAACAGCTAACAGTCAGGTTAGTTGAATTTTTCTAATTATTTTAACCATTGGTTGCCAAAACCAGTACTAATTTTTTGAACTGATTTAAGATCCAGAAATTTCAACATGTCATAGAGAAATCCTTCAGAATTGAAACATTAATAATAGACTTATTATTTCAGTGTGTGTATGTGTCTGTGTGTGTGTGTGTGTTGTTTGCACATGTAAGAGAAGGGTGATTCATTTGGCTTAAGCAAAAAGTATAATGTGAAAGCACTAAGATTTCTTTTCCCAGCCTCAACTTGATACAAACGGATGAACAATTTACCATCTTATTTTCAGCTTTGGAAACAATACCAAATATTATTATTATTGTTGTTGTTACTAATTATGAATTATAAAGAGACTCGCTTTCAAACTATGGTCATTTCTCAGCAACAAAAGAATAAAGAAAAATAAAGTGATTCTACCAAGAAGCTGACAAAATTGGTAATGCTTATCTAAACATTATCTGCCCTACTAATTTTACAGATTTCTAGCTTTAGGGCACTCTGATGTATATAAATCAATTTTTTTTCAAAAAGATTAAGTTAGAAGGTAGTCATTACAATTAAGCTTGTATTATGCTCCGCAAAAGGATTCACTAAAGGACACATTCAAATAAGGAGACATGTATTTCAAGTATTTGCTTACAGGTTACTAAATAAGAAATCTGAGGCTGGGCAATCAGGGAAATTAAAGATTAAATGCCATTGGATGTCCAGTGAAGATTAATATCTGTGAAATAATATCAAAAATTTGATTTACACACATACTTATAATAACCCATTAAATGAGATTGTCATGGCTGAGAGGATACCTTTGATTTTTATTTTCATTTCTTCTGATCAGAGTTCCTTAGATTTAACTGACACAAAATTTTGTACCTTGAAGTGATGCCACGAATTGTGGGTGTTGGTATATCACTTGGAGTGTCTTCCACAGTGGTAATTTGGGTTCCATTGCTTTTCACGCAGGCATATATTGTGCAGACTTCAACCTGCAAACATTAGTTTAGAAAAAATAAATGCAACCATTTTTGAAATACTTACTAACAATAGTCTGAATCCCACCTTCCCTCATTTCACATGAATCTCTTGTATTTCTCTATAGCCTCTTGAGGTTTAATCAATATTCATTTTTGATGTTAACTGACTCCAAAGGAATGAGCTCAGAGGAAGGTACGGAATTGGGATCAAGATAATTGATTTAGTAATGGGAATGATGATGTTTACTCTCTGGTTGCAACTATTCACAAAGAGAAAGATACATTAATCTACTGAAGAGCATAGTCAAGGAATGGAAGATGCCCAAGTGACAGTTTGCAAGCATAACAGGTTATCACTGCTCACTGTTCTCTAAATCTATAACTAAGTAGTGTAATGATGGTATCTTCTGGAAGTCTTGACACTGTAAAACAAATAGCCTAAATGCTAATGTCTAATGGAGGAAAAATGAGGCCTAGAGAAGCCTTCCAATATGGCTGAGGTATTTTATATCCATTTGTTCCAGATGCAATTGTATTTTTACCTTAATCACAGCAGAAAATCATCATTCATCCCTTTAATTCTGCCACCTAATCTGAATAAAAACCGAGGAGGGTGGAATAACTGAAGATTAGAAATGGGGTTCATCAAGCATTAGTCACACAAAAGGAACACGTTAACCAAGAGGGAGGAGAGAGAAATGAATATGCAAAAGATTGGGAACATCTGCAAAGCGATATCATTCTGCTCTCAATTAAAGGATAAACCAAAGAGAAACTGTACTTTTTACAGTGCTAATTTACTTTAAGCATCTAATATATAAATAGAGAAGGCAAGCTAGGTACTGATGAATCTTAAACATTAATTCCGAGCTTTTATGTGAAACAGTTCTCTGTTCCTTTGGTGGTTGAGGAAAGGCAAATGGGATTCTTGTATTTACTAGATATGCTATTTTATTCATAGGGTACCTAAATGTTAGTTGAGGCATATGTTCATAATGCTGTATGAGTTGTGTTACTTATTGATGCCATATAGTCTTTTGAGGTATTAATAGTGGATATTTAAACACTATCAAGGGCCTACATTCTGAGCATGTCCAATTAAATCTGAAATAAAGGCAGATGAACTTAAAATATAATGCTGTAATATAATTAATGAAAATGAACTTTATACATATTGGAAAAATTTGATTCTGTGATACATAATGAGATAACCCAGAATCAATTCAACTGAATTTATTATGTATCTAATATGTGCCAAATATTATAATGGATATATGCACAAATAATCGTATTGATTCCTCATAACTCCATTTAAACAAATTTGCAGAGAAGCCAGGGAATATTGTCAAGCTGGTAAGATTTGGGATATCTGAGTTGTTCTCCACTGTACCCTACTGGCTTCTCATCTAAATGTTAAACATAACTTTAAGCTCTAAACTACTTAGGTATATTCAAATGTTTCTCCAGAAAACATTTCTTTTGATTCATTGGTCAAAGGAAAATGACCAATGACTACTGCTGGTAGCCAGATGATTATATATGTTTTAACCTCAAATGTTAGAGAAATGTGCCAATATGTTTTTATTCTTACTAATGTTAACATTCCCAGTCTCCATTTTGGGACCTATTTCTAGTGCTAAAACGATATTGTATAACATGTGAATGAAACACAAATATAAAGCTTACTGTATTTATACTAAAAAGAGGTAAAACTGAATAAAAATGAAATTATTATTTCTTTGTAAAAGGGACATATAAAGGGATTATTCAAAAAGTAGATACTTGGCTAGGTGCAGTGGCTTACACCTGTAATTCCAGCACTGTGGGAAGCTTAGGCAGGCGGATCACCTGAGGTCAGGAGTTTGATACCAGCCTGGTCAACATGGTGAAACCCTGTCTCTACTGAAAATACACACAAAAGAATAACCTGGTGTGGTGGTGGGCACCTGGAATCCTAGGTACTTGGGAGGCTGAGGCACGAGAATCTCTTGATTCCAGGAGGCAGAGGTTGCAGTGAGCCGAGATCGTGCCAATGCACTCCAACCTGGGTGAGAAGAGTGAGACTCTGTCTCAAAAAAAAAAAAAAAAAAAAAAAAAAAAAAAAGTAGATACTTGAGTGTGTTATGTGCTTTAAAATCAATAGCTATTTTACAGATGGGGTTAGCATAGAGAGCCTTAATTCTAAAGTATTAGGCATTCCAATCAAATGCTTATTTTAAATGAAACTAAATCACCTTTGACATCGTAATGAAAATCACTGAAATTTGATGTTCAAATTTCCAGAAATGCAACAGCTATATCAAGTACAGTATTCCTGGACTGCAAAAAGCTTCACAAAAAATATAGTAATCAGTAATAAGAATATCTTAGGCACTAATAACAAAATTCTATTATTGGATTCTACTTTGATCTTTTGTATTTTCATCTGTTTCCACTCTCCTCAGGCTACCAGAAGAGGAGGCTTTATACCTACTGGCTTGAGTTATTTATACCTGACTCAAACCAGTAGTGGTATAAATAAAGCCTTTTCCATAGAATAGGCCTTAAACACTTTTAAACGTTAACTCTTGATCCAGAGTCAGAAAGCTGAGCTGCACATGCATGCACAGCACACAGTGTTCTCACTTCTAGGTTGTGTGTTTCGAGTCTTGGTAAAGCAAATGAATAAGGTGCCTTTGAAAACTCAGCTTTCCCGAACACTGGTCAAAAGAAGACAATACGGCAAATCCTCCATCACCTTCCTGTGTTAGCCTTTTTTATATAGCTATATTTCTAATTTATTTGGAGCATGATTTCTATTTCATAATTTGGCCTATGGTCTACCTGCATACATGGACTCACCATAAGAATCATGAACATAAACATCAGTCCACATATTCCATGCTAAGACAACTCAGGTAGGCTATGGGAATCATGGTGTGCAATGAAAACAAACCACTGCTTAAGAAAATCAGAGAGGACACAAATGGAAAAACATTCCATGCTCATGGATAGGAAGAATAAATATCATGAAAATGGCCATATTGCTCAAAGTAATTAATAGATTCAATGATATTCCCATTAAACTACCAATGACATTCTTCACAAAATTAGAAAAAACTACTTTAAAGTTCATATGGAACCAAAAAAGAGCCTGTATAGCCAAGACAATCATAAGCAAAAAGAACAAAGGTGGAGGCATCACACTACCTGACTTTAGGCTATACTACAAGGCTACAGTAACCAAAACAGCATGGTACTGGTACAAAAACAGACACATGGACCAATGGAACGGAATAGAGATCTCAGAAATAAGACTGCACATTTACCACTATCTGATCTTCGACAAACCTGACAAAAACAAGCAGTGGGGAAAGGATTCCCTATTTAATAAATGGTACTGGAAAAACTGGCTAGCCATATGCAGAAAATTGAAACTGGATCCCTTCCTTACATCTTATACAAAAAGTAACTCAAGATGGATTAAAGACTTAAATGTAAAACCCAAAACTATAAAAATCCTAGAAGAAAACCCAGGCAATACCATTCAGGACATAGGCACAGGCAAACATTTCATGACAAAAACATCAAAAACAATTGCAACAAAAGCAAAAATTGACAAATGGGATCTAATTAAACTAAAGAGCTTCTGCATAGCAACAGAAACTATCCTCAGAGTGAACAGGCAACCTACAGAATGGGAGAAAATTTTTGCAATCTATCCATCTGACAAAGGTTTAATATCTAGAATCTATAAGAAACTTAAACAAATTTGCAAGAAAAAACAACCCCATCAAAAAAAATGGGCAAAGGACATGAACAGACACGTCTCCAAAGAAGAATTTATGCGGCCAACAAACATATAAAGCTTACTATATTTATATTAAAAAGAGGTAAAACTGAATAAAAATGAAATTATTATTTCTTTGTAAAAGGGACATATAAAGGGATTATTCAAAAAGTAGATACTTGGCTGGGTGCAGTGGCTCACACCTGTAATCCCAGCACTGTGGGAAGCTTAGGCAGGTGGATCACCTGAGGTCAGGAGTTTGATACCAGCCTGGTCAACATGGTGAAACCCTGTCTCTACTGAAAATATACACAAAAGAATAACCTGGTGTGGTGGTGGGCACCTGGAGCTCAACATAACTGATCATTACAGAAATGCACATCAAAACCACAGTGAGATACCATTTCATGCCAGTCAGAATGGTGATTATTGAAAAGTCAAGTAACAACAGATGCTGGTGAAGCTGTGGAGAAATAGAAGGGCTTTTACACTGTTGGTGGGAATGTAAATTAGTTCAACCATTGTGAAAGACAGTGTGGTGGGTCCTCAAAGACCTAGGACCAGAAACACAATTAGACCCAGCCATCCCATTACTGGGTATATACCCAAAGAAATATAAATCATTCTATTATAAAGATACAAGCACATATATGTTCATTGCAGCACTATTAACAATAGCAATGACATGGAATCAACCCAAACGTCCATCAATTATAGACTGGATAAAGAAAATGTGGTACATGTACACCATGGAATACCATGCAGCCATAAAAAGGAATGAGATCATGTCCTTTACAGGGACATAGATGGAGCTGGAAGCCATTTTATCCTCAGCAAACTAACACAGGAACAGAAAAACAAACATCACATGTTCTCACTTATAAGTAGGAGCTGTACAGTGAGAACACATGGACACAGCGAGGGGAACAACACACACTGGGGCCTGTTGGGGGGGCATCAGGGGAGGGAGATCATCAGAATAAATAGCTAATAATACATGTACAGGTAAATACCTGGTAGATGGGTTGTTAGGTGCAGCAAACCACCATGGCATACGTTTACCTAGGTAACAAACCTACATGTCCTGAACACGTATACAGGAACTTAAAATAAAATACATTTAAATGAAAAAAAAAGAAAAATAATTAATGTACCTTTCTTCTTTATTCAAAGATATTTTTATTTGGTTTTCTTAGGAAGCTAGGTCTATGAGTCAGAGTAGGGGAGACTAAAGTGTTGGTTGTAGCCAGATGATTATATGTCTTAACCTCAAATGTCAGGAAAAGGAGATGGAAACCTGAATGAGGTAGTACTATTAAATGGATAGAACCAGTAAAAAGTTTCTGTGGTCATATAAAATTTCTGTGCTTAATATCTTCTGAAAATTATCTTACGAAGCTCTTATGAATTTTAGAAGTAGCATAGTTTATTAAAAAATTTTGTAAATTGCAAGCTTTCTCTAAATGTGGGGTTTCTGAAATACTCTGATTTTTTTTTATCACTCATTTGCACATTTAGCCTTGTTATCTTTTATGGCTTGGTACTCCAACAAGATTTCCAATTCCGTGAAGATAAGTTCCTTGTTTTATATGCCTTAGTATTCCCTATACTTTTTCTACTTTTAAGGCCAGTAGCCCCTGAAGAAGTCTATGAATTTGACTTCAAGTGATCAGTGCACTTTCTGAAATTATGTGTTAAATTTTGTCATACAAGTGCATAAATATTTTTCTAAGGCAGAGTACACTGACTTCATAAGATTCTCAAAGAAGTCCAAGGGCAAAAAATTTTAACCACAATTGCTCTCACATATGCGGAGAACATTGAACATTTTTTGAGTGATGAATAAATATATTTCTTTCACCTTCAGATAAAACCTTTTAATATTTTTTGTCTGCTATATTTTTTATATATGTCTTCCTGTTGCATTCAGAATCACAGAATGCTAGAGGTGGCTAGAATGTTTTAAGACATCTAGTCCATTGCGCTTACAAAAGAGGAAATTGACACCAAGTGAAGTTTCATAACTTCTCTGGAGATATTAAATTAGTAAATAGGAGAAATGGGAAGAGAAAAAAACATCTCCACATTTACAAACTGATTCTGATTTTGATTTCAGTAAAAGATCCTGGGAAAAGGTAAGCTGCTCAACAAGATTTATTTAGAATACATGATTAGCTTTATTTTGCCAGTGAGAATTTCATCACCATCCTCATCACCATCGTTTTCCATATTATCATTATCTTCTCTCCAGAGACTCACATGTTTGCCTACAGCACACAGATTTAATTCTGATCAATTTCCCTTCTCTCTTTTCCCTTCCCCACCAAAGAAATAATCTGTAACCAAGACAGAAGATATCCACTTGAAGACATAGCCTGGCATGTTTTATTTAACATATCCATAAGCCTAACCATCAAAAAACAATGTTCTAACCTGAATGTCATAGATAGTGAAGGGAGACAGGTCTCTCAGAATAAACGACCCAGGCACATTCATTCCAGTCTTGTAGAGCTTATTATTTACATAGATAGAATACTCAGTGACAACACCATTTGGGTTTGAAGGAGATGTCCAGATGACACGTACAGCTGTACTGTTGATGATGACAACCTCTGGAGGAAGCATGCCCTGAGGCTCTAGAATTAAAGGAAGAAACTGAATAAACTCCAGCTGTCTCTGAAAAAGCACATGTTAAGCTAAATGCAGATTAGTATTTAGGTTTAGCAAAGGGTTCCTCGCTTATCTGCTTTTCGCTGATGAAGTTATCACAGTCTGTAGTCCTCTGTAAATTGGCTTATTATACTCTCAGTTAGAAACCATAAGAATTGGTGGTAAAATGCTTTATACCACCAGCATAGTGCTAATCTTCAATACTATGTGACCAGTGGGATATGATGATAAATTATTCACCCATCTGCACCACTAACACTTATCTATTTTTTGTCTTTTTTCCATCCTTTCACTCTATACCTCCAAGGTGCAGGGGAGGGAGGGAAGGAAATAAAATTTGCTCCTTGAGCAAAAAATAAAACTCAAATACAATGAGGCTGGTGGAACGTGAAAAATCATTTGATGTTACTAGCTTGTAACTCAAGCAATATGAAGCAATAATGCAATATTGTCATTATGTAAATGATTTTGAATGTTGATTACCATAGGTAATGATGAAATCTAACATAAGAAAAAAATCTTGCTTAGCGTTAAATTGCATAATTATTCAAGCATGTCAGAAATAACTATGCAAAGACCTATTTTTATCATAAGAACCCATCTTAACTAGTTGAAGAATTGTCCTTGTGATCTACCCTATTTTATAAACAAAAGGTGCCGACCTTTGGCACCACAAAGGGAAATGGGTTCCACACTTAAAGAGCTCTGCTAATGACCTGGAACACTTGCTTGGGAGGTAATGATATTATAATGTTTATAATGAGACTTTATAAAGCCAAAAAAGATTAGAAAGACCATTCCAAACACATTTCAGATTCACAAGTTGCTTCCCTTGCTTCCTCCCCCTTGCTAACTGGCTTAGAAATGAGTCACAGGCAATTTTTCTCAGTGGCTGAACTTCCACCTACCATTTCTGGTGACTCAGGGAGGGCTCTCACTGTGTTTGGCTGTCGTTTTGAAAAACGTACTGCTTCTGAGGGCAAATCTTAAAAAAAAAGTTTCTAAATGTCACCATTTATTGATGTGAACTCAGTTCTAAAATAAGTATACACTGAAAAGAACAGGAACAAACTGGGCTAATATCTCATTATTAGAGCTTGTGCTTCTGTCTCAATGGGACTGCTTATTGATCTGCTACTGATGACAGTGAGCACTTAAGCATTTTAGCCTCCACCCCCTTCCCTCCCACACCGGAAATTTTATAATGGAGGGATGACTGATCTCAACCCCGGCAAGAATCAATCAATTTCATTCGCATCTCTGAGGCAAATATCCTTTAGAATCTGGACTCACCCCCATCGCAAGTGGTTGCATGAAGTCCTGCACTGTTGATGCTGTGGACTCCATTGAAGACAGAGATAAAGATCCAATACTCTGTGTTTGGCTTTAGGTGGCCAATGACATGAGAGTTTACATCTGGCAAGATTTTTAGAGAGTCGTTTGAGGTAGCAGAACTCCAAAAAAGTGTGTAATATTCAACTTCACCTTGTAGGTCTTGAACAGCTGTCAACAATAAATGCAGGACATGGTGAATGTAGCTGAGGCTTTCAGGGGAAAAAAAAAATTCTATCATTAGCTTTCTAGAATGAGAAAAAAAGAAGTTTAGAGAGCCTTTGTTTTGGAAATGTTAAAAAAAGCTTATGAGATCTCCTTTTTGGTGGTGCTGGTGGTGATAGTTTTTATTTTATTTATTTATTTTTGAGACAGAGTCTCGCTCTGTCACTCAGGCTGGAGTGCAGTAGTGTAATCTTGGCTCACTGCAGCCTTGATGTCTTGGGCTCAAGCGATCCTCCTGTTTCAGCCTTCCAAGTAGCTGGGACTACAGGCTCAGGCCATCACACTAGTTAATTTTTATCAGTGTTTTGTAGACACAGGGTCTTGCTATGTTTCCCAGGATGGCCTCAAACTTCTGGCCTCAAGTGATTCACCCACCTCAGCCTCCCAGACTGTTGGGATTAGAGGTATGAACAACTGCACCTGGTCAGTTTTTATTTTTTAATAATTTGCGTTTTTTCCCAATCTCATAATTAATTGCAGTCTTATGTAGGAATATGAGTCTTATAAAAGTCTCATCTTTTTAATTTCCTTTAAATATTTTAATTTTGCTACTTATAATTATTCAATGAATCATCAGAACTTTGATATAACACTTATGAAAGGAAACTAAGATGAAAATGAAAGTATACAGTACATAGAACAACTTCTGCTCATAAGTAACATAATCTTAGAGAGAAGACTAGGCTAATACAAATAAGAGCATTTCCTGACACAGATCCTAGAGACATTTTTTTAACTTGCTAACAACATTCGCTAACTGATACCTAGAAGGATGCTTAGAAAGATATCCTTTTATATACATTGTCAATGTAGCAGGGCTACATAGCATGCTCCCCTTAAGGACTGGCTCAGGATAATACTTAAATTTTTATCAGGGCTCTCATCCTTCTCTTCTAGTTCAATGTGTTTCTATAATGTAGAGAAGCCTTTAAAAGATACCAAAATCAATCACTAACTGTCTTGCAAATATAACTCATCAATTCTTCAACCCTTATCCTTTCAAAGACCAGTCTATTATTTTTTCTCCTCTTCCTCCCAATTTATCCATTCTTTTCCTTAGGCTCTGCTTCTCATTATCTGCCCACAATGATTCTTTAACAAGAGAACATGAAAACAGCCATATTTTCTTAGGTAGGAAGTATTATGCTGCTCTACTTACATCAGTATTATTTTCAGAGACTTTTAAGCAGAAACGATTACCTTAGTTTGTTAGGATGGGGGTGGAGTGTTGGCTTACAAGCCTTCTGAAATTTCATGTCAAATTATGCATCAAAAATTGCTCAGGCTGGGCACAGTGGCTGACACCTGTAATCCTAGTACTTTATGAGGCTGAGATCACTTGAGCTCAGGAGTTCGAGACCAGCCTGGGAAACGTGGCAATACCCCATCTCTACATGAAACACAAAAACTAACCAGGTGTGATGGCACACACCTGTAGTCCCAGCTACTCAGGAAGCTGAGGCAGTAGGATGGCTTGAGCTCAGGAGGCAGAGGTTGTGGTGAGCTGAGATCGTGCCACTGTACTCCAGGCTGGACAACAGAATGAGACCATGTCTCAGGAAAAAAAAAAAAAGAAAAAAAGTTAAACAGCATTAGTCCAAGGATTGGGAGGAAAAAGTGGCATTTCTCCTTATGGCTATTGAAGTCCAATTTCACTTATATGTGAGATCCCAGCATATGGCCATATAAAGTAATATAGCTTTGAGAATAGTATGTTTCTTTAAAGGACCCCTTTACATTAAAGTCTTGGTGATTTTGCATAAAAACTGAATACTAGGTTTTTCTTTTTGTTTTTCCTAAATACACTACTGCTTTCACTTTAGCTCTAGAAATAGTTAAAAGGGTATGATGTGCCAGTGTAGTTGGAAGAGTTTGTATTGGAAGACCTTTAGCAATTAATTTGGAAAATTCTGGGTTTTGCAGTGTTTCTTTCCTCTGATGTCACAAAAATGTAAGCACATGCAATAATGAGGTCATTATTGATCATCGGCAGGAACTGACTATTAAAATCCCTTAACATTTTCCTGAATGATAATATTCGTCAAGTACAGCAAAGCCATGGGTGTAGTGAGTGCAAACGTTTCTTCTGTTACTAGCATCATTTTCTACTGTCTCACAGCATTATTTATTACTCATTAATTTGTGGCTGCTATGGTATAATGCAAAGTGTACTAGATTTGTAGTTTATGTTGAATTTTAGTTTGTTAAGTGAGCAGGCTGATTATAAAGTCAAGCCCTAAAGATATAATATTAATGAAATGCTTTCAAACTTCACTTACGTATATAAATTAATTTCACTTGGGTTATTAAATGTGCCTGTTATCTGCACTATCAAGTTCCAATTAATATACCTATGTAGATACATTAAATATATTTCCACTAGCACAAGTTCAAGATGAGCAAAGATCACATGTCAATGTCTGGATGAGACCCCATTAAATGTCCTTTCTTAGCCATGCACCGTATGCCAGTCCCTCTGAAACAGAACAGAACCTAGGACAACAGGAAAAGATGGTGATTCCGTTCCATTGTTTATGTCTTACTGCATGATATGGAGGCTCTTGAGAACAGAAACAGGCAGCACTTCTGGGTAACAAGTACCGGATTTCTGGCCTATTCTCCCTGTTTCCAACATTTGCTTCAACACTTGTTTCTCCACTCATGTGGATGTTACACTTGGAAGTCCAAAACATAGAAAAATGTAGAAACACATACAATTTTATACATGTTCCTGGTTATCACATGAGAAGTTCTGGGAGCAGTACATGCATAGAAGCATCTTTTTCATTGCTCAAATAAGGTCTTTAAACTTTGATGTACTCTTCCTAAGTCAGTGAACCATCTAAGAAACAGAAGATACATCTTCAGTTCAATAGACCAGCACAAAATTAAAGGCTGATGACCTTGATTTTACCTCTGAGAGAGGAAGGCTATTAACATGGAAACAGCTGAATGAAGAGGCAAGTAAATTTCACCCTCCCTGTCTATTGAGAAAAGCTGGGTCTGAATGTATCTCTCCTTTTTTAAATAGAAAAACATAAGTTACAAGGCTTCTTCCTAGCATAAGACAAGGGAAATCTTGTCTAGAACCTTCCAAGGCAGAAGTTTTGTGTATATTACTTCTATGACAATGGGATGGAGGTTTTATAAAATATTTGCATGGTGTACCAAAAATAAAAAAGGGACATTACTTTATGAAAAAGAAGCCTCTATGAAGTAGGTTTGTAAAATCATAAAAAGACAGCCACAAAGACAGAGATGTAAAGGGGTCTGCCTTAAATAAGAAAGGAGAGCAAGGAACCATGTAAAGCAATGGCAGAATTAAAACGTACGTTGAAAGCAGAAATGAGCAGAGTTAAAAATGCACAATATCAAAGAATTAACAGGAAAATGACAAGGACATCAGTGAAAGTAAAAATTATAGACATCGAGAACAGAAAAAGTCTAATTACCTTAAAAATAAATGCAATAAATAATTATGGATATGAAATGCCCCAATAAACCTTACCCAAAATGACTTATGTCTACAAACTGAATAGACTAATACAGTTTTCTCCAAAATAATCACAATATATCCAAACATAGACATATCATGGAATATTGAAACATTTTAAAGGTAAACCAAAAATTAGGAACATTTATAAAGGAGAAAAAAATCAGATAAGCTTCAAACTTCTTATGTGGAATGTCAAATGTTGAAAGACAATGGAACAATTTCAACAAGTTTTGAGGGGAAATAGTTTAATCCAAGAATTTTATACACATTTAAATGGTTACTTATGTGTAAAAACAACAGACATACTTTCTTATTTGGGCAAATTTAAGAGAATGTGCAAAGATGAGAGAAATACTTTCTTATATCACCAAACATTTAGAGAACATAAAACTAATTAATTGATCTTTTTAAGTTTCATGATAAAACTATCCAATAATCTTCTTCAGAAGACAGAAAGATTAATCAAGATCCAGAACTCAAGATTGGGAAAGTTTAAGAATTGCTGATAAGTACTGAAGCTATTTAGAGAAAATAGTTGCATAAAAAAATTATATCATAACAACAATATTAACAATAATAATAAACTGAACATTGAAAACAGCAGATGAGAAAGGCAAGAAAAGTAACAGCATATTAAGTTCTTTATTACATATAAAATAGAATGGCATGAAAAAACAGAGAAAGACATTAGTAACCATTAATATCATTAATACCATTTAAATTTTAAAATATAGTCGGAAGATAAAAGCTATCTTCTGTAATCTGAAGGCAAAGATTTCTAGAACTCCCTAATACCAACATTTTTCTCTTCTTGTCAAATCATTGAACTACATTTTCTGGGCCCCATGCATCTGGACTGAGATGTGAAGGAGCAATTGGCCGTCTATGAGGGTCTAGTTTTCCCATCTAAGGTAGGACTCTAAGGCCCTGGGGAATGGTGGATTCACTAGATGGAAAAAGCCTGTCTTTAATTGACACATAGGAGTTTAAAAAGGGCAACATAATAATAGCAGGGGACTTCAATACTCCACTGACAGTACTAGACAGGTCATCAAGACAGAAAGTCAACAAAGAAACAATGGACTTAGAGTATACCCTAGAACAAATAGACTTAACAGATATTTGTAAAACATTCTACCCCAAAACTGCAGAATATACATTCTATTCATCAGCACATGGAACATTCTCCAAGATAGTCCATATGATAAGCCACAAAATGAGTCTCAACAAATTTAAGAAAATTAAAATCATATCAAGTACTCTTTCAGATCACAGTGGAATAAAATTGGAAATCAACTCCAATAAGAACACTCAAAATGATGCCAATACATGGAAATTAAATAATCTGCTCCTGAATGATCATTGGGTCAACAATGAAATCAAGAAGAAAATTAAAAATTATTTGAACTGAATGATAATAGTGATACAACCTATCAAAACTTCTTGGATATAACAAAAGCAGTGTTAAGAGGAAAGTTCATAGTCTTAAATGCCTATATCAAAAACTCAGAAAGACCACAAATAGACAATCTAAGGTCACACCTCAAGGAACTAGAGAAACAAGTACAAACTAAACCCAAACCCAGCAGAAGAAAAGAAATAACCAAAATCAAAGCAGAACTAAATGCAATTGAAACAAACAACCAAAACAATACAAAAGATAAATGAAATAAAGACCTGTTCTTGGAAAAGATAAATAAAATTGACAGACCATGTAGGAAGATTAACCAAGAAAAGAAGAGAGAAGATCCAAAAAAGCTCAATTAGAAATAAAACAGGAGACATTACAACTGATACCACAGAAATACAAAAGATCATTCAAGGCTACTGTGAACACCTTTATGCAAATAAACTAGAAAACCTAGATAAACTCCTGGAAATATACAACTCTCCTAGATTAAACCAGGAAGTAATAGAAACTCTGAACAGACCAATAACAAGCAGTGAGATTGAAATGGTAATTATAACGTTACCAACAAAAAAAGTCCAGGACCAGACAGATTCACAGCGGAATTCTATCAGATGTTCAAAGAAGAATGGGTACCAATCATATTGACACTATTCCAAAAGATATAGAAAGAAGAAACACTCCTTACATCATTCTTTGAAGCCAATATCATTCTAATACCAAAAACAGGAAAGGACATGACAAAAAAGAAAACTACAGACCAATATCCCTGATGAACATAGATGCAGAAATCCTTAACAAAATACTAGATAACCAAATCCAACAGCATATCAAAAAGACAATTCACCATGATCAAGTAGGTTTCATACCAGGGATGCAGGGATGGTTTAACATATGCAAGTCAATAAATGTGATACACCCCATAAACAGAATTGAAAACAAAAATCACATGATCATCTCAATCAATGCAGAGAAAGCCTTTGACAAAATCCAGCATCCCTTTATAATTAAAACCCTCAGCAAAATAGGCATAGAAAGGACATACTTTAATGTAATAAAAGTCATCTATGATAAACCCACAGCTAACATACTGAATGGGGAAAAGTGGAAAGCTGTATTAGTCTGTTCTCATGCTGCTGATAGAGACATACCTGAGATTGGGCAATTTACAAAAGAAAGAGGTTTAATGGACTCACAGTTCCGCATGGCTGGGGATGCCTCACAATCATGGCAGAAGGTGAAAGGCACATCTCACATGGTGGCAGACAAGAAATGAGAGCTTGTGCAGGGAAACTCCCCTTTATAAAACCATCAGATCTCATCAGACTTATTCACTATCACAAGAATAGCATGGAAAAGACCCGCCCCCATGATTCAATTATCTCCCACTGGGTCCCTCCCATAACACATGGGAATTCTGGGAGCTAAAATTCAAGATGAGATTTAGGTGGGGACACAGCCAAACCATATCATGCTGCCCTGGTCCCTCCCAGATCTCATGTCTTTACATTTCAAAGCCAGTCATGCCTTCCCCACAGTCTCCCACAGTCTTAACTCATTTCAGCATTAACTGAAAAGTCCACAGACCAAAGTCTCATCTGAGACAAGGCAAGTCCCTGCTGCCTATGAGCTTGTAAAATCAAAAGCAAGTTAGTTACTTCCTAGAAACAATGGGGGTACAGGCATTGGGTAAATACAGCTGTTCCAAATGGGAGAAATTGGCCAAAACAAAAGGGCTACAGGCCCCAACGCAAGTCCAAAATCAAGCAGGGAAGTCAAATCTTAAAGCTCCAAAATGATCTCTTTTGAATCCATGTCTCACATCCAGCTCATGCTGATGCAAGAGGTGGGTTCCCATGGTCTTGGGCAGCTCTGCACCTGTGGCTTTACAGGGTACAGCTTCCCTCCTGGCTGCTTTCACAGGTTGGCATTGTCTGTGCTTTTCCAGGTGCACAGTGCAAGCTGTTGGTGGATCTACTATTCTGGGGTCTAGAGGACAGTGGCCCTCTTCTTACAGTAGCACTAGGCAGTGCCCCAATGAGGACTCAGTGTGGAGGCACCCACCCCTTTTCCCTTTTGTGCTGCCCCAACATAGGTTTTCCATGAGTGCCTGCCCCTGCAGCAAACTTCTATCTGGATATCCAGGTGTTTCCATACATACTTTAAAATCTAGGTGGAGGTTCCCAAACCTCAAATCTTGACTTCTGTGCACTGGTAGGCTCAACATCATGTGGAAGCTGCCAGGTCTTGGGGGTTGCACCCTCTGAAGCCGTGGCCCAAGCTCTACATTGGGGCCTTTCAGCCATGGCTGGAGCCACTGAGAAACAGGGCACCAAGTCCTTAGGCTGCACACAGCATGGGAACCCTGGGTCTGGCCCTTGATACCACTTTTTCCTCCTAGGCCTCTGGGCCTGTGTTGGTCGCAGCTGTCATGAAGACCTCTGACATGCCCTGGAGACATTTTCCCCATTGTCTTGGGGATTAACATTTGGCTCCTCATTACTTAGGTAAATTATGTAAATTTCTGCAGCTGTCTTGAATTTCTTTTCAGAAAATGGGACTTTCTTTGCTATCACATTGTCAGGCTGCAAATTTTCTGAACTTTTATGCTCTGCTTCCCTTATAAAACTGAATGCCTTTAACAGCACCCAAGTCACCTCTTGAATGTTTTGCTACTTAGAAATTTTTTCTGCCAGATACCCTAAATAATCTCTCTCAAGTTCATAGTTCCACAAATCTCTAGGGCAGGGGCAAAATGCTGCCAGTCTCTTTGCTAAAACATAACAAGAGTCACCTTTGTTCCAGTTCCCAACAAATTCCTCATCTCCATCTGAGACCACCTCAGACTGGATTTCATTGTCCACATCATTATTAGCATTTTGGTCAAAGCCATTCAACAAATCTTTAGGGAGTTCCAAACTTTCCCACATTTTCCTGTCTTCTTCTGAATCCTCCAAACTGTTCCAACCTCTGCCTGTTACCCAATTCCAAAGTTGTTTCCACATTTTTGGCTATCTTTTCAGCAGCATACCACTTTACTGGTGCCAACTTACTGTATTAGTCTGTTCTCATGCTGCTGATAAAGACATACTGGAGATTGGGCAATTTACAAAAGAAAGGCTTACTGGGCTCATAGTTCCACATGGCTTGGGAGGCCTCACAATCATGGTGGAAGGTGAAAGGCACATCTTACATGGCGGTAGACAAGAAAAGAGAGTTTGTGCAGGGAAACTCCCCTTTATAAAACCATCAGATCTCATTAGACTTATTCACTATCATGAGAATAGCATAGGAAAGACCCACCCTATGATTCAATTATCTCCCACTGGGTCCCTCCCACAACATGTGGGCATTATGGGAGCTACAATTCAGGATGAGATTTGGGTGGGGATACAGCCAAACCATATCAAAAGCATTCCCCCTGAGAACTGGAACAAGACAAGTATGCCTACTTTCACCACTTTTATTCAACATACTGAAGCAGCATCATTGTCTGGGGTAAATATCCATGGTTCATCATCTCATGCCAGGGAAATCAAGGATGCAGGCACACAGTAAGTTTCAGAGTGGAGGTTTAATAGGCAAAAGAAAGAGAAAAGAGAATAGCTCTCTCTTCTGCAGAGAAAGAAGGGCTCCCAAATGGGTCTTCCAGTCCACGGCAAAGTGCACGGAGCTTTATAGACTGGCTTGAGGAGGCAGTGCCTGATTTACATAGGGCCTAAAGATTGATGGGACTGTGTGTGCCATTTACATAGTGCATGAATAACCTGGTCACCCCATCCTAATCTTTTGTTATGCAGATGGGTTCTCTACCTGGCCAGTGCCATGTTGTCTGTTTCTTACTGTACATGTGCTCGACAAAGAAAAGGGCAGATGGAGCCACTATGTTGAACATGCCTTGCCCCCAGGTAGCCTTTTTCTGTTGGTGCAGCTGCTGGCATTCATCCATGCAAGCTTCCAGCTTGCTTATCTATGTCTGCAGTTCAATTTAACAGGCTGCTCTTTGTCAGAAAAGAGATAATTTGGGGGCTGCTGCTCTCCATTAAAAGGAAAACCTTATTGAGGACTCTCTTACCATCCCTATCTGCCTAATTTCTTTTTAACTCCTATATCAATAGTATGTAAATCCTAGCCAAAGCAATCAGACAAGAGAAAAAAATATAGGGCATCCAAATAGCTAAAGAGGAAGTCCAACTGTTGCTGTTTTCTGATGACATGATTGTGTACCCAGAAAACCCTAGAGACATTTGGATGACTAAAGAGTCATCCAAAAACCCTCTAAAACTGTTAAATAAATTCAGCAAAGTTTTGGGATACAAAATTAATGTACACAAATCAGTAGCACTGTTATACACAAAGAGCTACCAAGCTGAGAATCAAATCAATAACTTAACCCCTTTTACAATAACTGCAAAAATAAAAAGTAAAATACTTAGGAATCTACCTAACCAAGGAGGTGAAAGACCTCTATAAGGAAAACTATAAAATGCTGCTGAAAGAAACCATAGATGACACAAATGAAAACAAATCCCATATACATGGATGGGTAGAATCAATATTGTGAAAATGATCATACTGCCAAAAGCAATCTGCAAATTCAATGCAATTCCCATCAAATTACCATCAACACAATTCCCATCAATGCAATTCCCATCAAAATACCACCATCATTCTTCACAGAACTTGAAAAAAATCCTAAAATTCATATGTAATCAAAAAAGAACTCACATAGCCAAAGCAAGACTATGCTAAAAGGACAAATCTGGAGGTAACACATCACCTGACCTCAAACTATACTAAAAGGCCATAGTCACAAAAACAGTATGGTACTGGTATAAAAATAGGCATATAGACCAATGAAACAAAATAGAGAACTCAGAAATAAAGCCAAATATTTACAGCCAACTGATCTTTGACAAAAGAAACAAAAACATAAAGTGGGTAAAGGACAACCTATTCAACAAATGGTGCTGGCATAATTTGCAAGCCACATGTAGAAGAATGAAACTAGATCCTCATCTCTCACCTTGTACAAAAATCAACTCAAGATGGAACAAAGACTTAAATCTAAAACCTGAAACCACAAAAATTCTAGAAGATAACATTGGAAAAATCCTTCTAGACATTAGTTTAGGCAAAGACTTTGTGACAAAGAACCTAAAAGCAAATGCAACAAAAAGAAAGATAAATAGTTGGAACTTAATTAAACTAAAAAGCTTCTGCACAGCAAAAGAAATAACCAGCAGAGTAAATAGACAACCCACAGAGTGGGAGACAGTCTTAAAAATCTTTACTTCTGACAAAGGACTAATATCCAGAATCTACAAGCAACTCAAACAAATTAGCAAGAAAAATACAAACAATCAAGTCAAAAAGTGGGCTAAAGACATTAATAGACAATTCTCAAAAGAAGAATGGCCAAGAAACGTGCAAATGGCCAAAAAACATATGAAAAATACTCAACATCACTAATGATCAGGGAAATGCAAATGAAAACCACAATATGGTACCATCTTACTCCTGCAAGAATGGCCATAATCAAAAAACCAAAAAATAATAGACCTTGGCATAGATGTGATACAAAGAACACATTTTTACACTTGGTGGGAACGTAAACTAGTACAACCACTATGAAAAATAGTGTGGAGATTCCTTAAAGAACTAAAAGTAGATTTACCATTTGATTCATCAATCCTACTCCTGGGTATCTACCAAGAGGAAAAGAAGTCATTATATGAAAAGATACTTACACATGCATGTTTATAGCAGCACAGTTCACAATTGTGAAAACATGGAACCAGCCCAAACGCCCATCAATCAATGAGTGGATAAAAAAATTTGGTGTGTGTGTGTGTGTGTGTGTGTGTGTGTGTGTGTGTGTGTGTGTATCAGCCATTCAAAGGAACAAAATAATGGCATTTGCAGAAACCTTGATGGAACTGGAGACCATTATTCTAAGTGAAGTAACTCAGGAATGAAAAACCAAACATCATATGTTCTCACTCATAAGTGAGAGCTAAACTGTAAGGATGCAAAGGCATAAGAATGATACAATGGACTTTGGGCACTCGGGGGAGTGGGTGGAAGGGAGGCAACGGATACAAGACTAACCATTGGGTACAGTGTATACTGCTTGGGTGATGGGTGCACCAAAATCTGAAAAATCACCACTAAAGAACTTATTCGTGTACAAATAAGTAAATAAACAAATTAAAAAGGGATAAGGAAGAGATACAGCTATAGCTTAGATTTTTGGTTTTAGTTTCTGGGTGAATCCCATTAAATAAGATAGAAAACATGGAATTATGGGATGAGATTTTGAAACTTGTTTCATTTGAGACTTCTTGAGTTTGAAGTGTGTCAACAGAAGAGGTTCATAAATTTGAAAAGGAGAGCTTTACTTCTCATAAAGGGTTGCAGCCTGCAGGATGGCCATTCAGACAGCCTGGGAAGCATATGGTAGCCTTAAGCCAGAAGCCAGAAAAGATTCTTCAAGGGAGGAGCAACAGGAATTTATGCTGAGTGGGGTGACTGAATATACATATTCAATAAGCCTCAGGAAGAGTCATGAGTATTTATGAAAGGAGAAACACGCACATGTGCAATTGAGTTTTACATCCCCTGGTGCATCCCACGTACAAAAATGGCAGCATTAGCACAATCTGAGGGTGGAGTTTTCAGCCCTCTGACATCAAGCAGTGAAGAAGAGGACATGAAGACCCTGACTGCAGATTCTCCATACACTGGCCATGACAACTCTGTGGCCAGAGGTCTCTCATCAGTTAGTAGAAGAGGGGCAGCATCAGGTGGTTGGTTGATATCAGTGGTGGAATCTTTTGAAAGGGTGGTTTCTGCTTAGCACTTAGGGAAGTAACCCTAATGGTGTATAGCCAGGGAGGGGTGTCTGACTTCCCATCCCACTGTAGCCAAGAACTCAGTTTTCAAGGTTGCTCTGGTGTCCCCTTGGCCAAGTGGGGATCCACTCAGATGGTTGTTGGAGCTTAGGATTTTGTTATCTTTCAAGTGTTTCTGTGGCAACTAGGTGAACTTAAAAACTACAATGTGAATGTTTGAGTTACAGTTATACAATATGGAGTTAAGGCTTGTACTTGCTTGTATTTGATGCAATAGAAAGAAATCGGGATTTCCTGTGAGATTATGTTAAATATGTGTATATTGGGATATATTTTCTCAGATATTCTAATCCTATTATGTATGATGCATATTTTGTGGACCACATAAATTTATCTGAGCAGGTATTGCCCTACTTGTGGGAATATCAAGTTAATCTCTGATATGGTTAGGTCCCATGTCCCCACCCAAATCTCATCTTAAATTGTAATCTCCATAATACCCATGTGTCAAGGGCAGGACCTGGTGGGAGGTGATTGGATTACGGGGGTGGTTTCCCCCACGCTGTTCTCATGATAGTGAGTTCTCGCAAGATCTGATGGTTTCATAAGTGTTTGACAGTTCCTCCTATGTGTGCATTCTCTCTCTCACCTATCTCGCATGTCGTCTCTTCACCTTCTGCCATGATCGTAAGTTTCCTGAGGCCTTTCCAGCCATGCAGAACTGTGGGTCAATTAAACCTTTTTCCTTTATAAATTACTCAGTCTTGCATATTTCTTTATAGCAATGTGAGAACAGACTATTACAATCTCAGTGAGCTGAAAAAGGTTGTAACCTTTTTGGATAAGAGCTTTGCTATTAAATGTTATTTTTAGTTGCAACCTCCAATCCTTGGTCAGAAATTTTATCTTAGCTGGAGCAAATTCTCAAATATAGAACAGGCTCCTCTCCTTTATAATGAATTCCTAAATAATTTTAACAGTAGTTAGATATGTATTAGTTTGCTCGGGCTGCCTTAACAAAATATTAAAGGCTGGGTGGCTTGAACAACAGAAACTTATTTCTCACAATCTGGAGGCTAGAGGTTCGTGATCAAGGCGCCAGCAAATTTAGTTTCTGCTGAGGGCTCTTTCCCTGGCTTTTGGAGAGCTACTTTCTAGCTGCTGAGTTTTCCCATGCTTTTCCTCTGTGATCGGAGAAAGGGAGAGAAGGGGTTGGGGGAGAGACAGAGAGAAAGAGCAAGCGAGCCTGTGTGCTAACTTATGAAATCGAGGTCCCACTCTTATAATCTCATTTAACCTTAATTACGGTTGACCCTTGAACAACACAATAACACAGGTGTGAACTGCTTGGGTCCATTTATAAAGGGACTTTTTTCAACCAAACAAGAATTGAAAATATAGTATTCTCAGCTGGCATGGTGGCTCTAGCCTGTAATCCCAGCACTTTGGAAGGCCGAGGCGGGAGGATCACGAAGTCAGGAGATTGAGACCTTCCTGGCTAACACAGTGAAACCCCGTCTCTACTAAAAATACAAAAAATCAGCCAGGCGTGGTGGGATGTGCCTGTAGTCCCAGCTACTTGGGAGGCTGAGGCAGGAGAATTGCTTGAACACAGGAGGTGGAGGTTGCAGTGAGCCGAGATCACACCACTGCACTCCAGCCTGAGTGACAGAATGAGACTCCATCTCCAAAAAAAATAAAGTAGTATTCTCCCATGCAAAACTCGTGTAGAAGGCCAACTTTTCATATACATGGATTCTGCACGGCTGACTGCTGGACTTGAGTATGCACAGCTTTGGTGTACTTAGGGGGCAGTCCTGGAACCAATCGCCTGCATATACCAAGGGATGACTGTATTTCTTTAGAGGCCCCGTCTCCAAATACAGCTACACTGAGAATTAGGGCTTTAGTCCATAACAGACGGGCTAGTTAAAAGTTATCCTGCAACAGCAAGTAGATTGTGCTTCTTACATGGCCTTAAATTATTGCCATGGTTCCCAGCAAAGGGGGATCAAGGGTTTATATCACCACCAAACCTCATGTGACCTCCAGTGTACTAGTTTTGGAAGATGAGGCCTAGTTGGAGGTGTTTGTTGCATGGGGCCAGATTCTCATGAATGGCTTGGTGTCTTGCTCTGGCAAGGCTGGGTTAGTTTTTGAAGAAATGAATTAGTTCCCTCAAGAGTGGGTTTTTAGAAAGCCGGGCATCCCTTGGATTTTGCATCTTTGCACATGTCCACTCACCTTTTGACCTTCTCTGTCATGTTTAATGCATCACAAAAGCCCTCACCAGAAACCAAGTAAATACTACAGCCATGCTTCTTGTACAGTCTGCAGAATCATGAGCTAAGCAAAACTCTTTTCCTTATTGACTTCCCAGCCTCAGGTATTCTGTTATAACAACACAAACAGACCAAGACAATTATCAATGTCAATTATGTCTTCTAGATTTTTAACATCTACATTAGAGGTCAGCAAGCTATGTTCCATGAGCTAAATCTGGCCTGTTGGCCTAGTGTGGCCCACCCCCTGCAAGCTAAGAATGGTTTGTACATTTATTTGATTGGGGGAAAAAAACAAAAGAAAAAAAGTATTTCATGACATGTGAGAATTATTAGGTTGGCGCAAAGTAGTTGTGGTTTTTGCCATTACTTCAATGGCGAAAACCACAATTACTTTTGTGCCAACCTAATATATGAAAATCAAATCTCAATGTCCAAAATAAAGTTTTATTGGAACATGGCCATGCTTATTTAAAAATCAGAATCACCTTATTGCTGTTTATGTGCTCCAGTGGCAAATTTGAGTTAAGACAGAGACTGTATGGGCTTCAAAGTCTAACATTATACATATTTGACACTTTACAAAAAAAGTTTGTTGTACTGATTCAGATCAATTATAGTAAATCATTTCATTTATTAGATCTCTTAATTTATTTGTCTAGGACTAAATTCTTCAGACATCTCACATTAGCAGGCTCATTTTGGGAGGTAATGTTGCTCAAATGTAAAAACCTGGAAGGACCTTATTAAGCTGATTTTATGATGGAAGTCTTGATCTTGCTCGCAGAATCTCCAAATTAGAGTCCAATTTTCCAAGTTCTATGGTGCAGGGCTCTGCGTCACCAACTAAGCAGCTCTTGGAAAATTTGAGCTTGTCAAAACTGCTCTTGAGAAAATTCTTTACTCTGCCTGAGGGTACTACTGCTGACATGAAGTGGAAAGATTAACTTCTTGGGCAATAATCCTTCAAGTCAGCCTCCTTAGTTTTCCGAGCAGCATATCTCCTGTCTTGTCTCTAGTTTACCCATCTGTCAAAACCAAACACCTGCACTTTGGAAACTCCAGAGCTACTTTAGTCTCTCATAGTGTTCCAGCTTCTATCAGGGGCCTGCCAGAGAAAACTGTATTTAAAGGAGATAGTATAATAGATATATTAATTATTCATCATTTTATATTTAGTTAAAAAACAGGATAGCTAATTTCTACTTTTAAGGTAAATTGATATGGGCAAACAGGGAATGAGTTAGTTAGCGAAGCTGGTGAAACCTAAAATCTCCAAAATATAATAGTTTAAATAAAATCCATGTTAATTTGTATCTCATGTAATAGCTTCAAAGTGATCAAAACAGACTGTGCTCCATGTGGTCACTTAAGAACCCAGGAACTTTCTCTTATGGGGATTTTGGATCTCTTTGGGTGTTGTACACGACTGCATAGTTGAACCTGAGAACATGATCATGTCCTCATTCCAGTCCAGGGGAAGGGCTAAAAGAGAACAAGTAGGCACACACCCAGTGTTTTCTGGTTAATACCCAAAAAGATGCAGATTGTCTTTCACTTTCTATTGACACAAACACATACTACTGGTATTTCACCTGGCCATGACTAATTGCAAGGGAGGTTAGTAAATGCAGTTTCTAGATAAGGGGCAAGGCTATCACTAAAAGAAAAAGAGGAGAATGGATGCCATGCAATAGTTAGTAGTTTTCGCTTTTTTTTTTTTTTTTTTTTGAGACAGAGTCTCACTCTGTCACCAGGCTGGAGTGCAGTGGCACGATCTCGGCTCACTGCAACCTCCGCCTCCCGGGTACAAGCGAGTCTCCTGCCTCAGTCTCCCGACTAGCTGGGACTACAGGCATGCACCACCACACCTGGCCAATTTTTGTATTTTTAGTAGAGACGGAGTTTCACCATGTTGGCCAGGATGGTCTCGATCTCCTGACCTCATTATCCGCCCACCTCGGCCTCCCAAAGTGCTGGGATTACAGGCATGAGCCATGGAACCCAGACTAAGTTTTCAACATTTTAACTAGATTTTTAAATTTCTATCTTTTAGCCAAGTCAGGTAATTATAAAATAACATATATTCTTTATGCATCTTCAACTCACTGTAGAAATGCTTTTATCTCCTTTGTAGGGACATGGATGAAGCTGGAAACCATCATTCTCAGCAAACTATAGCAAGGACAAAAAACCAAACACCGCATGTTCTCACTCATAGTTGGGAATTGAACAATGAGAACACTAGGACACAGGAAGGGGAACATCACACACCGGGGCCTGTCGTGGGGTGGGGGGAGTGGGGAGGGATAGCATTAGGAGATATACCTAATGTAAATGACGAGTTAATGGGTGCAGCACACCAACATGGCACATGTTTACATATGTAACAAACCTGCACGTTGTGCAGATGTACCCTAGAACTTAAAGTATAATAATAATAAAAAAAATGCTTTTATCTGAATAGTCTTGCAAAATCAACTTCCAAGCTTTTACTAGACATGGCTTCCCCTTTTATATATTATATAAAATGGTATTGAAAGGACCATGCACATTTTAGAAATAGAATAATACTCTGTATTACAAATACTAGGTGATTACTAATTGTTAAACATATATTATTTCATTTAGTCCTTAACAGATTTCAGGGCAGTTATTATCTTCATATTTCTGATTAGAAAACTGGAACTCAGGTTAAATTCTAGGTCGTAGTGCCAAAAC
Organism: Homo sapiens; assembly: GCF_000001405.40. Taxonomy (NCBI): domain Eukaryota; kingdom Metazoa; phylum Chordata; class Mammalia; order Primates; family Hominidae; genus Homo; species Homo sapiens. Next base: position 215,862,849 of record NC_000001.11, read on the forward strand.
ATATTGGAACTGGGATTCAAATTTAAGTATCCCTGATCCCAAAGTCTATTTTAAAACTATTTATTCATATGGCTGCATACAATGTTGGCGGTTGTCATTTTTGTAATTAGAAGAATTTGAAACCTTGAGTATAGATGGAATCACCAACAAGAGAACAGGAGTATGATAGGAAGACTCAGGAAAGAACTTTGAGAAACATCTTTAGGGATGAGAAGAAGTAGTTGGTGAGAAGAGGGGAGTAATGATTATTGGGGAAGAATTATAGTCAGTAAGGGATCATTCACAGTGCTGGATACAAGAGGAACACAGTAGGATGGCATTGAGAAGAGAGTTTTGAAATGGGTCATTAGGTGATAACTAATGACTTTAAGAAAACCATGTAGAGTACAAGTGAAGAGAGACAGATTACAACAGGTGCACAAGTGACTGAGAAGGAAGACAATGGAAAAGTCAGATGTGGTCTCTTCTATTTGATAACTAAAGTGATGGAAAAGAGAACAGAGGAACAAGGTGAGGCAACAATGGTAGGTGCTTTTTAGAAGAGATGAGATTTGGAATTATTTACAGATATTGCCACCTTAATCAGATAAATTCAGGCAAAGTCAGATATACTTCTAGCTATCAAACCTGGTAGTTTCTGATTAAGAGATCAGGATGAGACAAATGCTTTTTCTGTGGTTTTAAACTTGCCCTCTTAATGATGATACCCTCATACTTTATGCATTTTCCAGAGTTCACTGAGTGCTCAGGACAGAGAAAGTGATAAATGTATCTGTGAGGAAGGAAGGAAAATAGGAAGAAAGAGAGAGAGAGAGAGAGGGTAGAAGAAGAGAAATAGACAAATGGCCAGGCATGGTCCCTTATGGCTGTAATTCCAGCACTTTAGGAGGCCAAGGAGAGAGGATCACTTGAGCCCATTAATTCGAGACTAACCTAAGCATAGGGAGAACCTGTCTCTACAAAAACATTTTAAAAAAGGAAATAGAGAAAGAAGGAAGATGGAAAAAAAGAGGAAGGAGAGAGCAAGACCAGGAGGATTATATGATACAAGATATGAACATCTGAAGGTTGGGGTGAGCTCTTGACAGACAGTAAAGTAGACAATATTTTGATGATTTTTCATTTCCTCTTTTACAAAGCATTGCCCTCTCACTCCCTCCAGTGTTTTACTGCTCTTTTCTGGCCACAACTGACTTCCTTAGTGAATCAGCTTCAAAGGAGGCACTATCTCTCCACTGTACTCCCTTTGGTAGGCATTTTCTTATTTTGCCTTCTATTTTAGACTGAGCAGTCAAGATGAGAAGGATCCTTTTAAATCCTTCTTGTTAAAGTGTTAATGACTGTTAAGTCTAAACGCATGAGAAATAGAAAATTTGATGCCTGAGTCCTAAGTTTGAGTTTGGGAACTGGTACTTTCTATAATTTTTGGTAAGTTACTATGGGCTGGTTTCTATCTCATTGTGCTTTTCTGAGGATTGTATAAATAATTTAAGTGAGGTATTTTTCAAATACAAAAACTGTGATTTTTCAAAATTACAATATAATTTATCTTTGGTGTATTTTGTTTAGGGCAAAATATTTTGTATTATCATATAAAGCAGGGATAAACATCACCTGTCTATTGGGACCAGGAAAATGGGGACCGGGTCAGATTTTTAGGGCATGATCTGTCTAAAGGGGAAGCCAGTTCCAGCTGATAGTTTCCTTCCAGAAATGTGGGTATTGTTTCACCCCATCATTTGACTTGTCAAGTGAATCCTCAAATTATCTTTATGTATAATTCTTAAATGTTTGCAAATATTATTTTTTCAAATACTGTGGGCAAAACAGTGTATGGAAGCTGGAGGAGGAAGGAAATATGGCCACTGTGTTGCCAATTTGCAACATCTGCCTTCCAAAAATGAACTGAAGTAACACAGGGACGCTTTTATCTCACATATCATGTATGTGATACTAATGTTTAAAACTGGCCCTTCAAAAGTTTTTAATAACTTATACATATCAATCTGTGATTGATAAAAATTTACCAGAAACATTTTGCTACCAAAATGATGTGTACATGGGGAGGGTCATAATAGACAAAGACCATGCTTTAAAATATATATATATACATTGGAAGGTGATTTTTAATAAGCAAATATTTATAAATTTAAAACATGATTTTCCACTGCAAAGTATTTTCAATCTATAGTTTGTTGCCTTTGAGCATATTAGACTGTATGCCATGTTTTTCCTATCCAATCAAGACAACAATTTAAAATTAAAATTGCAAAAAATAGGCCACCTTTCACAGAGGATCGACTAGTTAATTTACTTAAGATAGCAAGTTGCCCAAAAGAAGAAAATGATAATGCAACAAGCTTTCGCAAGACTGACCCTCTTCTGAGAGTTAACCTTTGTGCTCACAAATAGTTATCTGAAAAATTTCCAAGGTATGAATGGAAATAACAGCAGATTGCATTACCTACATCCCGAAGGTCAGAGGTTCAGATTACCAAGGTAATGAAACTTCAGTGAGCTGCTTCAGATCTATTAGGTTTGTCAGTTTTTATAAGCACAGTTACTTCAGGAATGCAATTATAACATAAAGGACCTATATTGGTGGAAATTCACCAGCCGGATCTTAACAGAAGTATTCAAATGTCAGATGAGGGGGGAGAGCCTACCTTTATGAGTAGGCTTTTAAGATGAATCAGTTAGTGAGGTGGAGTAGAGAGCAAGAGGGAGATGAATGGAAATATGCCTTAAAACACATCCCCAGATAAAAACTTTGTATTTTTCCCAGAGGTGTTTCAGAGGGTAGCCATAAGCATCAATTAACTTATATTATTCCATTAAAATGGTTTAAGAGATCCCAATACAAGTGTCACAGATCATTAGAAACCTGCAGCCTTATAAAAACCAGAGAAAGACAGTTTTCTTTTGTAAAGATGGATTATTTTGTGGAAACACAGATAAACCTAACCTACTGATTTAATTTATAATTGATATCCTCAATTCTGGCTTTAATTCACAATTGATATCCTCAATTCTGGCTTTAATTCACAATTGATATCACTCAGGTGTCCTAAATGGAGCATCTCTCTTCTTAAGCTGTAACCAAATTCAAGGCTGATCCAGTGTAACCAAAATCACATGGTTACATTGCCCAACCAGTAGTGACTTTTCATCTTTTTATATCATCAATAGATGATTACCCCAGTGAGCAGAGTGTTCTTTCATAAATAAAATGTTTTGAGTGGGTCTTTCCTGATCAGGTATTTCTCAATATTTGGTGTTATTCTGACAAGTTTTGATGAAACTATTTGCCAGATCTCAAGTTATACCTATAAGACTGATTTTAATACATATTCTCATGGTAGATTCAGGGTTTTTTTCCTGATAGTCGTCAGGGATTGACACAAATTAACAGATCACAACAAATTAACATGTTAATACTACCCTACTGACCAAGTAACTGTGAAATTTCAGTTACTGTGGTTTCTAACGTTGCAGGAACAGATTAGATTACTCTGTGAACTCTTCCAAATGCCTGTTAAAAAAGTGTTCCCAGCAGGTCCAGGGTCGACCCTGCATTATTTAAGTGGATCCAGTGGTGATGTCTAGGCTTCCTTTTACTGGATCAAGCTGGAATTCTGCCCATAGCCAGTCTGAAGATGATCCACTGGGAAGAATCTGTTCCATTATTGCAATCCAATTAAATGGTTCTTGCTAATGAGCGACGAGTTACAAGATATTAGGGCAGAGCTCTCTGAAGGAAGGTGAACAATAGTACATTGTATCCAATTAATACATGGACATGTCTATCACAATTGCCTGGTATGATAGAAATTACGTTGTTCATGCAAAGGAAATGACAGAGGGAGAGCAGGAGGCCCAAGAACAATGTCAAAGTAGGAGAGAGTTTGCATCTTAAGAATGGCACAGGGGCCCCAGGGTTTTAGTTTTAATGTGTCCATTTCTAATTTATTTGGGTACTAATAAAAATGGCCCTTCTAAAGTTTTCAATGACAGCCCTGTCAATCTGCAATTGGTAAAAATTTACCAGTAACACTTCACTATCAAAATGATGTGTACATGGGGGAGGTTCATAGTAAAGAAAGAATATGCTTTTAAAAATACACAAAGTGTTAACACAGGTATGAGAAGCTTACTTACTTGGTTTAGCCCACCTCACGTCGATGGCTGTGTGGTTAAGGACACTCGCAGTGAGATTGGCTCCTCTCTCTGGAAGACCAGCTAACGTTGTCACAGTCACTTCTCGGCTCGGTGTAAAACCCACACTGTTGTGTACGAAGAGCATATATTCATAGGTTGTAAACCTAAAATGTTGTTTTGTTAAAAAAAGTATATGAATTTCTACTTTACAGAAAATCTAACAAATAATTTCTTTTTTTCTTCACAAAATACAGGATTTCCTTCCACCCCTCTACAAAATACTGTTTTCTTTTCCTCCCTAGAAAATACATTATTTTATTTTCCCTCCTTACACAACACATATCATTAATTTTGTGACTTGCCAGCATAAACCAAAACATCAGGGAAATATTTTATTAGGAATGCTGAACAAATATTGCTATTGAAAACAAATGTGGTTTATCATTTTCTTATTCTTATTGTTTTCAGAAGTGGTGAGGATTACAGCTCAATTCAAGATGCAATTACAAATCAGGCAACCTGCCAGCTTTCTATCTGAATTTGATCCAGAGAGTTTTATGCTCTTCTTTTTGGAAACTCATCCATTTTCAAATATCAGAATCCCTCATCAACATTTTCTTCCGATACCTATGCTTCTTTCCCATAATCTCACTGCAGACAGATAAACCCCTAAATTAAATTGTAACTGTGACCAAAGTGTACAACATTCTCCCGCTGAGAGTTTTGCTACAGTGAGCTGTATTTTGCCATAGTGTGAACATATTTACTTGAGTCAATACAGTGGAAACCGAATATTACTTTGCAGAAGGCAAAAACTGACATGCTGATGTGATATGAGGAGGACTTTCCAAGTCATTTATTAAATTGACTATAGAGTAAAGCCACCATTTTTTTTTAACCAGTTTTGGGCAGAAGACCATCAGGCTTCCTTTGCTTGGTTCAGAACTACCTGTGTAAGGAAATGCCATAAACAGACACAGTCAGTCTATGAGTGGACAATAGCTTAGACTGAGATACTTGCTTAAACATGTAGTGCAACACACGACCATCCCAGAGGCATCCAGGACACAGGGCAAACACTGGCCTCAGATCATTACCTAATTTGGGTTTATTAGATGATCAAGGATACCTCATCTCCAGTGTAAGGCCCACAGTATTTGTCTCAATATGTCACAATCTCTGATTTGACGATGCAAAGGTGGTGTGGCATGGGTGGGTAGGTGCCATTTGCAGGATTGTGTTAAATAATTTGACCAAAATTATATCAGGATCCTCAGAGCATTTTACTGCCACCTAGGTAGAAGAAATCTGCTTGACTCATCCTGTTTCTTATTCATAGCCCGAAGATACGTTTGCAGGTTTCTGCCTGACCCACATTGAAAGGTGTTGCTCTATTGTAATTACAGGTAAAACTTAGTGACTTTTTGAGGCTATTTATCTATTTCTCCTAAATATGTGCTTGCATCAGATCTTCTACACCTCCCTGCTTTACCATCTCTTCTCAGGTGTTTAATGCCTCTTTTATTTCTGCTTTGTCTGCTGTAGTGGGTTGAACTGTATCTTTCAAAAAGATATTTTCAAGCCCAAGCCCCTGGTCCCTGTGAACACGACCTTATTGGAAGATAGGGTTTTTGCAGATGTAATCAAGTTAAGATGAGGTCATACTGGATTAGGCAGCACCATAAATTCAATGCTGATGTCTTTGGAAGAAAAAAGAGAGAGAAATTTTATAGACACATGGATACACACAGGGAGGTGATGGCCATGTAAAAACAGAAACAGAAATTGGAGTTATGCTGTCACAAGCCAAGGATTTCCTAGGGCTACCAGAAGTTGGAAGAGGCAAGAAAGGGTTCTTCTACAGAGCTTTGGAAGGGAGTCTGGTCCAGAATACAAACTGGTTTGCAACTTCTTATATCCAGACCTGTGAGAGAATAAATTTCTGTTGTTTCAAGCCACCCAGTATGTGATATTTTGTTACTGCAGCCCTGGAAAATGAATACATATGCTTTTTAGCAAGTGCTGAATAGTCCACATAATCCAGACAACTAAAAAATAATAATAGTTACTTAATAGCTGTCAGGCATTTTCTACAGATGTTAACCCATTCATTCCTCACAAAACTCTATAAGGTGCTATTATAATACCTATTTTGAAAATAAGAAAAACAAGGCTCAGAGAGATAAATAACTTGTCCAAGTCATTGAGATAATAAGTAGGAGGACTGAGATTCAAATATAGGCAGTCTGATTTCAGAGCCTGCTCTTTTAACCATGATGCTATACTGCCAACATAATAGTGATGATAATAATAATAGTAATAATAACAATCATAATGATAATCTGTTCTGTCCATACTTGGATGATGTCATATCACTAAGGCTTGAACTTTGCGTTATTTTTCTAGCAGAGGGAATAGATTTTTGCTTACACATTCAAACAGTCTGGCCAAATTTCCTTTGCAACCAATAGTATGAATATGAAGGATGATGAGTCGGGGTTAAGAGGGTAGCAAGCCTATGACAATGGAATGAAATGAAGCTAATGGCTCACAAGGGAATTGAACCAGCGACCTTGGCTTCATTAGCTCTCTCCCTGGGTAAAATACTTATAATTATATTTTACTTCATAAAATGACTTAAAAGAAATGTAGCTAGAGTCTGGATACCTAGCCTCCTCTCCTATAATATGTAAATTTTTCTTCCACATGTCTATGCTATTATACAATTAATAATCTTTATGGATTTAAAGTGATACCATGTTTGTGGTTCTTTCCTACATGTGGAATTAACAATATCAGGTGGCGCTAAAATGGTTGATTGTAAATAAATTCTATAGGGCTTTAGTTTTTATAATACTTTAAGAGATTTCACAATAATTTAGTTATGGCGAAATACACAATTTACGTCTACAAAACTCAGGCCACATAGATACACACAATTGCATGCCTGTTTTCAAGGTGGTTCTAAAATTTTAGAGTAAGAGATGGCTTTAGAGTTTATCTGCTACAAATAATAAAGTGTGTGCTACATCATACAGATTAAACAAAAAACCCTGAGACCCTGAGAAACAAGTGGATTTGTGTAAGTTTGCACAACTAGTTAATGGGGTAGCTGGACATAGGGTTTATTCATTTCCAATATTACACTATTTCCACTTTTTAAAAATTTAATTGAGAAATCAGTAGATATTTCATTTGAGGCCGTACATTTGTCTTTTGTACTTTAACTTTCATTGTTAAGTTAAATTTTTAAGGAAACAAGATTTTTTTTTTATTTTTTATTTTTTTTTTATTTATTTATTTTTTTGAGACGGAGTCTCGCTCTGTGCCCAGGCTGGAGTGCAGTGGCGCGATCTCAGCTCACTGCAAACTCCGCCTCCCGGGTTCACGCCATTCTCCTGCCTCAGCCTTGAGAGTAACTGGGACTACAGGTGTCAGCCACCACTCCTAGCTTTTTTTTTTTTTTTTTTAGTAGAGACGGGGTTTCATCGTGTTAGCCAGGATGGTCTCGATCTTCTGACCTCATGATCCACCCACCTCGGCCTCCCACTGCTGGGATTCTGTACAGGCGTGAGTCACCGCGCCTGGCCGAGGAAACAAGATCCTGAATCCTCTTAAATACTAAAATATACTGTTTTCATTTCATCTGAATTCCAATCTGTATTTAGTAAGAATATATACCTATGGCTTGTCTACATATATATGTTGATTCACATTTCACCACTTCATATCAAAAAAAGAATGTATTAGTTGGCTTGAAGTGGTTTTCCATTCACTCTATGTATACTGTTTTTCAAATGGACTTACGTGTTGATTGTTGATATTAAATGGGACATTCCATTTAATAAATGATAAAAGAATACATTTTAAAACAAAAATGCTAGATCAATTAACATCATATACTTATGACAAAACTTATGTGTATCAATCAATTTCTTCTCTAAATACAAAGTGTGTTCTCTAGGCATGTCTTGAAAAATGTCCATTTTAAACTCTGTAGGAAAAAACTTTTGCAATATAAGTATTCAAAGTAAGTGAATACTTATATTGAGTCTATGATGTAGCCAGTAAAACCAATTGTTTTTGGGTCCATTTAGGAATACTTGGACTATTACAATAGTTTTTCCCCCATTTGCTTGAGACCATCCTCCGGTCTCTCCCTCCTCCACTCCCCAAACAGCAAATTGTAAACTTTATTATGGTATAGACATGACTATGGTAATTTTCCTCATAAAAAATAATATGTGTTAAAATCTTACTTGTGGAACAATATTCATTTCAAGGTTCAGGTGTTATTACTCCAATGAATTAGAAAACTAGATTATGTTTAAATGATGCAGTTTTAATTTGTTTATTTACTGAATAGATAATTTTATAAATGAATGAATAGATGTTTCATAGTTATTTAAGCACTCAGTCTCAAAAATTTCAGGTCACTTATATAATTTTTTAGGTTAGTGAGATAAAAATCTACCTGTCCAATAGAAAGAATATCTCTGCTGAAACTTAGCAAAGTGCTTTTAAAAATATATTGAAAACAAATTATATTGCTTTTTCATATTTAATACATCACTTCACTCATTCATTTGTTCATTCATTTAATATTTATTGGATATTACCAATATGCCAGGTGTTAAAAATAATAAAATTGTTATCTGTCCACCTGGAGCCATAATGTATATAAAATTTTACAGAAATATGTTTTTAAATGAGAACATCTAATTTATTCATTTATTCCTTATTCTTTGAACACGCATCAGATGAAGCATCTAATTTAACCATATCCAGCTGGGAAGTCTTCACGGAGGAGGTAACATTTGGGGCAGGTTTTGATAAGAAGTGGTATTTTATCCAGTGAAGACATTTGTCCAGGGCAAAATATGTGAAGGCTTGTATCTTGGAAGGGACTGATATATTGTGGGAAACCAAAATTCTTCAGGGCAGCTGCAGAATGCCTGGGGTTATTTTCATCAGAATTAAAAATGTGTCAACTTTATTGATGTCCTAACAGAATTCATGTGTTAATATTGTCACCAATATAAATCACGCTTCTGAAAATGCAGGTTATTTAGTTGCTTCTTCCACTAACTCTTCCTCATCTCTGCCACAACCCAAAGTATTTTTCAGTACACCATCACACAAGTGTGGATTTGAGAAATCTCATAAATCATACTTTTCCTTACATCTTCAAATCTTTTGTGGGAATAGCAAACAAAGAAAAATGAAATGCAATATTGTTTCCATTGCTTAAGTCTATAGCTATTAAAATTTTCAGCTGATGGTAGACACTTTAAAAAATCTATTTGTTGATTCTAAAAATAGTATTGAAGATTTTTGCTTCAAAAATTGAAGAGTAATGTTGATCACACTTGAATATTTTTAATATGAGACATTTTAGATTGTGAGTGAAACTTGAAGCTGTTATGTTTCTGTTGCTATCTATATCTACACTACCAGAATTGTCAGACCTAAGATAATTTTGCAGTAATTTCCATCTTTGTTCTACTTTGTCATCACCATGAGAAAGAAATACAGCCAATGAAAGTAGTTTTTCTGCTTTTTTATTCTAAGAAAACACTAGGGGAAAAAAACCTCCTGTGACAAAACACATCCTTCTGGATTTAGAAGTTCATTTTTCATGAGTGATATAGTTTGGATATTTGTCCCCTCCAAATCTTATGTTGAAATGTGATCACCAATGTTGAATGTAGGCCCTAATGGGATGTGCTTGGATCATAGGGGTGAATCCCTTATGAATGGCTTGCTGTCATCCCTGTGGTAGTGAGTGAGCCCTCACAATATTAGCTCAGGGGAGAGCTGGTTGTTTAAGAGCATGGCATTCCTCCCAGCGCCCTCTTGCTCCCTCTCTTGCCATGTGACATACCTGCTCCCTTTTCACCTTCCACCACGGGTAAAAGCTCCCTGAAGCCTTCACCAGAGGAAGACGCTGGCACCAGGCTTCTTGTACAGCCTGCAGAACCATGAGCCAAGTAAACTTTTCTTTATAAATTATCCAGTCTCAGGTGTTTCTTTAGAGCATTGCAAAATGGGCTAATACAAGGAGGTAACACATAATATGATGACACAGAAAAGGACATCGTGTAGGGCATGTAAGGCATTGAAAAAAAAATCCAATGGGAAAAAACACTGTGACCAATTTAATTTGAATGTGAAAGACATGTTTACTCCTTTTGAATTAAGTGCATGGCTATGAGATGGCATACTAGTGTTGACAGAAGTTGGCTTTCATTCTTAGACTCAATTTTTATTCACATTCCCATATTAAGGAATAAATTAACAGGATCTATCTCATCTTGGTAGTCACGGGAGAAGCTTTCCTTTCACTTGCCCTTTCTATGTACAAAGTTAACTTCTTCACTTAATAGCTACAATCTGACATTATTTATATTATAGAAACACGTGTCATGGAACTGACCCAGTCTTTCATACTAGCAAAGATGCAGATGTCATCTATACATATTTAATCTCATTACAAAGAAGAGGAACAAAAGTTATGTTCTTTTGAATATTATCCCCCACAGAAATGGCATCCTCTTTTAGGACTTGAAACATCTTTATTTTAGTAGATTTAAAAATATATATGAAAATATATGTCAATAAGATTTAAACTTAGAATTTATGATATATTTAGCTTAAGCATTTACATCTTAAGTCTTACCCTTCTTTGAAAAATAAGACGAAAATGTGTTAATTTTGAATGTTTTAATTTAAATGTAATACAATTAGTGGATTCTCGAGGAATCACATAGAGGTCTCCATCCAAATTGTCATTGCAAAAAAAAAAAAAAATACTCTGAGAAATGTATAAATAATTAAAAGGAATAGCAATTAGAACATACATTCCTTCATAAACTTAATGAAAGCTAATTTATAAATCTAAATTATAATCTGACAGTCAATATTTTCTCTATAATAGTAAAATAACCCTATTGTTTATTATAACTTGTTCTTCTTTAAATCCACAACGAAAAGGAGAACATGCTCATTGTATTCTTAGCAGTTTTATCTGATCACTTAGGAACCAAGGCAGTGTTGTTAGGTGCTGAAAATTGTGAAGGTAGATTGATGCTTAAAATGAAGGAGGTCGCCGCCCTCTTGTTAAACCCTGCCTGACTCACTTCGGCAGCTTCAGATGATAACAGCACGTTCGCCAGATTTTCTAAGTGATGAAAATGTCAGGAAACCCAAAGTTATAGTTCCCCCAACAACCATAACTTGCTCACTTTGCAAGGAATTATTAAGGAAGAAAAGTTAGAAACTGACAAGCAGTATAAACCTGTAGTTATACGGAATTCGTGTCTACACAGGCAGAGCAAAATTCGATAATGAGGCAACTAGCTGTGCAATTTAGACAAAAATTACTCCTTACCTAAGATAATCATAAGAGCAAAAAGTATTTTTGTTAGAATTAAATTATCTGGATAATTGACTTGAGACTGTTTTGTACATGTAGATATAAAAGAAAAAATAACTACTAGAATGATCTGAAGTTCCAAATATAATGATGTTTTAAATTAAATTGGTGCTTTTCTATGCGTTATAAACACATACTTAGCCAAAATAGACCACTTGAACTAGGAAATTGGCTTCAACTTATATTTACTGTCACAAATATATTCATAAAGAGATGTCTAGTGAATCTTAATTTTACTTTTTATATCAGGAGAAGTGCCATTTAAAAGCTGATTCTAAATGTAACTATGGTGATATTCAAGTCAAGATGGTAAGAAACACTTCAGTGCTCCTTTTATTTATGCAGACGTTAAGTTAAGAAGGAAATTGGGATGGTGGAATCTGGGGAGAATAGGAAATTACATAATCCTCCCAAAGATATTAGAATTCAATTAAAAACCCAGGAAAACATACCTGGCCAAACAAATAAATCAGCAAAACAAATATAGGCAAAGGAAGGGCCATGAAGGAACAGTAACACAGGGGTGAACCAACACATGATGAACACTCAGCTTCATCCCCCTCTGCAATTTGACAGACCACTAGCTGACCAGCAGGAACAAGGAGCCCCGGATGTTGCCAAGGTGGCCAGTGGCACCATCTAACCAAACAAAATCACTTCCTTTAAAGAGAAAAATATCCTGCCCGCCAGGGGATCAAGTTTTGGTTTTCTCTCATATTTGCAAGACACTCCCCCTTGGGCTAAAGGCACTCCTAGCTTTTTATGGACTTATAAAGGGTAGAGGGCTAGAAAAAGAGATTCTTATAAAGACTCACGCCATTTACACTGAATGTTAAGAAGAAATGCTTTTTTTTTTTCTACAAGCTTAATGTAAGTTGTAGCTGTTATTTTAATAAATAAAAAAAATCTGTGCAAGTACTACCGGAAAAAAATGACATTTGGCATTATGAAACTAGTCAAAATATCCCTTTAACACAATTTTGTTATCTGCACACTTCCCTTCCGGAAGCAGCTGTCATGGGTGTGTTTATGTCAATTCATGTTTCAATTTAAGTTGTGGAAATTCACTTTATTTTTTCCTGAAATCTTAGATTTGAACTTCTCATTAAGAATCCTTAGAGGAATCACTAAAAATTCATAACTAACTTCATGGCCTTGGTCCTAATTATTTAATAAGTTTTCATTTCTTGTATAAAGAAACAAAATTAACTTTTGGAAACTTATTCTTTGTTTTTGCTGAGTAGCTCATGGCTAAAACTCAGATTCAGTAATGTTAAAGAGTCAAGTTCTATTTATTTTTTGAAATAGTTATATTTAAGCACTTAAGAGTTCATAGGTCACAGGAAGCTACTATTTGAAGTGATTTCTTTAGGCAGAATTGGTGACTTTGTAGATAACTCTGAGGACAGCAATTAATATATATATTAATTATATATATTATTAATTATATATAATAATCAATATATAAATATATAATATATATTGATTATTATATATAATTAATAATGTATATAATATATAAAAATACATATTATATCACACTCTCTATGGAGGGGGCGGGGGGAAGGGTTCCTCCACTAGATTATAAGTTCTTTGAGGTCAAGGGCTAAGATGTATTTATCTTTTGTTCCTTATCACAGTGCCTCAGCACACAGTAAGCACAAATAAGCAAAAATAAATGAATTTATTCTACTGAAGTGATAATCATATAGGGATGCCAAATTAAGTAAATAATGAATTAAAAGTAGTTGAGAATAGTATAATGAGCATTATAATTTAGGATAAGCAACATGGATCTGCTAGTAATTGACCAATCTTCACCTATAAAAGTGGCAGTTTCATATAGTTCATTCTGTTGCTTGATCAGATTTACGAGATGCCTCTCTCTGAGAATCTTACAAGAACTAGGATGTTTTCCCACCACAACTTTTTAAGAGGACAGGAGAATTTTCCTTAGTTTTGCCATTCCCCAGAGAGAAGAACACTACAGCTAATATTCCTAAGGTACAGAGCAGTGAATTAATTCTTGATTGAGCTAACCTATTTTTAAGTATTCAGGTGTAGGGCACTATGTGCTGGTATGTGCCAGACACCATGCTAGGAACTGAAGACAGAGTCACGAAGACCGCACCCCTGCCTTATGGTAGATCTGATAATATAACGTGGTGTTTAGACAAGCAGTCAGGCCAGTACACTACAATGACAATAGTGATATGTTAGGGGATGTCCTATGGAAATGTTACAGAGGAGCTGAATCAGACCAGCAAGAGTGTTGGCAGGAAAGGCCTCCTAGAGGAAGAAACCTCCAGGCTAAGACGTGGCAGATGATCTAGTCAGGCAACAGGAAAAGGCAACTATGGGGAAAAGCTGAAAGAGCAAGTGTTGTATGTTGGAGGTACTGAATGCAATACAAATGTGGCTGGAATGCAGAGGCCTTGGTAAGAAAGGGATGGGAGACAAGGCTAGAATGGTAAACAGGGTTCAGACTACAGCTACCCAGTGGTGGGTCTAGAAAAATAATGACCCACATAGAAAAGTTACTGAAACATATGATCGAGGAGTTTTCATAAAATAACGTTCATGTTTTCTGAAATTTAATCACATTGCTTGAACTCATGAAGATTTAGAAGTCATTTAATTCTATAAAATCACCTCATTTTATGGACAACAAAAATGAAGCCCAGAGAAGTTAAGTGATTTTTAAGTAGTGAAGCTTTGTGGCCTAAAGTCACAAAGCTAGTTCTCCAGCACAGGCTAAAGCAGAACCAGATCTCCTAACTCTCCCATGTAGCACCCTTTTCTACTGTCACCTATTAGCCTTTACTGAATGTCTTTGAACTCTAGATTGAATTCTTTCAAGTCCCAATCCTGTTCACTAATGTTTTCTTTTGCGGACTGAATCAATAACTTACAATCAATTATAAGTCATTATAATTCATTTATAAGCCATTTCTAGAAATAGCAAGCATTCTACAAGTGCCCAGGAATTTTCCCCATTTTGTATGTGTTCAATATTTCCAAATTCTTCCATAACGTTTTATGTCTAGATGGAGCCGTGACAAAGGCAATAGGTTAAGGCTTGAACATCTACAAGTTCAACTTCAAAAGGCTTATTTTAAGCATGCAGTTAAGATGGAAAACATTAAACATGCTGACTGTTACAGCTGGGTGATTAATGCCACAGATAATAACCAAACATGTTTTATTGCATAACTGATAACACGCTCACACAATGAAGACACTGAGATACTTTGAACTATTCAACATGCCCAGAACTAAATGCCAGCATTTGTTTTTATAGTTTTTGTAATCTCACCTGCTAAGACCCTTATCTTCATAAAGCCACTGAGTTCCTGAATAAATATTGTGCCACCGATTTAAATCTTCTGGGGGATTTGATGCAAGTGGCTGCTGGATTTTACGTCTCAGAAGCTCATATCTAAAGCAAAAGACAAGCAGGAACATCAGGATTATCTCAACTCATATTGAGATTACCAAAACTCAGGCTGTTCTGTGGCATGTGCGTGTGATATATGCGTGGAAGCATAAAGAATAACATCTTAAGTTTACAGTTACGTGGTTTTGTTTCAGATGAACGTTTTTTTTTCTGGACCAAATTCCATATATTTAATATTTTGAAGAATCAGTTACATTCGCATTTTACTATTATCTCCCAGAATGATAGCATTTTAGATTTCTTCTAAGTTAGATGTGCCAAATCTTTACTGCCAGTTTCGCACAAAGTAGAAATACACAAAGCTTATCAAGTTAATGGTTTCCTATGACTATCAATACTTTATAAACGATGATAATATTATCAACTTTGTATTCTTGGCCAAGTATCAAGTTTGGGTGGTTGCAAAACCATTTCTGAATCACAGCTCTTTTCTTTCATCGTATCGGGCTCCCTGACCACACTCCTCACAAGTTTCCATAAGCTAACAACATGCCAAAGAATTACTGTGTTAGCCTTAGAATTCTGAGGTACATTTGTGCAAATGTATCATATAGAACCTACATCAGGTTTGCCTAACATATAATAAAAGCATATGTTGAAAATGAAGTGATGGATTATGTAGCGAATCCTTAGACAATAGTGATTGTGGTTTCAAGGGTTTTTAGTTCTTCAAATTGATAAACTTTGATGTTTCCATAATAAGTTGAAGTGTACAGTATGATAGTGTATGAAAGTTATGAGTCAGGGGATATTCAATGCCAAATTAGTTCTATGTTCATATAGGAATAAAAGCCTCCTTCATTTCCCTACTTCTCAGAGAGATAAGGACTACAGCAACATAAAAATCATAGTCACCTTCTCTTACCTCAAATTAGGTCCATTTGGCTTGGATGGTGGTTGCCAAGAAATCACAACATATGATTCACTTAGTGGAATCACAGACAATGGGCCAACATTCTGAGGTACGGTGGGGTGAGTGGTAACATAGGTAGGTAAACTCTCTGTGCACCCTCCAAGGTACCCATTACCCCCTGAGCAAGCAACAATGGTGACAGAATAATTAGTGAAAGGAATCAGATGAGTAACTTTTTGACTTAACACTGCGGAAGTCACATTGGTTAAAGTGATGTGAGGGTCAGGCATGTGAATCTCATAGCTAAGTATGTCTCCGTTCTGGATGAGTGGGGGTTTCCAAGTGACCTGAAATGAAAGATAAACTTAGAATCAGTGTGACGATACAGGAATAGAGCAATTGAAGTTCACGAGGCCTAGAATTTTGCTCTTGTTTTCAGTTAAGTCATTTTCTAAATGGCTACATTCTCCTGAGGCCTTTGGACTAGACAGTAATGAAGGGTTTGAGATCAATTAGCAGTACTCCAGGAGCTAAATGAAATGCTGTTTCCTGGGTTTGGCTTTCAGTCTTGCCACTTTCTACGACTGTCAGACTGATACACACCTTAGCGATTCATCGCCACTGTGGGTGTTCTGAAGGACACAGAGCAAACACATGGAGAAAATTCACACATCCACATGCTTCAATAGGGTTGCATAGGATTTGATGGTTTTCATGTTTATAACTCAACTAAATGAAACATCAGAACTCATTTCTTTGCACTGTTAGTGTGACTGCCAAATAAGTCACTTTTTCTTGGAGGAAGGGAAAGAGAAATCATTATTCATATTTTCCGAAGATGCAAAATTGAGTTCCTGAATCTTATTTATATATAACTTAGCAATTAAAGCATTAATAGCACATCCTCTTCTCAGGGATAAGGAATGTATAGAAAGCTTTGAAAAAGGGAAGCCAAAGATGTTTGTGCTTAGCTAACATGTGGACTTGAGCATCAGAAGAAAGAACAACATTTTGTAGTAGAATTCTAGAATGTCTGAAGTTTATTTTCTTTTCTGGCTAAACTCTACAGGAGCATAGTGGTAACACACTCATGTTCTTATGGGGAAAGAGATCCTAAAAAATGTGCACAGGCCATGACAAAAATCATTTATTTACATGTTATCCTCTTTCATCTCTTTTATTGGTACCTTCTAGTGCTCTTTATATAAATGCCAGGATATATATCTCATGTCCCAGCCTGTAAGCTTCTTCATAGCAGGGATAAACTCTACATTCACTTAGTACCATGTGCACAGAGGTGGAGTTCAGTTAGTAATTAGAGTCATGTTTTGTTAGATTATATTTTTTTCCCTAGCATACAGTTATTTTGAAACTTTAAGAGACAGGTTTCTACAAGGTGACATATTTATATGTACATTTGTACCCCTATGCAAACCAAAGAGGAGCAATATAGAAATTAAAATGGAGAAGGACTGACCATAATTTTCTATCTTAAATCAAAGGGAGAAGGTTTCATCCAGGAAGACTATGACCTGAGATTTTTTAAAGAGTATTCTTACTAATAATTGGTGACAAAAGGGCTCTCACCACATGCTAGTTGGACAATTGCTTGATGATTACTTTGGTAATTTATAATTAACAATGGGCCAATATCTACCAAATTATACTACAGGGGATGAAATCATTGTGAATCTTAAAAAAACTTTTTGGAGAGTTCTAAGAAGAGAGGCTGGGATGAAGAGAAGTTTTAGATGTGTTCCTTATAAACATAGAGGATTTGCCTGGATGTGGGGAATATTTTTAAAAACACCCTAAAACTAGCAAAGGTTGTAGCACAGATATAGGACGCTATTTGTTTTGGAGGTGCAATGCTGTCTGTGGACCCGGAAAATGAGTCAAGGTCAAACTCAGAGAGCTTCCTGGTATTTGTAACAGAAATGAAAAAAAGAAGAGCTATCACAGCTAAATTCAACCTGACTAATCTGAAGAATACGGCTTTCTTGCCTCTTAGACCAGAATACTTTGAGAGTTCAGGTCAGAGCTTGGCAACACTTTAAACCATTAATACTTAGTCCTTGCCCATGCCTATGTCCTGAATGGTATTGCCTAGGTTTTCTTCTAGGGTTTTTATGGTTATAGGTCTAACATTTAAGTCTTTAATCCATCTTGAATTAATGTTTGTATAAGGTATAAAAATACCAAAAATCACCTGGGTGTGGTAGCAGGTGCCTGTAATCCCAGCTACCTGGGAGGCTGAGGCAGGAGAGTTGCTTGAACCAGGGAGGCGGAGGCTGCACTGAGCAGAGATTGCACCATTGAACTCCAGCCTGGGCAACAAGAGTGAAACTCCATCTCAATCAATCAATCAATCAATTAATCAATGTGTTCAAGTTTTTTCTTTTTTTTTAAGACAGCGTCTCACTCTGTCACCCAGCCTGGAGTGCAGCGGTGCGATTTCAGCCCACTGCAACCTCTGCCTTCTGGGTTCGAGCGATTCTCCTGCTTCAGCCCCCTGAGTGGCTAGGAGTATACGCGTGTGCTACCACACCCGGCTAATTTTTGTAGTTTTAGTAGAGAGGGGTTCTGCCATGTTGGCCAGGCTGGTCTCGAACTCCTGACCTCAGGTGATCCACCTGCCTTTGCCTCCCAAAATACTGGGATTACGGGCATGAGCCACCACGCCCTGCCCATGTCCAAGAATTTTAAGGAGCCAGTTAACTAAATATTGTATTCTATTCTTTTCTATGCTTAAGACCACATTTATTATTGTATATGTGGTCAAAATATATGAGATTAAAACTTTCAGTTTGTTTAATTTCCTATGACCTTTTGTATATCCATTGTACATAAGAAAGATTATGAAATATTGTTGCATCCCTAAAAATTCAGACAAAAGAACATGTTATTGGCCTGAATAAGCAAGAAATGTGTTCTTTAAAACAATAATATTACATTAAAACTTTTAAATAGAATTATAGTTTTGCACTGGAAATAAAATGTTTATTTCAGAGATGGCTTTCCTATCACAATGACTTCTTTTATTTGAGTGGTTCTTAATGATTCAGGTTTCCATTTTTTCTGTTTATTGTAAGTCTTCAGAAAATAGGACGGCTAAATTGCCGGTTAAGTGTTTAAGGAACGATTGACTTTCAGCAGCTCTTTTACATCCCTGAAAAGTCTCTCTAAAAAGAATCATGGCACCTTCAAAGTTCCCCATTTTAAGCAGAAACTTAGACATGCAGGTTAGTTGATTGGCTTCAGGCTTGAAAAGAGTAACACCCAAAAGCATAGTAAGCAACTTCCTCACTTCTTTAACTCCATCAAACTATTTTGAAGAACTTCATGAATAAGAGCATTTATAAAGATTGATATATGGGTTAAGAATGGACTAAGAGATGATAAATGTCTCAAAGCGGTGTGGCTTTAGGCAAAACATTTAACATCTCCAGGCCTCGGAACCCTCATGTCTAATGTGATGAGACAATCCTTGCCATCGTGTGTAGACATAAGATTGCATAATTCTAAGAGTATTTTGTCAATAGAAGATAAAAATGTACCATAAAGAAAGATCATGTGGGAATATTTGACTCCGTACAGTGTAGTAATTCCTCTTATGATGGACTCCCCTGAAAAATTCATACAGAACAAGATGTGCAATAAATATTTGTTGAAATAAAGTTGTCTTTCACAATGTCTTCCTTTCCTTTAAAAATATTAATCTTAATTTTTAATTTCAAATATTCTATTTGTATTTTTTCAATCAGACAGAGAAAGAGTACAAATATATAAATACAAGAAACATTAATTGTGGCTCTGTTTTATTTCACTCAGGTGAAAACTTAATAGTCTGAAGTTTATTCTTCCATACTTTTTGTATGCTCGTACAAGCAAAGCAAATATACTCCTGCATATCCTAGGTCTCTCTCTCTTTCTCTTTTATTTTTTAAAAACTTTTCACAGAAAAAAAGTTCTCTACCACTTATGCTGGAACTTGCTTTTCAGACTTAATTGATTATGGACACACCCTATTATTTTTTATGGTTGCATAATATTCCTTTCATGGTTGAAAACAAATTATTTGTTAATCCTACTGACATTATTTTATGCTAAAAATAAAATTTGAAAATGTATGCAATATGTGCTCTTGTGTTTATTTCATATTGGAAAGATTACCAAGTATTGCCATGCCAAAAGGAAAATGCATGTTTAATTTTAATCATTATTGATATACTACTTTCTTAAAAAGTTGGGGAAATTCACTTTATCATAAACAATGAAATTATCCGTGATCTGTGCCTCCACAAACTCTTGAAATTACTGATATTCGTTTTTGCTAATATTACTTGTTTCTTTAATTAATTTTCACTCCCTTGACTTTATGTGAGGTATGAATGAAAAATTAATTGTGGTTTTTGTCATTATTTTTAATGGTAAAAACCGTAATTACTTTTGCACCAACCTAATATATCCTCTTACCTAAATTATTTTCTATTAAAGTATCTTGTATTATAAATTATTAGAAGGCCTATGCATATTAAGGTGAAATTGATTTGTCTGTAGTATGTGTTACAGATGTACTTTCCAGATCTATCTTTTGGATGTTAACTTTTTTTGGTGGGTGGGGGGGAAGTTTATGCCTTAGAAAATCAATCAGATTGTTTCTAGCTACATATAGCTATCTTTTTTTTTTAAGCTACTGAGTTTCTTTTTTTCTTTAGAAAGTGCTCCCCTACATTTAGATTACATGAAATTCTCCTTTTTTTCTAAGATTTTTACTTTTTTAACATTAACATTTTTAATTTATGGGAATTTATTTATAATATGATATGATAAAGGGATCTGTTTTTTCCGTACACATTGATAGTTGGTCGGGCTGGTATCATTTTTTAAAGCAAACCATTCTTTACCAATGAAATAAAATGCAGATTCTACCTACAATAAGTCATTTCAACAAATACTCGTTATCTATACCTAAACTCTCTAGTTGGTTCCAATGACCATTTGTCTTTTTCATGCCAATACCATATTATTATAACTCAATGGCTTTAAAGTAAGTTTACATACTACAGAAAGTACCACCTCATTATTCTTCCACAATTTTCTATAATATTTTCAATCATTTAGTCTTCTATTTATACTTCAAAATCATTTTATCCAGCTTCATCCTTGAAGCCATCATTCTCAGTAAACTAACACAGGAACAGAAAACCAAACACCTCATGTTCCAAACACCACATGTTCCCACTCGTAAGTGGGAGTTGAACAATGAGAACACATGGACACAGGGAGGGGAACATCACACACTGGGGCCTGTCAAGGGGTGGAGGGTAACGGGAGGGAGAGCATTAGGACAAATAACTAATGCATGCAGGGCTTAAAACCTAGATGAGGGTTTGATAGGTGCAACAAATCACCATGGCACATGTATACCTATGTAAGAAACCTGCACGTTCTGTACATGTATCCCAGAACTTAAAGTAAAATAAAAAATAAAAAATTATTTTATCCAGTTTGAAATAAAACAAACAAAAAACATCGGCATTCTGATTTGAATGATGTTCAGTTTATATGTTGACTTTGGAAGGATTGTCTTGTTATGGAGTTAAGTCCTTCCATCCAGGAAGATTGCACTTTTTTTCCATTTGTTGCAGTGTAAAGAAGTAGAGAAGAACATAGGCTCCAGAACCCTATTGCCTGGGTGTGAATTCCAACTCTTACTCCTTATGTAATCTTATGCAGATTACTTAATCCCTCATTCTCAGTTTTCCTGTCTGTAAAATGGGAATGACAATAGCATCTATCTGACACAGTTGTAGTAAGAATTAAATGAAAGCAATTTCTAGAACATAACATGAACTCAGTGAATATATTTTCATTATTATTTTATTTCCTCTGTTTTATACTTTTTGTCTGTGGTTTATTTTAAGTAGACATCAAACATTGGCCCATCTTTAAAAGTCAATGAGGATGATGATTAAGACTCAACTTCTTTTACTTTGCTTTATTATCAAACCCATAAATGAGTGACCCTAAGTGTACATAGCAGAGGGAAGGAAGCTACACATGTTTGTGGTCTGGGTGACACTGTTCCTTGTGGCGCACCTGCCAAGGCTGGTGGCTTCACCTGTCTGAGCTGAGTGAGGACCCTACTGTATAAGAGGAGCTGACAGCTGCAGGATTACTCTATTTTATTCTGCTTCACCTGTGAAAAAGTGGACAGGGGCATCAAGGTTTACAGGCTCATGATGTTATCATAAAAGAAGTTTTTTTTTTCTTTTTTTTGGTGCATCATAGTCATGCAACTTAGTTATTTATACATGTTATTTCTTATCAATCCTCAATTCAAGGCTTCAGTACAGCAGTTTATACATTGACTTTATCCCATTTAAGTACCTTCTTCCTAATCTGATTTTACTTTGACTTTTTGTTAGAAATAACTTCTTAATTGTATGCCTTTTTTTCTGCATCTATTGATAAAAAAAAACCATATGGGCTTTCTACTTTAATTGGTTGATGTAAGACATATGTTGATAGATTTTTTGATGTTGAACCATCCTTACATTTTTAAAATGAAATCAATTTGTCCTTGTATATCATTCTTTTAATATACTGCTTAATTCAATTTGGTAATCTTTTATTTAGAAATTTTGAATCTGTACTCATAAATGAAATTAGTCTATAGTTTCATTGAACTGTTTTAGGTCTTGGTAGAGCATTTTTACCAACCTTATAAAATGAAATACATTTTCTTAGGTGATTAAATATTAAATAAAAGTGCATGGCTTTCACTTATTCAGGTGACACAACTCTTTGACATTATATATTTATTTTTCTTGTAATCAAATAAGATTTTAAGCATATTATTTCATCTATGCTGCTGTGCTCTCCAATTTGCCTTTCTCAAGGCTCATATTTATACCAAGTCATATCACCTCTTTTAGTACTTACTAATATGTTACATTGCATTTATTTTCTAGTTAGCCTAAGTATGTGTTGTCTCTCTTGATTTCCCTATTGGACTGTAATTCTTACAGGTGGCATTGTATGGAGAAAAAAACCACATTGCACAAAATGAGTAACACTAAGGTGAAATACCAACTCTGCTCCTTGTATTATCCCCCACCCTATCAGCTGGCATTCCATATTTCTCTACACTCAATTTGTTCTTCTCCCCCAAGTCCTTATTACTTCCAGGTATATTACATAGTTATTTGTTTGCATTCTGTCTAAAATGTAATCGCCATGAGCCTAGGGACTTCATCTTGATCTCTTCTGTGTCCCTACTGCCTAAAAGAGGCACTTACAAAGATGTTCACTCATGTACTGATGTTCCGTAAATGTCAATAGAACTGAAATTATTATTGTTACTGCTGTTAATATTACTGTCAATTTCCTTCATCCATCCTAATACCTGGAACAACCCTCTATGATAAATAGTTGAATTAATTTCTTAACCAATGCATTAATGACTATCCTTCTGTTATTTCATATAAAATATTTTCTATTTGCAATTTGGACTTTTAAATCTCATATTTTACAAAGAGAAGTCGTTGTTTAGCTGTCATATACCTCTGTTTACCAGCTAAGCTATATCACGAGAACGTCCACTTCGGTAAAGTCTTAAGATCGTTCTGAACATGTGAGCCAATAATACTGAAGGACAGATATGTTATCTTAATACTCTTTAAATAGTATATAGCATTAAATACTAGACTCAGTTGAATATTCCTGCTGATTCTATTGATAACTTTTTATTTCCTAGTTATAAGATGAGAATAAAAAGTGTGAATTTTTAGAATATTACTAGTGTACCATGTTCATATATTTCAGACACCTTCTTAGAGACATTGAGATTCCTGACTTGGGGTTACCAATGCCTTGTGGCCTCAGGTGAGTGCCTATGAGATTCAGCTTTCTAGCCACGCTAATCTAAACTTCTCTAGCAGGCTGACAAGCCATGTATATTGTTTAATTCATGGATGATATTACAAAATCAAAAGAGGGTAAAAATGTGAAGAAAAAGCCAGGCAAGCTGATACTTTTAATTATTGTTTATATATGCTGAATCAAGCAGAATTGTACACTGAGTTCCTCCTCTGAAAATACTTATTTTTTTTTTCTTTTGAGATGGAGTCTCGCTCTGTCGCCCAGGCTGGAGTGCAGTGGCATAATCTCGGCTCACTGCAAGCTCCGCCTCCCAGGTTCACGCCATTCTCCTGCCTCAGCCTCCCGAGTAGCTGGGACTATAGGTGCCCGCCACCAAGCCTGGCTAATTTTTTGTATTTTTAGTAGAGACGGGGTTTCACTGTGTTGGCCAGGATGGTCTCGATCTCCTGACCTCATGATCTGCCTGCCTCGGCCTCCCAAAGTACTGGGATTACAGGCGTGAGCCACCGCACCCGGCCTGAAAATACTTACTCTTTTTCAGATCGGCCACAATCAGTAACGCCTAGTTATAAGATTTTTATTCGAAATAATCCAGAACAATGTCCATTATGTAGTGTTGCCTTTGTAAAGAGACTGTGTTTGTTTTGTTGCATCATAGTGATTGGTACTGCTACCAAAGTTTTACAAAACTCCCCCAAGATTGAAAAAAAAAGTCATTTCTGGAATGATTATTAACTCTATGCTTGGGTTTTGTTTTTGGTTTTGTTTTTATTTTGAATCAAGAGCAATTCTTTACATTGCTCAGTTCATACAATAAACATCGTATATCGTGTACTTAAAATTAATTTCCCATTAGTGTTTAATGAATGGAATTCTATACACATATTTATATCAAAAATGTGTGTTGCTTTGACCAGCTTCATATTAAAACTAACAAAGACTTTTAAAAATAGCTTTTAATTTGTAGGTTAAATTAAATTTCTCCAACAATTTACACTGTTTAGCATCACCTAGTGTTTGCTTTTGGTGGGGGAGAGAGAACACACAACATAGATCCAAGTAATAATTTCAGCAGATGAACTTTGCTGTTATGCAAATGTCCTTTGTTTTGTGCTCCGGTGAGCAAGCTACTGTACCAATGCTTTTGGCAGTAGTACAAGACTGAATCCATGGAAGCCTGTGTGTATTTACACAAAAGAGGCTTCTAAGCTACAAAACTCCCTCCTGTTTGGTTACACTAATTTCCCTTGAATGAAGTTTGTATGCCAGCCAAAACAATGGTAGTTATCCTGTCCACTAGAGTTCATTCCCAATAGAATGAGGTGAATAATTGAACACTTTCTGGATAGCCCGTTAATATGCTATTTTTATTTCTTTCCCCATTACTTTGATTCTTTGATTATTAAAAAATACCAGACTATTGGTAATGGAAAATTTTGTTAATATGCTAATTCATTCCTCCTTATTTTCCCATCTCTTCTCATTTTCTGATCTATTTAAATCTGACGTGGTGGTTAAGCTAAGCATCATTGTGGCATTCAAAATATTTCAGGTGTGCGAGGCAAATGGAAGCATCTCAACAATATAATTAAGGGGATACAGGGATAAATGAAAAACTGACATCGAATTTAAGATAGTTTGGGCCAAAGGCCAAAACCCAGTTTCTCCAGTGAATGCCTAAAACAACAAATGCGTTTGTTTAGTCAGTAGATGGCTCTGTTCAACACAGAGTCAATCCAGGGTACATTCCTAAGTCTGCAAAGGAGAGAGAATAGTCAGTATCTTACCTGGACTGCATCGGGTTCCAGCACTGTCACCACAGGTGGCTGCACCCCAGCAGGTCGTGAGGGTCTTGTGGTAACTTCTACCCAAGCACTGCTGTTTGTGCCTCCATGAAGAGTGCTCATCAGTACCCGATATTCATATTTTGTCCATGGGCTAAGAGCAGAAGTCTTGTCAATAAACCTCATGGAATGACTCCTCGGGAGAGTCACCAGGGTAGTAACTTCTTCCTTTCCTTTGACTCTTCTCTCAATTGTGAAATTCTCCACCAAGCCATTGGGGTGGGTAGGGGGTTGCCAAGATATAATCACAGATGTTGGAGTATCAGAGAACAGCTCTGGACTTGGGATCCCTTCCGGTGCCCCTGGGAGTGTCCATACAGTCTGGGACTCTGGTGAAAGGGAACATCCTTTTGAAGTGCAGGCTTCTACCTGAAACTTATAGGCAGTGTATGGGTGTAAATGCATCACTGTGCAATTAGTGACATTTCCAGGAGTTCTCAAGTATAGACGGCCATGTAGATAAATGTTATAATGGGTAATAACCCCATTGGATTTTCTAGGATGCTGCCAGGTGACCAACATCATTCTTGACTTCACATCCAGAAGAATCGGAGGAACTACAGGTCCAGGTTCTGTAAAGTAAAATAAATCCAGAAAGTCAGACCTCTTGGAAATGTCCCACCTCTCCTCAAAGCTAAAATGAGTGATAGCTCTGCTACAAGGATATGAAAATGAACACTTGGTAAAGGCCAATAAGTAAATAAATAAGTGCCATAAAGACAAGGACTGTGATTGCTTTGCTCATAAATTTTGCGTGTGAAATACTTGTTGAATATTATGAAACTAAAATGATCATTTTCCTCTCTAAGACAGCTTTATCAAAATCATGTCTTTTTATTCAAGCCATTGGTTAAAAAATGAGGATTTAAAAAAATAAATTTAATAAACATACAAGAGGGTAGTTGTTACTAAAGTTCTAGCTTCCCCTACATTTTTTTCTAGAGCCCCAGTAACTAATTATAATCAATAACACTATCATAACAAACTTGCATATTTTACAGCCCAGTAAAATCCTTCAGCATCTCTCATTATATATTCTATATTATACTTGGTTCTGTTTATCATTCTAATCCATGTTTTGCAATTTATCTACTCCCTGTTAATATTATAGGCGATTTTTTACTGTGGCTGTGACAGAAGCTGCCGATTTAGCTCTTTCACCTACTGATAAATAAACAATGCACAGATCTGACCTTTAGGTTAACAGGTTTTATGCTTGCTCCACTCAGCACTCTAACTGATTCAATTATCATAAAGGTTCAGGAGGCTCCATGAATACTGAAAAAGGCCCACCATATGCCTGCATAGGTGTTGTGGAACAGCAAATATTCTGCAGCCCTCCAGAGAAATTCCTTAATTGTAAATAATTTCACCATGCGACACAATCAAGTCACCTTGAATGCAAACCCCTCAGCCTGCGGGGGCAAAGTGTTATTTAAGCTTTACTGGGCTGCGTTAAATTCTGCAATTTGAAGGGCTGTTAAGTTTTTCAATTGAAATTTCATTTAAAATGCAGGTGCTTTTTATTATATTGAGGCTTTACTGCTCTCTAGGTACAAGCAAGAACATGGTGCAATAACACAAATCTGGCTCAATCACTGATCAGTAACAGCTGTAATTCCAGAACATTTAGCATTCTTATAAACCACGGCCTGAAATCTATAAATTGCTAAAACAGATCAAGAAAATACTGTATCCCCCCTTTTCTGCCCACAGCAATTTTGACATTTATGAGATTTTTCTGTGAACATTAGATTTTATTGAAAATCTTTAAAAAAGATATACTTGGATTTAGTAATTGTTTAAAACAGCGTTGATCTTGTGAGTGTGTGTATGCGATTCAGTGTTACAAAGAAGGTTGAAATTTTAAATGCAACCACTGCTTTGCAGGGCCAGTGACTGCAATAATAGTTGGTTATATGAGTACACTTTCACACAACAGGATCCACGTATTTGTCACCAACTGGACTGATGGTAGAATCATAATCACTTTTCGAAGCAAAAGATGTTATAGTGCACTAACTCTGAAATCAAGCTATTTCTGACAATTTGGTAATGTATCCTATTTGAAGAGAAATCCCTAAAAAAAACCCTAAAACCAGCAGTCATGGTATAAATCACACTTTCCGTTTCAGTCTCTTGTTAGCTTTCATTTTAAAGCTTTCTTAAAACCACTATGCCATTTCTTACTTTTGCTCTCTGGTATACAGTAGCAGTAGCAATTATTATATCAAAATGGGGATACAGCTCCTTTCTTATTTATGCTTGTCATCTAGATTTGGCTATTTCCCAGAGAAAAGCAAGTACGAGTCTTGTAAGATATCAATGTTGTTTTGAAATCTAAAAAAACCCCCAAATCCCCTGAGATTGGGTTTCGTAAAATCAATGGTGGAGATTCAAGTCTTTAATGTCTAACCTTATCTCACCCTCTCTTCCCCAAAGAGAGTAATATACACTTAAAAATCAGAATATTTTTTATTAGGGTTTTCATCTGGGTCTTGCATAATTATTCCTCATATGTGAACTATCAAACTGTGAGCATCTTCAGGGAAAAGAAACAACAATGATGCAGTTTGTTCTCTGTGATTGGGGGATAAGGCTTTTATTTCTCCTGCATATGATGATAGTATTATGGGTGAAACATCCATGATAATGAGATGAACTTGCACTTCAAACCCCCACAATACACAGCCTTTTCTTAAAGATGATCTCTTATCTTGGGAAAGGAGAGGTGTTCAATTTCAATTTCATGATTTGTTTCCCCCTTAAAAGCCAGCATACATTTTATTAGCTTCCTGCTCTGGCTGAGTAGATTCGCTGCTCTTGTTGCAGAAGGGTCCTTTAACTTGTGTGATTCTGGAGAGGAAGCTGAAAGCAGCTTAATTAGCTCCTTTGGCTAGGGAAGTGTTAAAACCTGACTCCTGGCACTCTTTCAATTTAGTGCTTTAAAATGATAAGCCGAATCATCTAATTCTATATACAAATCAACTGGCCTGCAACTGCATGGTTGAAAGGGCCACCACAATTATGTAAAACATGAGTAATAACTATAATTGGGGTAGTTTGCTAATACAATAAAAAGCTCTGAACATGAGAAAAGTTATGCTCACAGCAGTAGCTATCACTTTCTAAAGTAAGAATTCATGGATGAAATGACATGAAAAAGATGGTTATAAAATTTTAATGGAATGATAAAAGGCAAAAGTCAGCCTCTCAGCTGAATTCTTAAAATCTCTATATATCACAATCAGCTCCTTAACTGTAAAATCAATGTGGAGTATAACATGTTGTCAATGCGGCTGTCACTGGAGGGGAGACTGGGAGTATGACAGGCACACAGCTCAGCTGGCCGGTGATGAAAATACAACCTTACAGCGCTCTCCGTGGGTGTAATTGTTTAGAGAACTCCCTCTTGGAGCTGGGAACAGGAGCATCCTTTCTGTCCAGATCACAGACTCATATTTCAAACCATTTCATTGCAACATTAATAACGGAAAGTAGTTTCATTTTGGCAAATGAAATTATCTTTTATGGGAAACTATTTTGCTCATCAGCTTCAAAAGTTCAGCCCCAGCCTAAAATAGAGTAATAAAATTGTTAACAGAGGAATCTGCTTATTTAGTTTTATATTCAGGTGTGTATATTGGAAAGGGTGTGTGCGCACACACTTGTTTGTATTTGTATACATGTGTATGAATACCCAGTTTGAATGACTCACAACTTGAGTGTGTATATAACTTTCAGTGGTTTTGTGAGTCTTCTCTACTTGTTTGCTATTCGAGTTACCCATGACTGATCAGTCAGTTTTCTTGTTACATTCTCATTGTTGCCCTGAAGCAATATTTTACCATTCTAATTAAAGCCTCGCTCAGTTTAAAAACTCTTTTTGGTAATATTAACTCCATAAATGAGTATCCCCTAAATTTACCAGTGAATTAAAAATCAAAGTGGCAAATATATGGATGTATAATTATATAAAGCAATATATTGCATGCTAATTGTCAATGTAGCCTTTTGTTATTCACTACTGATATGTTAACAGAATAATGGATTCTATCTTGTCTTTAATCATGAATTCTTTTATCGATTTATTATTTATACCCCAACTACTTCCCAAAAGAATTTTTGACAGCTCATAATAAAAGATCCAAATGTAAGAGGAGCAATAAAATAAAGAAATATTATTAATCTTGTGATAATAAAGAGGGTACAACAGTTATTTCTCAAAACAAAAATTAAGAATGGGCACTGCAGTTTTGCAGAAAAATGAACTTTCAGCCTGACTCTGATAAAAAAGGAAATGGGCTGTATAACATAAGTAACATTATTTAATGAAAGAAACCTCTGAAGGCTAAAAGGCTGTTGGAATTGGAAGGACATTATTTGATAGTTTGCAAATAGGAGAACCAATATTCGGGAACTATTTTTCTCTATTTCTCCTGATATCAGGAGAGTATTGTTTAGAAAGAATGTTTCAACCTCTAGAGCTGGGGCATATTGTGGGGTGAATCGTAGTAGATGCATCTGCGATAATTTGGTGCAGAAAATAAAATGCATTGATGTGAGAATTCATGAAGTCAGGAAAACATCCTAAAAAACCTAAAGGTCATCACATTCACTCCTTATATTTGGGCAAAACTTATCTGAATTATTCCAAATATAGCAAATCAACTCTGTTTACAGGTACATTATCAAAATGAGGAAGACAACAAGATTAAATGAATCTATGTATTGTTTTAGCATTGCAGAATGTTCTTTTATAGGCAGGTGCTATAGAAAATGCTATAGAAAATGATTATGGTAAACATCCATCTTTTTGTTAATAACCAGCAGTTTTTAGATACTTGACTCTCTAAGAATTTAAGATTTGAGAATTAAAACTAAACTCATGCCATTAAATATCAACCTGTGGCAATTATCTTTGAATGATCTCACATAGTCCACTGAGAGTTTTCAAATATTGACAATTTAACTTTTTCAAAGCTAAAGAACAAGAATAGTTTTTAAAAATAGTGGAAGGCCAGCAGATAGCATTTCTGGATAATGAGAGGATATACTTTTCCTGCTAAAGTGTCTTGCATATAATACACCCTCAATAAAATTTAAGTAGTGATAATAAGGCAGCTATGATAAAATTATTTTTCATTAATTTCTTAAAGTAAACATAAAAAACTTGATTTTTCATTACTTTCACCTGCAGTCTTCAGCTGTAAGAAACACAGACATTACAAGCACTCTATATTTGGAAGAGGAGTGTGCTTTAAGTGCCCAGGGGAGATTCGAGAGCTTAAGTGGGAAATTGAGGCAAGGTGGATAGAATTTTTGATTAATCAATCCATCCTTTCAAAGGATTCCGTATTGGTCATTTTTGGCTTGAATAAGTTCCTTTTGATCTTACATTATAAAAATAAAATATAAAAATAATTGTAAATATTTGAATTTGTTAATTCTGAAAATTCAGGAATTTGTGGAGAAAATCTATGCAACAGAAAACAAAGTATGTAGTGAAAACATGCAGAACCATTTTGCTCTCAAAATCAGAAGATTATAAATGTTATTTTTGATCATGGGTCTTCTGTTCTATGCAAAATAGATACCTGAATTACTGTTTGAAAGGAAAAACATGTCAGCAATCAGAGGTTAGTACTTAAGGCAACTGGAAAAATATTTGGAATGGAGAAAGCAAAATAGTTGTGTAGCACTACTGAAACTTGTAGTTCCTCTTTCTTCATTAAATAAAATGTACTCATATAAATATGTTCCACTCTCATTTAAAAATATTCCGATTTTCCTTGTGTTGCGTAGAATGATTTTAAGGATGCAAGTGAAACTTTAAATTCTAAAATGCCCTAAACATAAGATGTTTGTCATGCAATATTAGTTTTAAAATTTCAGTAATCTTAAGGGCATATGTGCACTTAAATGATTCGGAAGTCCTACTCTAGAATTATCTTGATCAATTTATCAAATTTTATACCACATGTTTCCTTCCTCTTCTGTTACACGGTCTCAGAGTATTTTACTCTTATTACAGGTTGTGAGAATAAAAACAGGAAAAATGGTTTTGTTTTAGAATTCTTTCTACACATCCCTCCCCTTCATTCCGAATAGCACATGATTTGGGGCTGGCAGAAGCCTCTCTAACTAGAACATTCGTTAACCTAGCCAAGACAGCAGCCAATATTGAATCAGAGGGACAGCCAGAAGCCTGCCTCTGACCAAGGTAAAAAAATGAGAATCACTTTTGGGATGTCCCTCTCTTACATTCACCTCTTGTCCCCACCCTCCTCGCCTCATACTCAGAGGCTGGAACGACCGACAGGACAACCTGAGAGTCCCTCTTCAGGTCTCATATGTCAGTGCTCTCTTACAGCAATTGCTTTCCAGCCTTACCCTGAACAAGTGGAGATGGTGTAAATTTGAACTTTGATATTAAAGTGCACTCCAAATATAAATCATTTCCAATTCCTCTCCTGGTCTTCTCTGGGTAGGCTTTCCTGGCCCTCATGTTGAGGGGCCATGCCCTTCCTCTGAGCTTGCTCTCATGGACAACTCAGCTCTTTCACTCTAACTATGGTTTTACTGTGTGTGCTCCTTGCCAGACAGAGGAAATCTCAAGGGAAAAACAGTATCATATCCATCCTTGCAACTTTCATATCTCTTTTAGTCCCTGGTACACAGTAGGTACACGGTAAATGTTTGCTTGATTGAGTTTTTGTGGATTTACTTCAATCAAACTCTGCTTTTAATCAGTACTTTGAGTAAGAATTTTGGGGCACCTACTCTATATCAGACCCTTCGCCAGACACTGGTGATAGAAAGATAGTTGAGACAGATCCCTAGGTCTTGAGACGTT
The DNA here is from genome assembly GCF_000001405.40 of Homo sapiens. NCBI lineage: Eukaryota > Metazoa > Chordata > Mammalia > Primates > Hominidae > Homo > Homo sapiens. The sequence goes on from NC_000001.11 coordinate 215,895,339, forward strand.
ACAATTCAGAAGGGGATATTGATGATTCACTAGTAAACACAAACCAAAATTCTAAGGGAGCAACAAGAAGGAAAACTTCACAGAGGAAGTGACACTTGAGCTGGGGCTTGATGAATGTGTAGAATTATGTCAGGCAACAAAAGAGGAAGAAGCATGTTCTGTTAGATCTAGATTTCAATTGACCTCACATTGCCTTTCTGTCTTACTCCAGAAGAACCTCTGTTCCTTTGTAAATTACTGTGAGTATCTGAAGGATGGATGAAGGTTGCTGAGGGGAAAAGTAAAGCAGGACCCAGGCAGTAAGACAATTTCCTTCATTGCCCTCTCCTCTGTTCACAGTGCAATTATAAATGTGAAAAAATAACAAGATGTAATGCAATGAGCAAATATAGCATGGCAATGGTACAGTCTTGTGTCACCTAATGACAGGAATACATTCTGACAGATGCACCATTAGGCGATTTCATTGTTGTACAAACATCCTAGAGTGTTCTTACACAAACCTAGATGGTATAGCCCACTACACAGCTAGTTTGTGTGGTATAGCCTGTTGCTCCTAGGCTACAAACCTGTACAGCATGTTACTGTACTGAATACTGTAGGCATTTGTCACACAATGATAAGTGTGTATCTCAACACAGAAAAGGTACAGTAAAAATATGATATCATCATCTTATGGGTCCACCGTCATATATGTGGTTCATCATCAACTGAAATGTTGTGCAGCATATAACTGTACTTAAAATATCACTGTGTCATCAAAATAATGAACAAATGAAAAGTTGTCTAAGTAAACCTACAGAATAAACTGTTCGAATTCTACAGGTTTTATGCAGTAGTGCCTCTTAGACTAGTGGTTAAAAATATAAATATGGAATTTTAAACTACAAATTTGGGAAACGATCAAACATTTTTAAATATATGACAACTAAATTGTTAAAATCTAAAGTGAATTCAAGTTTGGGGTTTTTTTTTTTGAGGGTAGGGAAGTGATTTTTAGAAAATGATTTCAATTTCATTAGTTGATCTAATTGCTTGTGTATGCCATATATGTTTGTCATTAAAATGACTGAAATTAGATATTCCATATTTCAATCTTATTTCCTGGGAAATCTTAAGAGAAACAGATTATCTAACTTTTTTGGGCTGGGGAATCCACAATTTTAAGAAAAAGTAGGTTAATTCATAGTTAACACAAGGCAGGATTTCGGTAGGCAAAAGAATACATCCACATTTAAGCTGAGGTTTGAAAAACTTGCCCTCCCTGCCAACTCTAATTTCTACATGCATGTACTATACAGAAAACAATTGCAAACATACGAGAGAGAAGGAACAATCATATAATCAGGAGTGATGGTTATCTTTGTTTTCAAGATATCAACATTTTCAGCTGCTAGGCAAGTGCCTTCATTTTATTAATCACATGCTCCCAAGCCTAACATAATCTTAGGACATTTTTGCAAGCTGTGGACATGCCAGGTGCTTGGACTGCCAGCAGCACATTTAAAAAATAATGTGTTGTTTGTATTTATCTGGTTGCAACCAGTTAAACACTACACTGACCAAATTGGCTGGAACAAACATCTTTTATTAACACACATTTAACAGGATTTAAAATATTCATAGGAAATGTGCATTATGATTATTTGGCATCAGCACACTAGATTTTTAAAAATGCATGGAACTGGATATTGGTGGCACACTGGTGTAAATGACAAATTATTTGAAAAAAAAATCTATTAAAATTCTTCACATCCTGTTTCCCTGTCCATGATAACTTCTCTGCACCCATGCATTTGCTTCTCTGGCTGTAGCTCATTGCCTGCCTAGATTTCTCTTTGTGGTTTCACCTGTGTCACAGGCTTGCTGAAAATCACTGTCTTGAAATGTCACACTAAAAATATTGCCATTGGTGACCCATTTTGGCACTGGAAAGCTGTGAGGCTGTGGCTGATGCAGAAAGGTGCCTGTTGATGGTATGGAATTTAAATGTGGGCACGAGGCGACTTCTCTGTTTCGTTCTGTAAGACGATATGTGAAATTTCTACATTGAAAATTGCACTTTGGGTTGGGTGAGGTGGCTCACACCAGTAATCCCAGCACTTTGGGAGGCTGAGGCGGCTGGATCACCTGAGGTCAGGAGTTCGAGACCAGCCTGGCCAACATGGTGAAACCCATCTCTAATAAAAATATTAAAAAAATTAGCTGGGTGTGGTGGTGGGCATCTGTAATCCCAGCTACTTGGGAGGCTAAGGCAGAAGAATTGCTTGAACCCAGGAGACAGAGGTTGCAGTGAGCTGACATGGTGCCACTGCACTCCAGCCTGGGCGATAGAGTGAAACGCTGTCTCAAAAAATGAAGGAAAGGAAGAAAAGAAAGAAAGAGAAAGAAAGAAAGAGAGAGAAAGAGAAAGAGAGTGAGAAAGAAAGAAAGTGAAAGAGAGAGAGGGGAAAGAAAGAAACAAAGAAAGAAGAAAGAAAGAGAAAGAAAATTGCACTTTGGTGAGCAGGAGGTGCTGGTCAGGATCAAGTAAGAAGTGTGATTCTGGCATGGAGCTGTCAACATGGGTGGTTTTATAAGCAATGCTTTGTAGCCTTGACAGAAAAACTGCTTGTGCCCAATGCCAATCACTCAGTCTTTGTCAACTCAATTGCATATCCTTTCAGAGATGGCATCCATCTCCACTGACATCTAAAATATACAGTACCCTGTCACCATGTCTCAGGTGCACTGCTAACGTAACCTGCAGGTACACATGGCCTCCTTCCAGTTCTTTGCTATGTATGTGACTTCACAGTGTATACACAAAGCAGAGGAAGGAAGAGTTCATTCATTTTGGGGAACGGATTTAAACACAAATAATGGTTATGAGTTGATACCTGCTATTTATTCAAGTGTTACTAATTCTTACTTAAGGAAAATGAAGGGTTAATACCACTCACTTTAAACTCAAGCCCTAAATACCACAACAATGGAGGGTCTCTGGGTATGAAAATTCTAACGATGTGTATGTGTGGTCTATAAGGCTTGTTTTATAGTAAAAAGGAGACCAAAGGTAAGTTTGCTCAACAAAGGATGCTATGCTAATTGGTATTTTACAATATTTTGGACTTTTGCTTATTTATGTGCTACCTCCCTGCCTATAGATGGCAGGTCATGGCCCTCATTCAGTGAAAATTGTGGGGAGATTACCGCTGAGGAAGTTTGAGTGTTGCCCTTTCTCTAGGAGAATAAAGAATGCTGTGCCAAAAAAAAAATGCTTTCTCCCTTCTTCCAAGCATTCTATTGAGCCATCACCTCTGCAGTGGGTTGAATAATTATTTTTGGCTAATCTTTATTTAGTGCCATCAAGCATGCTGCTATATATAAGAAGGAGATTACAAATCTATCTTCAGTTGTTTCAAATGTTTCTTCAAAAATCTATTTTGAGTGTGAAGTCTTCAGTCCATAAATCTGGTGATCATGGTGTCCAGATTCCCCAGAGTGTATGTAATGTTCCTCCTAAAAGGTGGTGAATTAATGCTTTCTGGACTTTGGGTGCCATTTATCGTACTGTGCTGATAATTTACTAAATGATACCCTTGAGAACAAAAACACTGAGTGTCCCCTTGCAAAGTAGCTAACTTTCTCCCAGGGAGTAATTACGAATTGGAAGAAATGAATTAAGTAACATACATTATTGCTCATAAAGGTGGCTTTTTTTTGTAAAAATAAAGTCAACTTTAAACAAGATAGATTGTACTGATAATGTCTAATTTGATGTCTTATCTTCACTAAAATAATGCAATTAAAGGTATTATAGAAATAAAACAATACATTTAATAAACAATTGATATTGTTGCAAATACCATACTTTTGTGTTAATATCTAGGCTTTTGAAAGTCACTTAACGTTCTCATTGGATATAGAGCCAGCATGGCAATGGGCCAGCAGAGAACATTGCCTAAGAAGCCTATGATTAAAAGACTTCACAAGATTAACTCAAAAAACCTAACTGTTCAAAGATACAATGTCCTTATTCACTCTGTGTAGCTTGATTTAATTTCTAACTTTTCTTTAAAAACCCCTCTACTTTCATATATATGCTTTTATAGAGGTAATTTGTATAAAACCAAATGTTATAGTCATGTATTTATTCCCAAATATAATCTAGCAAATATATGCAAAAATAACTTTTTAGTGAACAACTAGAAAATTCTCTTTATTGGTTGAATAAAGAAATCTTAATCCACCTTTTGTAATATACTGCTATCAGATTATACTTCTCTATGCTGAAGGCTGTCTTTGGGGTATGAGTAGAAGCAGGAAAATGAAACCTGTTTCCAGGAACAAGTATATGTAAGCAGCCTCATGAAGTAAGGTCCATATTTCATTTTCTTCTGCCTGCCAGAATTTCTCCGAAACAGAGAACATTCAGTCATAAAGCAGAAGATGACAACCTTTCTCTTGCAGGGCGCTAAGATGTACCCTGAAGGATAGAATGGGGCCATATCATAATTTATAGTGAATTACTTTGTCCTGTCTGTAGGCCTAACCCTCCAACCCTCCAAGACCACATTATTCTTCTTTCTGGAGAGACTGACCACCTTTGCTCACTCTCTTGCCCTAGAAAAGGTTATTGTCACTAAACAACAAGTAAATAAGGGAGGCTCATTTCTTTGCTTTGGAAAAAATTGAAGACATTTTAAGCTCCCTATGTAGAAGACATTTGGCTGTGTATTGTTCAGACCACTTACTGTCCTCTGCGGTCATGAATGGAATCCAAGAACTATGTGCACTGCCAAATCCATTGGAGGCAACCAACCGAAACATATACTCTGTGTACGGTTGGAGATCACTCACTTCATAGCTTAACGATGCAGAAGGATTGGAAAATAACCTGTATGGGAAATAAATGTCAATTAGGAAGTTTTCGACATTCAAAGAAATAAAAGCAAGTAAATTTCTTACTACAAAAAAATTTTAGAGGATGTCAACATACATTTAAGTATTGTAATTTTCTGCCATCAAATGAGATCTCTTTTAAAATAAGTAGCCATTGGCTGAGTCTGTAATCTTGTGTTTATACGAGATGTAAATCCTAGTAGTATTGAGACTGACTGCCATGTGGATTTGTAGAATAGGTATTATAATTTGTTAGCGACAGTTCAGACATCATTTTGTTAGTTTCATTGCTTTATGTAATGCATGTGCTCATGAAAAGTTTCAGTGGGAAGAAATCCTACTTTAAATGCTACATAAATGAAAAATAGATATTTTTGCAAAGCAAATGATTATCCTCTAATTGTTTGGGGTTTTTTTGTACTTTTAAAAGGTAACCTATATTTTTTGCAAATGAGAACTGACCTACTCTTCAAAAATGTTATGTCTATATTGTATAACCCAGCTGATAGAATGGACAAAGTAGAATGCTCACTCTAGAAATCCATGGGTGGAGTCGCCAGACCTCATCTGGAGTTGGTATCTGGGAGAGCCAGGAGCGTTATTACGAGCTGGTGTAGACCAGACAACCTGAAGACTGGTTGGAGTGGCAGATGAAAGCCTGGGAGGCAGCACGCCATCTGGAGCTGTCGAAAAACACAGATGAATTAGAGCAGAGAAAACTGTGGAGAACATATGCTGGATGGAATCGAAATGCTCCATATACTGGAAAAACTGTTCCTCAGGATCAACAACAATGTTAAACATGGTCCATTTAATTTAACATTTTCATTCCTGAACTCCTGTACTTCCTTATTGTTCATTTCAACACAATTACATTAGTATTTCAGTCTTAAAAGCCGGCCCCCAAACAGCAAGACAAATGAATATGCAGCACATTCCCACCTGTACTTCTGTTTATCTAATTGAAAACATGGAGGGAATTTAGTGAAGCAAATATTAAAGTACCTTTTTCATTTAACTCTTTGTTCAACAGACCAAACAATTGAACACTGAAGCAGTCCAGATCTCATATTCTTCCCCCCGATATCATCCATTGCTGCCTTAATCACACCACTACATGTGAACACAATGGCTTTCTTTTCCTTTCTTTTTTTTTTTGGAGGAAGGGAAGTTAGCTAAAATTGTATTTTTCTGGAATGATAAATAAACATGAATGGCTGAATACAGTGTATTCCAGCCTTAATGCTCACCCATGAAAATATAAAAAGTAAACTTTTTTCCCTATGTGTTTTATACAATTACCCTTCTCAGAGTTATCCCTTCTCCTGCCCTTACTCAATTTTGCAAGTTGGAACATGCATACCACTTTTTCTAGTCTAGTTGAGTCTCCGGCAAATCTGTTCTGACTTCAACATACCTGCTTGGTACAATCTACCAGGGAAATCTCTTTGAATGGTTCTAGAAGGCCTAACAGGAATGTGTAAAACTAAAGCCTATTCTACTAAAAAAAGTTGATAAGATGACTCTGGTTATTTAATTAATTTTTTCCAACTGGTATAACTCAAATGAGCCTGTCATATCAGCTTGTTCCAAATCATATCAGTTTGTTCCAAAGCTATTCAGAAACTTGAAAGCAAATTCAGCAAAACTCTGCCTTTAGGAAAATGACCTAATGACTCCGAGCCTATATTTTCTGATCTCTAAAGTAGGTATAATATTTTTCCTTTATAGAATTGTTGTGAAGTTCAGAGATCATATAAATAAAGCACCTGATTTTAGACCCTGGTAATTATTAGTCACTAACTATTATTACTATTATTACATTGGACTGACCTGAACTTTCTTTAGCATAATTTAATTGCTAGTATAATATACTTTGTTGGGAACATTCTGATTATTGTAATATAGGTTCCTAATGACCACAAATTACCAGAGGCCATTGGTGAAGAAGGAGAAGTGATCAAAATAATGAGAACAAATGAAATATCAGGGTCCATTTTCAACTTTATTTTATACATAACCTTGTGTAGTGTGTCAATTTTACATACTCTCCAATTCAGAAGAAGCTGTCTGTGAACAATGAGGCTAATGAATGACCAGTGATGAGAACAGAAGAATTAGATTACATGTTTCATCAATCTGCTGTAATGGGTTTGAGTTCATTAATAATTCATTCATTTGTTCAATAAACATTTATTAAGGCTCCACTCTGTGCTAAGCAGTACTCTTCATGTGGAAGAAGAACAGCACTGAATAAAATAGACACCACTCCTGCCCCTAGGTAGCTTACATTCAAGTGGAGGGAGCAGGTGGTAAACAAATGAATACTGTGTATACAATAATACCAGGTGGCCATAAGTGCTTTGTAGAAAAATAAAGCAGTGTAAGGAAAGAGAAGGTAAAAAGAATTGGGCAGTTTTAGTTACTAGGTAACAACTTCAATTCGATGGGAAGATTATAGGAAGAAAATGCAATTCAGTGATATTTGAACAGAGACTTCACTGGCATGAGGGAGGTAGCCATCCGAATGTCTGGAGGAAGAGTAATCCAGCCAGAGATAGCAGTACATTCAAAGGCAGTAAGGAGGAAAACATTCTGGTTGTGTTTAAGGAACAGTGTGGCTAACACGGACTAAGGAGGAGAGGGAGAGGAAAAGTCTTCATAGGAGTTGTAGCCTTCATAGGAGTTGTAGGTCAGCATATATGTGATCTTTAAAGGCTGAGATGGTGAAATAAACTAGGAAGTGAGTGTTGATAGAATGAGTATAGAAGAGGTCTGAGAACCAAGCCCTGGAATCCACCAAAATGTTGAGGTCAGGAGGAGGCCTCTCTAGGAAAGGATACTGAGAAGGAATGGTCAGTGAGGTAGGAGAAAAACTGAGAAGGTGCAGACTGGAAGCCGAGTAAAGAAAGAAGGCACATGAAAAAGGAAGAACGTATCAGCTGTATCAACTCGGCTGAGAGTTTAAGGAGGAAGAAGACTGGGAGTTGAAACTTTGCATTTGGCCAAGTGCAGATATTTGATAACTTTGCAAAGAGCAGATGCAGTGCAGTGCTGGGCATAGCAGTCTGAGCTAAGGTTGTGAAGACAACGAGGGGGTAAAGGGCAGATACAGTGAGCTTAGACAACACTTAGAGGGAATTTATTCTAAAAGGGATTAGAAAATGGGGCAGCAGCTAGAAAAGCTCATGATATCAAAGGAAGGTTTTCTAAAGACTGGAAGATGTTGCAGCATATAGGCATGTTTGTTGGAAGAATCTAACACAGATTAGGGGAAATGATACCGTAAAAGAAAGAATTGCCAGAGCAAAGTCCTAGTGTGGGAAGAGAGAGGTGAGCCAGTGCACATTTGAATCAACTGAGAGTCAGTGCACACTGGCTGCCAAACAGAGCAGGGATAGTTCTCCCATTGTGCAAAAGTGAATGCACAGATGAAGATGTAGAGCAGTGAGTAGATTCAGTGATGGAATAATAGCAAAGATCTCCTTTGATGATGCGCAGTTTCTTAGTGAGCAAAATAAAAGCAAAGGCTCAGTGACAAATTGGGTGGATGAAATGGAGGCTTGAAGAAAGAGGAAATGATATGAAATAATTCTCTCAATTAGTAAAAGTGTGGCATGACTAGAAAGTGCAAGAAGATTGCTGTCCAGGGCCAACTATCCACTTCTTACCTTCACATTTTTGGTTTGAAGGACATTCATTGCTAAAGGCTTTTTAATTGATATTTTTATCTATGAACACAAATGGTTTTTAACAATCATAATTTATTTGACATATATACTTTAATTGATTTATAATAAGTGCATACATAGAAAAAAGAGCACTGTGAAAACACAGGCAAAAAATAAAGTGCAAAATGCATACAATGTATAACATATAAAACCATGTCTCTCTTTTGATTATTTTTGTCTAATTTTTCTACATCAAGGAGTATAATGTAATTGAAAATCCAAATTCTGAATTTCAAGTCATTAGCCCTGAAAAAATTAGTTTTTAATATGCACACAAAACCCCTTATGTGTTAAAAACTACATTACCTTTCTATTAAGACAGTAGGAAGAAGTGCCCCAAAGTAGGCTTTATAATAATAATAAGATGTCACGAATTCTCTTCTGAGTAATAACAAAACAATATGCTCCACTAAATTGGTACACTTTGAATATATTAAATTGTGAAATATTTCCAAACAGAATGGTCATCTTAAATTATTTGTATATAACTACTCATTCTGTATGCTTCCAGTAACACTGAATTCTGGAAACCTTCCTTTCCCCTCTGTTTAACCCCTTTTATCCTAGATTTAATCCTTAGAGGCTCCTTAGCACCAAAGCAATAACTGGGAGCCAGCCATAATTCCACTGCTGGTTTCTTAACAGAAGAGCCCTGTATCCATCAGCTTGATATATTGTCTCCAAGATGCTCTGTTGCTCAAAGAACTTCTCTCAAGTTTAATATGACCCTCACGGGGCAAACACTCCAAGACAACCTCCTGAATCAACACATCTTGTCCAGTAAATACTAATTCTACACAGCGACTAGATAAAACAGCTATCCCAATCTATAAACTCAAAGGAAGTGGGTTTTTAATAAAATTTCAAATTTAACCTGCTTCAGAAAATCAAATTCATACAAAACATTAAGCAATAAATTAAATCACAGATTGGAATAATTGAGATGGTATAATCTTTTGAATGTATAATTTTATTAAACTTTAAAAATGATATACGCCACTGGACTCTCATCTATATGAAAAACAAAAGAAAACAAAACACCAAATAGACAATGACTTATACATGTCCTAAACTTCTCTAAGAAAACAAAACAAAATAAAACAAACGAAAAAATATAAAATGATTTATTTACACATGTCCTAAACCTTTGCTCCCTGCAGATTTATAAAACTCTGGGAGTGAGCTCTCAAAGGCAAAAACAGAGGCTTTACAAACGTAGTTGGTGGCTACCAAGTCTGTGGGGACAAGAAGAAGAATATTTTAGGGAGAAAATGAATTCACTGTGCTTTCCATATGCACTGAATTCTTTCTCAGGACATCCCACCAACATGTTACTTTTGAGGTGTGTTTTGTTTTTTGCCTGTGTGTGTGCATTTCAAAATAGTGAAATAAAATGCTGCATTAAAATATCAAATAAGCCTGTAATATTTTGTATCAAATTCAATTCTATAATACAAGACACTGAATACCACTCTGCACAAGGTTCTTGTTAGAGGCAGGGAAAGGGCAGAATAGGTAGAAGGCGGAATCAAATAATCTACTTTATGTTTAACAGATTAGACCTGACTCAAATAACTGTATCACCAAAAAAAGAGTACTCAGCACAAAAGAGGTATAAATGCTACGGGGGACTCGGAAGTTAGAAACTCACTTCCAGGGGTGCACTGGGCCTTGTCTTTCAGAGATCCCTGGCTTGCAGAAGCACTGCCCTGGGGGTACTATCAGTTGTTCATCCAGGTTAATGATGTTCTCAGCCTCATTCCCTAGGGCTCCCACCAACTCTTCCTGTGCTCATTCCATTTAGATGTGGTGCTTCTTGCTAATTCACTAGGAATCTGACTCTAGCCTACCCCAAATTATCCCCTCACTTCAGGGATTACATTTTTGGCATTCTCATTTAGGCTTCTCTGTTAACATTAGAGAAACTGCGGCCTTTTACCTATATGCTGCATCGCTGAATAGCCTGGCACATATTCAAAATCCTTGGATTACACATTTCTTCATCATTTTCCGAAATAGCTACATATGAGCAAGGGTTTTAAATTCTACTTTCCAGAATGGAAAATTAAAGTTCAGACACATATATTGAGTCATTGAGTCATGAACAAATTGAAAACAGAAGGCAAGACTCGATTTCCAGTCACTAAACCATATGTCATTTAAAAAGATATTAATTATGAGGAATATGCAGATGTGCTAACAAATGGACAGTCAACCTTGAACACAAGGATGCACAAACAGAGCAGCATTAAATAGTGACAAGTAGGTTAAAATAGATTTCATGTTCACAAAACAGTCTTTCACCAGAGCGAACTTTTTGAAAGCATACTGTGTACAAGGTTATTTAACATAATTATTTCTAATCCTCAGAATTACACTCCAAAATTGTAGTGTTTTCTCTTTGTAGGATATACGGAATAAGGTGAGGCTCAGAGAGAAGTTAAATATTTCATTTCAAATCGCAGAACTGATGTAACTGGCACACTGAGGATTCTAACATGGGCCGTTTAAGTTCAAAGGCAGTGCGCTCTTAATTTTACACCCTGAAACAGCCTGCTATAGTGAATGATTTATAATATAGAATAACTATTAAATATATTAAATCTATATAAAAGCAAACCATTTACAATATTAAATAAACAAATTTCAATAAATGTTGGATTTATTTTCTGTCCAGGTCATATTCTTAAACAGTACCTCCCGGTCTTATTTCTTTATCATAGCAGGGATTCCCATCATTCCACAAGGTATCACACACAGAACTACTAGTATGAATTTGCCACATCTCCAGAATTAGTCAACATCCACAGAAATTCAATGAAATGTAAAATGGAGAAGTCTTCATGTTAGCGAGAGAAAGAGTATATTTTAAAAATTGTGTTTTCGTAGGTATGTCATGGAACTGATATTTGACCATAGAATATTCAAAAACAAAACAACAGAATCTTAAAATCAGAAGGCAGAAAACTTAAAAGTCACCAACTTTATCCTCTCACCAAATAAGGAATCCTTACCTAGAACATCCCAGACAGGTGACCCCAGGTCTCTGCTTGTGCCTTACCAGTGACAGGAAAATAGTCACTTGGCAAGTTGTCCCATCACATTATTGAATAGTCTTTATCATTGGAAAGCTCTTTCTGATGTAGAACAAAGAATTGTATGGGTTCTACAAAACTTAGGGCAAATATAACCTTTTGTTCACATTGAGACATTCTGAGTGAAATGGGGCACTCTAAGTAATTAATAGGAGTGAACTGAGCTGCATGCAGCAGGCATAAACTGGGACTATCTTGGGCAAAAAGTGCATATGGTTGGTCATGCTAACAACACTGAACTCCTTAGAACCTTACCTCTAATCCCTGAGAGCAAGCCTCTGGTACCATTCGTGGGCTAGAACCTCAGGTATTTTTAAGCATTTGCCTTCCTTTCCACTAAATTTCCCCATTTCAGGTTAAACATCTCTGTTCTCTCCAACTAGTTTCCATATAGTATGTTTTCTCAACCATCTTCTAGCCTTGTTAACTGATTTGGATGTGTTCCAGTTTGAGAATGCCTTTTAAACTTACACTCCTTGTGTGTTTGGGCCACAGCCCAACACAGGAAGGCACTGACTTTCCTTTCTTCAAGTGATGCTGCTGAAACTTCACTGAGCATCTTAATTTTGGCCTGCTTAATATTGGAGTTCATCAAGTTCATTCATATCAGCTATGTAGCTGACTCAAAATGGTCATATAGATAGCTGACCATACCAGATTAATTATTTTCTAATGTATACATAGTCTTAAAGGACTGTTAAAGGAGAAAAGTAATTAAAGAGATACCATGGTGCCCAACACAGTGCTTTGTCTAGGAAAGATCCTATAAAAACTGGATGAATGGATGGATGAATCAATGGTTGGAAAGATGGATGAGTTGATGGGGGAAAGATGGATGAGTTGATGGGGGAAAGATCTGCAGAGAAAATTATTTCTGTCATTATCCCAACAATTGTTAGAATCCCGAACATATTTTCTATTTACAAATAAATTACAAAAAAATGTGAAAAATATTTTTAACATAAGTGAGATTAATTGCTTGGAGGTATTATCAAATGAAATCTGAAATACTACTTTAGAGTACATTCATTTTATCATTCGTTTCTCTCAATGTTCTTATTTCACAGATATAAAAACTGAGTTTAGAAAAGGCTAAGCAACGTCTCAATGAATAGTAGATAGAAACCTGTGGTTTCATACATGTCCCTTTTGTTTTCAAGACCATAGTTCATCTCCCAAAACCCCATTAAATTTTAAATTTAAGTCTAATTATTGCTTTGTCCCATGATAAACCAAGGTAATGATAACATAAACCATTTGAGAGCAGATATGCTTTTTATTTATCTTTGTAAACTTCAGAGCACTTAACAAATTTTGAGAGTTTAGTATTGCTCATGAAATACTTATTAAACAAATGATAAAATTTAGTTCTTGGAGAACTAAACAGAACTCTTTTAAAAGTACTATCTGTATTTTCCTAAGTACAAATATGTTTATGATATAAACTTTAAAGATTATAAAACAAATGAAGAAAACAATGATCCATAATTACACTACCCAGAGATAGCCATGGTAAAATTATTATAGATAATCTTTCCTGTCTTTTTTCTATACAAATATATGTGCACATAATTAAGAAAAACATTAAGATGAATACTTACATATTATTTAGTAAACTTTATTTGCTTTACTATATATGCCAGTCAGTATTTTTGGTAGCATAACTTTTCAAATAATTGCATGTACTATTTTTATAGATGTGGAACATTCACTTAACAAAGCTGACATTGATGGATACAGAATGATGCATCTTTAGGGACACTTTTTAGAGTTATCGGGTAAACGTTGATGAATGCTCTACTATTTCAGATATTAGTTGACTAATTGTTTTCCAGAACATTGAATTTATACTACCATCACTAAGATATGAGTGGTCCACTTCCCAGTATCCCCATCAAAATGAGTATTTTATATAATGCCTATATATATCTATATATACATATATAATAATAATACAAGTATATCATTAAATATATTATATATCTACATGTCATATAATTTGTATATAATTACATATGACTGATATAATGTATGTGTGTGTATATATATAATAATTCATTAACTCAGCAGCTATTTAAAAGTCATCTATTATATGCCTAGCACTATTCCATAACCTGGGAATATAGTAATGAACAAATTAAAATGGTTTTTATTAAGAGGGGTGAGATGAAAGACAAAAAAAGATAAAGGCAAAACTATAGAGACGATAAAAAGTGATCAGAGTTTGCCAGGGGTTGGGGGAGGGCTGTATGAATGAATAGATGGAACACGGAGGCTTTTCAGAGCAGTGAAGCTACTTCATATGACACTATAATGGTAAGTACATGTCATTATATATTAGCCTAAAGCCATAGGATGTACAACACCAAGAGCGAATCTTAGTGTATACTATGGACTTTGGGTAATAAAAACATGTCAGTGGAGGTCCACTCTGTGGAAGAGGATGATAATGGGTAAGGGTATACACGTGTGGAGGCAAGGATAAATGGGAACTCTGCACCTTCTGCCCGATGTTGCTGTGAACCTAAAGCTGCTCTTAAAAATAAAGTCTACTAACATTTAATGAGAAAAAAAGAAGCATTTCTAATATAAGGGCATTGAGAGTGATGAGGGAGGGAGTGGAGCAAAGTTAGCATGTTAGATGCGATAGGCAGGGAAGGCATCTCTGATGAGGTTTTATCTGAGTTGAGATTTGCAGATCACTGGGAGAAGCACAAATGAAGCAGACCCAAGGCAGAAGCCTCATTGACGTGAGTCTGGAAAGTATTGTTCATAGAGGATTTGGTGATGGAACAGATGTAGGGATGTAGAGAATGAAAGAAGGATGCTTGACTCCTAAGCTTCTGGTCTAAGGGAGGGACACTTGGTGTAGGAAGAAAAAAAATTTGTTGGTTCTGGATTGCCTAAGATATTTTTAGAAGGCCATTGACTACGGGGGACTGGAGTTCATGTGTTTAGGCCTGAGCATATACATAAGGAAGGTGTCAGTCTATAGATAGCACTGAAAACCAAAAGACTATGATTGAAATATTTACAACATGCTTATTGGCCATTTACCATTTCTTAATTTCTAGAATGCTTGTTCATGAATCTTTTCCAATGAAAACTTTTTTACCTTTGATAAGCTTTTTATTATATTAGATAATCCTGAACATTTCACACTTTTGTCACTCTCCTTTATGTTCAATTAGCACTTTTTACATTTTTAACTTAATTAGCTGATTAGCAGCTAATTAATGTCTTTATTGTAATGTCTTTATTTAGAGTTTATTTTGATTAAATCACAAAAGAGGCAGATCTGTGTATTGGTTAAGAGCCAACTTATCTGGGTTCAAATCCTGATTGTGCTACTTACTGAGCAAGTACCAAAATCTCTATGTGCCCCAGTTTCTTCATCAACGAAAGAAAGATTAAGATGGTATATATTTCATAGAGTGTGGTTGGGAGGATTAAATAAGTTAATGTATCAAGTGGTTACACAATATAATATATACATAATATAATAAAGTACACATCATAAGTACTATATAAGTGTTTGCTATTGTTATGATCTTTATCTTACCCCCAATGTCTATCACATGATCCTGTCATATCATTACTCACACCATAACTACAATCATGCTTTACTCATTTATTATTTCTTAGTAACATCAATCAAAGTATCTTCTTAAGTATCACTAAGTCATTTAATGTATCCCAAAAAACTATGAACATTTGTTCATAGTTCCTTTTAAGTTACTTGAAGATAAGCACTGTACATTCAGATTTATTGCTTCTCTCTGTAATTTTCTTACCCATCCTTGATGACTTCATAATTGAGATCGCTCTGGATACATTATTTGTAATAATAATATTTATGAAATTACAAAGTCTGATCCTATAATATTTTGTAACCACTTAAAAAATTCACAAGGTTTAGAAAAAGTATGTTCTGCTTATACCCAATACAGAGCTTAAATTACCCAGCCATCTTAGTTTTAATCACTTGAGAACAATTTTTTTCTTAATTTTTTAATTTTTTTTTAATTTGTGGCATATAGGAGGTATATTTATTGGGGCACATGAGATGTTTTGATACAGGCATGCAATGTGAAACAAGCACATCATGGAGAATGGGGTATCCATCCCCTCAAGAATTTATCCTTTGAGTTACAAACAATCTAATTACATTTTTTAAGTTATTTAAAAATATACGCTTAAGTTATTATTGACTATAATCACCTTATTGTGCTATCAAATAGTAGGTCTTATGCATTCATTCTATTTTTTTAACCCATTAAGCATCCCCTCCTCTCCCCAACCCTCCACTACTCTTCCCAGCCTCTGGTAACCATCCTTCTACTCTCTAAACCCATGAGTTCAATTGCTTTGATTTTTAGATCCCACAGATAAATGAGAACATGCCACATTTGTCTTTCTGTGCCAGGCTTATTTCATCTAATGTAATAATCTCCAGTTCCATCCAAATTCTTGCAAATGACTGGATCTCATTCTTTTCTACGGCTGAATAGTACTCCATTGTATATATGTACCACATTTTGTTTATCCATCCATCTGCTGATGGATGCAACTTAGGTTGCTTCCAAATCTTGGCTATTGTAAACAGTGCTGAAACAAACATAGGAATGAAGATATTTCTTCAACATACTGATTTCCTTTCTTTTGGGTGTATGCCCAGCAATGGGATTGCTGAGTCATATGGTAGCTCAATTTTTAGTTTTTTGAGAAACCTCCAAATGGTTCTCCATAGTGGTTGTACTAATTTACATTCCTACCAGCAGGGTACAAGGGTTCCCTTTCTCCACATCCTTGACAGCTTTTGTTATTTATTGCCTGTTTTTTGGACATAAGCCATTTTAACTGGGGTGAGATGAAATCTCATTATAGTTTTGATTTGCATTTCTCTGATAATTGATGATGCTGAGCACCTTTTCATATGACTGCCATTTGTATGTCTTCTTTTGAGAAATGTCTATTCAAATATTTTGCTGATTTTTTGATTGGATTATTAGTTTTTTTCCTATAGAGTTGTTATATATTCTGGTGATTAATCCCTTGTCAGAGGGATAGTTGGCAAATACTTTCTTCCATTCTGTGGGGTGTTCCTTCACTTCGTTGATTGCATCCTTTGCTGTACAGAAGATTTTTAACCTATGTGATCCCATTTGCCTATGTTTGCCTTGGTTGCCTGTGCTTGTGGGATATTGCTCAAGAAATCTTTGCCCAGACCTATGTCCTATAGATTTTCCCCAATGTTTTCTTGTAGTAACTTGATAGTTTGAAGTCTTCGACTTAAGTTTTCAACCAATTTTGATTTTATTTTTGTACATGGTGAGAGATAGGGGTCTAATTTTATTCTTTAAAAAAATTTCTAAGAATTTTTGAGGGTAGGTAGTAGGTATGTGTATATATATATATATATATATACGTATATATATATATGTGTATATATATATATATATACGTGTATATATATATATATATATATGAAGTACATTAGATGTTTTCATACAGATATGCAAAGTGAACTAGTCACACAATGGAGAATGGGGTATCCATCCCCGCAAGCATTTATCCTTTGAGTTACGAACATTTCAATTACTTTTTAAAAAACTTTTATTTTAGGTTCAGGGGTACATGTGCAGGTTTGTTATGTAGGTAAACTGAAGTCATGGGGGTTTAGTGTACAGATTATTTCATCACCCAGGTAATAAGCTTAGTACCCAAAGGTTATTTTTTCTGTTCCTCTCCATCTTCCCACCCTTCACCCTCGAGTAGGCCCTGTGTCTGTTTTTCCCTTCTTTGTGTTCATGAATTCTCATGTAGCTCTCACCTTTTGAATGCATCTCCATTTTTCTCATTTGGCCTTGCAGCCATACCATGAATTAGATGATGTGAGTATTGCATTCCTCCTACAGTTCTTTGTGATTGTGCTAAGTGCCAGGCTGGGATTCAAACATGAGAATTTTGATTCAAAACCTCATCCTCTTTCCTGTTTACTATGCAATCTCCAAGCTATAAATATGGAAATACAGAAAGATTAAACATTTGTGATAAAACTGTGCTGTCATTTTTATATTCCCTGAAAAACTGATCTACCCATCCTCCTTTACTCCCTTGCCAGGCATCGTGCCAGGTGATGGGTGCATAATGAAGAACAAACTAGCCAGAGTCACACCATTATGGGCATGAGAATATTGTCAAGTGGAGCAAGACTGGCATCAAACAAATAGAAAGCAATATGTAGTTAAAATGTACACAAAGTGCTAGGAGGGAGAACAGAGGTGCTAAGAGGTATCATTAAAGGGGGCCGACTTAATTTTGGTTGAAAGAAGAAAGGCTTTCTAAGGAAGTGGTATTTAAGTTTGGACCTGTTAAATGACTAAGACTTTGCTGACCTGTTATGGGCCGGAAGCTCTATGGTGATCTCACTGTTTGAGGAATTAAAAGCAAGGCAGCAAGGGTGGGAGACACTGGTCTTGTAGGACAGATAAAGAGTCTGAAATGTATACGAAGGAGATGGGGAATCACTAATTCCATCAATATTTTAAGCACAGAAACTACAATTGTTGTTTAGTTTGAAAATATTGAGGCACAGATGGTGGTGGCTACTCCCTGGTAAATGGACTGGACTGGATACTGAAAAGGAATGAATGGATTTATCATCTTATTGATATACTTTGATTCGAGTTTTTTTTTTCCATAAAAGTTGAGTGCAGAATGTGAAAAACAATCCAATTACTAAGTATTTCTGGCTACTTGATTCCATTACACTCACTTCTGGGAGCTCATTCTTATATGGATCAATAAGGAATCTGCATTCATGTCATTAGAATGCCAGAAAGAGATGGGGAAAACTATAGATATCCTTTATAATTTATTAACCTGCATAATTACCAAAATATTTTTAAAAACATTTAATATAAAACTCAAGAAAACAAAGCTGAATAATGAAGGAAAAAGATCAGTGAACTGTACCACAAAACCTCTACTAAGGTTAGCCATTGTCAAGCAACAGACTTTTTTTTTTTTTTTTTTTTTTTGAGACAGAGTCTCGCTCTGTCACCCAGGCTGGAGTGCAGTGGTGCAATTTCTGCTCACTGCAACCTCCGCCTCCTAGGTTCGAGCGATTCTTCTGCCTCAGCCTCCTGAGTAGCAACAGACTTTTTTTTTCTGAGATTCACAGGAGCCAAAAAGCAAAACAGAAAAGAAATGTCATGAGTTACCAATCAATACATTTTCTTAAAAAGTTCTTTTTTGTTGTTTTTCCAAGAAGTTTTCATTTTATGGGAATGAATTTGGTCTAAAATGGACTCTTCTTATATAATAAAACAATTTGCATTTTTGTAAAACGAGAGAATCACAGTAAATCAATTAACTTTTCTGATTTCTAAAAATAACTATGTACAGTAATCCCACCAAATAAGGAATATGCAATTTTGTACTTAAAAGTAACAGCCAACTTTAACAACATTGACATAGTTGTCTTACATCATTATTTATAAACACATTTAAATTTATTGTCCTAGTTTTTGTTAAGAGCAACCCTTTCTCCCCCTAGAAGGTGAAACCAAGCTCTAAGTACCTTGATCTATCCAATATCTCCTTAGGGAATTCTTAAGTAGCCAGCCAGAACATGCAGTAAGTGCAGTTATGAACTTCACCACAATGGTGGCCAGGGCCTTCAGTTCCATCAGGGAATGCACGCCATCTGCTCCAAAAGCCTGTTTTGCACAGGACCTAGAGTTATGCCTGGTGGCTAGAAAGAGCTCAGCAACTGCTTTTGGATGAATGAAATTTGAACAAAGTTCAAAGTTTTGGTAAAGAGTCTTTATGTTAATTGAGTTGTTTATTAAACAACTCAACAACTTTAATGAATGACTTTGGTTAATTGCCCCTTGAACAATGCTAACATCTTGATATTCATTTGTAAACATAAGCACACTACAATGTCAGAGTTAATGCTGGGCAGTTATTGTACACCAGGCAATGGACTAAATGCTTTGTATGTATCATCACACTGAATCCTCCTAATAGTCCTAGGTGTGAAGTAGGTGGGTCAAGGAATCTGAAGCTTCATAACATAAATGACTTGCACAAGACCACACAAGTAATGAGGGGTTTGTGCTGCTGTTTGAATCTAGCAACTGTCTCCAAAGTTCAAGTTCCTGTTATTTTAAACAATGTTGTTTAAAATTAGCCAAACCAGACCTTTGCCCTTCCTCACAGACATAAAAGGTAGCTAGCCTCCTTTCCCTACCTCTTCCCCATCCAACACACAGGAACCTAAAGAACTAACTTGGAGAGCGGATACTGTTGGTAGAATCTAACAGCTCAGTGTTTTGAAAGAATGCAAGAATTTTGAGGTTTTAAACAAATGTGTCGTTTAAATTTTGAGGAGGATTTTTTGGAGTAGAGGTTTGAAGAAATTGTCTCTGTCTTTCTTAGTCTGTTACTCTCTCTTTCTCTCTGTTTAGTAACTTTTTTCTCTTTTACTTGTCAAGACACCCTTGGCTCTGAGAAAGGACTCTAGAGAAAAATAAAGAAACAAGAGTTCAAACATTGTGGAAGTCAGTGTGGTGATTCCTCAGGGATCTAGAACTAGAAATACTATTTGACCCAGCCATCCCATTACTGGGTATATACCCAAAGGACTATAAATCATGCTGCTATAAAGACACATGCACACATATGTTTATTGCGGCACTATTCACAATAGCAAAGACTTGGAACCAACCCAAATGTCCAACAATGATAGACTGGATTAAGAAAATGTGGCACATATACACCATGGAATACTATGCAGCCATAAAAAAGGATGAGTTCATGTCCTTTGTAGGGACATGGATGAAATTGGAAATCATCATTCTCAATAAACTATCACAACAACAAAAAACCAAACACCGCATATTCTCACTCATAGGTGGGAACTGAACAATGAGAACACATGGACACATGAAGGGGAACATCACACTCTGGGGACTGTTGTGGGGTGGGGGGAGGGGGGAGGGATAGCTTTAGGAGATCTACCTAATGCTAAATGACGAGTTAATGGGTATAGCACACCAGCATGGCACATGTATACATGTGTAACAAACCTGCACATTGTGCACATGTACCCTGAAACTTAAAGTATAATAATAATAAAATAAAAAAAAGAAACAAGATGTATAACAAGAGCTATAGGTTTTACAGATCCAACCTAAATAAATGATATTTCTCAAGGTTGTCACTAGTGTAGTAGAAGAGTATTTAGGTCAAACTCTGACTAGGAAAGAAACATGTGCAAAAATAAAAAAAAAAATTGTTAAAAAGTCATCATTATTTCTTATATTAGTGACAAAATAAAATATTTTAAAGTACATTAGCAAATACAACCTGAAGGTGGTACAACATTTATCTTGGTCTTTCACGTACATATTTAGGTTTATTGTTCTGAGGGAACTGAAAACTTCTCCAACATTTCACGGAGAAATGGTAAGAATAGATCAGTCAAAATTCGTGCAAATATTTGTCAAAAATTATATAAAACCCAATGGGCAGATTTCACCTAGGTCCAGTAATTATTCTTCATGAAATGAAAAATGGTTCCCATGTTCACTAAGAATGCTTTAATTAGAATGGAAAAGAAGCAAGAATATCCCCAGTTACAGTATATAATAGGAGTAATATAGAAAGGGGGGCAGAGGTGGGTCAAGGGCACCAGAATAAAAAGACACCACTGAATACTAATTGCTGTTGACCATTTTGAGAAATAAAAGATTCCACTTCACATTAGCATCCATAGGACCAAGGTAATACACCTCCACCTCCACCTCTCTTTGTGGTTTAAGATTAAAGAATTGCTTAAAATTGCTCTGCAAGACAATTTCAGTGAATTTGTTAACCAAGAAACATCAGACAGACTGAAGTCATCCTCTGTTAATTTTGAAATACCCCAAAGCTGTGAATGATGCAGCTCACTGTGCTCAGAGAAAAATAGCGATTTTGAATTTCATTAGATACATTATTTGTTCAACTAGAATGTAGAACTGTCACTTTGTCAGACTAATTAGAGGCCCTGAAGTTGGTGGTCATAATGCCCAGAAGAATTTTTTTTTGTTATGTCTCAAACCACCAACCAAATTTTTTTCCTTTTCCTTACAGAGACTTCCTACATTTAGACACTCTAGTTAAGCCTTTGCTTTCGACATTTGAATTCGTCTTAGTATTCCTAAGAGCATTTCTTAGCATTCCTATTATTTTGAATACGATCATATTCATCCAATTAGTTTCTAGGCAGCATAGATTAAATTCTTTTTCCTTGAGTACCTGATTGCTTGAGCCCTTTGTTTAAAGCATATCTTCAATTGGAAAAATAATTTAAAATATATACAACAATACTGTTCAATTAATTCTATTTTATTTTTGATTCTAATATTGCTCATTGACTTCATTTAAAATAATTCACTGAAGAATTTAGTCTTTGTGAAATTAAAAATTGATATGCTTAGCAAGGTTAACAATAAATAAATTCAAGCTCAAGTCAAAGCCACTCTTTTCAGGAAGACTGCATTAAATTATCCCTTGTTGAATGTATCCAACAAGAAAAATAGCAAAATAAATTACTGAGGGGCTGGGTACAGTGGCTCACACCTATAATCCCAGTATTTTGGGAGGCTGAGATGGGCAGATTGCTTGAGCCCGGGAGTTTGAGACGAGTCTGAGTAACATAGTGAAACCCTATCACTACAAAAAAAAAAAAAAAAAAAAAAAAAATACAAAATTAGCTGGATGTGGTGGTGCATGCCTGTATTGCCAGCTACTCAGGATGCTGAGGTGGGACAATTGCTTGAGCCCAGGAGATTGAGGCTGCAGTGAGCTGTGACTGTGCCACTACACTCTAGCCAGGGTGTCAAAGTGAGAGCCTTTCTCAAAAACAAAACAAAAAATGACTGAGGTCGTGTAGAAAATAAACCATTATATTTTAGAGTTGGACTCTTCCTCTATGGTGCCATTGAATCCACTATTCTAAGATACAATCAAATACCAAGAAATTAAGTGATCTTTGAATAGTGGAGAAAAATTTAGTCATTTAATGATTGAAGAATCAGAGCAGATTGGTTATAAAAGTCATTGTAACAACGGGATTGGATATAATATTCAAGTTTATTAATTAAATTACTCAAATACTAACTAGATCTAGCATTAAAATACTTAAATGTGGGGTGTCTGCTATGGTCTATGTCCCTCCTATAATTCTTACGTTGAAATTCTCACCGCCAAGGAGATAATATTAGGAGATGGAGCCTTGGGAGGTGATCAGGTTATGATATTGTAGCCCTCATGAATGCGGTTAGTGCCCTTGTAATAGAGACCCAAGGGAGACTTCTCACCCCTTCTGCCATGTGAAGTTAGAGTAAAGAAAATGACTGTCTATGAAGAAGAGCCTTCACTAGACACTGAATCTGTCAGCACCTTGATCCTGGACTTCCCAGCCTCCAGAACTGTGTGAAATACTTTTCTGTTGCTTGTAAGGCACCTAGTCTATAGTATTTTGTTGTAGCCGCCTAAACGGACAAGACAGCATCCCTTACCTCAACATGCCATTAATTTCACATTATCTATTAGTAAGAATAAAACAATAGTCATTGGCAGAATTTAAACTGCTGAAAGACTTCTAAGAACTGATTTCACCTTATAAGTAGTAGAGTTAGAATCAACATTTGAGAATAAAAATTATGATATTCATTTTACCACAGCAATGATCAATAATTATATGAAGAAAATTTGTAATCAGGCTATCAGTGATAGTTATTTGTTTCTAGTAATTTAGTCACAAAATTATTATCCAGTATAGCATTGGCATCAGAAAGCATATGGGATTAATATCAAGGAATTTTGTCACTTTTAGGTTTATGAACCTAGGGGGATTTAGAAGTCTAAAACAAATGTATTCATATTAATAACGCTTCTTTTATTTTTATATTGCATAAATTGGAATACTTATTTGTGAAGAAAAATATGGTAATCAATACATAGCTTTGTCCAGAAGAAGAAAGCATGAATCACCCCCAATTCCCAAGAATTTTCAATTGGTTATTTAAAAAATGATTATTAGATATATTGCACAGACATTATAGGGTCCTTCTCCTTAAAATTTTAATTCTAATACTTCCTATACTTCAGGAATCAGCAGCCATTAAATAATGGAGTTCTAATTTGCTGCTGCCTAATCTTCTCACATAGGGAAGGAAACAACTGTGCAACGTAACAACTACTATGTGTACTGCATCACGTTGTATCTATTGCAGGCATCATCATAATTAAGTTCTCAGTGTCAATCCTGTGAGATAGTGCTTATTATTTACTACCATTTACAGAAGAACAAAGTAAAGCAGACTCTGATTGTATAACTTGCCGAAGCTCTTACAGCTAGTAGGAGGGGGGAAATTAAGATTTGAACCAAGTCCCACTGATCTTAGGATTCACACTCTTTATGAGCACAATAACATATGAGTGTAGTGTGTAGTATTTGTGTAGGTGTTACAGATAATCAGAGGAGAGATGGAATGTGGCATTTTCATATATATTATTTTTATTCTGCATTGTATTTTCCCTCTCAAGCAACCTATAATTTCATACTTTCTCAAGAAGTAAAACTTTGCAACTATTATTTTTTTTAAGAAAGTAAGCATTGATAAAAAGCTGAAAGTTAACTTTAGATTATCAAGACTATTTCACTGACCATAAAGTCTAACAACATAAGAAATTTAGGTTTAATTTTTTCTGAGACGGTCTCTCAAATACATTTAAAGATTTCAGAGTAGCCTGCATCCAGTCACTAGTTCTACAATAGAACTGTATCTGGCCATGTCACTGTCAGGCACAGTAGCAGAAATTACTGTATGTTTTATTCAAAGCCTATTTTTGTCTCTCTCTCTCTCTTAACTAAAACTCTAATTTAGTTGTTGTTCCCTTA
The DNA here is from genome assembly GCF_000001405.40 of Homo sapiens. Lineage (NCBI taxonomy): Eukaryota > Metazoa > Chordata > Mammalia > Primates > Hominidae > Homo > Homo sapiens. The sequence continues at coordinate 215,920,010 of NC_000001.11, forward strand.
GGTACAAAGTACACAGTTCATAATTCATTTGATATAAAATGTCAGTTTAGATTCTTGCCCTTCTTTGATAAATGAGAAAAAAAATGTACATTTCAATTTCCTCAATGCTAGAACTACCAGGAACAACCCCCTGTTGTGTTTCTCAAAGACCTTTGTGTTCAATTAAACATCAAGATTCAGAAACTGTGGGGAAGGATATTTCCAAGACAGAGAGAACAAATACATGAGACAGAGGGAGACAGCTAATGCTTTTCCTACTAGTCAGGCGATATCTCCCAAAGAGCATCTTTGATCCTCAAATTAGTCCTCACTTATAATTTAATATGCCACAACCAGTCTGCTGTTTCCTTACACTTAGTTTTAGAGACAGCTGTTGGAATCATCAAAGAAGATAAAAATGTAGATGTTTACAGGTTAATTTTCAACTGAATAGTGATAAGCTTACATATATTTTGTATTTATATATCATGCTTTATGTCCTTTAAACAAAGAATTGAGCAGCTACCTAATGTGCCAGCTAATCTCAGTGCACACACATTCTTTATTCCTTGTCTAAACCCATTGAGGAAAGTTCTGTAATTATGAAACCCCTTCCCAGATGAGCAAAATGAGGCTTAGAGAGGAGAAAAGTTTCTCAAGGTCACACAATCAGGAAATGAAAATGCTGGGGATAGCAAGTGGTGGATAAGTTGAATTGTGATATTTTGATAGACACTGTGCTTTACAAATGCACAGTCTAAGATACACGCTTACTTGATTTATAGCATCAACCATGGGAATAAGATTTAAGCTTTTTCCTGTGATCATGCCCTCAACTTCAGATTTTGATGAGGAAAGTATTCCTGCTTTCTTATGGCCCAGAGGTCACGCATGGTCATTTTGTGGCCATTCCAGTGAACAATTTTCCCACATACTCATACTGTTCACATGGCTTATTTCTAGAATATTCCACATATGAATAAGTGTCTTCACCTGACTAGAGTGTTTTTTCAACTGTTCACAGAAAATTGTTTTAGTACAGGAAGAAAAAGATTCTTTCTTTCATTAGTTTTTACAAATATAAGTTTTCTTGCTCTCTTTTAAGAAAGTTTGTTAATTTTTCAAAATTAACACTATTAGATAAATTAAGTCTCTTCACAAGAATGCAAACTATGTACAATCAGAAGATCACAATTTATAATAATTTATAATAGAAGTTCATAGGTAAATATGACAGAAGTTGGGCAAAATACTTGGTGGGCAAGTTAAGTACTTATATCCACACTGGCAAAGGATGAGTCCAACTGGTTGGTTTCTTTGCCTTCTCCACACAGGGTACGTACCACATAATATTGCTTCTGCTTAATGCTTTTTTGTAAGGCTGTAAACATGTTTTACCTACATTTTTTTTCTCTTATGACATTATAAACTTTAGAGCATGGGTTATACAGTCACTGAGGACAGTTCTCTAGGCCATCTGCAACAGGATTTAAAAACCTACTAGTTCAACCAACAATACCCTTAAAATTATATTTGACCCTACTATAGAGTCAAGTCACCTCTTCAGATCTGCATTGATTAGTGGGGCATCAAAATCTGTGTTGCTGCTGCCAAGAGAGCATATGAACAGTCAGTAGAAGAAATAGAGTATAGTTCTACAGTCAGTAGAACAATAGAGTATAGTGGCTCAGAACTAGGCTTCTATAGTCAGTCTCTAGGTTTAAATACAGTGTCTGCCTTTTACTAGTAAGATGACCTTTACTAGTTGCAAGCCAATATTGTTTCTTCAACTTCCTTATGTGTAAATAGGGATAATAATAGCACTTGCCTTACAGGGTTTGTGAGGAGAATAAAATGAGTTAATATATGCAAAACCACACCTGCACCTAGTATTAATAAATGCTATCTTGGTATGAGTGATCACAACATCAAAAATCTCTTTTTAGCAAATAAAAGGTTACATGATCTTAATTTTTCTCTAGATACTGGGCACTATGTCAACCTACTCTGGAGTTGTGTTTGTGAACTCCTAGAAGGAAAAATCTTAGCTATGAGGTCCAATAGACAGCAAACCCTAGAATCCAGGATGAAGATGTAACTGACTTGAGGAAACATATTTCAAAACTGTACAGATGTAGCCACAAGAGGCTCATTAAAGAAAATTCCCCAGAGGGGAAAGACTCAGGTTTTAGTTACAAGGAGTTTCTTATAGCAGATGTTCTGTGAAGAAGTTGAAGAGCAAAGGAAATTTAGCTGACAGTGTCTTCACAGTAGGGCTGATTAGTGTTCCCCAGTGCATAAAACATCATGCCTGTTGCTTTCTGGTGCCACAGGTAGAACTCAACATCTGGAATTGGTTATCTTTGGTATCTGTTCCTGGCCCATTCAGGAAGACTGTGAGCAACACGATGGCTTTCTTACATTGGAAAGACCTCTGGCCCTACGAATGTGACTTATATATTCAAAGACCAGTTGAGCATGGAGGCCTATTATACCTATTTTTCCCTGAGTATTTGTCTCAAATATGAATATGGAATAAAGTCATAGACAAGATCATATATTTTTTCTTTGAAAGTATTTTAAAGATGGTCTAGCTCAGTGGTCTTCAAACTTGTGAAGGCACCCAGTGACCTGGGAGTTGGTAATGGAATCTCATTAAAACACAGATTGCTTGGCCCCACCCTCAGAATTTCTGGTTAAGTAGGTTGAGAGTAGGGTTTGAGAAGTTGCATTTCAAGCAAATTTCAAGGAATGTTGAAGTTCCTGGTCTGGGATCACACTATAGATACTGCTGATCTAATTCACATCTGCCATTTTAGAGATAAGAGACCAACATCATAGTCAGGTAAAGTTACTTAAGTCAGACCAAACAGCTAATTAGCACAAGAGTTATTACTAGAACTCAGGGCTCTGAGACCTGAAAATAGTGGAGAAACAGCTCAGAAGATTGTCAAATGAAGTGGCTCTGAGGAGACCCTTCAGAATGGGATGAGCCATTTCACAGTTTTAGAAAATATTATCTCATGTGACATCCAGCTTACTTCTTGAGGTTTCCTAATTTGAGAGCCCAAGCAAAAGCCAAACACATATGTTAAGTTTAGCATTTGGCATGATTTTCAGGAAGTGATGAGACTTCTCTAAATGCTCTCTACTTGTTTTCCTTTCTCTCAAGCATTGTGGCAAATGCTTTTGTTTTCAAGTGGCAGAAAACACAACACATAGAGGCTTAAGCAATGAGATGGGTAGTGGGTTCCTGTAATCAACAAACAAACAAACAAACAAAAAAACACTCAAGGGAAAGAGCTGGGTTTTGGCAATGCTGGATTCAAAGGATCAAATGACGTCACCAGAATCTAGTCTACCTCCTTCTCTCATACCCACTCTGCTTTCTTCCTTGCTGACTAAATTTCTCAGACTCTTTGAGGGGCAACATGGCTGGCAGCAAATTGAGCCGAATCCCATATTCAAATACAGGGCAAGAGACATGCCTCTGTTTACTGTACTGGTTTACTGCAATTCAGTGGCTTTGATTGGAATGCCTGTCATTCCTGAAAAAAAATCACTGTGGTTAGGAGAATACAGTGTCCTCATTGGTCAGACCTGGTGATGCAGTCAACTTCACACACAGCGCATGTGCATGTTCTGATCTTGAAAGAGCCCAGGGTGCTGAGAGGGAAATTGGAGCCCTGTCATCAAAAGAAAGGGTGAAGGTATGCTGGGTGCAAAAATAGCCCCAGGCCACTAGGACTGCACAAGAGCATGATAGTAATCATTACTAATATCCTATTATATGCCTGAGCCAAGGTAAATGGTGAGAGGGATAGAGAAAGAAAAAGGGAGACCAGCTGTGACTCCTCTGTCTACCTCCATTCACCCACTCATTTTTTTTTTCATTTTACTTCTTCTTTTTAAAATTTAAATAGAGATGGGGTCTCACTATGTTGCCCAGACTGGTCTCAAACTCCTGAGCTCAACAATCCTCCCACTTCAGCCTCCCAAAGTGCTGGGATTACAAGTGTGAGACACCACACCCAGCCCATTCGTTTTATCTTCCCCATCTAGTAGATAAGACATGATACAAGCATACGAAACATTTAAATAAAAATGAAAGATAGTATACATTTGAAAATGGTCATCAAAGTGTAAGAGGGATTAATCTAATAAAGTATATATTAGATACCCTCATGTTTCTAGTTTCATTTGTCCCAATTAATTAACAATCATGAAAAGCATAGTGGTTGTAAGTGAATTTCCCTACTGTTGTCAAAATCTATTCTTCCTTAAGTTTTTAAGTTTTCTTTTAGACTCTGGGGGGTCTATATGCCTTTATAGAGATAGAAAAAGGGATTTTCTTGATGCTGCTGATGAAAAGAGGTTGGAAATATGGTCTCTAAGTATCTAAGACATATTAAGAATTTTCTCACTTTTGTGAGTATTTATATAGGCAGGTAAATGTTCATAGAATTTTATGCAAGTCAGGCATACAGTTTGTCTATGAAAAAATGAGGAACAAGATATTATTTTAAAGAAATAAAGCAAAAATTTCTTTAGGGCACTATAAAAATTCAAATAAAACTTCAAGTTGCTTTTAGACTGCAGTGTCAGTCAGACAGACATGATTTTTTTTTTTAAGCTTAAAGTTATGGATAAAGCCGTCTTCGAAGAAAAAAAAAGAAAATGAATTGTACTTATTCTTTTTAAAAATGTGAGTTAGAAAATATCAATGGAACTTAAAGGAACAATATTTCCCACCCCTCTCCCCTGGTAAAAAAGAAAAAGATGTGATTTTATTTTATTTTTTTAAGTCTCTCTCTCTTGCCCCAGGATGCTTTAAAGATAGCACTTAATTGTGTGTGTGGGCGTGTGTATTTCTATATAATCCACATGAGAGTATGCAAATATGGAGAGCTGGCAGCCCTTTGCTGGAGGCTTGTTGAGTCCATAGTAAGCACACTTCAAAGTTTCCTTCCCTCTTCTCCATAGCTCAGAAGTTAGTCTTTTTCTAAGGTGTTTTTATAAGCAGGAAGTTCATTGTCAAGATGGTGAATACAAAAAGTGAAAAAATTGTTCACAAATTATGAAACAGGAATTTATCCCTCTCTTTGGCTTATGATATGTAATATTACAAACATATACCTCTTCATACATGCACACACACACACAAAGCAGGTTAAACTATCAATTCCAAAAAAGTAAAGGTAACACTTTTCAGGAAAGGATTTGAGAGCATGTTTAAGACAGTCATAAATCCTTTGGTTCTATTCTCGTACCTGGGAGAAAGCATGGGTTAAATTAAATGGCCTGGTATGTGTTTTTGAAAGCACACTATTTATTTTATTAAGAATTTAAATACTTTTTATTTGTTGAATTCTCCTACTTTATTACTTTCAATGGGTTGATTTTTCCAGGGAAAAAATAGCAGCACATTTGGAAGATATACACAGAAGTAAAACATTATGCACAACTATTCGAAAGATTCATATGAACTGGATGTAATATAAATTGTGTAGCTTTTAATATACTGAAGGTAAAGACAAACCATCTGTTTATGTGGTAGAATGTTGTCGTTTTAAAGAATGCTATTCCTCACCATCCTGTATCTTCATTGTGGCTTTTACATTATAAAAAGCAGTTAATCTCATCTTTCCTTCTACCCTCTGAATAAGGGAATATACCATCTTAGCCTATTGCTTATTTCAGCTGCTAACCTACGTTTATTTTTAAAATCTCCATCCCTTTGTACTCTTTCAATTTTTAAGATATCCCATTGCCACCTGCACATTAATGTTTCTATTTATATATTTCAAATAAATCTAAGTGGATACAGAGCAGATGAAAAATGGAAAACACATATTGAGGAGCTTTATATCTGTACTCGGCAAGCAAGCTTTCACATTTTTGAGAACCATTAGTTTTATTTTTAAAAAGTAGCATCTTGACATTGTACTAAGTTGATTTTAAAAGGCATAGAGTGAGCTGAGATTGCGCCACTGCACTCCAGCCTGGGTGACAGAGCGAGACTCCGTCTCAAAAAAACAAGAACAAAAACAAACAAAAGGTATAGAAATATTTTACAATTCTCAGTGCTACAATGCATGAAGAAAGTGCAAGATACAATAGAGTTTGTTTTTGCAATTCTTATTTATTTACTCTTTTGCTCTTTCGTATATTCTTGCTTTTTGAGCCAGTTCTAGTTGCCCCTAATTCTCTTAGAGACCCTGCAAAAAAAAAAAAAAAAAAAAAAATACCATTCTCCACCTGGCTGGTTGATAGTGCTACCCACACATTTCATTGCTCTAAGGTCTTAGAAAGAGATTTTGGTTGAAATTTGAAAATAGAAGAGAAAGCTCAGTTCTTTCCTTTAAAAACTGAAGGAGAAAAATAAGTTCACTGAGCAAGTTATGCCACAAATCTCAGACTCAGTCCCTAATCAATTGAAGGGATATAATCAATAATTTCTTTTTTCTTTTAAGGCAGAGCTGTGGTAATGCTTAACCTAAGAGAAGAATTTGGTAGCATTGTCCTGCCTCTCCTACTTGGGTAGGCTGCTCTGAGGGTGGATCATTCTGCCACTTTGGAAGCGTGTCTTTTTCCTAAATAGTAGACACTTGCTTTACCTACCTATCTTTTTTTTTTTTTTTTTTTTGAGACAGAGTTTTGCTCTTGTTGCCCAGGCTGGAGTGCAATGGTACAATCTTGGCTCTCTGTAACCTCCGCCTTTCGGGTTCAAGCGATTCTCCTACCCCAGCCTCCCGAATAGCTGGAATTACAACATGCCCGGCTAAGTTTTTGTATTTTTGGTAGCGATGGGGTTTCTCTATGTTGGTCAGGCTGGTCTCGAACTCCCAACCTCAGGTGATCCACCCTCCTTGGCCTTCCGAAGTGCTGGGATTACAGGCGTGAGCCACCGCGCCCAGCCTTACCTACCTATTCTTATCTGACTTGCCAGATTAATAAAAAATTTACATTTACTCTGTATTGCAGAGATGGATAGTTGACTACTCTGTAGTTCAAGGGCAACATTCTGCAGTCGCAGGTAGAATTATACACTCACAAAGAGTCAGCTGTATTTTTTAAACCTGTGATGTCAATTGTGGTTGTCATTATGATTATGTCATTTAATTAAATAATGCTTAAACTGATGAGCACTGTTAACAGAAACCGTTTTCTATGAAAATTTACTGCTTTGAAAAACTTTCAGTGAGGACTTAATAAAACAATACTGTGAAATTCGTTCAGGAAAAATAACTAAAAGACTTAGGATATTACAAAAGCCTGAAAAATTCTATAATTAGATTCTTCCTTAATTATCTCTAAATTTTTGTTCTCCTTTTAAAGGAGTTTTCAAAGTGGAAATCAAACTATGCATTATGAATATAGTTTTGGCAGCAAATATGCTGGACTTATAAATACTAAATTAACACTCCAAGAAAACAACTTGGCCCTATATAACAAGATTGTTGGATAAATATATAGATAAATATATTTATGTGTTCTAAATTAAAGTTGTGTTTAATATATATTTAAATTTTTGGATGTTCTGTTTTAATCATTATTTTCAGTTAAGTGTTCAACCACCAATCACAATAGATAAGTTAATTGAAAATGGTGGTTACAGTGGAAACTACTAGAAGGGGAACAGTGGGAGAAAGCAAAGAACTGAAAACTATTAGGTGCTCTGCTCACTACCTGGGCAATAGGATCAATCATACCTGAAACCTTAGCATCATACAATATATCCATGTGACAAGCCTGCACATGTACCCCTAAACATAATATAAAAGATGGAATTATTTAAAAATAAAAAATAAAATGGTAGGTAAAATAGACAATTAAACACACACACAAATTTATAAACATACCTCCAGAGGGTCCTATATTATGTATTTTTACACTGTTATGGTAATCTTAACAGGACTAAAAATAATTTTAGGATGAATTAAACCCTAAATGTTGAATTTAATTCTGGAAAATGTTTATCCAAGTAAAAGACACAGCAATAGCAAAATATAACTTTCAGGATTATTTTCCAAGTTATCACTGCCACAAAGGGCTCTGGTAATTTATTCAGCAAATAGTTTATGCCAGACACTGGAGCTACAGAAAATATTCAAATTACACACAGTTTCTACTCTCACAGTTCAAAGTTACAAGCAGAAATCAGAATACCCAAGGCCTAGATTTGAGAAATAGCTAAGATTTTTTTTTAAATCACCTACTTATAAGAAGAGATCAGAATTTTCCCTCCAATAGGGAGCTACAAACATTTTAAACAAGAATCTATTGATATACATTTATTGATCTTTATACTGAAATAAAACATCAAAATTAATTGTCATGTAAGGAAAGATTTTTTTTTATATCTTCTTCAAGGAAAAATTTAGTAAACTGCTTTCTTCATTTTTTTTGGTGCTAGTACATCATTATTTCAAAAGCAGAACTAATTTAAAAGAAAAATTATGTATCTGTAATACTTGCATGTATGTGTTTGTACATATACACATACACAATCTAAAAACCAATCACTTAGACATTTATGGAAGATTGACAAATTATCAGGCTCCAGTAAATCATACATTCCAGCATACATGCTTTTTGACTTGGGCAAGAAATTTGCTTTGGACAGTTTGAGGCAAGCAAAGGTTTTCAGGGCTTGTACACTAGGGCTTGACTCTTGAAACCCTGAGTTTCTTTCTGGGAATTCTGAAGAAGCCCAGTCCAGCCTCCTTAAGCCAGGAGAACCATGCTGACAACTCACACAATCAGGTGAGAAATAATACAGAATGGTTGTTTTAAGTTGCTGACTTTTGGAGTGACTCGTTACACAGCAATACCCGAAAGAATATTCCAGTCTCTTAAATTCTAAACAGAATGGAATTCAGTAGTTCAAGCTAAAAAAGTTAGTCATTAATATATTATTCCTTTAGTGGTATTATTGGGCAAAAATCATATACTAACATCTTTTAAAAGCAAACATTTTATTTAGTTATTCAAAAGCATATTGGCTGAACAACTAGTAAACTTTCCTATTTAGTGAAAAATGAAAAAAAGTTTGAATTCCAAGATGTAACTTTTAAATATATGTATTTGAGGACAATTAAGAAAACATGAAAACATCTTAGGATAAAATTTCAAATTACTTGCTTTGGGCTAGCATTAACAATGTAAAAAAAAGCATTTGTGAATAAAATATACAATAATAGACATTTTTTAAAAAGTCATAATTATATTTAATAAGTAGCTCTATATAAACACAGAAGAAGAGTTCTATTAAGAAAATATGTGAAATCCCAAGATGACCAATGAGAGCTTGATGTAAAAATCTTCGCAAATTATGATCTGGAGGTCATGGAGGAGGATGCTGAAGGTATTTCAAAAAGAAAATCACTTCCCATGCTTCCTGCTTACTTCATCATCTAATATGCATCACAACCACCCCTTAGCAGGGTTACTGGCCTGGCCATATGTATGTCAACATGTTAAGGGGTAAGTGTAGGAAAGGATAGGGATGTAGCAAGATGAAATTATTCTGGTCTCTGCAGTCTATGTGAAAGACAGGTTTTTTTACTTACTTTTTCTATAGGGCATTTTCCAGGTCCCCAAAAAGAGTCTTAGTAGGAAAATAGAACAAAAGAGGTAGGAAGCACCAAATGTTTACCAAGACAGGCAATGCGCTAAACACATTACATATAATATGTTGTTCAATCCTCCAGTCAGGTGGGAATTACCATCCAGCCTCTTTAATGGATGAGCAAACTGAAGCTCAGTTATATCTGCAGATTTGCTCATAGTCACTCAAGCAGTGAGTGAAAGAGGTGGATTTAAATCCTTGTTTCTAGGACTCCAACGTCTATGCTTTTGCGATGTGCCTAAGTTTTACTTCCTAATGGTTTTCTTTCTTTCTTTTTTTTCTCATTGATATTTTAGGTGGATAAGTGGAGAGGGGGTTCAGGGGAAGGAGAGAGAGTCGAAAAGACCCTGTAAAACAAACTACTCGCAACCATTTTGCCTTTTTCAATTTTTGGTTCTCTAATAACACATTTGGGCAAATAAACAGATTTTCTCAAGCCTAGTATTTTACACTGTTTGTAGATTATAATAATTCTCATCAACTTAAAAGTACAAATGACAAATTATTTACTCTCAGAGGAAAATTGGATTAGGTTCACAAACCAGGGTGGCTCCAAGTTCCTTTCACTGTTACAATAAAGCAGTTCAGAAAAAGATAAACAGAATTATTCCTTTTGGAATAATATAAAACTTTCATTAAAAATCTGTTTCTAGCTCGTCAGTATGGAATTTGTCACTAATCATTTTAAACTATGCCCTTTTATGCTTCTTCTGTCTCTTTTAGCTTTCTGAGTAGTTCTTTGATGTAACAAAGACAGTTTCAGACAAGATTTCAGTTCATCTGGAAAAAAAAAGGTTTAAGTCTGGAGGCAAAATGCAGTGTATTTAAAATTTATATACTCTATAATGCCTTTGTTCTGAACTTGAAGATCCTGCAAAACTTCTAAGCTTCTTTGCCTTCCTCCTCTAAGCTCATTTGTTCTTCTTTTGCTTATTATCATGCAACTGTGACTTTAACTGGTGCTTCCATCATTTAACTACATGCAGAGTCATGGCTGACCCTTTCTGATCAATTGCCAATCCATACAGGTTTGACTGATAAAAGAGCCAATTAGATTTAAGCAAATTAAGGGACATCACCAATGTCAACCACTTATTAAACTGAATGCTGAATTCCATGCATACAAAACACTAATGCACTGAGCCCCATTAAGCGTTGAAATCCTAACCCCATTAGTAACTCCAGACCTTGAAGGGGTAAAGGCCATAGGAAAGTTTCATATTTATGGATTAACATTTGGATTCGTTTTTATTTTTTTAATTCTTTTCCTAGAACTCTTGAACCTGTACCATAATACTATTCAAGAGCTCTGATTAAATATATCCTTTATTTCCAAGAATACCTTAGTGCTAAATATGAGCATTATGTTATTACAAACAACCTAAAAATATAGTAATTGTAGAAATACAAAAAACTTGAGTGTGCAGAAGTAGGGAAGGATCTGCTACATAATTGGAAAAAACAGAGACGCCCCTCCAGTTGTCCAAATAATATTTAAAGTGAATTTTTCAAATAAAAAATGTGTGTTAATTGGGATTTGCCACTGTTCATCTATGTGCCAAGTTATTAGTAGCACCATCTTCTTACTTTAATTTCTATCTTCAAATAACTTGTGTTTATCATATTCTTAATTATATATTTTTTCTCATCAGAAAAATAGAGGTAGGACTGGCAAATAAGATGTGTCCTGACTACAAATTAAGAGATGATGTATCCTGGTAAAATTCTTTGGAGTATGACCCTTTCACCTCTCCTTTCCAAATTACTATCTAAACTAAGGATTGTTTATTCTATGCTCACCTGAGAAAAGTAACCACTATAGGGAAGAATAAAAGAATGAAGAGTTGGCATAACTTGAGAATATTTCTCACCTCCAATACACTCACCCTCCTTACAGTTTGAGCTCCCAATTTTATCTACATAACCAGAGCATTCCTACATTGGACAGTGGTGTACAGAGAAGGTCTCTTTCACAGCTGGCTAAAATACAAGGTTGCTGAGGTTGAGATGAGGCCTGGAGGGCCTGAGTAATAATAAGCTTAAAATTTAAAACAAGTCGTTAAGCAATCTTGACTAATTTATTCATTCACCAATTATTCATTATGCACCTACCATGTGTCAGGTTTAGTCTAGGTGCTGAAGATAGAAATGTGAGTAAGAAACAGTTCCTACTCTATAGGATCTTATAACCAGTGATTGTGACAGATTAAACAGGCAATTTCAGTATAATGTAACTGTTCTCTGGGATACAGAAAGGCCCTATCTCAGCCTCTGTTGGCAAAACATGACTTTCTGATAGACCAATTTCTAGGTTTGAGGCTAAAAAATGAGTAGGATTTGGCCAGATTAAACGGGTAAAGGGGATTTTCCAGGTCATATTTGATAGCAAATATTTGATGAAGTAAAAAAGAGCATTTTATTTTGCCCAACTCTTTTCTTATTATGTTTTAAAAGTATGCAAAAGAAGCATAGCTAAGGATATTATCATCACAAATCTTGCATCACCCAGCATTGAAAGATACTAGGAATTCAACATCACCATAAGAGAGATCTAATATTGAAATCAAGGAAATGGCAATAATGATAACAATCCAACTATAATGGAAAAGTAAATAGCATATAGAACCTTCTCTGCCCATAAGTTGGTTTGCCTCCGTATATTGGTCCATTTATTATTCATTTCAGAATGAAACACAGTTCACTGGACAAAGGCATGGAAGATTTCTTTAATAACTCTCAGTACTAATTTAATTCTACTTAAACACACATATTCTAGTGAATGCCACATGCTTTTCAGCATGATTTTTATGTGTAAATCAGGATAATATGTTTTCAGATCATTAAGTAAAAGGAAGCATGAACTAAAACCTATTTAATCAATGAGGTATCACCTTTAAACTGCCACAAGGTCATAAAAAAGATAATTTTAAAGCTATACGTTTCCTAATTGTAATCAACAACAATCTAATGAAAAAAGAAAGTATGTCCTAATGGCCATAATAAACTTTAGCGAATCACTGTCTGTCTTTGAAGACATTTGCTTCCTCTTTGGTGAAGGACTGACTCCCAAATTCTAGATTTCTGAATACATAAAGTGGAGGATTGCATCAGGCCCAGAGAGTGTGGGCCTGCAGTGCATTATGGTAATGACACAGATAAGCATCCACAGAGCAAAGATGAAGATAAGCCTCAGTTAATGGTTTACTCAGTTTGACTGCACCACTATAAAACAATATTTTAGTTTCTTTCTATTTGTATAATATTAACCCTTTTACTGACAGGTATATTCACATAGCGCATATTCCGTTAGCAGTAGGACCTTGCTATTTTTAATTGAATCTTGATATATGTATAAATAACAAATTATTAGACCATACATTCCTAAAAACATAAACAATGAATTAAATTTGCCCTATTTTATGAATATGATATAAATTACTGTAAATCACAAACTATTTAATCAGTATAAATACCCTAAAATAAACACGCTTATTAAATATTGTATATATCCTGTAGAAAAGGTATTACTATATAACTTAAAACCTCCATTATGGCACTGATTACTCTTTAATTTCTAAATTTGAGTAAAGGATATTATATTCTAAGGTTTAGAGCCATCACAGTTTTCTATCCTTCCTAGCATGTGTATTGAAGTGAAAAATGAAGATATGAATACCTAAGGTTTATTTTAGCGGGGGGAGTTTGTTTTATTTTGGGTTTCAGTCTCAATTTTTAAATAAATATATCTAAATTCAATTCCCTTTTAAAATTATTGTCTCAATAAATATGATACTAACCTGAGTTGATCAGCCTCAAAAGTTTCTTTTATGCATTCTTTTCTTAAGTAATGTAGCTTCTGACATTTACAGTTTCAAGTATTTTAGTAAACATCAATTCATTAATTTTAATAATGGCATAAAAGGTAGATAATAGTGTGTGGTTTTATGATACAACAAGTAATGAATCTTTTTTGCAGGGGAGCGGTTCCATACAAACTGAAGATTCCCTTTTATTTTTCTCCAGTGATAAAGCACTTTGTGTTCTTATACTCTTCATAACTGGAAGTGGGGTTAACCTGCCCTTCGGATTGCTGATAAAAGATTGTGACATTCTCCCTTAGTTCAGAATATACTCATTCCTGGGAGATGGGCTACAGGGCAGATGCTGGATGTCCTGGGGTCCTTTGCCTTCAGGATTTTCAGAAAACACACATTCTTTAGCACTCAATTGAGAGTCATGCTCTTAACATTTTGAGGCATGCTTTCTGTTCAAGGGCCATCCATGTCAACCCTAGAGGGGTTTTCCTCAATGCGATTATTTCCCGCAACGAGTTAAAACATGGTGAAGCTGAAGGCACATCAAAATAATGGTAATTGTGAATAGGTCGATTTTTATAGAAATATTTAAAATAAAAATATGCAGACTGTATCACATTTCACACATGAATGTGGCCCTGCTGAACTGTAATTATTAGGATCAGGAATTTAAAGGTGTTTTCCAGTAGTGCAAATGGAATTTTCCTATTCTATCATCTGCACCCTGCCCTTTTTGCCAAATGAAGTACTTTAAGTATACAATTGAACTAGTTATTTAGAACACCAGGAATGAGAACCATTTGCAGTAGAAAATGGAAGCTCAAATTGCAAATATAAATTTTGGCTTTAAGTAACGCCTTGAACAAAATCATTTCCCAATTTTCTTAACATGCAGAAATCCAGATATATATATGTGTGTGTGTGTATGTGTGTATGGTATATACACACACATACACACAGTGTGAGGTGGATGAAAGCAGTCTCAACAAAACAATAAAAGATCGTCAATTAAAGAATCTGAATAAACAAAGCAAAACAACAACTATTAAAAGAACCAGAAATACAATTGAGCCTCTAAGTTCTAAAATAAAATACCTCTAAAAATAAACAAGGTATTCAATGGAAACTTAATTCTAGGGCATTTATATAAAATTAGATAGCCAACATTTGCATAGACTTACCTCCTGGAGGCATTGCAATTGTTATAGGATCAGTTATCAAGCTGCCTTGGCTATTTGAAATATTCACTTGTACAGTATAGTTGGTAAAAGGAACCAGCCCATCGATGAGCACCCAAAGGTTTGTCTCTTCTCCGCTGTACATGACTTTTGTGACATTCAGAAGGGTGTAGTTATTACCTACTGATTAAAAAAGAAAATTATTAAAATAAATACATATTTAAGAATTCATTCCTGCTATTATTTGAGTATTTTCTTGAGTTTCTAAATATACTGTACCAAATAGGTCTGTAACTTTACCACTCTAAGAGGCATTACATGTGCTTCTATCAATGCACATATTTGGATTTTATTATCTTGTGAACAAAAGTGCTATCTGAGTTGACCTGGCCAATTCATTCATCACGGCAATCGAAATAATTTGATGAATATTCTTAGATAACTGTAGGATAAAGCCATATCACAAGTATCAAGCATATAAGTAAAAGTATTGCACAAATGTAGAAATTGATTACTTGATGAGTTGTTTATACTTTTTTGAGGGTTTTTTTTCCAATAAAAATCCCTGAATTTTTTTGGATGTGCAGACAGGAAGAAATAACACATTATTCCTCAAATAGAATTGTTCTGGATATACGTATTATACTCAGACATATTTGTCAGATATTGTATATTTCACAAACTGAGGTGTTTTCTGTTCACTTTGCTTGAAATGTGGGTGGATTTCTTTCTATCTAATGCCCTTTTAAATTTCAATTAGTCAGAATATCTTGAAAAGCAACTGGGGATGGGAGGTACTATATGTCCACTTTGATCAGAAGATCTAATATTTTTAGCTTTATGAGAAAATGCAGAAGCTGCCTAGCTATATAAAAGAATCACTTTTAATACATCCTCACCCTGGTCCCAACACCACTGTCCTTCCAAAGCTTTAGCAAACCCATTCTTAAATCTCATCAGTCCAAAATGCAGGAAAATACTTCTGCCTAGTAACAGTGTTTTATCTCTCTCTCTTACACCATTAGGTTAAATTTCAGGTTAAGAGTAAAAAATTAGGGTTAAAATAAGAAAAGGGCTACAGATGAAAATTGTAACATTTTCTATATTAGATGCTTTCCTGAAAAATTTATGAGACAATTTTTTAAATGCTGCTTAATGTTTGTCACTTTTAGAAATGATACAATAACTCTTAAAAAACAGAAAAATGAATGATTAAGAGTACCACCCAGGCTAGGCAACATAGCAAGTCCTCATCTCTAAAAACAAAAAATTAAAATTAAAAATTATCTGGTCATGGTGGTATGAGCCTGTAGTTCTAGCTACTCAGGAGGCTGAGGTGGGAGAATCACTTGAACCCACAAATTTGAGATTACAGTGAACTATAATTGTGTCACTGCACTCCAGCTTGGGTCACAGAGTGAGATTTTTTTATCTAAAAGAGCACCAATATTTACTTCAAATAACCTTTTTCCTATATAAAACCACTTTTTATTATATGTACATTCAATCTTTCACACACAAATTCTGCAGATATAGACAAATGAATTAAAAAACACATGATATTGAGCTTCAAAGAGAAGAACAAGCATACTGGCAAGATCTCCAGATACTGATATAATCTTTATTGAACAAATGCTTAAAAAGTAAAAGATGGCATCATACTAAAAGTGATCTTGCATCGTATAGTATACAAAATGCAAGGTTTACAATATTTACAAAAACATTATATTTTAACACAGTTTAGTAGCAAAGTATAGTGCAAAGGAAAGAACATAAATTTGGTTGTCAAAAGTCCTGCATTTGAACTTGTTCTTGTATTCTTTAGCAATGTGCTCTTTGCTAATTTACTTAATATTTCTGAATGTCTGGTTCTTCATCTGTGAACTGGGAATGATAATACAGTATTTACATTGCAGTGCTATTGTGAAAATTAAGTGAGATTATTTCTTTATCATATCCAGCACATAATAGTTGCTCATAAACAACAGCTAGGAATGATGTTATTGTTTTTGTTGTAATCCATACAACTGATACATTCTAGCCATTCAGAACTAGCAAGTGATTAAGAATTTTGTACTCTGTATTTCATTTTCTCAGTAGCAATTACCTACCTATTCTCTACCCCTTCCAACCTAACAATGTATTATTCATCAAAATTCTAAGGTTTTTCAATGAATAAAGCAGCACTAATCTCATCCATTACCAATGTGTCATTGTCCCATCAGATTATATTTCAAACTGAAATTAATGAAGATCAAATAATGCAAAAGAGGGTCTGATATCTGGTTATTACTTGACTATTTTCATGAAATATGGGTAGGTCCAACAAATTGTAAAAACATACAAAAAGTTATTTAAAAAGATACTTATAACCATTTAGGGATGGAGGAAGTCACTGAAAAATCTACTGTTACAAAATACTCAGGAGTTTTTTTCATGAGCAGAAGAAAGCCCTAATGGCATAATATAATTTATTACTCTGGACCCAAAATTGGCACATCCAAATAAGTAGTTTACTTCAAAGGAAATAAACAGTGCTTGTGGGCTAAAACGTGACAATGATAATTTCTATTCACTTTCAGTAAAGGCAGATAAAGACATATTCATAGCTTAAAGAATGATTTCAAGGTCCTAAAATGTAAGTAGATAATGCACTCCTCTATATGTGTAATACTTATTAGCAAGACATTATGAAACCTACAAAGCAGCCTTTGATAATTTCATTATGCACTAAAAAGACATTTCCAATTTATGCCATTTTAGCTTTCCTAGGTTCTTTACAACTAGTCAGCTTGCTTCTACTGAAGATTATTGAGCTCCAACTGCATGCAAGGAGAAGGCTTTTCTAGGCACTGACGAGAACATGCCCCAAGTACATAAGACATAATTCTTGCACTCAAGAAACCTGGTTAAGATTAAATATGACCATCCTAACCATTGCCTAAGAACAATTACATGGTCAGCATGGGGAGATCTCCTCCTGTCCCCATGATATTGAGCTCCTTGGAAGTATTTCTGCTGTCATTACATGCTCAATTGTAAACTTTCAAAAAGGTCAGCTTGTCCTATAGACTCAAGCAGATATTCAATTGACTCTCAAGTAGCGTAACTGTGCAGGTCTTATAAAAGATTGAAATTTGTAAAGCAACAATGGAAATTCTAAAATTAAGCCATGAGAATATAATTTTACAAATTTTCAGCCAGGGACAAATACAAAATCAATGAGTAAATATGTATGAGTATAATATTGGTGAAGTTTTTTCCATTGCATTTTGCTTGTTTGTTTGTTTTTTAAGGAAATTTTGAACTGTAAAACAAACAAAAAACAAACACTACTGCTTGCTTTGAAAATGGCATGGCAGGGGGAGATATATAAGTAGCACTTCATTCTAAGCTTCCTAGATAACAACATTAATACATGGTAATTATATAATTAGTTGTAACATTAAGTTCTAGTTATAGAACAATGATTACTCAGTAATTATAAGAAGTATATAATTACTCAATAATTATGAGAAGTATGCAATTACATAACCATTTTGCTCAGCTCAAAAAAGAACTTGTACATCTCCAGTAACTATACAGCTGAGTGAGTCTAATGTTCTCTCACCCCTACAAACATACAGTTCAATTCACAGACCTAGAGTAACTGACAGGATTTCAGCCCTCAATGAAGCTCAAAAATTTCCAGATTCAAAACCAAAGCAGGATCCACAGATTTTAGCTCTTCCTCCATTTCACTCTCACTGTCTTTCCTTTCTTCCTTTGAACTTTAGGAATTTGGGCTCCTCAATATGGGCGGGGAGGGGTAGATTTTTAAAATGCTTGTGCTCAGGTTCCTCTTGTTGAGATGGTTGTGCTTTGCCACTTTTCACTGCATAAACTGGGCTTTCAGTGGGCTGGAAAATGCAGCCTCGTTGGTTCAGCCTCAAAAATCAAGCTTGAAAATGTGAAAGTGATAAGTGTGTCCTATCGCAGGCGACCATTCCTGTCTGGTTGGCCCTCCAATCTGACCCTATTTGTGAGTATAAGTGGATGGTGCAAGACCTTTTAAGCTTCTGAGTTCTGGAACCGCAACTCCCCACTGCCTGCTTCGCCCCCACCCAAGCACTGTGATTTGAAGTTGAGTTGCCCTCCTCCACCCTCTGTGGCTTGGTCTGAGCCATTGGGCTTTAACTGGGGGTCTCACTTAGCTCTTTGCAAAATGAGGTTGCCAATACCAATATTCCAGGCACAACCTACATCAAAATCACTTGGGGTTACCTCATAAACATTCATATATCTGAATTCTACGCCAGGCCTACTGGATGAGCATCAGAGCATAGGGTGCTGGGATCACTAGCTTTGACTAGCTTTGGACTATAACATGTTTACTCTATTAGTGAAATAAGTGTAAAGCTAAGGTTTAAAACAGATGTCTCCTTATAGGCTACAAAATCCAATGAAGTTGTTCTACAAGAAAATTTAAAATATGCATAAAAACAATTTGAAAAATAAGTAATTATTGCACACTTAAGAACAATAACATCAGGGTTTCTGATTTAAGTATTATACCTCTTTCTCTCTGTCACTATCTTTCCACTGAAGATGCAGAGGAAGAAAAGATTTTTTGTGTATTGGCCAACATCACACATCATAAAGATAAAATAAGTTTTGCATAGATCATGTAGAATTTCTACATAAACTCCTAACTGCTCTTTCGGTCTATCCCACATTCTAAAGGGTCTTGAAAAAGGTTAATTCATTCAGTCCTACTCTCCTATTTTATTTCAAAGAAAAGTGTTACATGAAAAAATAGACCAAATAAATCTCATATGAACAACAGGTTTTACTTATAAAAAAACCTTTTCTTTAGTCTCAAATATAAAGTCTTAACTGAAATGTTAACAATATTAATGCCCCTTTTCTGAGATGAAAATCTTATTTTCAATGCTCTTTTTTGTTGAATAGTAGAAAATCTATGCAATTATTTTTAAGGAAAAAACAGCATAAATGGATATTTTCACATGTATGACTCAGGGATGCGTAAATGATTGCTGTCTCGAGAATACCATCCTATGGGGTTCTCTAGATTGGAATAACATAAATGGGTATCCTTTCCTATTCTTGTTACAATCATTGTCACAAGAATTTTAATGCACCATATATTCCATAATTTTTTTTTCTCTGTGCTGGACTGCTCTGACCTTTTCAATATTCTATAATTTGACTGGCTGGCCATTTCAGTTCTCTCCTTTTTACAGCCTTATTAACTTGTGGGAAAGAGGTGACATGAACAACCAATCAGAATACATAATATTGCAAAGGTCAGCGTAGTCCTGTACAGTATCATAACACACACAATACTGTATGCCAGGCATTAACATCCTGATATCTTATTCATGTGACAAAGATTGTAACAGGAACAGAAAATGGCACAACATGAATCCATTCTCATGACAAAGATTATAATGAGAAATGACAGTGAACAAACCAAACTGATTCTTGTTACCTCGTGAGGATTTTATATGTCAGGCCTGGTCCTGCTTTAAGTTAGTCTTTTTCTGAATCCAATTACACCTTAAGGTAGAAAAGGTATTAACTAATTTTTCCCACTTCTTGCTGTACAAAGAAATACTATATTTTTCTGGTATTAAGGTCTCAATTTTAGAGTTGTTCAGTTCCATCTCACTATCACGAAATTCTGCCAATACCAAAATCAGAAGACACTGAATTGTGATCAAGGTAAACTGGCAAAATCAGCCTTTACTGTGAGCCAAGAATTTCAGGTCTCTCTATATACCCTGTATTAATATTTAAGTTACATTTATTTATTCCTTCTAAAAATATTATTTTAAATTATTTTAACCAAAAAGCAAGTGTTTCTTCCAGATTCCATTTTTCTGATAGATCTCATGTTGGTAGGAATCTGAAAGGTGCTGAGTATTTGTTTATTTTGTAATTAATATATGGTGAAAGAAATCTATTCCTGGCCTTAAGTTTTTGACAATGTATAAAATATTTATGGACATATGCCTACGAAGCTGTCTTCTCCACAGGATATTTTGAAAGAGAAATAAATAGCCTATGAACCACTAAGACCTTCTGAGGACGGTGCTCGATTAATGCATCATATTTCTTACATTACTGTAATTACTGTAATAGTGATTTTAATTAGTTGTCATCTAGTCAAAGCTGTACTTCTTTGACTCCTCTTTAAATTGGTCATTCCTCTAGCCTGACAATTGTAGTGCAGGGAATAAATACATGCACTATTTTATCAACTCACCAAAAGATGCTTCAGACACATTTGTCCTGGTTGTGCCCATACAAGAGCAATGACAACTCTATAGATATCGAGAATCTTTATGTTTTGTTCTCTAGATCTTTTTTAACGTGTAGGCACAATTACTGTTCTAAATATCGCAAATTATTTTTTAAAGTTTGTTGAAGCATGTTTTATTTTTCCCCATCAAGCTCTCTCTATGTACCACAGTCAGATTTTCCTAAATGTATCTCATTTTATGAATATCAGAAAGGAACTATAATGCATAAAGGATAGACAAAAATCTCTGTACCTTATGCTTAATATTGCTGTAATCCTAAAACTGCTCTAAAAATAGTTATAAAAATGAAAGATATATGTATATATGCATGTATATTATACATTTTATATATAAAGTTCACTACGATATATAAAATTCAGTACAGTTCACTATATATATGTATATAAACACACAGAAAGAGAGAGAGAGTAAATTCAGAGATGTACTGTGACTATTGTAAATTGTAGAAGTATGGTCTATTTTTACTAACCATATATGCTCTGAAATGTCAGGGTTTTTTTCCACTTTGACTTATTTTTTTTGCCATTTGGGCAAACTTTTTTCCAGCTGAACAAACTGATGCTGTTATCTCAATCAGCTAAAAGTTATTGAACAAATATACTCTCATAGAAAGTGGTCTCCGGCTTCCACACTAAACACTGGACATGAATACAACTATTTTATCACCAAAACGTGTTTCCTTTTAAAGTTCTGGTAGAGCCTTACTAACCATGCTGAACCTGCTGAGCCTGTGGTGCTACTAGGATCAGACAAGTAATTTGACAACCATTATTGATCCCAGACAAAGCCTATGGTCCATTCTTTGTTTAATGACATGTTTAACATTTTCTTCTAATTACTGGAAGATATATACTTGAGATGGTTCCTCTGTAAAAGAAGAGCAACGACTTGGGGGTCTGGATGAGAATGATATCATGTTTTGCTGTTGAATTCTACCTGTTTCATTTGCTACAGTCACACAGTAAGGTGTTCCTGTGTTAGTTACCTATCGATGTGTCATGGTATCACCACGAACTTAGCAACATACATTTAGAATCTCATAGTTTCTGTGAGTCAGGAGTCTGGCACAGCTAACTGGGTCCTGTGCTCAGGGTCTCAAAAGACTGCAGTCAAGGTGTTGGCCAGGACTGAAATCCCATCTGAAGGTTCCAATGAGGAAGGATCTCTCGCAAGCTCAGGTGGTTGTTGATAGTTTTCAATTTGTTGTAGGCTGTCGAGACTGAGGGTCTCAATTTTTTCTGGCTATTGACTCAAGGCTGCTCTCAGTTACCAGTTTTGTGTTGCCTGGCGTTCACCCTCATTTCTTCCCATATGGGCCTCCCCAGTGTGACCACTTGCTGTATCAAAAAGAGGGAGTCTTCTAGCAAGACAGGTTACAATCTTATGGAGGTGGCATGCTATCACCTTTGTTCTGTTCTACTGGTGAGCAGCAAGTCACAGGTTTTGAAGACACCCAAGGGAAGGAGAGTAAACAAGGACATGAACACCAGGAGGTGGGGAAAGTCAGATGCCACCTTACAGTCTCCCTGTTAGTCTCTGAACTGTATATATGAATCACCTTGCTAGAAAGAGATTTTGGACAAATTGTGAACTTTCACAGCTTCTAAATTAAGTGGTACCACACAACTGTCTTTCCAAAATACCTGACAGAATGGAAACAAACTATGAAAACAGTAACATTAACAATTTTAGTTGAAGATTCTCCAGGTACAAATGTATAAAGGAAAAGGAAAAAAATGACCGACATGAATTTTGAAACCTAAAAGAAGAAAGAGATGGTAAATT
Organism: Homo sapiens; assembly: GCF_000001405.40. Classification (NCBI taxonomy): domain Eukaryota; kingdom Metazoa; phylum Chordata; class Mammalia; order Primates; family Hominidae; genus Homo; species Homo sapiens. Next base: position 215,942,724 of record NC_000001.11, read on the forward strand.
CCTTCTTAGTATAGCGCAGCTCCTAACTTTGTTCCCAGAGGAAGGAGTATAAGCCAAAAAAAATCCTCTCCAATATGTAGAGAAATGAACTGAGTAGAGTCTGCAGAGACAGGAAGAGAAATCAGGGCTGGCCATCCTGCCAAGCACTGTGCTGAGTTGGGGGAAAAAGCTGGTGTTCCCAGGTGTGGGAGATACATGTGAATAAATGCAGCAAGTGCTGCCACAAAAGCTATATAATAGGATCTCAGAGGAGACAGAAAATCTGGATTCCCCAGAATTCTGCCCAGTGCATCTTCGCACCCTCTAGCAACACCTAGTGCTCAAAATTTAGGTCGAAAGAAGACTGACTAGCACCAGAAAGGAAAGGAAGTAGACCAAGCTCAGAACCAGTGCAAAATCTGGACAGAGCTGCCCATACAAGGCATAAGCAAGATGAAGTTGAAGAAAAAAATAATATATCGAGTATTATACATACAGCTAAAGAAAGGATTGTAACATAAAAAGACAAAATAACCATGTAGTTTGGGAAAAAATGATATATATTCCCTATAATATGATAAAATGATATTGCAGAGACAGAGAAACAATCTGGAAATTAAAAAATGCAGTAAGTATTTAATAAACAAGTTAGAAAAAGCCAGGAACAGAATAGAGCTAAAATCTAAATCAATGGTATGATGAAAAGCCTTGAGAGAATCATAATTAATGCATAAGTAAAAAGATCAAGAAACTCTAACAATCAGGGAGAAGATAATAGGTATGTAGAAAGAAATGATTAGAAACATAACTTAATTTTCTCTTTTTTTGTAAATGAAAGGACACCTGAAGTTCATGTGGTAAGACCATGGGACTGCCAGTCAGTTGCATTGCTTTCATCTGGGGACTACAAAGCTTGATCCAGTGAAACAATGGCTCACAGTCAACTAAGGATTATTCAAGATGCCTCTAAAATTGTTGAGAATCCAGAAGTAGAGTGATAATTTTCCAAGGCGACTGAATGGTGATGGTGCCAGTGGGGGTGTCCTAAGAAGGCATAAGCTGGTCTGGGCTATGTTATTTGTGGTTCTCCACAAGTCTGACTCTCCAGCTTTCCTGACAACTTTTTGAACTGTTGAATTCCTTTAATATAATTCATCTCTGCCTGAATTAACCAAATTTGTTTCTGTTGTTTGCTACCAAGAATCACCCATGAATTGAGACAGCTCTAAAATAATGTTTACTGTTTGTTAACATTGGTTATTTATGGGTAGTGGGATTTTAGTGGATGTTGTTTTTCTGTATTACATAGATTTTTAAATTAGCATTCATAATTTTTGCAAAATCAAATGAATCATGAGAAGATTGAAATATCCAAGGAAAGTATGTAAATTGCATTTTAATGTATAAACGAGTTATAATAAAACAGGGTCCCACAAACTACAATCTACAAGCCAAATTTGGCCAGCTGCCTATTTTTGTAAATAAAGGCTTATTAGAACAAAAGTAATTATCTTTCTAGGAATTTTCATGATATAACTGCAGAATTGAGTAATTATGGCAGAGACTATATTGCCTGCAAAGTCTAAAGTGTTTACTTTCTATCCCTTTATAGAAAAGATTTGCCAACCTCTGAATTAAACAATTAAAGAAGCTAACTTTTAAAAAATATACTGCCTTCCTGAATAAAGGGAGCAATTTCCAGTTTCTAGAATGATTCTCTTGAGTAAATATTTTTTTTAAAGAGTGGAACAAAGCACGTGGAAAGAATATTTTGTTGATATAGCCCTTTGTTACATCACTGCACCATACCTTCATTAATGTTTTGATTATCTTTCATTATTCAGCATTAATAAATGCAAATTACTGAAAAGGAAATGAAGCTGGACAAAAATAAGTTCTAGACAGTCCCCTAATTCCACATGCCTAGGAAGTTTGCCAGTGGAAATCCAAGTGCCTGGCTTATATGGCTTATACAGCTGCTATTCTAAAGGCTTAATAAGAGTAACTGAAGAGTAATTAATGTTGCTTAAATGAAAGAAATATGGGTTTACTATTTTAACTCCTTCTAAAATACTTTTTTACAACATTCAAAGTTATATGTCTTCCTGAAAAAAAATCAGTGGTAGGTAATTTGTCCAAAACATGAAACATCCCCTTCCAATGGATTCTAGTGAAAATTAGTAAATGGCTAAATAAGGCTAAAATGTTTGCTGAAAGTAACAAATGCAGTGTTAATATTACCTTGAAATTTATTTTAAGAATATGATTAGATAAGTGCATCAAATAATTGCCTTATTCTAAGTATCAAATAATGAATTACGGAAAGGTTTAATTGTGCCTTTTCAAAAATTTTGCTTAAGAACCTAGAACAGGTGGCTAGAGTCAGAGGCAAGAGAACAATAATATGGTACCATGAGTCCCAAAATAAGCATTCGATATGTAAAGGATCATAAGATATAAATTTGTTTGTAAAGCAAAGAGAGTTTGATATATAAATGTTGGCCTCATTGAGGAACAACTTAATCAATTTTGCTCTCTAATTTAAAGTTGAGCTGTTTTTCTCTTTTAAATCCCCCAGATGGTGGCTTTCCAGCCTGGACAATTATAGAAATGAAAAGACCTAGGCTGGATACCTTCAAAGGCATTTTATTCACCTTAACTGTTTTCTTATTGTTAACCTAGACCAGTTGATATGGTTCAGCTCTGAAACAAGCATGTGAAAATAAATAATATCTTTGTCATGAAAAATAATCATTTACCTAATAGCACCCTAAGAATGTGGTTTGTAGCCACCAGTTGTATTAACAGGTCTTTTTTTAAAAGAAAGAATAAAGTTATTTTAAAACATGACTACATCTTAAGAAAAATATTGAGAAATTTGAAGTTTGCTGATGATGTTATAGCTACATATTTTAAGTCTTTATTTTTTAATCCTTGTTCATTTGTGGGGCTTCCATTGTCAGTATACAAATGAAGATTATTATCTTCTTTCTAAACATGTTCAGAACTCATAGATGTCAATAAAAATATTCAGTTCTTTGGGGGAGATGATCAGAAAGAAACTGGCTAAAAAGCGGACCTGGGAATCTCCAATCCATAATCAAATATCGAGATTGATTGTCTCACTTGCACTTGTATTGATTTCAATTGGAGTAGCTCACCCAAGGGAATAATAAAAATGTGGAATAAAACTGATTTATGAGAACAAAATAAATCCTTTTGTGAGTGTAATGAATTGGTACTATTTAACCCTTTCAATCACAGGGTGAAAAACTATTTATTTTTTAAGAATTCTGAACTAGCCAAAAGAAGTCATATCAGAAATGCCAATACTGCCAAGTGCCATTACATGAAGTTGTAATGCTGGGGAAGAAATGCTGCTCTAAACTTGGTGGAAGGCATTATTTGACATATGACATACTTTTAGCTTTCCTGGGCCAACTTCTATGTGTCATCACAAATGATGGACCTATAGATCCAAACTATTACAGAATCACTCAGTAGATGTTTATTGTGCTTATTTACATGAGACAGTTGAGAAGCTAGAACAAAACATGGTGGTACAACATTAACTACATTTAATTTTTTTCTCAATATAGGTGTTCTTGGTTTTAACTCAAAACAGCATTTAACAGTTATATTCATGGGACACTCAACAATATTCGAGGATAACAGGGATATTCAGGAGAGACAGACTTTGGCATAATTTGGCACAAATATTTGCCTTAAGAAAATTGGAGGACCAAATAAAAAAGGAGATGATTTGTTTATAAAACCCAGCAACTGTTTGACTCTATTAGTTGAGCCAACCAGCCGAGCAGCTGATTCAATAAGAAAAATATCAGTCATGTCATTATTTCTTGAAACCCGGTAGACAAAACATTCCCAATAGTTTGGCATTGATTTAACTTTTAACTTTTCCTCTGTGTTAACATCTTATACATGTGTTCTAAACCTTTGCTGTCCAATACAATAGCCCCTATCCACATATGGCTATTGAGCACTTGAAATGTGGGTAGTATGGCTGAGGAGCTGAATTTCTAATTTGATTTTAATGAATTTAAATTAAAAATTGATCATTGATTCAGTTACTGGAAAACTTTTAAATACATTTGAAACAATTTGGTATGTGGATCTACTTTCTCAACTGAAAACTTATGACATCTAAATGCAGACTGAATATATCTGATAAAAAATCTAAATTGAAATATCCTATAAGTGTAAAATACAGACATAGATTTGGTAGAAAAAATAATGTATTATCTCATTAACTTTTAGGTTTTAATTACATGTTAAAATAATGATATTTTAGATAGATTGTATTAAATAAGGTATATTACTTTTTTTTTTTTTTTAACTGAGACTAAGTCACTCTGTCGCCCAGACTGGAGTGCAGTGGTGTGATCTTGGCTCACTGCAAACTCCGCCTCTCACGTTCAAGTGATTCTCCCACCCCAGCCTCCTGAGTAGCTGAGAGACTACAGGCATGCACCACCACTCCTGGCTAATTTTTGTATTTTTAGTAGAGACAGGGTTTCGCCATGTCACCCAGACTGGTCTCAAACTCCTGACTTCAGGTGGTCTGCCACCCTCAGCCTCCCAAAATGCTGGGATCACAGGTGTAAGCCACCGCACCAAGCCCTACTAAATTAGTTTTAACTGTTTCATTTTACTTTTTTAAAATGTGCATTTTAGAAAATTCAAAATTATATATGTAGCTCACATTATATTTCTATTAGGCAGTGCTGTTCTGATGTGCTAAAGGGACAATTAGAATGCACATTTAAAATCCAGGTTCATTTTCATTTTAAATCAATGGAAGAAAACCTCATTGTTCAAAGATCTGCCTACATATACTCACAAGAGATGGAGGTGAAACTTTTATTCACAGAAGGCACAGATTCTGTTTAATACATTGCATTGAATTCATAGTCCTAAGAAAGCTGATTTCAGAACAACTTAGGAGTGTTACAAGAAGGAGTGCGTTGATTTGTTATCAGTTTGGCTTGTACTGTCATTGTGTTTAATGAAAGTACATAAAGGTAACTTTATTTATCTCCGCTGGCATAAAAAAGCTTTTAAAAAAATTAATACATTTTACTATTTACAATGAAACATAATTTAATTCAGTTTGATGGTATCATAATTATTATAGCATAATAATTTTTCTAGCATGATAACTTTGGCATGTATGCCATACAGAGTAAATCATTAAATAGGAAACAGGTACAAATCAGAAAGATAATAAGAAAATCTATTATCATGAAGACATAAATTATTAGGGAAAAGTGGAAGTAAACCACCTTTAGCTAAAGAGATTCAAGCAAAAGTAAAGTGATAATAAATAATAATTGCAATTGCTGGGCTTCTGAAAGAAACTGAGGCCTAAGGTCTTTAACATCTCTTGTATAACAATCTCAAGATTTTTGTTCCCAATTTCTTATTAGAGTTTGAAGTTTTAAGGTCTTTTGTTTCTGAAATGCTTCCAATAGTTTTGCTATGAGATGAAACATGATATAAAGTCCTTCCTTCCCCCATGTTTTCCTATTTTGGCTTCACATATTTCTTCTTTGTCTAACTACAAAAGAATTTTTTTTTATTATAAATGTTAAGGCTATATCAGCAACCATAAAGAGAAAAGCTGAAATTACCTAAAATGTGAAGATAATCATTGTTATTAATATTTTGGTATATTTTGGTGTGTGTCCTTCATATTTGTTCAGATATATATATATATATATACACACACACACACACACACACGTATATATGGACATACATCTATACATATATGATCTACTGTCATATATTGCAATCATAGAATTTTATGATGCTCATTGTTTTATAGCTGTAAGAATATATATTTTCTCATCAACAAATATACAGTATAATCTTTGTAATGGATTTACCACAATGCCTTCAATCCATATAGTTGAATATTTAGAAACACCCACCCTCTTGATTTTTATTATACATATAAACTCTGTCAGGGACATAATTTTATAAGGATTTTCCTGTGCACCTATCTAATTTTTTTCTAAAAATTTCAATAAGGATAATTTCTGGGGTTCTCAATGGATAGGAATATTTGAAACATCTTATATTTACTTCATAAGCTTATTTTAATAATCTCACATGAATAACTGGAAGCAAATAATTACTAAAAAAAATTGGTTATGGCTTATTTAAAGAAACCATAATGTACGGATTGTATCTGTGACACAGAACTTGAATTACAGCTCTTTCTGTTCAAGGTAAAAATGTCTATCCTGTCTGTTAACGTGTTATATCCAGCTAAGTTCATATGACTGAGTGGGCTGGACTCACGTTCTTTGAGTGTACAGATCTGTGTATTTTCTGTCTTCCTAGAGCTGGAGAAATTGCCAACTCAGAGATTTATAAATATTTTTAAAGTATTGAATAAAAATGGCATGTTTTAAAAACACTGACGTAATACCAGAGATTTTTTAAATATTATAATAAAAATAAATGAACACCATCACAAAAGTAAAAATACCTGGAATAACCCTAACAAAAAATGTGAGGTCCTTATGGGGAAAATAACAAAACTTTAATGGAGATACAAGCTGCTTAAGTAAATGGAAAAATAACACATTTCTAGATGAGAAATATTTTAAGATGTAAGTTTCAGAAGAATTAATGTATAAGAAGGAGACTCCATTAAAAATATTGCTGTCATTTTTTCAACTCAATCTAATGTTCAACTGGAAGAATATGCATATGAAAAGAACTAAGACCTTTTAACAGAAATGAATAATAACCTGAAGGGAGAAAATAATGACTTTACCCATAAGATACAAATGTATTTTCTAAATAATTAAGATGTTGAAAGCACCACAATTCAATCAGATTAGAAACAGGTAAAAGGAGAAGAAATAAATAGCTCAGAAACAGGCAGCATCATGTATACAAATTTAAGTCTGATAAATTTAGCAAAATAAAGCAACATATGTTTCAACTGTAGACGGAGAAAATATTTTTTATAAAAATAAATTAGCAAAGATTTAATTATCAAAAATCTGAAGTACTACATCATAAACCTCATAAAAAGACCAAAAAGATAAATCAGATAAAATATTTAAAATTGTAATGACTAAGAATTACTATCTATATTATTTTAGCTTCCATAAATACCAAAACAAATTTTAAAACCTCTAAAATATTCTGGGCAAAGTGTGTGAGCAGACAAAAAAAGAAAGACAAACAAATAGGAAAAGAACATATGGAAAATGTTTGGTCTCAATAGGAATAAAAGAAATGCAAATTAGAGCAACCTACCATTTTTATCTATCAAATGCATATAACTACAGACAGATGAACACATTTGTATACTATTAGAAGCCATGTGAAATGATGTAATTTTTTTGAAAGCATTTTGCCATGCATATCAAGTGTCTTCAAAAATATACTCAACCTTTAATTTAGCAATTCCTTTGTTGTTATACATATTAAGGAAAAATGTAGAAGTATGTGTTAACAATAAATATTCTTTCAAATAGTAAGAATAAAAAACCTAAATATCCAACAATAAGGAATTGATAAATACATGTTGGCACATCTATACTATAGTATATTAAGTACCTATTGAATATTAAATACTTGTTATGAGTTTTTTGTGTGTAATACAAGAAACATTCATGATATAATGTTAAATGTGTAAAATATGATATGTGTTTGTAGTAAGATCTCAATACATTATATATGCAAACACATGAATACACATATGTATATCTCCATAGAAAAAATGACTGCAAGCCAATAACACATTTATAATTGCTACCTTTTTTTTTTTTTTTTTTCTGAGACAGAGTCTCGCTCTGTCACCCAGGCTGGGGTGCAATGGCGTGATCTTGGCTCACTACAATCTCCAAATCCTGGGTTCAATCAATTCTCTGCCTCAGCCTCTCGAGTAGCTGGGATTACAGGCTCCTACCACCATGTCCGGCTAATATTTTTTTTTGTATTTTTAGTAGAAATGGGGTTTCACCATCTTGGACAGGCTGGTCTTGAACTCCTGACCTTGTGATCCACCCGCCTCAGCCTCCCAAACTGCTGGGTACAGGCATGAGCCCCTGCACCTGGTCTAACTGGTACCATTTTAACAAAACTGTCTCTGAAGAAAAAAGACACTCCAATCTAAGCCTTTAGCTACTAAATGTAACTAATATTCAACTGTGTAACAATTGAAAATTTATTGCGTCTATTTGATTCTTCTCTCTTTTCTTCTTTATTAGTCTTGCTAGTGATCTATCAATTTTGTTGATCTTTTCAAGACACCAGCTCCTGGATTCATTGATTTTTTTGAAGGGTTTTTTGTGTCTCTATGTCTTCCGGTTCTACTCTGATCTTAGTTATTTCTTGCCTTCTGCTAGCTTTTGAATGTGTTTGCTCTTGCTTCTCTAGTTCTTTTAATTGTGATGTTAGGGTGTCAATTTTAGATCTTTCCTGCTTTCTCTTGTGGGCATTTAGTGCTATAAATTTCCCTTTACACACTGCTTTGAATGTGTCCCAGAGATTCTGGTATGTTGTGTCTTTGTTCTCATTGGTTTCAAAGAACATTTTTATTTCTGCCTTCATTTCGTTATGTACCCAGCAGTCATTCAGGAGCAGGTTGCTCAGTTTCCATGTAGTTGAGCGGTTTTGAGTGAGTTTCTTAATCCTGAGTTCTAGTTTGATTGCACTGTGGTCTGAGAGACAGTTTGTTATAATTTCTATTCTTTTACATTTGCTGAGGAGTACTTTACTTCCAACTATGTGGTCAATTTTGGAATAGGTGTGGTGTGGTGCTGAAGAGGATGTATATTCTGTTGATTTGGAGTGGAGAGTTCTGTAGATGTCTATTAGGTCTGCTTGGTGCAGAGCTGAGTTCAATTCCTGGATATCCTTGTTAACTTTCTGTCTCGTTGATCTGTCTAATGTTGACAGTGGGGTGTTAAAGTCTCCCATTATTATTGTGTGGGAGTCTAAGTCTCTTTGTAGGTCTCTAAGGACTTGCTTTATTAATCTGGGTGCTCCTGTATTGGGTGCATATATATGTAGGATAGTTAGCTCTTCTTGTTGAATTGATCCATTTACCATTCTGTAATGGCCTTCTTTGTCTCTTTTGATCTTTGTTGGTTTATTTTTTTTATTTTTTATTTTTTTTATTTTTTGAGACGGAGTCTTGCTCTGTCGCCCAGGCTGGACTGCGGACTGCAGTGGCGCAATCTCGGCTCACTGCAAGCTCCGCTTCCCGGGTTCACGCCATTCTCCTGCCTCAGCCTCCCGAGTAGCTGGGACTACAGGCGCCCGCCACCGCGCCCGGCTAATTTTTTGTCTTTTTAGTAGAGACGGGGTTTCACCTTGTTAGCCAGGATGGTCTCGATCTCCTGACCTCATGATCCACCCGCCTCGGCCTCCCAAAGTGCTGGGATTACAGGCGTGAGCCACCGCGCCCGGCCTGGTTTAAAGTCTGTTTTATCAGAGACTAGGATTGCAACCCCTGACTTTTTTAGTTTTCCATTTGCTTGGTAGATCTTCCTCCATCCCTTTATTTTGAGCCTATGTGTGTCTCTGCACGTGAGATGGGTTTCCTGAATACAGGACACTGATGGGTCTGAATCTTTATCCAATTTGCCAGTCTGTGTCTTTTAACTGGAGCATTTAGCCCATTTACATTTAAGCTTAATATTGCTATGTGTGAATGTGATCCTGTCATTATGATGTTAGCTGGTTATTTTGCTCGTTAGTTGATGCAGTTTCTTCCTAGCCTCGATGGTCTTTACAATTTGGCATGGTTTTGCAGTGGCTGGTACTGGTTGTTCCTTTCCATGTTGAATGCTTCCTTCAGGAGCTCTTTTAGGGCAGGTGTGGTGGTGACAAAATCTCTCAGCATTTGCTTGTCTGTAAAGTATTTTTTTTCTCCTTCACTTATGAAGCTTAGTTTGGCTGGATATGAAATTCTGGGTTAAAAATTCTTTTCTTTAAGAATGTTGAATATTGGCCCCCACTCTGTTCTGGCTTGCAGAGTTTCTGCCGACAGATCAGCTGTTAGTCTGATGGGCTTCCCTTTGTGGGTAACCCGACCTTTCTCTATGGCTGCCCTTAACATTTTTTCCTTCATTTCAACTTTGGTGAATCTGACAATTATGTGTCTTGGAGTTGCTCTTCTCGAGGAGTATCTTTGCAAAAATCACAAGCATTCTTATACACCAATAACAGACAAACAGAGAGCCAAATCATGAGTGAAATCCCATTCACAATTGCTTCAAAGAGAATAAAATACCTAGGAATCCAACTTACAAGGGACGTGAAGGACCTCTTCAAGGAGAACTACAAACCACTGCTCAATGAAATAAAAGAGGATACAAACAAATGGAAGAACATTGCATGCTCATGGGTAGGAAGAATCAATATTGTGAAAATGGCCATACTGCCCAAGGTAATTTATAGATTCAATGCCATCCCCATCAAGCTACCAACGACTTTCTTCACAGAATTGGAAAAAACTACTTTAAAGTTCATATGGAACCAAAAAAAGAGCCCGCATTGCCAAGTCAATCCTAAGCCAAAAGAACAAAGCTGGAGGCATCACGCTACCTGACTTCAAACTAGACTACAAGGCTACAGTAACCAAAACAGCATGGTACTGGTACCAAAACAGACATAGACCAATAGAATGGAACAGAGCCCTCAGAAATAATGCTGCATATCTACAACTATCTGATCTTTGGCAAACCTGACAAAAACAAGAAATGGGGAAAGGATTCCCTATTTAATAAATGGTGCTGGGAAAACTGGCTAGCCATATGTAGAAGCTGAAACTGGATCCCTTCCTTACACCTTATACAAAAATCAATTCAAGATGGATTAAAGACTTAAATGTTAGACCTAAAACCATAAAAACCCTAGAAGAAAACCTAGGCAATACCATTCAGGACATAGGCATGGGCAAGGACTTCATGTCTAAAACACCAAAAGCAATGGCAACAAAAGCCATAATTGACAAATGGGATCTAATTAAACTAAAGAGCTTCTGCACAGCAAAAGAAACTACCATCAGAGTGAACAGGCAACCTACAGAATGGGAGAAATTTTTTGCAATCTACTCATCTGACAAAGGGCTAATATCCAGAATCTACAATGAACTCCAACAAATTTACAAGAAAAAAACAAACAACCCCATCAAAAAGTGGGCAAAGGATATGAACAGACACTTCTCAAAAGAAGACATTTATGCAGCCAAAGGACACATGAAAAAATGCTCATCATCACTGGCCATGAGAGAAATGCAAATCAAAACCACAATGAGATACCATCTGACACCAGTTAGGATGGCAATCATTAAAAAGTCAGGAAACAACAGGTGCTGGAGAGGATGTGGAGAAATAGGAACACTTTTACACTGTTGGTGGGACTGTAAACTAGTTCAACCATTGTGGAAATCAGTGTGGCGATTCCTCAGGGATCTAGAACTAGAAATACCATTTGACCCAGCCATCCCATTACTGGGTATATACCCAAGGGATTATAAATCATGCTGCTATAAAGACACATGCACACGTATGTTTATTGTGGCACTATTCACAATAGCAAAGACTTGGAACCAACCCAAATGTCCAACAATGATAGACTGGATTAAGAAAGTGTGGCACAAATACACCATGGAATACTATGCAGCCATAAAAAATGATGAGTTCATGTACTTTGTAGGGACATAGATGAAGCTGGAAACCATCATTCTCAGCAAACTATCGCAAGGACAAAAAACCAAACACCGTATGTTCTCACTCATAGGTGGGAATTGAACAATGAGAACACATGGACACAGGAAGGGGAACATCACACACTGGGGCCTGTTGTGGGGTGGGGGGAGGGGGGAGGGATAGCATTAGGAGATATACCCAGTGTTAAATGACGAGCTAATGGGTGCAGCACACCAACATGGCACATGTATACATATGTAACTAACCTGCACATTGTGCACATGTACCCTAAAACTTGAAGTATAATAATAATAAAAAAAAACAATTGAAAATTTGAAAATTTTTTGTAATTATTGCAACTACACTTTTACTTTATGCCAAAGTCCTTAAAACAGTCTGCTGCATGAAGTAGCTCCTGTCTAACTTTCTAGTCTCATCTGTGCCATTCTTTTCTTCACTCCCTAGCCTAGCTACAATGTCCTTCTTTCATTTCCTCAAATCCACCACAATTTTACCTTCCTCACATCCTTTACAAATGCCATTCACTTTGGAATCCTCTTTCTAGTTTCTGAGTTGGTGTCTAGTCATGTTACAGTTACCCTAAATGTCATCAGCTCAAAGAAACTTTCTTGACCCTCCAATTTATATTAAGCTTCTTATTATGAAAATCTTAGTTATATATACTTTTACTTTAATAATTATTAAAGTCTGTAATTTTATATTTCTATATGATTACTTGGGTAATTTCTAGCTCCCCTTGTTAAACCACAAGCCCCTTCAGCACACAGACCATGCTTGCCAGATATTTAAGTACTTTCTAAATGTTTCAGATGTTGAAAGCATAGTGATTAAGTTAGCATAGTGATGATTTGGAGAAATAGGTTTACAATGGGAAGGAATAAATATCCCAGAAACAGGCACCATCATTCGTATAAATTTAAATGTCTAACAAATTTAGCACAATAAAACAACATATGATTCAACTCTGGATAGAGAAAATTTCTCTACTCAACTCCAGCAGCTATCATTTAGTTTCTGTCTTGTTCCATAAAACAAGCTAGATACATGCTTTCTACATGAACAAATGAATGAATGTCCAAATAAACAAATAAATTTCTTAATTTAATTCTATGATTTTTGATTTCTGCTTCTTGGGTGTAAAACTCCCTTTGCTTCTCCCCAAAGGCATATTGCTAGAAGGAAAAACATAAATTTTATTTGCAACCCGATTTATAAATAAAGAATCCAAATTCTCTAAAAGCCATATACTTTTTTTTTCATAAATAGCCCACTAGAATCCTTAGATTCTGCAACACTAATAATTGAGTAAAGTAACACATTGATTATGAAGAATTTCACACAAAAATTTGGGAAATATGTTTGATGTGGGCTGTTCTTGGTATATAGAACTATGATTTAGGAGTCACCTATTATCACTTTCTAAGGGGCCAAACATATGGTTTGTAATCCTCATAACTCTGTATAATGATAAGGACCCATCACCATCCAAGGAAGTTGATCCCTAGATTCCCACAGGAGAAGTTCAGGAATCAGAGAAGGGAATTCCTTGCTGTAGGGTGTGTCTTAGAGGCTAGAGAAGGACATTGGCCCCAGATGGCTAGATTTTTTTTCTATTTCTCTGTGTAATCCATTCTTCTGTTTCCCTCTAACATCAATTCACAGCTGACACTTTCCTACTGAGAACCTCCTAGGTAAAATGGCTATATGTTCAGTCTACCAAAATCTAAACACTGATTCTAATATTACTATTTATTCAACAAGCACTGAACTCTTGCCACAACAAAGCATGCAAAAACCAACACTAGACAGGCATATCAGTGGTACACAACTATAGGTAAACATTATATATCTGCCCCACGGCTGGCTTATCCAGTTGAACTTTATCATGCATGTATTAGAAATCCCCCAAATCACTTGTGGTGTGGGTTTGAAAATGGTGTGAGTATTTTTAAATGCTTTAAAAATTTCTCTAAATAGGAGAATTTTATTTTATTTTTTAAATTATGCAAAGCCTTCCAAAGCCAAAGGTACATCATCTGGGTGATCTGCTGATTGTATTTTGCTTCTAACAGGCTCCTTTCATGAGGAGTTAGAATGGAGAGATTCCTCCACAGAGATGCTCTGCAGAGTTTGAAACATAAAGTTAAGCCATGAGGACAATGAAATCCTGTGCCCTCTCATGGCTCTGTGGGCTGCATATCCTGAATCAGTGTACGACCCATGGTTACAATTTCCATTTCATCATTACATCGCCGCCTCAACAGACACAACAGCATAGAGTATGCACTTGTTCATTATGTCAAGAAAATAGCCAATTAGATATCAGACAAATTCAATAAGCTGCTGTGTGAGTGTTGAGAACAGATGAGGTCTTAAACAAGTTTGATAAATTAATGCTTAACTCCATTCTTGTGGAAGAATATGTCCTAATTAAACATTTCTATAGCTTTATTGGCCATGACATGATATACAATCAGAAGTGTCAATACATTCAGTGCATATACATTCTATAGCCCAATATTTGAAATGACAGATATCTTATTATTGCCCGTTTATATTTTCATTAACAATATGGCCATAATTTGTAGTCCAGAAAAAATGCCTTTTGATTTCCCAAGTGTTTAGATTTGTATGTATTTATACATCCAGAAATGTGTTGGAAACTTACAGAAAGATATAATAACTATACTTTCTTTTTTGCATAAGAGACATTTGCTTCCAAACAAATAGAAACAGAGTAATTTTCTCTATTTCCCCTACATTCCCAATGTTTTTTATATTAATACTTGCTTTGACCATAAGAACATTCTCCCACAGTTTTTATTCCTAATATCTTTTGTGCTGATTTAGAAACAACATCTGAAATGGTCAGGAAGAGAGGTCTGGGGCTGTTGTCTGTAACTAAAAGAACTCCTTATCATGACACTCATTTAATTTCTTCTAAGTCTCTAAAATAAATTGTGTGGTTAATAATGATGTAATGTCAGAAGACATAGTACAATATCTTTAACATGTTGTTGCTTGATGAGTATTTGTGTATGAAACACTATCACTTGCTGCTTTAGACTTTAACTGGGTTTCAATTTTCACAGATTGGGTTTTATATTTTTAAATGAGATAAAGCTGTACTTTCTTTGACCTTTCTTTCTAAAAATATATGCTCTGAAATCAGAATATGTGGGCATAAAAAGAAATAGACCAACGACAAGCCACATTACGCCGTTCTACAGCTGCGTGGTGGACGTTATGTTCCCTTTTCTCCTCCTCTCTTTCTTCCACCAGGAAATATACTTTATAAGATCTCAGGTGAACTCACTCCTGCTGCCTGACCCCCTAACTCATTACGGGAAAATGAATTCAGATTGCTTGAAAAGAAGCTGCCTCTTTTATCTTCCCACTGACTGACAAGCAACTACAAAGTTCTCCGACGGGATTCCAAGTTACAAGCTGTACTGCATCACTGGAACAATTCCCCCACTGGCGGGTTTTCCCAGAGGGCAGCGTGTCAGATATACTGCATGGGTTGCAAGCACAGCTCTGAAACCGCAGATTTCCCTCCACACTAAAAAACAGATACCAGGGACTATAAAACAAAGCTGTCCCTTTCCTAACAGCATTAGCCTTCCTACAGACTCTTTGGAAGTCTAAGAGGTTCCCACATATAATTATTTTCCTTACCTTCTCAAGAAAATAAACGCTTCTGTATATTTTTTTTCCATCTTGTAATTTTTATAAAACACAGTATATTCTGGGGAGAAAAGCACCCAGAGAACCAGAGTGTGTGAAAAGGACACTGGATTTCTCTGGGTAACCTTGAAAAATCAACTGCATTTCTTTGGTTTTTCAAGATTTTTTAGAGATTTAGAGCATTTGAATATACTGACATTCTAAAGCACTCTTTCTGGTAACTGGCAATTCCAGGAGAAGGTAAGCCTATTCTGGGTGCTAGGATTTTTCGGAACTGTAGTTAAAAATACACTTTCATCTAGTTTAAACCAGCAATGAAATACTTTCTGCATTTCTGCAGTTTCCGTTCCCCTTTAATTTCTTTTGTTTTTAGATGGGGATTTATCCCAAAGAGCAAACACTTGATACCAATATTGAAATGAGATATGGACTCCAATTATAACAGAAGAAAAAGTTTAGGCTCAGAGAATGGGGGATGGGGAGCCATCACATTTATACTCTATCTTTTCTACCTGGAAATATCCTAATCGGTCTTTAAGGCACCCCACTCCTTCCAGATGTTACCACTGCAGTAAAAACTTTATGCCCCTCCTGATCCCCACAATGTAACCTCAAAAAAACCAAATCTCCCATGCCTCAGTCCTCCCCTAACACTACCATTATGTCTCAGGTATAAAGAGGCTCTTTTATTTCTCTGACCACTCCTATTTAGTTTTCTTTTCTGTTTTGCAGAATCCTTGGTGTTTTTGTTTGATTACCCCTAGCAACTGTTGGAAAAACATATGCAGCCAAAACATAAGAAGAAAGTTAAATTTAACATCCCACAAGTCACCAAAAGACTTTTCCTGAATAATCATTGGAAATATGTGAAGATGCCCTTCTTTCTGTAAGCTTCCACCTTAGGACTTCTGACTCACCACCCGGATCTCCTCCTTGGAGCCAGAAGCACCATGCTTACTCCAAATTACTCTGCTCTTGAATCATCTGCTCTTGTGAGCTATTTTTTATAATGTTTTGCAAAAATAATATGTATATATTATAGAATTTTTTTTAAGTTGAGTACATATAAAAGGAAAAATGGGAAGACAAACCATTCATAATATAACCACCTAGAGATAACAGATATATTTCCCAAATTTTCATTTGCCTTTTTAAAAACATTCTTAAATACTAATTGGGTTTCTTTTTTTCAGGACCATCAGGTCTTATAAGCAAATAAAAAGCATCTGATTATGCTCATTTCATGAGCATTTAACAATTTAAAAATTGTTCTTTCTATCTTCCATTTCCTTTCTTTCCCGGTCCTTACCTTCCACCCTTACTTTTGAGGACTTATTTTGGATTAGACATATTTACTCTGGGAAAAGTCACCTAAAACCTGTTTGTTGTACCTCTCCACATTCAGAAAGAGTTATCTGAGATCCATGAAATGATTCAGTTTCAACATTAAAAACTGATCATTCTGCTTTGCTTTTCTTTTGTTTTTCTAAAATGCCATTTCCCTTTGCTAATGCTTAAGGATCATTTTCATTTACCCTCTTTTTTCCCCCACAGTAATCCATATCTCTCTTTTTCAAATAAATATCTTTATTCTGTGGCACAGCACAAAATAGGGGATTAGGAGAAAGAGACATTTGAAGATGAAAACTAAGCTGCAATCCAGTTTTTCAGAGCAGGTGAGAGTTAACAGTGCACAAAGGACTCAGCAATTAGCACACGCTGGTGCCTTGCCTTAGAAACTCTGACACAAAGCAATCTGTCAGGATATCAAGCAATGAAGATCACGTCCCAATTCATTCAAAAGGAAGGATAATGAAGAATTAAACAATTCGCAGAGGACTCCACAATAACCACTTAAGAAAAAAGCAGGATATGTGTACTAAGACATGGCATTGTCTACTAAGTACAGGATCAGTGTGAAGAATCCAAGGGAAGTCTAGTAGTAAAGAAGCTGCCATTTGTAAAAATTATTCTATAGGATCTCAGAATATTTTCTTTATCTTTTCATAGTTTTTATTTTTCTTCTTGACAATTAGGTTGTTTTATATTTGTAGCTGAGAATACTTTTGAAGCTCTGTAAAATAATGATGTAACCCTAAATTATCATGGCACAATACTTTCATCTACCAGTTAAATGGAATAGAATTTATAATTTTATAAATAGTTTTACATAAGCCAGGTTGCTACTACTATGCTGTAAAGTTTTATTTGTATTCCCAAACTTACACATTTGTTTTATTTTTTAAAAATTATATATTCAATATGTTTCACAAGGAATGATTATAAACCTGTTATCTATAATTTAAATTGATAGTTAATTCATATGTGTGAAAAAATACTGAAGATGTTGTAAAGTGATCACTGGGAGTTGACTATTCACCTGTGCAAGGTGAATGGTGCACCCTTGAGAGTCATTGAGCAAAGCACTTATTCCAGGTCAGTAAATGGCACTTGCACACCCTAGAAAAACTAATTTGTTGATCATATGTTCCTCATAATTGAATAGATGTTTCAAATCAGGTAGAATCCCATAGAAAAGTGCTAATCCTTACTTTTATGGTGGATGTTAGCAAATGGCAAAAATACATTCTAATATAACCAAGTGTAGGTTGGTTGATCTGTTAATTTTTGCCATTCACATGTGTTTGTGCTCTCTCCGTCATTCTCTTTAGTTTTTCCATATTCAGTTTATTCTCATCCATAATTAAAGAGAAAGACCCAGTATTACCAAAATCTTCCCTTAATTATTTCTGTTCCACTTGTCACACCATCTAGTTTCTTTCCTGCCTCATGCACTTGAGAATAACTTGGCTAAGTTTGTCTGCCTTAGCTTTTTTATTTGTAAATTCTGTCAGGACAGAGATTCTTCAGGTCCAACCTTTGTTGCCATTTTACACACCACAAACTAGTTGAGAGTCTAATTAATTAGATTATCATTTTCCCCTGGTAAGATGCCTGCATTTTAGAGAAAATGACAATAATCTTAGCAGCAAAAAAACTTCAAATATTTGTAAAAGTTAGATGAACGATCATCTAATAGATATAAACATTTAAAATCGTGGCTTTCAGAAGACAGGTATCTGCGAGTGAAGTCTACATATAATTATTGAAAGTAGCTCTTTTCAGTTATTTAATTTTAATGTTAATATGTAAAATGTATATATTATCATAATTACTTAAATCATGTATAATTATAAAATATTAATGAATACACAACAGAAATATGCAAGATCTATATGAAGAAAACTTTGAGCTCTTGCGAGAGACACAAAAGACACAAAATAGAAAGTATAATGATATCATTGATCAGAAAAACCCGACAGTATAAAGATATTAATTCTACCTAAGTCACCTGTAAATTCTGTTCCATCCTTATAAAAACAGCATCAGGACTTCTGGGGTAAAATTAGAAATATATAAATATTGTTTGAAAAAAATAAATATGAAATAATAAGTAGGAAATTATATAAAATAAAAATAATGAAGAGGACTAGATCTACAAGGCAATAAAATATATTCTACAGTTTTAATCATTAAGATACCTTGATAATGTAAATAAAGGTACAGATATGTCCACACGTATTTATTAATAAAGATGGAAATTTAGGAGCTCTTGGAGATGACAACCCAAGCCAGTGGGGAACAATAAGGATTATTCAGTAAATGGTTTTGAGAGAAAGGAAAATTTTCTGGGAAGAAAATAAGGTTTGACCCATACATGACATATTATATCAGTATAAATTTCAGATGAACTGAATATAAATATTTTATAAAAGAAAGCAGTAGAGTGCTAGGAAAAAGCAATAATGAAGGGAAAAATTTCTACTAATATAACAGATTTTCCTAATATATAAAGAACTTCTTAAACCTCTGTAAAAATGTGGGCAAAAGATACAAATGAAGCATTCACAAAAAAAAGAAACACAGTTTTTAAACTTAAGAAAATATGTTCATAAGTTCCAACTAATTCCTAATAACTACTCAAGATACTGTGAAATAGCTACCATTTTTAACATATCGAATTGGCAAAGATAAGTCTGACAACACTCTGATGACAAGACTGTGGGGAGACAGGCACCCTCATACTTTTTCTGAGAATATAAATTATATGGTCTCTATGGAATGAAATTTGACAGTATCTTACAAAGTTACAAATTCATTTTTCCTTGACCTGGCAATTCATTTCAAGGAATTTATCGTATTAATTTACTTGCAAAGTGTGAAAGGACATTCCCATATGTTTATTCATTGAGGCATTATTTGAAATAATAAAAGATTAGAAACAAATTAAATGGCCATTAATAAGGAACTGGTTAAACCAATGATGGTATGCTCTAACCCGTTGAATATTACCAAGCTATATAAAGAATGAGGAAGCTCGTTAGGAATTGCTGTGATAATTTCTCTGAAATTATTAAGATGGAAAAAAAGCATGGTGCAAAATAATGTGTACCACTTGGTATCATTAGTATAAAATGTTGCATGTGTGAGATGAAAACTATATGTATTTACAAATGGGGGAAATATGTGTTTGTTTATGTATACACACACACACACACACCTATAAGACAAATATTTCTAGAAGGATATAAGAAGCTGAGCACACTACTTTTCCTCTGAGACTGCAGAACAGGCTTGGTACTTTACTTCCTTTTTTTCTATCTTTTAAATTTTGATTCATGAGAACATAATACGTGGTCAAAAGTGAACAATTTTTAAGAAAAATCACACTTTGATACGTGCCACTTCACTTGTTGTTACGAAACCTAATGTTTTTGTAAAGTTTTTAGTTCAGGATACGAGTTGACATGAAGAATAGGGTTCCCATGAGGGTGTCTTACAGACACAGCCCAATTTCTCCTGCAAAATAGTGACCCAGCTGCAGGCACTTTTATGTTGAAACTACACTTGCTTTGAACTAGCTGAATTTCCCTATCTTATAAATTCTAACCACCCCCTCTTTAGCAGCCATCACAGGAAAGGATGAAATACAGTTGTTCATTATGTCAAGGAAATAACCAATTAGCCATTAGACAATTCAATAAGCTTTGTATAAATCTAGTGAACAGATGATATCTTAAATAAGTTTGATGAATTAATGTTTAATTTGTTCTTGTAGAGCCATGCAGACCTCCCTACCCTCAGTGTAAATGTCACCCAGCTGCTGATGGGTGACAGGACAAGACAATATTCAAAATCCTTTCAGTTAACAGTGGACATGAGAGTTCCAGTGCCAGTGAACCAATGACACGAATTTTCCTGGGGCCCATCTCAGATGCTCCTTTTGCTTCCAACCTCACCCCTTTCCAACCCCTGAGTTGAACCCGTACCGCAAAAATTCTTTAAGTCAAATCTCGTAATTGCTTCCAATTTGTCTGTTTTGCTTTTGGCAATTAACAAACTGAAATGTTATCACGAAGGAGTTCATCTCATTTATAAGACCAGGTTTTCCCTCCACTAAAATATGCAGGCACTCTGTTCTTTATTACCAGCAGGAGATAAATGGCTGGTTTTCGTTGCTGAAGAATATATAATGGTTAAAAAGTCACTTTTTTCCTCCAGCTCTACATAAATCACAGAACTAGTCAATATTTAATAATGCTTGCCTTGGTCTGGAGTCCCTTGATCACCCCTGTCATGTGTAATAGCTCCCTCTCCGATATCTTTGACATAAAAGCCCAGCTTTACTGCAATACTAACATGTAGAGGGTCATTACGGATCGACATTTACCTTAATCTGTGACTGCCAACCATGAACCGATAAATTCCAGCAGATTCCACTGGGAGAAATCAGTAAACTTCTCAGTGGAAAGAACTGAAGGAAAATTCTGCCGAGAACAGAATACATTTTCTACAAGGGCTGTTCGGTAAATGGGTTCTGACTTTTGAAAGTTCTCTTGCCGCGCAGCTTTGCAACATTTAATACCGTTTTGATGGTTTGAGAGACGGGATGACAACTGAAGATGACATGACTTAGAAGGCAAGCAGAAATTTTCTCTGCAAAAACAATGCAAGATTAAACACGAGGGGGAATATGGCTCTTGCATTATTCACCCAGCTGCCTTGGCGGAAATAGCTGGGCTGTCATGGGTCCGGCCTAAATGTTGCTTCTTTTTTCAAATCGATCATCACTCCTTCACCTCATAATCTTACAAGTGCTTTACAGCAGAATACATGAAAGCCCTGATTGCATAAAAAAGGGACACACCAATCTTTGAGGGGATCAGCTTAGACTCTGACACGCACTTGACTCGCATTTGCTTGCCAGTGCAGTACACAAATAACCACCCTTTTCAAATTTAGAAAAGCCTGTTTTTTTCTTTCTTCACCTGTTTTTACACTTGGAGGATGTTATTAAGTATTACAAAGACTCATAGAAAATTCAGAAACAAAGAAACGTTTTCAAGCCTAAGCAACAGACTAACATGCTAATAACATGTCTGACTGAATCCACGATATTGCATATTTGCTACTCATTTAAAAATAAAGGTTCAAACTTCCTCCTACAAAAATAGTAAGGCCACTCCTGGAAGATGATAAACAACAGCACTTAATACAGATCCAAAGTTTCTATTAAAATATATACCTGCTCTTTTTATGGTAGAGTTTGCTTAAAATAAACATCATGCTACCATAGCACCTAACTTATTGAATCAGATAGTTTTTGAAAATACTTTCAAGGAACCCCATGTAGCCTAATCCACATTCAGTAAATTTATCAGAACACACAGCAGAATTACTAAGATAGTTCAGAAATCTAAAACAGTCACAAAAATGGCTTGTTTAAGATGGACTGCAAAATTATAGTTCAACTCTTTGCATACACGATGTTTTAGGTTTGAACCACTTTTTAGCAAGGGAAGAAGAGTATATACTAGTTCTTCAGCATGTGTCACCTAAAGGGTTTGCTTAAACACAGACTGTTAGACCTTAGCCTCTAGAGTTTCTGATTCACTAGGCTGGGGCAGAAGCTCTACAACGTACATTTCTAAGCGTTCATCAGATGTGGCTGTTGCTGCTGCTCTGGGAACCACATTCTGAGAACCGTCGGGCAGTAGCTTATCCGTATAGGTTATTTTCAGGAAAATAAAGAAACCAACATCTGTGGCTAAAAGAAAGATTTTAGCCAAAAGAAAGATTTTAAATAAAAATGAGTTGTTTTCTAATGTTATTTAAAGTTTAGAAAATAAAAACAAATTACCTGGGTCTACATAGAATATCCCAGTGAAAAGGACTGAGTGTGTTAAGAGTCCATTAGGGCGAAAAGGTGCTTCCCACCTCACGTGGGCTTTCCGGGATCCCTGTGTTTTGACAAACACATTTACTGTTCCTTCAGGAGGAGCTTCTAGAGTTCGATTTTCCACCTGTGAGTATAAAAAGATTTATTTTTGTTTGCAAATAAAATAAGTACATGCTTCGCTTTGAGCATATTTCTTCAAAGAATCTCTTTTTGCTGTGAAGTAAACTATTTTGACAGTAGCATCTTGTATGAATACCTCATTTTGTCAGCAGGATCAAAGCACACCTCATGTTTTCTTCCCCCTGCTGTTAAAGCTTAGAATTTGAGCTCTTGACCAAGGCAGCTATTTGTGATTTCCAGAATATGTGGATCTGCTCACACTGTGACTGTGCCTATGGCTGTACATATCCATAGACCAATTCTAGGACTGCTTTAAAATAATTTTTATGTGATTGCAAAAGAGAAGAAATGCACGCAGTCTGTTTTTATAAGTCCTTGACTTAGGTGGTAGACTTCTGGCCTCTGTCAAAAAGCTACACCACATATCTTGACTCTCTCTCTTCTCTGTCACACACACACACACACACACACACACACACACACACACGCATGCATACATGTGTGTACAGGCATGCACGCACACACACGCAAAATTTTTATGAGCTATGTTGCTATCAGTTATGTAAAAATGGCATCATGCTAACATTAAGAAATACATGCATCCTAGGGACTCTATCCCTAAGGCACAATCACAAAAAAATATTGATTGTGTTAATGAAGCTATGCAGAAAAGAGCAAAAGATGAATTATTTGAAGAGAAAGACTCTGAAATAAAATGCAATCCCTAGCTGTACCGGGGTCAGGAAGATTTCAATAGATAAATAAGTAAAATAAGTGGTCAGAGGAAGATGTAGTTGGCAAGAAAGTAGAAAAGAGTTCAGAAATTTTTAATATCTTTTAATCATTAGCTTAAATTCAGTTAACTAATCACTACAAACTCATCAGCATCACTCATAGATATTTGACCTTTCACAATTTACTAAATATGTGATAATTTCAACTTTATTCTTAAGGTACAAGCTCTTGCCTCCCAAGGAGGTGATCAAACATGAAATCCTTAGGCAGAAATATTATCAATTAGAAAACCTTTATTTGTTAGGGTGATTATACCTTATCAATTATGAAAATAAATGTGAAAAAGAAAGTGTTAATTTTTAATAACTATGAGGTCACAACATGTTTTATTTTCATCAGAGAAAAGCTATGGGATTCTTTAGAACTATAACACTTGCTCTTTCGTTTTTAGTTTAATAGCTACATACAAAAATGATGAAACTAGGCCAGAAAAATATCAATTCATCATTTTAATATTTTATGACAATGTAATTTGTTTTATTATGCCTATCTATATAGTTCATATTATTGTACATAGAATGATTTTAAAGCATTCCAAATAAAATGAGACTTGAAAAGTTGAAGAATTAAGGGCAATTCCAGATAATTATATTATAATCCTCAAATATTTGGTTAATTCAAAATAAATATGTTTTGTAACATTTCCTTAAATATTTGGATAAACACTTCAGTTTTTACTATACATTGAATTTGGCAATTGTACTATTTTGCTCTGACCTGGTCTTTCTTTTTCATTTTACTTTTTTGTTTATCTACCTTGCTGTAAAAGGAATATGTGGAAAAGGCACTTGGGAAAGGTAAAAGTTGGCTTGGCTTTGGCCTGGGAACCTCTCTTGACACAGAAAAAATATTTGAGAGCAAATGTGCAATAAAACATACAAACACTTTAATACATTGTAATTCTTTTGTTTGTTTTTAAATGGAGTCTCACTCTGTCTCCAAGGCTGGAGTGCAGTGGCACAATCTCGGGTCACTGGAATCCCCACTTCCCAGGTTCAAGCTATTTTCCTGCCTCAGCCTCCGGAGTAGCTGAGACTGCAGGCGCCCGCCACCACATCCAGCTAACTTTTGTATTTTTAGTAGAGATGGGGTTTCATCATATTGGCCAGGCTGGTCTCGAACTCCTGACCTTGTGATCCACCCACTTTGACCTCCCAACATGCTGGGATTACAGGTGTGAGCCACCATGCCTGGCCATAAACTGTTATTCTTAATAAAACTCTTGCAATGCGCCAGAAATTTGTGTAAGTTATATTTAATTTTTTACACCAACTCTCTTAAAGTAGACATTATTTCTCTTTGTAATAGTTGAGAAATCTGAGGCTTTGTAGAATAAGTATATCTCCTAAGGGGGTATAGGGATTTAAGGGGTTTAAGCAGGTTGAAGGCAGACTTCCCCTATAGCGTTTGCTTGACTATATTATATATTGCCATTAAGATTTAGATGTCTTAAATAACACACTTATTTGCTTCTTTGCAAAAAAAAAAAATGTGAAAGGGTGAATGTGTTTGTACATGTGTATTTATCCAGGTGTATTTATCTGTATAAGTATGACATCACTAAGGAACCAAGACAACTTTTTAGCCATATCACATAGCAATGACCTATAGTCTCGCATATCATCCTTAAGAGTCCCTGGAGAATCGATCCAATGAATGTTACAATACAAGACACAGTCATAAAATTCTCAATCTTAGACTCCACTAGTGTTATGTAACATTGGCTAAGTGGGGAGTAAGAAAGCAAAGTGATTTTCTTATGGAAAACATTATTGTATTTTATTAAAGAATATTACAAAATGTGAAGGGTTTCCCTCTAATACAATTGAAAGCAAGGAAAGCATTTAAAAAGTTCCTGCTGCATTCTGTTAATTTTTATGTTATTTCAAAATTTATAAAACCCCAATTTATTGAATTTAACTTGACAATGCACATTAGCATCTAAAAATTAGGTTCAAAGGCTTTGTCAATTGTTTTCTATATTGAAATTTCCATAAGAGTCAAATACATTATTTGGTTGAGTAAGAACTGAAAAAAACCACAGGAGAATCATTGTGGGTTTTTTTTGTTGCTGTTGTTGCTGCTGTTTATTTTGTTTTGTTTTTGTTTTTTCCAGATAGGTACAGGGCAACTCCTTCTGAACCATAAATAATAGCTAACAAACTGGTCAGATTAGAAAAAAAAATGAGCTAATACTACATTCAAGTGGTAAGAATATGGAACTTCTGTATGTCTTTTTATTTTTAAAAATTCTCCATCAAATTCATATTTTTTATTATATGAACAATTTGCAATTTGGAGGATGAACCATATCATATTTGGGACTGTGAAGCATATTCCTCATAGAAAACATTGAATAGTATTTCCCTGCATGTGTGGATAATCTAAAGAACAAGAATTATCATTAAGAAATATTAGATGAACAAAAAAATTGAACTCTTTCAAAATTTATTCTGATTTCTGCCAGCAAAATATTTAAAAATAGAAATGATAAATTTTCTGTTTCAATGAAATTTTTTATTTAAAATGTCATAGCATCGGGCTCTATTTAGATGAATATCTTAAGAAACCGTTGTACACCATTGCCACGTTTGACTGAATTTTGTTGAGTATCACATCATAATTTAATGATAGAAAACTCTGCCTTTTAAGATTGATTCATAGATTTCTTAAGTCAATAAGGACACATTAAAAGAATCATCAACAAAAAGAAGCTGAATCTGTAATATCCTTCATGATTGTGCTAGCCATCCAGGGCTATTTAGAATACTCAGATATGGAATCACTTAATGGGCACAAAAATATTTCACAAACCAGTTGAAGACCATGGGCTTTAACTTCTTGGTAGCATATAGTTGACTTGTTCTAAATAAAGACATTGCTCTTCAATCCCAGTGATTAGAGATGGATCATTGACTAGGGAAAAGCGTTTGCATACTGAGTACAGCATAAAGAAAAGTACCAAGGGAGAAAATAACTCTGTGCTGTAAGTCAGGATTGAGTCTGGAATGAATGAAGCCATGGCAGACTAGGTTTTACAACCCAATTCTATTCCCCCCTTCCTATCAGAGCTTTGTGGCATTTGATTTCTTAAGGTTAACGTAGCTACTGTCTGTGCAGGATGCAGGTTGATAATGCAGGTCCCCCTTATTTAAAGTTGCCAGAACATCAGGAGACACCGCTGAGCCAATTTTGTAGCCAGAACTACCATTTGCAGCTTACATTTTCAAAAAGTGTAAATTTCAATCTCATGTGACGTGTTCTTTTGTTTCTTTTTCTTTTTTTTTTTTTGAATGGATAAGAAAAGCTGGCCTATTGCCATTCCTGCATTTAAGGGTAAGTATCCATCAGAGGGGTCTGGGCTATAAAATGCTTAATGGCAATAAAGACTACAGCTCAGCTCCGCCGATGGATGGTGTTAGCTGCTTGGAAAGCAACCAATCTCTGAAACAAAAAGAGAGGTGTGATCAAAAATAAGGAAGCAGAAATTAAAACATAGAGCTGTCTTCCAAGGTAATATTTATATAATATACTCTTCAGTGAAGACAGCATGCACTAAAATGATAGGGCATTAGCAAACATTGCCAAAAAATATCTAAGACTAATGAGCATTTCCATCTAAAGAAGCAAAATCTAATTAATCAAGAAAAATGCACCAAAGTGTAATGTGATGTTTTGAAACTGAAGACTGTCCTGCTAGTTTATGATAATTAAGTGCTATTAATTGGGTTTGAAAAATTATATTAGGAATAGAAAACATAATCTTGTCAAGCTGTTAACTGCTAATGAAATATAGATATACATTTCAGATATAGATTTCTGAAATATGAATATCAAAAGCTGATATTGATGTAATTTTAAATACCATTCTTATGAAGCTGTATCACATGAAACTATTTTATCCTAACAGATGAGGTAAACTCAACCTTTTAATTGATTACTTTTTGGGGAGCAGTGTTGCCATATTGTGGCACTTATGGACTTTCAATTATTTTTACTTCTTAATCTTAAACTTACTTAGATGTTGAGCCCATGATTAGAAAGAAAAACATCTGCCTTCAATATGTCACTAAATTAGGAAAAATTTCATGTTTGCCTACTACACTAGCCAACTTATCTTTCTTTCAATAAAATGTAGACTCTGCCCTTCACTGGACCTATGTTCAGTCTTGAAATTTATGTCGAATATAAAATCTTAGTAACTCTTAAATGAACTTTTATAAAAAGAAAAATCTCCCATCCTGCTTGAAAGGCTAGCTGTGCAGAGGGTGAGTCACCGCCACTTACTTCTTCCTTAATATTCAGTGTCATCTGACATTTAACACATTCCTAGAATGTAAATTTAGATACTCACCAGTGGGCCCAGAGCACAACCTTTGGCCGTGCATGCTTGGACTCTGAAGGAATGTAAACTCCAAGGAGCAAATCCGTAAGCACGATAGCTGAGTTCTGAGGAATTGTGGATTAATATACCATCTAGATATAATCCATAACTCGTGATAACACCTGGGAAGATAATAATTGCCTTTCAGTATGACTACTAGACAATAGCAAAGAAGGTCTTAAGAAAGCAAGCACTCTTGATGTGATTTCTAGTTTCATGGAATCATTAAATCACAGACTCTGGTATTTCTCCTTGTCTAAACTCTGTCTCTTACCAAAGGATAAAATAGATGTTACCCTTGAATATCAAACTGTAAACCTAATTAATACAGAGACAGAAATAGAACCCAACAGTTCCAGCATGAGAATCTTTCTATTGCATCCTGTTAACTGTTGTCATGTGTGTTCCAGATCAAAAATTAATAAGTGAAGCATACTTATAATTTGTATTGCTTTCTAAAAGAAGATATTCTTAATAGATATGCCCCAGAAGTAAATCGACCTTATTTGTTAATGCATTCTATATGACTCATAATGTATCAGGCACTGTTCTAAGCACCTGGTACACATTGGCTTCTTTTTAACCCTCTCTTCATAGCATTCCTATAACAGGCAAAGAGAAAAGGTATCATATTGGAGGAGAAACTGGCTTCCTACTGCACATTGTCAGTCAGGACATTCAAAAGGGCATCTCTTTATATGACCAGGTCCAATCATATAAGCATTGAAAATCTGCAGCAACCCAATCAAGATAGAACAGGAAGGACATAGACCCCCTTAGTAATGAAGATCCAGTGGCCTAAGTAAAAAATTCCAAATAAGCCGGGTGTGGTGACTCATACCTGTAATCCCAACACTTTGGGAGGCCAAAGCAGAAGGACCACTTGAGCCCCAAAGTTCAAGACCAGCCTGGGCAACATAGAGAGACCCTATCTCTACAAAAAATAAAAATAAAAGAACTACAAACAAATGAACTACCAGCTGAGGGCAAAGAGAAGAAGTTGTAAATATCAGCTATGGTCTCACAACTAATTATATAAACAAGAATTATAAATGCTATCATATTTTATTTCTGCTTATGACACAGAGATTTGTATATTGTAGCCAATTTTCCGTCCTCCTTTCCCCATTGATTCATGTAAATAGGGTTAGTGGGTATTAATTTATAGTTTAGTTTTTTTATGTTGAAGAATATCCAGATGGGTTGTGCCTGAACTAAAAGGGGAATTAACATCACCCAGATAAGAATGTGATGAGGGAGGTGAGAGCACCGTCATTTGTACAAAGCATAGTAGTATCATGTTCATTGGAAGCATAGAGTGATTGCTATTGGTAATGAAAGGTGGTGAAAAGTACAAGGGTGTGTGTGAATGCCGAGTAGCTAAGAAGGTGATTCATCTGACGTCCGCCCCAGCTACACATCCACGCTTCTATAGCCTGTTCTGTACGGCTGAACCTACAAACTACAAACTACATTTCCAACTCTCTTGCTTGTTGGCCTTCTATTGGGTTTTGCCAGTGGGAGGCACTGTGAGGAGGACAGAAGCAGGAAGAAAGAAAACGTCCAGTTTCTAGCTCCAAGAGCTGAGGGCTTTGTTGACAGCTGCTGTGTCAGCAGGGGACAAAGCACCTGCAGCCTCAAGCATTCCAGACAGAAGAAGCATCTCTTCTGCATTTTCTGCCTCTTCGGTAGTGGAATGTTGTTGGCATTTCAGCTCTGGTTGGGGCAGCGTCCCATAATGGTTCAAATGTCAAATCGGCAAGTGTAGCAGTAAGCACCAGCTCCTGTCAATCATCCTTTTCTTCCATCCAGTACCTGCCACCTTTCCCTTTTGTTCTTCCAGCCCTTCTTTACAACACCTTGAGAACAACCTACTTGTATAAAATACCCTCTGTTTTGAATATCTGAAATGTTTTCTCTTATACCAATCAGATCTAGGACAATACATTCATTTAGGATTAAAGCATTTTTTGTTAAATGAGTTAATACTTTTAAAAAGCCACTGCTGTGATTCATTTTCCTTTAAGAAGACAACCTTGTATAGTTTACCATTCTGATAAGTCCATTTCCCTTATTTCCAAATTTTTGGGAAAGATCTTTTATTTTACTCTCAGGTACCACTTATAGCTCTAAACACACAAAAAGATGTGGCTGCCAGTATCTGTTTTTCTTTATTTCTGGTGTGACCATCTATGGTAACTTTATGAATACCTATGGAAGGTATTTGATTTAATTCTATGTAGTACTTGACACACAAAGACACAAATGAGTTAAAGCTAAGAAGTGAAAGACACATAGTGAAAACACCACCTACCTATAATACATAGAAAATTTAAAGGGAAAAAAGATATGATCAGGTAATAACAATGACCAAAAAATTCTTACATGTCAGGCTCTCTGTGAAGCAGTCAGTTGATCCTAAAAAAATCTTATGTACAAATAGTGTGTTACAGAATCTCTTAAAGAAACCATAAGACCCTTGAAATGCTACCTATTTGACCTGCTTTTTAACTGAGATACAAAGTACCTAAATCAATAGTTCCCTTTTCTTACATAATTGGGGAACAGAGAATGTCTTTTATGTTAGGATTATGTGCATAATATCTCATTTATCTGACATATTGGGAAATGAGATATTTTATAGAAGTTAATTTTCATTGAAACTAAATCTCATCCCCTTAAGTATGAACTCTAAAAATCTTAACCACTTTTGAAGGAAATCCTTCTAGTAAGTTCTACACACTTACCTGTCTTCTCACACAGAATATAATGAATATAATTGAATCATTTTGTGAAGACTGAAACTTTGATTATGGACACCAAAGACTACATTCTCTAATTCTATAATGCTTCAGTGATTGATGAGATACAGGGTTCTTACCCAGCTTTTACCCTAAACATCACTCAGTGACTGCACCTTACCAATTCTTGTGTCATTGTTTGAGTTCTTCTACATCCTCTCTCAGTGACAGTTTCTCCAAATTTACTTCTTCTTCTTCTTCTTTTTTTTTTTTTTTTTTGTCTATCTGACTCTAGTAAGTCAACCCTTAGCAATCTATGTTGAGAAGCTAGATAACCTTGACATCTGGAACTATGGATATAGGAAGAGCAGACAGTTATTGAAAGAAGGGCTTAGACTAAGATGAATACATGGCAAATAAGCTGAGAATGAAATTAAGTGATATTTGTGACAGTTAATTCAACTGCTCAAAAACTTTTTAGTATCCAGGATGTATCTAATTGAGAGGTGGATGAGAATGAAGTCTAACTTTAACATAGGTGAGATCACACACACACACACACACACACACACACAAACACAGAGTTACCCGGCATCCTGTAGGTAAACAGTATTTGACAGCATATGGAGGAAGGGCTGAAGGATGAATTGTGGAACCACACTGTAGGACTAGTATTATATTGATACACACACACACATCATATTAAGCTGATTTCAATATAAACAAAATCAATATAATATAAAACACTGTATGATTCAGCTTTAAAACATACTTTTAATAAGCGGTAAGTCTAAAACACCTATTAACATGACAATTTTAACTTCATTGACCTCAGATTCCTAAACAGAGTAACAAAAACTAACAAATATAATGTAGTGGACATTTTAAACTGAAGCCTAAGAAGATGCTTTTTTCTTTAACTAGAACACAGGACATGTATCAATAGCTGTTTTTTCCAACTTTTATTTTAGATTCGGGGGTTCATGTGCAGGTTTCTGACATGGGTATATTGTGTGATGCTGAGGTTTGGGATGTGAATGATCCCATCACCCAGATAGTGAGCATAGTACCCAACAGTTAGATTTTCAGTCCTTACTCCCCATTCCCTGCCATTAATCCTCAGGGTCTATTGTCATCTTTATGTCCATGAATACCCAATGTTTAGCTCCCACTTATAAATGAGAATATGCAATATTTGTTTTTTTGTTCTTGTATTAATTTGCTTAGTACAAAAGCCTCCAGCTTCATAGATGTTGCTGCAAAAGACATGATTTCAGGGTTTTTTCTGTGGTTGTATAGTATTTCGTAGTGTATATGTATCATATTTTTTCATTCAACCCACTGTTGATGGGCACCTAGGCTGATTCCATGTCTTTGCTCTTGTGACTAGTACTGTGATGAACACACGAGTGCATGTTTCTTTTGGTAGAATGATTTGTTTTCCTTTGGGTACATACCCAGTAATGGGTTGCTGGGTCAAATGGTGGTTCTGTTTTAAGTTCTTTGAAAAACCTTCAACTGCTTTCCACAGTGGCCGAACTAATTTACATTCCCACCAACAGTATATAAGCATTCAACCCTTTTCTTTGCAGCCTCGCCAGCATCTGTTGTTTTTTGACTTTTTAATAGCAGTCATTCTGACTGGTGTGAGATGGTACTCGTTGTGGTTTTGATATGCAATTCTCTGATGATTAGTGATGTTGAGCATGTTTGTTAGCTGTTTGTCTGCCTTCTTTTGAGAAGTGTCTGTTCATGTCTTTTACCCACTTTTTAATGAGGTTATTTGTTTTTTACTTGTTGATTTAAGTTTCTTATAGATTCTGGATATTTGACCTTTGTCAAATGGATGGTTTGTGAATATTTTCTCCCACTCTGTAATTTGTCTGTTTACTCTGTTGATAGTTTATTTTGCTGTGCTGAAGCTCTTTAGTTTAATTAGGTTTATCTTGTCAATTTTTGTTGCAATTGCTTTTGAGGACTTGGTCATAAGTTCTTTCCCAAGGACAACATCCAGAATGGTGTTTCCTAAGTTTTCCTCTAGGATTCTTATAATATGAGATCTTATATTTAAATCTTTAATCCATCTTGAGCTAGTTTTTGTATATGATGAAAAGTAGGGGTCTGGTTTGCTGCATAAGGCTAGCAAGCTACCCCAGCACCATTTTTAAAATAGGCAGTCCTTTCTCCATTGATTATTTTTGTTGACTTTGTAAAAGATCAGATAGCTGTAGGTGCACAGCTGTATTTCTAGATTCTCTTTTCTGTTCCATTGGTCTATGTGTCTGTTTTTGTACCAGTATCATGTTGTTTTGGTTACTGTAGCCTTATAGTATAGTTTGAAGTTGAGTAATGTGATGCCTCCAGCTTTGTTCTTTTTGTGTAGAATTGCTTTGGCTCTTTTTGGGCTCTTTTTGGGTTCCATATGAATTTTAGAATAGCTTTTTCCTAATTCTGTGAAAAATGATATTGGTAGTTTGATAGAAATAGCATTGAATCTGTAAATTGCTTTGGGCACTATGGCCATTTTAGTGATTATTGATTCTTCCACTTCATGAGCATGGAACATTTTTCCATTTGTGCCATACACGATTTCTTTTACCAGTGTTTTCTAGTTCTCCTTGTAGACATCTTTCACCTTCTTGGATGGATGTATGCCTAGGAATTTACTGTTTTGTGGCTATTGTAAATGAGATTGCATTCTTGATTTGGCTCTCAGTTTGAACATTATTGGTGTATAGAAATGCTACTCATTTTTACACATTGATTTAGTATCCTAAAACTTTACTGATGTTGTTTGTCAGTTCCAGGAACTTTCTGGTGGAATCTTTTGGGTTTTGTAGGCATAAAATCATATCAGCAAAGAAAGATAGTTTTACTTCTTCTTTTCCTAGTAGGATTTCTTTTATTTCTTTCTTGTGCCTGATTGCTCTGGCAAGGACTTCCAGAACTATGTTGAGTAAGAGTGGTGAGAGTGGGCATTCTTATCTTGTTCCTGTTCTCAGATAGAATGCTTCCAGCTTCTACCTGCTCTGTGTGATGTTGGCTGTGGGTTTGTCATAGATAGCTCTTATTATTTTGAAGTATGTTCTTTTGATGCCTACTTTGTTGAGGGCTTTTATCATGAAGGTATATTGGATTTTATTGAAAGCTTTTTCTGTATCTATTGAGATGATCGTGTGATTTTTGCTTTTAGTTCTATTTATATGATGAATCATGTTTTTAAATATATTTCCAACTCAAGGAGATTTATGAATACATTTATTGATTTGTATATGTTTAGCCAAACTTGGCATCCTAGGAATGAAGCCTACTTGATTGTGTTGAATTAACTTTTTGCTGTGCTGTTGAATTTGGTTTGCTAGTATTTTGTTGAGGACTTTTGTGTCTATGTTTATCAGGAATATTGGCCTGTAGTTTCCTTTTTTAGTTGTGTCTTTGACAAGTTTTGCTATCAGAGAGATGCTGGCCTCATAGAAAGTGTTAAGAAGGAGTCCTTCCTTCTTGATATTTTGTAACAGTTTTAGTAGAATCATTACCAACTCTTCCTTGTACATCTGGTGGAATTTGGGTGTGAATCCACCTGGTCCAGTTTTTTTTTTTTTCTTTTTTTTCGGCGGGGTAGGGGAGGCAGTTCCTACCAAAAACAACAACAACAAACAAGCAAAACACATCCTCAGAGACTATTATAAACACCTCTATGTACACAAACTAGAAAATACAGAGAAAATTCTTAGAAACAAACAACTTCCAAAGAATGAATCAGGAAGAAATTAAAACCCTTAACAGACCAATGTCAAGTTCGAAAATTGAATCAGTAATAAAAAAAATCTTTGCTAGCTTCGAGTTTAGTTTGTTCTTCTAGGTGAGATGTTAGTTTGTTAAACTGAGATCTTTCTAACTTTTTGAGGTAGCTATTTAGCACAATAAACATTCCTCTTAACACTGTCTTTGCTACATCCCAGAGATTTTGGTATGTTGTACCTCTGTTTTCATTTATTTTAAACAAAGTTTTGATTTATGAGTAGCTCTGGGGAAAGTAAGATTTTGAGTCCTTGAAATGCCATGTAAGTATTTTCAAAATTATAGAATACTTAAAATAATTTTTTAAATTAATTAATTAATTTTTTTGGAGATGGAGTCTATCTCTGTAGCCTAGGCTGGAGTACAGTGGCATGATCTCGGCTCACTGCAACCTCCGCCTCCCAGGAGGCGAATTAAGCGATTCCCTTGCCTCAGCCTCCCAAGTAGCTGGGATTATAGGTGCCCGCCATCACGCCCAACTAATTTTTGTGTTTTCAGTAGAGACGGGATTTCACTGTATTGGCCAGGCTAGTCTCGAACTCCTGACCTTGTGATCCACCCTCCTCAGTCTCCCAAAGTGTTGAGATTACAGGCATGAGCCACTGCCACCAGCCCAAAATAATTTAAAGTAATTTAAAATATGCTCAGGCCAAGCATGGTGGCTCATGCCTATAATCCCAGCATTTTGAGAAGCCAAGGCAAGTGAATCGCTTGAGTCTAGGAGTTCGAGACCAGCCTGAGCAATGTGGCAAAGCCCTGTCTCTACAAAAAATGCAAAAAGTTAGTTGGGCATGATGACATGTGCCTGTGGTCCTGGCTATTTGAGAGGCTGACGTGGCAGAATCACTCAGGCCCAGGAGGTCGAGGCTGCAGTGGGCCATGATTGCACCACTGCACTCCAGCCTGGGTGACAAAGTGAGAGCCTTTCTTAAAAAAGAAAATTAAAATGTTCTGATCACTTACTTTGAGACAGACAATAGGGTACATGCTTTTATGCATTATTTTCTTTAACACTGACAACTCCAAAAAATAAGAATTGTTGTTGTCATTGCTGTAAAGAGGAGGGAATGGATTCTTAGAGGGGCTAACCCATTTTACAGGGCCATACAAATATAAATTTAGTTGTGGAAACTGGCCATCTTACCCCACTCTGGTCACTACTCTTGTTATATGTTTCTGGTCTAATTTCCTCTTCTAAAATTTTTAGGAATTTCACTTGAATTAAGAACTGGTGAACATGCTCTGGTTCTCAAAGCAATCAAGATAAGCCTAATAAAAAGATTAATATAAATATATTGAAAGTCAATCAAGTGCAAAGTACTATACTTGGTATTTTGGGAAGTAAGAACAGAATAAGAATAATATCTACCTTTATGGAAGTAAGAAAAGAGTTAAACATAGGTATAATTAAATAACAATTCAAGGGTTAAACAAGGATCATAAGCACCACAACAACTTTATGCCAAACAAATGACATAATTAAATAGTAGACAGTAGGTACAGGACCCTCTAGCAGGGAATAATCACTCTGGCTAAAGAAGTGTTACAGGCTTTTTAGAGCAGTCAAGTCTTCCACATACGGTAGTGGGGACTTCAATAAGTCATATGATGAAGCTAAGTCTCCCATGAAAGGTAATATGTGAAATACCTATGTCTCAGGAAGATGCTTCTGGTGAGGAAAATGACATTTGCCACTGCCTAGAAGTAAGAAAGTGCAAGGTTCAGTAAAGGTATCCCAAATAGATCAATAATCTGTTGTTATTCCTGTAGCTGGATGTATTAGTCCCTTCTCATGCTAATAATAAAGACATACCTGAGACTGGGTAATTTATAAAGGAAAGAGATTTAATGGACTCCCCAGTTCCACATGGCTAGGGAGGCCTCCTAATCATGGCAGAAGGTGGAGGAGGAGCAAAGGGATGTTTTACATGGCAGCAGGTAAGACAGCTTTTGCAGGGAACTCCCCTTTATAAAACCATTAGATCTCATGAGACTTATTCACTATCAGGAGAACAGCATGGGAAAAACATGCCCCCCATAGTTCAATTACTTCCCACGGGGTCTCTCCCATGACACATGGGGATTTTCACAATTCAAGGTGAGATTTGGGTGGGGACACAGAGCCAAACCATATCACTCGATAAAGTCTAATAGAAAACAAAACTTCAAAGGGAATTTGGGGCCTTGAATGACACTACAAGGAGTTGGGATTTTATGATGCACAGGAGACCATTAGTGTTTTTATGAACTGACTAGCGACAAGATAAAGTCATATACAGAAAAAATAATCTAGAATCACATGTAAAATAGACTGGAGTAGGGAAGCCCATGCAGGTAGTAACAGTGAGATGGTTAAAAATATCAAACAGGAAAAATAATTATTAAAGACGTCTTTTCCTGAATGTATAGGAAGTAGTCGTGAATGAGGCAGGGATGTGGGAATGCTGCATTTCAGCAGTAGTCTGTGGCAGAAGAAATATCTTTAGCAGTTATATATACTTTCTTTTTAATTAAAAAAAAAACTTGTGACACTTAGGGATGGAATGTGTTAGATTGCAATATGGTATGATAAAATCACTATTCAGAAAAGAGTGTTCCTTTATCAAACATGAACAATGACGTTAATCTCATAAAAGCCTACTTCCAAAGTACTAACTTACCCTTCTGTTCCTGGTTAAAAAGGGAATTGTTTTTCAGTGTGAGGATAAGAAGAAACCATGTCTTGTGATGGAATTGTTCTGTGTCTTGATTATATCAGAGTTAAAATCTTAGTTGTGATATTGTATTATAGTTTTAGAAGATGTTGACATTGGGAGAAACTGAATTAAAGATACATGGAATCTCTGTCTCTTGTAATTTCTTGTGAATCTGTAATTATCTCAAAATAAAATATTTAAATTAAAAAATACTGTTGTGCAGGGGAGCATGCCAGGTAAGAAGACACAAACACTTTAAAGTCCAAAGAAGTTTATGCTAAAGCAATAATCACTGGATTGAGCGTTTTAATCAAGTACTATTTAATCTTCAGGAAAAACTCTTGATAGTGGAATGGGTTCTATTTTAGATGAGAGAAATAGATGACAAGAAAAGCTTTTAGAGAGGTTTGGTAACTTGGCCAGTGTTATACAGCTAGGAAGTGGTAGAGCTATGTGTCGGCACTGAAGCATTCAGACTCTACAGTGCATACAACTTTACGGCTTCCATATACCTATTCTTTCTACATTTTAAAAATCACGTAATAAAACATAACATATAAAAATATATACAATATCAATTCTATTTTAATGACAAATTTAAAAGCAAAAGGCCATGTAACCATCACTCACGTTGAAAAAATAGAATGTTGCCAGCACCCCAGAAATCTCCTGTCCATAATTGGATCCCTTTCCCTTCCTCACAGATAAATATGAGGACTTTTGAAGAACCATGTCCTTGCTTTTCTACTGAGAAATGCATCCCTTAACAACATAATTAAGTTTCTCATGGTTTTCTAACTTATATTAATAGAGTTATGTTGTATATATAATTTTTTCATCTTGCTTTGTGTAACATGATATTCATGTGTTCTATACATGTTTTTGAGAGTAGCCATACTTCACTCATTTTCATTACTGTGTAGTATTCCTACAGGGCAAATGTTATTTATTTATTCTACTCTTGATAGATATTTAGAATGTTTTTATACTTTGGCTATGACATCAATGTAATTATACACATTTTTGTATATGTGTCTTGAAGCGCATACACAAATTTTCTAGGACAAATGTCCTGGAGAGGAATTGTTGATATATGTTCAATTTTACTAGACAATGCTCATCTCTTTTTGAAAGTATGTCAATTCTAGTGTACATGTGAGTCCATGTGAGTTCTCATTGTTCTATATCCTCAAAAAGACCTTATTGTCAGACTTTGAAATTTTTGCCAGTATTAGATGTAAAAAATGGTATCTTGTTTGGGTATTATCTTTTACTTTTGGATTATTACAGAAGTTGGCCCATTTTCTTATGTTTATCAGACATTTAATTTTTCTTCTTTTGTGAAATGACTTTTCAGATGTTAACTCCAGTTTGTTATAGATGTGTAGGCATGTTTTATATATTCTGGATACAGTTTTCTGATGGTTACATGTGTTCTAAATATCATCTCTCTTATTATTTATCTTTGTGGGCCCTTATAGTATATTTTGATAAAAAATAAATGTTAATTTTAGTAACTCGTTTATTATTATGAAACTACATTTTTATAACTAATAATACTACTCACTGTAAAGTCTTGTCTGATATTAAAATAGGCACATCAGCTTTCTTTTCTCTTTCATTCTTTGACTTTCAACCCTGTTGTTTGACTTTGTTTTAGAGGAGGAGGCTTAACAGCTAGTTCAGGGTCCTCTCCTCAGGCCTTGAGGACTCCTCAGGATATAACTATTGGCTAAACACTCCTTGCAACACTACCTCAAGGAGTATACCAAATCCAAATAAATGAGAATCCATTTGAGGACTATCTACTAGTCCAAGCACCAAACCTTATTGTCAACATCTTTTATAATTAATGGTTAGCTGGCATTAATGAGATGTAGCTGTAGCAAGGAATGGATATTAATCATTTACCAGATAGCCTCTATAAATGTTGTGGTTTCATTCAATGGCATTTTACTAAGCTTTGAGGAAAAATGAGGGAGCACTATGCTATTGACATAAAAAGATGTTTACTCCATGTGAATTAGAGAAAAAAAGCAAGTTGCAGAACAGGATAAATTGTATGGCCAATTATTTTGAAGTATCAATTTTGTGCATATACATTTACGTAAGTAATCATTCAATCAACAAATTAGTTCTTGAGTGCGTCTCCTGTTCTGGGAACTATTTCAAAACAAAGTCAAAAGCTTCCAAGCCAATTGTCTTCTTTTTCAGGGATCTTCCTCCAACCACTTCAGCCCTTCTGTCATGACCACGTACCTTTAAAACTTGGTTAGATAGCAAAACTCACTAAGCTTTCATTTCTTGACCAACAAAATGGGGTAATATTCCTTGCCCTGGTGGCCTGACAGTTGATCTGAGAATCAAACAAGTGAGCATATATGAATGTGCTTTAGTAATAAGCACTGTGCACATAGAAGGGACACACACAGAACTGTCCCCTTGCTTCTAGTATGAGTTAAAGTTTTACTTGCTATAGGAAGCTCACCTTAGACTATCTCCTCCAATTCTGACCTATGTCATGTGCTGCACTTCTCTTGTAAAAACTAAACTAACATCTCTCAAAAACAAGCTTAGGCAGGTCTGTATTCCTCCGTGGCACACTATCTGTCATTAGCCAATAGTTTCTTATATTTGTATGCTATCTTTTCATTTAAAATTCATTCCTTTCCAATGAAGTCCAGAAAGTGCAAAGAAACAAGTATTTACTAAATACTGTAAAATAATTTTTGTAAGTCTGCTGGATTTAGATTTGGTTTCTGGTAGTCATCTGGCTCATCAGTAACTATGGGGTAGCTACTATGAGCCAGACATTGTGTTGCATGCTGGTAATACAGAAGTTGTCAGAACAGTCATGGTTACTTCCTTCACAAAACTTTCAATCTAAGCGAAAGAACAGACATTAGAGGTATTATGAGGATGTAAAGTTTACTTTTTAAAAATCAGATGGATAGAAGGAAAACATGGGATAGAGAAGGGAGAGGTGGATGCTAACCTAGTCTGGGTAGGATACGTAATAGGGCTTATCTGAGAAACTGACCTTGATTTTTATTTAATTTTATTTATTTATTTATTGAGATGGAGTTTTGTTCTTGTTGCCCAGGCTGGAGTGCAATGGCACACTCTCGGCTCACTGGAACCTCCGCCTCCCAGGTTCAAGTGATTCTCCTGCCTTAGCCTCCAGAGTAGCTGGGATTACAGGCACCTGCCACCATGCCCAGATAATTTTTGTATTTTTAGTAGAGACGGGGTTTCGCCATGTTGGCCAGGCTGGTCTTGAACTCCTGATGAACTCCTGACCCCAGGTGATACACACGCCTCAGCCTCCCAAAGTGCTGGAATTACAGGCTTGAGCCACCACGCCTGGCCGAAACTGACCTATAAGCTAAACTTGGCACTCAGAGCTACTTCATCAAGAGGAAGATGTCATAAGCCATTATTTCACTAATGATAACAAAGAAATATTTTATAACAATAAGTGAAAAGCTTTCAAAGATATATCAATAAGTTGATTATTATTTGAAAAATTAAATATGATGGGTTTATTAGATAAGCAAGCCGCCACTAGAATCTTTGAGCTTGGCTCTTCTTATTGGCCTTTAAGATGTCTATTGTATTGAAACAAAGTTTAAGAAAATGGAAATTTTGTTCATTTACTTATTTATTCTTGCCACTCTTAGCATGAAGAAAGTCATTTTAAATTTATCTTCACGCACTACCCCCCCATCAAAAAAACAAACACACACACACAAAAAACACCTCTCCGTGTTAAATGTGGATTAAATAAAATTTAGGAATGAGTCAGGGTTTCAACAGGAAACCAATGACAACTCAAATGGCATGGAAAAGATTTTAGTGGAACTCCTATTTACAAAGATGCGGACAGGGTTAAGGGAAAGCAACCAGTGACAATAAAGCATTCCCAGCTAGTACTAGCTAAGATTCCTAGACCATTTTAACTAGTTGGCTAGGAGCCAGTAAACTTCTTTATGTTTTTAGAGGAAAGGGTGAGAACAAATTCAGGAACCTGGAGAAAGAAAGAGGCTTCAAATAGGAAATGTAGCCTTTACTGGAGGAATGCAACCCTGGAATCCAGAGCCATGCAGAAAGAGAGCCAGGGAGAATGAGTTCTGAGACTCCATGCTCCTCTCACCCTCTCATCTTTTGCCGTTGCTGCCCATGGACAAACCAACAGGAAGCCAGAGAGAGAGGAAGCCCATTGCCACTGTGAGGAAGGTTCAGCCTTACAGGGCACGGGGCAGAGTTGAAAAAGAGTGAATCTAGAAAAGCAAAAGAGAAATATTCACCATAAAAAATCACTTACTCTATTATATTGTACCATATTGTATTTTTTCAGGCTTTTTCTTGCTTATTCTCTGGCACTAATAATCAGTAAGACAGCTGAAGCAAAATAAAACTGTAACATGCCATGTGGCAAAGGGGGTCAGGTTCTGGCTTAATTCAGTTTAATTTAATCTAGTTCTAGACATTCAGTTCTTCAATGGATAATCCACAAAATGGATACTTAATTCCCATTGGCTGTACAACAGAAGGAGTTTCAAGTTTATCACCTTTCTGTTTCCATAATGATAGGGTTTTTAAGGTGTTTAATTTTCACAGGGAAGCTGGATGATAATTGTCCATAAAGCATATCCACTGGGATATATATCTTTGTGCCTCTTCATCATGTTATGTCAAATTGTATTTCCTAAGGTGCTCAATAGGTTGTCATATATAACCAAGGAAATTCAATGCAAGTACAATACAATGTAAATTTAATACAAGGTATCTCTATTTACGCTGAAGAATTGTGTTTACTGTAAGAATTAAACAACAATGCTTTAGTGTGTCATAAAAATAACATGTGTAGTGAATATAGATGCTCCAAACATATTTGTTTGTCTTTTCCAGTGCAGCATGGCAATAGGAATATGAACTGAGGGCTCCCCTCAAGGTCCAGATGCTGATTGAATGTGGCAGATATCTCCCTGTGTGAATACTTGATCCTTCAATTAAAAAGGAAAAGAGAGAAGAGCTTTCACATTGCGGGATAATGCCTTATTACTGTTATGCTCTCCTAAAAATGGAATCAACGGAATCTAAAAAAGACTGTGCTTGGGAAATTCTACCTGACAAACTGACTGGAGGTGTTTCATAAAAGTTACGCAAGGTTTGCTCAAAACTGTCAAGCAGTTTTCCTAAGTGATTCGCTGAGTTCTATAATCCATTTCACTTATTAAAACTGAGCATTTCCAGGAAAGAAAATAGAATCACATTTTGACCATTTAAAAATAAAGTTATTTTAAAATAAAAAGTAAGAAAATCAAATGAAATATCAAACAGTTATCTCTCCAAAACCAGAGAAAAACCAGAACACAGATCTTATGAATTTTAAATATTGGCACTAAGAACAGGACATTGAACAAGTAAAAGTAACAAAATTTTGTTTTCATACAGCTAGATTAAATTCTACATTATAAGCCTTTCTACAAAAAGTAGAGGCAGATAATATAGTGAATAAAACCGTGAATTTTTGTCATTCACACCTTGCTTTGATTTATACAATCTTTCTGCTTAACCAGCTGTCTTGATTTTGAATAATTAAACTGTTTAATACTTATAAATCTAAGTTTCCACATTTGTGAGATAACAATACCTATTTCATGGGCTAGTTATGGGAATTAAAGTGCCTGGCAA
Source organism: Homo sapiens (assembly GCF_000001405.40). Taxonomy (NCBI): domain Eukaryota; kingdom Metazoa; phylum Chordata; class Mammalia; order Primates; family Hominidae; genus Homo; species Homo sapiens. The sequence goes on from NC_000001.11 coordinate 215,985,590, forward strand.
ATTCTTATAAATTATAGCTATTATTATTATTACTAATGTTATTATTGTTAACAGGAAATCAAGTATTTATTTCTATGCATGCATAGAATATTTAATTTGTATTTATACATATATCTTCATGTGCATACATTATGAAAACTTATTTCTATAGCATCATCTCTTAATGTGAAGGACAACATGTATAGAGTGTGTATAAGAGACCTATAGTTAATTGATTTCTCTACCACCCATTATTGACAGAATATATAAGCTCAAAACACTGAGCCAAATGTTTTTTTTAAATAACGTTCTATTGTCTTCAAGGTACTACGTGTAAGTCTACAAAAATAATCAACCTGCTAAGATGTTTCTATTATTTTTGACATGATTGCCACCATTTTGACATATGTTCACATATAAATTCTCACAAAGATGGGCCAATATGAAAGACTAAATTAGGAAAATATTTCCATAAGCTTCTCAGGTCCCCTTCACTTCTCAAGAAGATGCTAGACCATGTCTAATGGGTGCCCAGCTCTCATGCTTCTCCCTCTCTCTCTTTTTTGTTTTAGACGTGGTCTCACTCTGTCACCCAGGCTGAAGTGCAGTGTCACAATTGTGGTTCACTGCAAACCCTGCCTCCCACGTTCAAGCGATTCTCATGCCCCAGCCTCCCAAGTAGCTGGGACTACAGGCACACACTACCACGCCTGGCTAATTTTTTTTTTCTTTTTTCTTTTTCTTTTTTTTTTTTTTTTGGTAGAGACAGGGTTTCATCATGTTTCCTAGGCTGGTCTTGAACTCCCAGGCTCAGGTGATTTGCCCACCTCGACCTCCCAAATTGCTGGGATTACAGGGGTGAGCCACCACGCCCAGCCACATGCTTCTCTCTTAATTATGCCCATGTGGTTATTAACAAATCCTGACCACAGTAAAAACATATCCTTTCATACTGAGACATGCAGAGCACAAACAAGACAAGTCTATGTGCTGTCTTTCATTAGGAAATCTACAGATTACCAGGCTGATGAAATCTTAAGCAAAAGGACTAGGTCTCTAAGTGTGTGCTTTAAGCCTTCAGCAGGCCAAGAGGAAGATTCCTCTCTGCTGTCTTTGAAATCATCCCACCTATATTACATAATCATCAAATGTGCTCACAGTGTGCATTTGTGTATGTTGTATGATTGCATATGAATATGCTTCTCACATCAACACTATTACAATTTTGGTATTGTCCCTATCATCGGTAAATATTAATTCATTCGACAGCTTTATAAGATGCCTCTACTCCGTGGCACTCTGCCAAAGGCCAGGACTAGGGCAGTGAAAAAGATACATATGATTCCTGCCCTCATGGGGCTCAGTCTAATAAAGAAACTATTTTAGGTCGATTTACTTAGGTAAAGATAGAGGTTAGTTACAAGGAATTATAGCTATTAATAAAAGATAAACATTTTATATTCTATATTTTTAGTTAGTATTTAAAAAAAACACATATTCTAATTAGTTTAAAATGTCACTGTAAATGTTATGCTAGATAATGACGAATAAGTTTGGCATAGTCAGATAGCTATGCTGTTTTAGCAAGGTAGACTTGAAGTGTGAAGAAAAAACATATTTCAGGATTCTAAGGCCTAAGCTTCTAAAAAGGAATATGGCTCATGAGAATTTGGAAGCTCTCAAAAGCAGAACTTTAATTACGCAATTGCAATCTACACAATACAGGTCACAAATGTATTAGACAGTAATCCTTTGTGCTACTTCTCTGTGATAGCTAATGGTCTTACAAAGGAAGCGTCAAGGTCCTACATAATAAGGGTTCCTATAGACCTTGGACCTAAAAGTCGCTCTTTTCAGCGGTTTTAAAATCATGTCTGAAATCACAGCCTGTAAAGAACACCTTTGCCAGAGGGAACGTGGGTGCAAAGGACTCTGATTAGAGAAACAGAGCTGGAGTGTCACACCATCATTTTTGCAGGTATGTGAAGCAAGGGACTAGAATTAAGCAGGACATATTTGAAGGCAAGCAAAGCCTTAGGTGTGAATCAAGTGATAATGACTCAGTACTTAAAGACTGTACTTGGCAGACTGAGGCAATTAATAGCAAGTAACCTTGTTTGTAATAGCAAAAACCACAGAAATGTCCATCAATAAAAAGATGGGTCTTGTAAGCTGTAGTTTCATTCAGTGGGATTGCATACTGCCTTTTGAAAGAATGAGGTCACGTTCCACTGAACTGCAAGGAAAGATGTTTGCACCATATTGTGAAGTGAGAAAAGTAAATTCCACAACAACTCAAATAGTATGAGCTCACCCTTGTTTAAAAAATGCATACTTCATGCATAGATCTCTATGTGATTATTAATCAGCAATTTTTTTTTGTTTTAAACTAACACTGTTCTTAATCTTTTTTTCTAGTTTAGTTTATAGCATTTTATTACATCCTCTCTGTATCTTTTTTTTATTACAGTAAAAAGCACAACGTAAAATTGGGCATCTTAACCATTTTAAGTGTACCATTGTGTTATCTACATACACGTGGTTGTGCAACAGAGTTGTAGAACTTTTTCGTCTTGGAAAACTGAAGCTCTAAACCCATTGAACAGCAACTCTCCATTTCCCCCTTCCACCCAGACCTTGGTAACCGTAATTCTAATTTCTGTTTCTGTGCATTCAACTACTATAGATAAACTCACGTAAGTGCAATCATGCAGTATTTGTCTTTTTGTGAGTGGCTTATTTCATTTACCATAATCTCCTCAAGTTTCATCCAGAGCATATTGTATGACAGGACTTCCTTCTTTTTAAGGCCGAGTGATATGCCATTGTGTAAATATATCACATTTTGCTTATCTACTTATCTGTCCATAGACACTTAGGTTGTTTGCACCTCGTAGCTACCGTGAATAATGCTGCAATGCATCTTGTTTCCAATTCTTTTGGATATATTTCAAGAAGTGGGATTGCTACATCATCTAATAATTCTATTATTAATTATTTGAGGAACCTCTACACTACTTTTCATAGCAGATGCACCATTTAATATTCCCACCAACAGTATTTAAGGGTTCCAGTTTCTCCACATCCTTTCCAGAACATGTTGTTTTCTGTTTTTTTCTTTAATAATGGTAATCAACAATTTTTTAACTGAGCAATTATTATGTCTCAGGCACTATTCTTGGAGCTGCTGGTACACTGCTGAACAAAAGACACCAAATTAGGAAAAATTCTCAGGGCTCATGAAGTATGTACTGAACCAACTAGCAAGCTTTCCAGCACAGACACTGTGGAGCAGGACCAGGCTGGGAGACAAGGAAGAGAACTGAAATAACAAGGGGAGAGGATCTTTTCTTAAAGCATTGGTTAAGGATTACCATCAGACTTTCACGAGTAGGAGATGATCATTTAAGTCAGAATCAGTTATGACAAGGACAGAATGTTTCCTAAGCCACGCTGGCCAAAGGCTACCAATTGTTTGATTGGCAAGGACTGGACATTTATATTAGAACTTTTTATACCTTTCATATTTTGTCATATATAGGCAAGCATAAAAATATACCTAGTTCTCATTATAGAAATTGAGTTTAATTTTTCTCAACAAGTCTTTGTTCATGTTTATAAATCCCTAGTGAACAAACATACCTTTAGGTACATAACTGATTAACAGAGTCAAGATTTTGAAACCTGAGTGTGCAAAACCAGGCAAGTAATACCTGTTTCAGACTAAACACATGTCTATATCTGGTCCTGCAACATCTTCGTGAGGATGCAGAGGGATGACATGTCCACATCTCATAGGGAACCACTAGGAGCTGCTTCTCTGTGTACCTGGCACCTTGTGCACCTCCCCACCTTGTGAGAATTCATTTATATGGATATTTTCCCCGAGGACTCTGATATCCTTGAGATCAAGAAGCAAGGAAATGCACTGTATAGATAAGAGTGAAGGAACCTAGTAGGTCATCAAAATACATATTTTGAATGAACAAATGCAAATTTTTTGCATGGCATGAGGAGGCTCCTGAAGCGATCTGGGTGAGCAATATTAATGGCCTTCACTAGAGAAGTGCAGTCGAGGGGTTGTGTGGTGACAGCAGTCAGGGGTGAGCAAGGTTTAAGGTGAAGACTGCTGCCCAGTATACTGGCTGGCAGGGCTGGGTGGTGCAAATCCATGAGAGAGGGAATACAGGAGAAAGAGCAAGCAGAGAGATGGAGACCATGAGGAGAAATCAACTTGGATATGCTGGGTTTAAGATGTAACAAAAATCCAGGGGGAGGATTTTGTGAGAGGTCTCAGTTGGAAAATGTAGTAAATACCCAGGGGTATTTTGATGATAACCGAGGCAGTGGAAGATTCTGATTATTTAGGAGGTCTGTGGTGGAGCCTAGAATCTACTTATTCAATTGGTGCTCCCAAGATTGTTCTAAGAATCAGATAAGTTTGAGAAATACCATTTAAAATCTTTTGAAAGGGTTTATTTAGTTACACAAGAATGAAGTCTATCTTATTCTCCAATTGTATTTCTCTTCAGCAGCATATTCAGAAATTAGAAAGCAACCATTAGGTAGCATATATTGCCATGTGAGCCTGGTACCATTAACTTTGAATTGGGCATAATCCAGAAAAGAAAATTAAAAATTCTTTGGTCAAATGCAAGATCGGTATTCTCAAAAGAGAAACCCAGCCTCAGAATCTACACAGCTAGAAAAATATATTTTAGGAACAAATGCATTTTGAACAAATATATTGCAGACACTGGATGGTAAGTACTTCTATCATCTCTCTTGGTATCATTAAAGAGCCAGGGCTTTGGAGTATATATGCCACTGATCAAAGGTAATTTCCACAAGAAACATTAAATGAATTAAATATTATTGCGTACCAATAAAAAGTAGAACATTGTGTTAGGCTCTGCGGAGTGAAAGAGAAATTAATGATTTATGGTCCTTAGCATCTGGTGGGAGTGTTTGACATATACGCAAATAACTTTAAGCACAGGCTGAATGAAGTTCCATTATGAAGGCATAGAAACAGTTCACATAGTCAAGAGAAGAGGGAAAGTTTACTTTAAACTTAAGGAAGAGTAGAATGATTTCATGGAATAAGAGGCCTACGGTTAGCCTAGAAGAATGAGTTGTATTTCTACAGGTAAGGACAGGGTGATGACAGGGATTGTTAATCTTAATTTTCCTTTTTTTTTTTTTTTTTTTGAGATGGAGTCTCACTCTGTCACCCAGGCTGGAGTGCAGTGGTGTGATCTCGGCTCACCGCAAGCTCCGCCTCCCAGGTTTATGCCATTCTCCTGCCTCACCCTCCTGAGTAGCTGGGACTACAGGCACCTGCCACTATGCCCGGCTAATTTTTTGTATTTTTAGTAGAGACGGAGTTTCGCTGTGTTAGCCAGGATGGTCTCGATCTCCTGACCTCATGATCCACCCCCCTCAGCCTCCCAAAGTGCTGGGATTACAGGCGTGAGCCACCAGGCCCAGCCTGTTAATCTCAATTTTCTAATCAAGGAAATTGGGGTCCATGGAAGTTAATGAATTTCCTGAGGTAACACAGTCACTATACATCAGAAACAATTTTTGACTCTAGGCCTATTTGACTCCACCCATGTTTTCCAACCCAACATTAAGCCATAAATATTCCAGCATGGCTAGAAAGGAAGATATGTTATAAGGCAATGTGTATTCAGGTTGAGTCACAAGTTGGTAGTAACCTGAATACCAGACTAAAAAATTTAGACTTTATTCTTTGGGTATTTGAGGAGAGGTGTGGGGACTTCGAAGACAGATGGAGAGACAAGATGTTTTCCAACAATCAGATTATCCCTCTCTAGACAATCAACAAGAGAAACAAAAAGCTAAAAAATTGGGGGAAAGTGGGGAGAAGTAGTAAAAACAAAAAAAGTCGTTTTAAAAAAAATAAAACTGCCTTTTAAATGTCTAACCATTGTACCACAATTAAAGTTCTAAAAATCCCACTCTAATTAAACACAAGACTTTGGAATACCATGGAAGTGTCAATACAAATCTCCAAAATCTCCCAAATTCTTCTTGCTTGATGAGTACATTTTAAAACTGCTTGCAAATATACAAAACATACGCAAATACACAAAACATTCAAAGAGCTTTGTAATGTGGAAAATGTTTCCCTGAACAGCTGAAGATTCTGAGAGCAATTGTAGTTCTAGTTGTATTAACCAATTGGGATGAAGGGAAGTGCTCTACTATGCAAATCATGTAACAGCATTTCACAGCAATCCAATTGAAATAAATCATTAACATTTTCATTGTCATCTATGAACTAGGGTACTTTGTGAAGTAAGAAGCATAACAAGATTGTTGATTGCTTAATATGGTATCAAATAGGCATCCATTTATTTTTTCTTGGAAAATTTGTAATAGTACAGGAATAACTTCAATAGCAGAGATAATAATTCACTCTGATTATTAGAATTCTCTCCATTACCTCAAATATATCTAGTGCATTTGCCAAAAGTTTAATTAAAATGAGATGGCTGGAATAATTAATATCATAGTAAACATAAGACAAACTAATAAAACTGTAACTTTTTTCTTTCATTCTTTTTGGCTGTGCTAAAAGAGCCCATTTCAATTTTCAGTAATGAGTTTCTTAAAAGAGTTTCTATATTAAAAGTCTTCTTGATATTTGTCTCAAAGAGGAATGAAATTTAATGTCAAGTAAGCTTCCATCAGTGTGAAACAATGGTACTATGTTATATGAACCTTAAAGATATTTCCACTAAATGAATAAAGCAATTTCTACCCAAAACTATTACAAATTCTTCATAATGAGATTTTATTTTAGTGAAACGTAACTGACTAGCTTAATTCACTAAACTGTACAAAAACATATATATTGCTTAGAAATGCACAAAACTTGCCTCCAGCTAAATATGTATAAATATATGTATGTTTAATCTATGCATTGTTTAAAAACAGCATGTTGAAATATTTATAAATAGTATATTAAAAAATACAGAGTTCCAAGTGGCCTCTTTTAAGATAAACTTATTAAATCAAAAGCGTTTTGACACAATATGTACATGAACTTTCCACCTCTCTCCTTCGCCAAGGAAGAACTAATGGCTTTTAAAAACAGAAAGTCATTGAAAATACAATGTCACTCTCACTACGGCATTCTTTGGGAATCCTCCCCGTTTGCTCTCTTCACCTCTCCTGGAGCATATTAAACAATGAGATGCAGTACACAAAAACTATCAAAAGGGAGCACTTTTGAGCCACCAAAATTGTGTGTTAGCCTAAAAACCACAATCTCCCCAACTAGAGACAATGATACTATCTTAGGTATTTTATGTGCTAAAATGATCATTAAAAATTAAGCACCACATATAAGCTGCCATTTAGAATATTAATTTACCTTTGCTAATCATCTTTTTAACTTGAGGCTAAAAGAGTTCACTTACCATTCGGATATTCAGGCTCAGTCCAGGAGACATTAAAGGAGTCAGGTGAATATGAGTGGGCTTTGGGGGCTGGCACGCCTTCGGGTATGTCCTCGTCAGTTAGGGCCTCACTGGCCTCACTCACTGTGCACCCACCACCTGTGCAAGCCTAAACAGAGATGCAAAAATGCTCATTTCACTCTTGGTCCCAAAAGTTTTCATGAACATTGAGGAAAGAGAATTCATAATAAGAGTTTCAGATTTTGTTATATAGTGCTACCTTTACTTCCCCAAAATAAATTCATTTCAGTGTTAAGATTTAACATTTATTTAATTTGCTTTTTAAGACATAAGATAGCCATCCCCAATAGTTAGAGAATAACTGAGATGGTATGAATGTATGAATTAAGGAAGCATCTTAAGTCAGAGCCTAGAGATGTAGGGCATATATTGACTGGATAAACAGCCCTGCTGAAGTTAGCCTTGCACAAAGGTTCCCAGAGTGAATTAAACACACACACACACACACACACACACACACAGCATGTGTACACATAACATAAGTAAAGTACTAGAGGATGAAGACTACTTTAAGACAAAACAACTGACTTCTAGGGAAGAAAAGATGTGCAGCAAATACAATTGCCTTTTATTTCTACAGTGTGACCAATATGTTTATAGCATAACACCAAATAAAATTAAATAAAACAATGTTTCTCATAAAACAACAAATACAAAGCAATTTTTGAGTGAATGTTTAATGGCTTAAAGGATCACATAATTTACTTATGTGTCAGAGTAGATAGGCTTCATTAAAACATGTTTGACAAATTTAACATGATCACAGAACTCTCTGTTCCCTAATTAAGTATCACTAATGTCAGAAATGGTAACATGAATGTTACAGAAACTTCCGTGTGCAATTTCATAATAAACTGCAAATAATGTTTTAAACTTACTGGACAAGCACTTCTCCAGGAAATTGATAAATACATTAAGGGGTTTTCAGCCCATATTTGCTAGCAAATATTAGTAATTATATCCTTATATAACAATGATATTTGAAAACTATACTTAAGCTTGGTTCAGTATCTCTTCAAGTTACAATTTCAATTGATACAACAAAGTTTAAAAATCTTTCAAAAGGCACTAAATTTTACCAAAATCAAAAAGAAAATAAAGCAAAATCATAAGACAATGTAAAAAAGCAGAGATATTTAGCTCATTTTTGTGTAAGACAGATATTACTAAGATAAAAAATTAAAGCATCTCTTTCTTTAGGCGTCTCTCTGATTTTTCAGTTTGATACTGAGTGAGTGATTTTGTGATTCTTAAAGTAGTCGATATTCTTTTCCCCAAAGACAGAAGGAAGCTGACTGATTTTTAGATTTTTTTTTTAAATATGGGAGTACACTACTATTTGCAAAGTTGTTGCAACTAGTTGCAAATTCTTCATTATAAGCATAAACAACAGTTTATGGTCAACAAACATGGAAATTAATCTCACTTGCTATTACAAGACTATAGCAATAGCCCATGTCTTCAGGATAATTTCTTACCAGCTTAATTAAGCAACTTTCAGATGGGTTAAATTGTGGCCTGAGCATGAAAATTGCATTAAGATTGGGTACCTAATTAACCTCTGTGGGTTTCCTCTAATTCTCAGCTGTGGCATGTGCCTTTCTGTGCAAGAAAAAAACCATACTCCTCTAGAGAATGGAATCTTTGCAAATGTGGCCAAACTCTGACTCAAAGCTTTAGGACAGGTCACTGTGAGCTCAAAAAATAATTGCCCAACGATTAAAATAGAAAAAAAGTTGAAGACCCCAGACATTTCAAATGTGCTAAAAGTCCACCAGAAAATATGGCAGGAAAAGAGGCCATATGAGACAGCTGAGTTATCAAAGGAAAAATGGTCAAAGACAAATTTTTCCCACTTCTCAGGGAGAAAAAAAATCCATCCATTTGCATTTTTCAGATTTTTTTTCCTTAGAAGGGAAAAATGTTGCAGCTTCTTATTGTTAAACTTGTAACACACTGGGATTTAATTCTGATAGTCTACTTGTCACTATTTTTTTCTTATTTGTATACTAAAATATTTCCCCTGCTAACTCTCCCCAAATAAATTCTATACTATACAACATATAAGTATATATTTTTAAAACACAGTGTGAATTAAAATTTACTTTGAGGATTTTATGATGTCTTCTAGGATAAGTAAAAGCATCCTTTGGTTTAGAAGGACTGTTTCATCTACTATGTCATCTGAGATCCATAAACCAGTAACTTGACAAAGAAATCTCTTAAGAATGTAAGGCATTTATGAAAGCATTTTTCTTGTAAATGAAATTATTTATAAAGAGGCTGCTGAAATAACAGAATTACCTGCAAATTATTTTATTTTGTTTTGCCCACATTCTTTTTGGATGCATTTAGAGGGTCCTAAGTAAGCAGGACATTATCTTAGTTCCTTTGATGGGAAAATAAATGTTCTTAAAGCTGCTTCCAATTGGTCTAATCTGACATCATCTAAATGAAATTGAACCAATCAGTATCTTGTTTGACCTGCCCGCACCAGAGGCCACTACATTCAATACAGCTGAATGCTGATTAAAATTCTGGTCTGGAAAAACTAAACAAAATAGTGGGGTTGATTAAAAATGCCTTTATGAAATAGCAAGGTCTTTGAAAGCCTGAGAGCCATTAAAATAAGTTGTTTTAACCATCGCCTATAGCTTTTCTCAGTTACAGCCATTTTGAAAAATTCATAAAGGCATAACTCTGCCTTGAAATGATGAGTAACATCTGGCCAAATAAGGGATTCAATTTTGGTACAATAAAATGCATAAATAATAAAATTTTATCAATTATTTTTGAAATCATGACTATTAAGACAATCCAAAACTAGCATTCTCTTTTTTTGTTGTTGTTGAGATGGAGTCTTGCTGTATTGCCCAGGCTGGAGTGCAGTGGCAGATCTCAGATCACTGCAACCTCTGCCTCTCGGGTTCAAGGGATTATCGTACCTCAGCCTCCCGAGTAGCTGGGATTATATGCTTGCAGCACCACACCCGGCTATTCTTTGTATTTTAAGTAGAGATGGGTTTTCGCCATGTTGGCCAGGCTGGTCTTGAACTCCTGGCCTCAACTGGTCTGCCCACCTGGGCCTCCCAAAGTGCTGAGACTACAGATGTAAGCCAGTGTGCCCGGACCAAAACTAGCATTCTCTTTTCCAGTAAGTTTTCAGGTCCACAGGGATTGGGGATGTTAAGAGTGCAACATATTTTAAAGCACGAAGAAAAAGAAAAAGGCCACTTGATCCATAATTACTTAAAAAGTGAAGCCACTTCCAGGAATCTTTCAGGAATATATAATACTTAGAATTCATCAAGTTACAAATGGCTAGCAGTGGTATGAAAATTATCAAGCAACACCTGTCTTGATAGCTGTCTGTATTAATAGCTTCTTTATTTTATTTTTAACATATTGTCTTCTTTATTAGGAGCTATCACATTTTATCACATTTCAAAATAGCCTTTGTTGAGAGTAGCAACATATTATGTTTTTTTTTTTTTTTTTTTTTTTTTTTTTTTTTTTGCAGTGGAAAGAGTATGTTTTGGAACCACACCATTCCTAATTCCAGTGTTTCCAAGCAAATTATTTAATTCATATCAAAAGTCTTAGAACCTTTATGAAATGATGTCCTTGGTGATCATTCATTCAGGAATTGTTTGCTCAGCTTCCCATTTCCAATAGGCCCTGTGCTTGAAACTGCAGATCAAATTTTGAAAGATTCAGTCCTTATGTTTCAGCAGTTTATAATCCAGTCAAATGTGAAAACTAAATGACGTTACATGAAGTAACATACCTGCTCCAAGCCTAGGGTAAATCATAGTGGTTCAAATCCCCGTGTAGCTTCCTCTATTCCAAATGCTGCTTAAAGGCTTTGTTATCTTTATGTTTTGTTTTCCAGCTCTTAGTCGACATGCTAAAATGATCTATAAAGGCAACTCCACTTTGCTGAGAACCTGCTCTCGATCTACTAATCTAATGACCTTGAAAGCCAGTTATTATATTGAAACTGTGAAATATACAATAATCCCTCAATTAACCAGGATGAACCTAAAATGTTCTGGTTCATTTAATTTACTGCTTAACAGAGTTAAGTAAAAACCCTGTTAGTTGAATCCTCCCTGAAAATATATTATTTTCTGCCCTAATAAATATAGTGAACTTGAAAATAATGTGAGCAAGTTTATTTCCCTACCAAGAGTTAAGGCAAGGATTTTCACATCTTTATAACATCTTGCATCAACACTATTCAGCGGCTGACAGATAGCATTTGACTCCATAGAATAGTGTTTGGGATTACTTTTTTTAGCATCATAGAATTTTATGGCTCAGAGACATTAAACATCATTTAGTTCAATGTTCTAATTTTAGACTTGAAGAAAATAAAACTCAGTGAGGTTAAGTGAATTTGCCTTAGGTCACACAGTTTGTAGTAAAATCTGAATTAATACTCAGGGCAGAGGACTCCTAATCTACTAGTATGTATTTTTCAAGGTATTATAGATTTATAAAATCTAGGAGATTGATATGAATTGATTGACTGCACAGCACATCCTAAAAACGGCCCTAGGAAGAGAATCTGTTCTATGTCATTTGCCTACTTCTGATAAACAACCAAGAGCACAATTTTTGGTTTAGTTTTGGTTGCTTCCAAAAAATTAAGACTCTTCCTAATTTTGATACTACCATTATTTTGAAAATAGTTTGTATTTCTGTGTTAGCATTTGAAAATCAAGTTAGTATATTTCTTACTTAATGGGTAATAAAACTGTACATAACCAAAGTGCTGTTTCATAAACTGCTGTGCAGAACACCTAGGCACATGGAGTCAGTTTTGAACAGTATTTTTTTAACCACTGTCTGATTGCCCTTGTTTTGTGGTGTTAAGTCAGACAGTTAGCAATAGTTGAGTGTAGTTTATTTTCTCATGGTATAATATTTAGAGCATTCAAGAGCATGTTAAGTAAAATGAATGCATACACAGTGTCTACATAAATGTAAATTTATTCATAATCAAGAGCAGAATATTTTCTATGGCATTTATCAAAGCAAATATCCTTATATAGGTATTGCTATAAAATGAAGAGTGTGTTTAAAACAAATAGGGACAATCTCATGTTTATATTCAGTTATTTTCAGACGTGCTATTAAACTTAAAAAAGATTATATTTCATCAAAAAACAAAAGGAATTACTGAGTATAAATTCCACAGTAATATCAAGGTCTTTTAAAAGACCTTTGTGTAAAAGTGCTATTTTTGCATTTAAAAAATGCTATTGTTTGTCTAAGGGAACCTCTAAACTATGTTGATTCTGGGGTTTTATTAAGTGACTGTTCTTCTGAGATAGGAGCATAATATAAACCAGAATGTAATAACAATCAAGAATATTTGACGGTCATTTAAACTTCCATTTAAAAATATAAGATCTAAATTTTCATACTGTGCATTGTTTTTTAAATGAATACAAATGCCACAGGGAAATAACCTTATGAATCCTAGCACTTTAGAAAAAGTTCTTAACAATTATGATGTTCTACAAGTAATTTTGAAAATCTTGATAATCCCAACTTTGACTTGGGAAAATCTACTGACTCAGGGTGTTATTCTATCATTTGCATAATATAAAATAAATGTGTAGGTATTAGATCACCAGAATTCACATTTAGGATGGGAAGAGAGTTTTCAGTATAAACAGCAATACATGAAGATTTTGACTTTTTTTTTTTTAAGTGAGAGAGAAAGAAAAGATGGACCACGGGAAGGGGAGAAGAAGTGGAAGGAATGGGGACAGAGAAAGTGATGGAAATAAACTTACTCCCAGCTTGATGAGATATTTATTACCAGGTAAAACGTATTGTAGCATATGATCCTGGAAAAGTTCTGTACTGTTATAGATGACACTCCAAATTGTAAAATCATGTGTATGGTTTGACATATATAATACATAGCGTTCCAGAATCCCACTTATTTTTCTTGGTTGTTTCCACCTGGGAATGGTAAAATACATTATTATCATTCATTCAAGTCAAAACTAAAATATACAGGATTTTCAAAGGACACATTTGAACTTGGATTTGTGACACTTTTTTAAAAAACATAAATCTCAAAATTGATTCATTTAAAATAAAACACTGAAGTAGTTATCCAATGCCTATTCTGAGGGGCAAAAAGGAAATGTGATATGGCTCCTGCCATCTGGTTACCTGTAATTTTAATTAGCTAACAATACAAAAATGTATAAGCGAGTATTTATTTTGAATTTAAGCTGTAGAACAAAAACTTCAGAAGCAGAACTTCTGAGAACTTAGATATGGGGAAAAGAGGGAATAATATAATTGTCCTGGAAAATCCAGGAATCCAACACAGGGTTAATATGTAATTAGAGAAAACAGTGAAATTGATGACTGGAAGGGCTGAAAAAATCAGGCAGGACTTCTTGAATGAAGTGACACACTACTTAGATACATAAGATTTTATTCTTAACAGATGGATTGGATTTGGATAGGTAGAAGGAAGAACAGAGGGCATTTCAGATGAGGGTTACAACTTAGCAGTGGAAATGAGAAGGGCAAGTCATAGAACAGACAGGAAATTGTTAAGCTGAGAAACACCTGAGTCGTGGGAAATCTTTTTGGCTAAGTAACGTGGCTTGGCTTAGGGGCACAATGAAGCCAACAGGAGAATTTAGACATGGAACAATGAGATCTGAATCATAATATTTTTCGGCTTGAATAAATGTCAGAATTCATTTAGTCTAAACTCTTATTTTACAGATAAGAAAACTGAGTCCAGAAGAGATAAATATGAACAAGTATTAACTCTTGATAAGAGAGACCTATTAGATTTTAGCTCAGCACAATAGTACACCTTATACCTCAGGTATCAGGAAATGGACAAGAATCAGTAATACCAGAAATCATCAGAACATGCCTATATGTGAAACTTCCTTTCTGACATCAACTGCAGGTAATAAGGGAATAAGAAGGTCCTGGACTATACTCAAAAAGATATACATACTTTCTAATTCCAAATTATTACAAATAATGCCCCAAACATAAAATATTCAAGGCAGTCATGAAAGTGGTCAGTTTTTTGTTTATTGAAGTTTGCATGGAATCTGTGTACCTATGTAGCTCAGCCTGATTGCATAAAGACAAAATGGAAATTAGGCTGGCAAGTGATAATCAAAGGTTCCCAGATCCACTGAACTAATCACTTCTATGCATTTAATCACAATAAAATTAATTTTATGTCACAAGCTCCTCCCCTGATTGAACTCACTGAGATTCTTGCATGAACCAGCATGTGAGAGAGACAACATTTCTACTTACTGTATGTGTATAGTTCTAGAATCCAGGACAGTCAGAACTGGGGAATCCACGTGTTCTGGTGGCAGCTGTGCTGTGTACAGTAGGACCCAGGAACTGTTTGTACAGCCCACATGTGTGCATGCACTTAGTAGAAACTGGTGGGGTGTAAATACTGCTAAATCTAGGGGATAGGGAGAAACAAGAATTTACTCAGCATTATACTTCTTATTGAGGAGATTTCACTCCTCCACTATAGTCCTATCTCAGAGAATTGTTAAGATAAGGCTTAAAATATGAATAAATAGCCATAAAAATCAATAGCAATAACATATAGGATGCTTCATCCCTTAAATATACTTTGGTTATGTTTAAATAGACAAGTGTCAATCAAACTCTTGTTTTGACTTTTTCATTTTAACAGTTTTACTGTTTTCTTGAACGTCTGTGACCAGGTAAATCATTTGCTAAGTTTAGTCTTAGTTCAATGGCTCTGTTTAAAAATAAATGAGATGTTTAAATTATTTTAAAGCATATTTGAAGACAACAGGAGTTGCCTTTGAAATGCCAATACATAGCTTGTAACAATGACTTTGAGCTTGTAATTCCGTTTGTCAGATTCCATTCTTCTCCTGTCCACCACCTGACTATTATTTGACCTTCAAATTGTCGAGGTGCAGTGCAGATGCCTGTTTCTTCCTTGTGATGTCCCTAACACTCCTTGCTGTCACCCCAGCACAAGATGGAGCTATTAGCCTCTTCTCTTTCTCTTTGTACATACTTTTAGCTTAACACTTAAAAACACTGTGTCATGACTATATGATACACTAAATACCTTAAGAGCAGGAATGGTAATATATTCATTTTGCATCCTTAGTATGTAGCACAATACCTGGCACATTGTAGGTTTTGAATATGTGTGTTTGAATGAATGAATAATTAATGAATGAAACGAGCTAGGTCTGAAAGATGACCATGAGACTAGGGTAGTGCCCTAGGCTGAAAGAATCTCTCCCTCCCCTGAACTTCCCTGGTATTTTATATTGTCTGTCTTTCTAATAGATACCACATTCTCTTGTATTAGATTAAACTAATCTGTAATATACTAACTCAATTCTGAAATATCCTGAACACTTCATTACACTTGGTAATCTAACCAAAGTTCAGTCAGGTGTACCAAGACTTACTAATCATTAATACTTTAACACTACTAGAAACAATCATTATTTTCTGACATACTTTTAAAATAAGTTAGTCACAATTTAAGTAACACAGATTCTTAAATCTCATTAACCATGAGCCACCACAATTTCATATTGAAGAGATTAATGAAATGCAACCTAATTCAGGCAAACAGATTTTGCATTGCACTGATAACAAAAGTAAACTGGGGAAAGAACACTTTGATTTTCATGCAAAGTACAATCAATTGGTTAAACATGTAGGTCACTAGAAGAGAGATTAAAAAAATAATTTACAGTAAATATGGTTACCTTAGAACAAAAAGTTGTCAACAAGAAGAGACTCTTAATGCTTTTGATTAAACCTTGTTTTCTTTACAAATTCTATCCTACAGGAATCCAATGGTTGCAAGTTGAGATGGGGCACTCCCATTCAATGTAGTCAGAATATATACTTCAAGGACACTTTGAAGCTGATGGTGAAGCAGTGTGGCATTGCCAGGGACTGCTGAGAGATGGCAGCAACAGTCGCACTATAGGTACACGACTGAGACATAACTGGGGTGCCTTCATTTGGACCAACGTTCTAGGAAACTTATGAAGTTAAAAAATCATTACAGCAGTGGCCTCAGATGCTACCGAGAGAGTAGACTATTATTTACTGAGAGAAAACTTTATGCAAAGAAAAACTCCTACCGACAGGGCCAATCTTGGCCAAAATTATAATGTGTTTATATGCTAACATATTGTATCTGCCATTCCTCTGTTCTCTTCATCTTCGCTCTCTGGTGACCTTTCTCTCTCTCATTGTTCTCATCTGTCTGAATTCCTTGTCCTCCCTGAAAAAGAGAAGCTGGGGATTTGACTCTAAGTCCCGTTGCAGGAGCAAAACCAAGGAGGTCACCAAGCTTAGAGGAATTCCTGATGGGTAATTCAGTGCAATTGGAGAAAACCTATAGTGTTTCAACTGAGAACACATCCAACTTTCTGAAAGAACATGCTCCAGCCAGAAATTATATTCCATGTGGCCAAATCCACGTGACCTTGAAATATATAATAGCCATATCAGATTGTCTTGGTCAGCCGCAACCGAGATTGGATGCTACAAAATTCTTTGGCCAGTGAACTCTTTGGAGTGGGATAGGTTTTCCTTCTTTCTTACATTCTACTTTGCTGGGGTGGGGATTTAGCTACCCAACTTGTAGGTGGTGAAGAAGTTACTCCATTCAAAAAGGCCCGATGCTTGCTTGCGTATGTTTCCATGGTACAGACTTGCATATCTGGAACTTAGGTATCTCAAGGTAGGACTTAGGTATCTCAAGAATGCATCATCATATTATCACATATCGCAGTGTCTGCTTATCACAGAGTGCCCCACTCACCTTTCCCCTATAAACTGCATGCGTTGAAGGTGACTATGATCACCTAAGCCCTAAACCCACCCAGAATATCCGCCTCAGATGGAAGGAGCTTCCTGAAGCAATTAGTTCAGGATTTGTTATCCGTGCCCGGATTCTTCCATGGAGTGGGAAGTGTCCGTTTCTATAACAACTGGGACTGGGGCAGGGGGCGGTCAGGATGGGAAGTGAGTATACTTAGAACAAGTATACCTCTCATGTTGCTTGAGAGGGTTAGAATGGCTAGTGAGCCAGGATTGAAATAGAAATAGTTTAGTTGAGCTTGTCAAATCCTCCATCCCTAGTTAGGGTTTGCCTCTAGATTATCCAAGGTATTATGAAGTTTATGGGTAAGAAAGGTGTTGCATTTTAGAAGATAGCATGTCTTTAAAGTGAATGTGTAACGGAGTTTAAGATGTTCATGCTGCATTACATGAAAACTGCTGCAGAAAACACAGAACAGAGGAAGGAGAATTAGAAGTTCTGGGTAATTTTAATAGTTAAGAGTCAGCAGAGGCCTCATTGGGAAGGTGGCATTTTGAGCAAAGACCTGAAGTGGGGATGAGTGTAAAAGTTATGGGAATTTTTGGGTTGGACCATTCCAAGAGAGGGAACAAGCAGAGCAAAGCTGTGGAAGGAGGGACATGCCTGACACTCTTGAGGACTAGCAGGGAGGCTGAGGTGGCTGGAGCAGAACAAATTAGGAAGAAGTAAGTTAGAGATGATATTAGAGATTTAATGAGGGGTCAGTTCATGCAGGCCTTGTAGGTCTTTGTAAGAATTTTGGTTTTTAATCTAAGAGGTTCTACTTAGGAAGACACTAAGGATTTTGAACAGAGCTGTCATGCAATCAAACATGGACTTCATGAGTATCATCCTGGCTGCCAGACGTATAGATGGTAGTGAGCAAGAGCATAAGAATACATCTCACTGAAGAGGCTATTTGTAATATCAAGTAAGTGGGGGCCAGTAATAATCAAGTAAGAAATGGTTAAATTCTGAATATGTTTTAAAGGCAAAGCTAACAGGATTTCCCAGTGCATTGTAGGTAGAGTATGAAAGAGAAGACCCAGAGTTGACTCCAAGGCTTTTGACCTGAGCAAAGGGAAGGATAAAGTAACCATTTTATTGGTTGAGGAAGGCATGGAGGGGAAGATAAGAATTCATATAATGAATGTCAATTAGACATTTGCTATGTTAGTTAGATAACCAAGAGGAGATTGTCAGGATATTTGAACAGAAGTTTGGAATTACAGGAAGAGTTCATGGCTTGAGATATATAATTTGGTAAGTCATCATCATATAGATGGCTAGGAGTGCAAACGGAGTGAGAATAGATATAAAAGAGAAAACCCTGGGATACCAACATATGAGGCCAATGAGTAAAGGAGAAATCAACCAAGGAGACAGAGAGTGACCAGTAAGGTATGAGGAAAACATTGAGATTATGGTGTCTTGAAAGTCAAAGGAAGTAATTTTTAAGAGTTAAAGGTGAAATAAGATGAGAATTAAAAATCGGCCATCGGGTATAACAATATGGCAGTCATCAGTAATTGCACAATTGAAGTTTCAGTGAACTTGTCAGCACTAAAGCCTGACTTAAGTGGGCTTATAAGGAAATAGAAGAGGAATTAGAAACAGTGAATAAAAGAACATTTTCAAAAAGTTTTGTGGTAAAGGAGAACAGATAAATGTAGCAATAGATAAAAGGTAAGTAGAATCAAGAGAAGATTTTTAAAGTAATTTAAATGAGAGAAAAATTTGTTGTATGTGATGGGATGACCCACTAGTGAAGGGAAAACTATGAAGTGGATGAAAGAGAAAAAAATTGCTGGAGTTTTGTCCTTGAATATGTGAAAGAGGAGAATCTAGTTCAAAAGTGAAAGAGTTGAACTTGGAACAGAGACAATCTATAGTAATGGGAGGGGATGCAGACTATGTGGGTGCCAATACTGGTAGGTGGGTAGATGGTAGCAGAGTCTATGGGCATTATCCTCTAACTACTTCAATTTTCCCAATGAAGAAAACAAGACCATTTACCATGAGTGATCTTTTGATTCTTCAGAGTAACACCCTGTAGTACCCTTCTTCTGCTCTTAGAACGAAATCTAATAATGGTCAATGAGATCCTATTTGATGTAACATTCTCCCTATTTTTTTCATACACTAGACTAGACATTATTCTGTTCTTCTAACACAACAAGTTCACACTTCTGGGCCTTTGCAGGTGCTGCTCCTTCTGACTGAAATCTATTTTCTCTCTCTTTGTACTTGGATTGCTCTTTCTTATGCTTCAGCTTCATCCTTCTATGAGTGGTCTTTCTTGATAATTGAACAATATGGCCACCATCATCCCCAGGTTCTTGTTATATCACCTTGTTTAGTTCCATATCATAATTACTAAAACAAGTTCAATATTGCCTTTTCATTTATATCTTGATATTATATCCTTCCCAGGAGAATGTAAACTTCTTGAGTTCAGATAAATATTTTTTATCATGTTCAGCAGGATATCTCCAGGAATGGTGTGATGACTAACTCGCATAATTTTACTTGTTGTAAATGAATGAGCAAGACCAGAAGGATATCCCCATGCCCTCTACCCAGGCTGCCATTTTTTTTTCTCAGAAATATAGTAATGTCTAAACATGTTTTAAAGTCTCCAAGAATATAATGAATATAATTGTTGGGCCAATGTAGGGGTCTATAGTTGTAAGACAAAGGAGATTTACCATTAAATACGAGAAAAAGGCAAAGCTGTACCTGTCTGAATGCCAAAACATAATTTTAAAGTACCAGTGCTTCATTGTAAAAGAAAGAAACAATAAAAAAAATAAAAACAAAACAGGAGATAGTGGTAAACCAAATGTTAACAATGTTTTTCTGAGTGAGTGCATATAGAGGATTTAATTTTTGTTACATATATTTTTCAAATTTTTTGTGATATATATTTATATCATAGATGGAGAAAAAATAGCCATAGTTAATATCAATCCATTATTTAAAAGAAGATATGCCCCAACCTAGTTAACGCATGCCCCCATCACATCTCCGGTCACACTGCTTCTCTCCTCTATGACTTCAGCATTGGCTCAGTTTTCTTTTCAATCATAATCCCTTTTTGGCAACTCTAACATCCTCAATAATGACTCATCTCTGAATCTGGCTTTACTTTAACTTCCTCAAATGCAATGCCCTTCACCTCTACTTCATTTATTCAACATTCAGCATAGTTACACCTACTACTTCATAATCTTCAGAATGATTTCCAAGATTCTAAATCTAAATCCTGCACTCTCTGACCACAAACTGGTTACTTCCCACCTCTTCCACTTGTCACATCAATGCAATCACTCCTATGCCGCTACACAATGTCCAGTCTCTTGGTACCTTCTTATTCCCAGATATTTTCAATAGTTTCATTTCCCTCATCAATGAAATTTGATCATCCATTACAAAGCCATACTCCCTGGGTCACATAGGGTTCTTCACATCCCCAGTCCTCTTCTATATGGCTATCCCAGTTCCCACTTCTGGATAAATCTTATCATCTTATGTCTCTAATACTTCTCATATCTCTAAGATGTTTCCGAGAGATGTCACTGAACACACTGAAAGAGTCTAGTATAATTTCAGGTTTTCCAGTTTGAACTGGGCTTTTGGAACTTTTCAGCCATAATTATGTTGTTCCTTTGTGACTCTCTTCATTATATTGATTTGTTTTTCCTTCTTCTCCTTTCATAGTTTGGACAATTCTCTTGAGGAACCAAGTAAGGGTTTACATTGAAGCCCTTAGAGCTTCCTCTTCTAAACTCCTACAATGCTCAGGATTTGTTCAATGGGTACTGAGATCAATCTGATTGTCATACTAACCTATTTTATTTCTTCCGTCCTTCCCTGCTACCGACCCTATATGTTTTCTGCATTTAATTTTTATCTAAATGCTTCTCAGTGATATGGTTTGGCTATGTCCCCACCTAAATCTCATCTTGAATTGTAGTTCCCATAATTCCCACATGTTGTGGGAGGGACCCGGTGGGAGATAATTGAATCATGGGGGCAGTTTCCCCCTTCTGTTCTCATGGTAGTGAATACGTCTCATGAGATCTAATGGTTCCATAAGGGGTTTCCCCTTTCCCTTGGCTCTCATTTCTGTCTTGTGTGCTACCATGTAAGATGTGCCTTTTGCCTTCTGCCATGATTGTGAGGCCTCCCCAGCCACATGCAACTGTAAGTCCATTAAACCTCTTTTTCTTTACAAATTACACAGTCTCGGGTATGTCTTTATCAGCAGCATGAAAACGAACTAGTACACTCAATTAAATTATAAAATCAGAATTTAACTATAAAATAGATTTCTCTGTAAAACAGAATGTGACTGGTCAGGAGGCAGAAAAAAAAACAAAAAAATCTTCTGGACAGAGTGACTGAGGGAACAGAGAAGGAAGACTCTGTTCCCTCAGATATAATGTTGGGAGAAATAGGAAGTATGGAGTCTTCCACTTCCCTAATTCAGAATTCCCTGCCTGATGGAATAAGGATAAAAGGAAGTAGAAATGTGCAAGCTCTCTGAAGGAGGGGCCCTGACCCCTGTTTTCAAGGTAGAGTCCCAGGTCGGGGGCAAGACCAGAGCAAAAAGAAAGACTTTGGTGTCTGTATTCAGGCAGGGCCACAGAAAACCTTGTAAAGATTTCAGTTGCCCAAGTGTGATGTAGAAGCACTGAGGATACCCACTGAATGTGGAAGGGTTGTCTCAATAGTTATCCCTTTGCACAGAGAAAGAAAGCATCCTGGGTGGCCACACTCCAGATGCTAAGGAACTAGGTAAGACCCCAGAAGCTTTTACATAATTAGTAGAGGTGGGGGGACCCCCAAAGTGACTGTGATTTACTTACTACTAAGTTGCATGGGAGTAAAGTCAGATATTAAACTGAATTATAGAAATAAAATCATAACTGTACACAGAGATAGAGACATACATATATGTCTTGAAGACTGAAATTTATGAATGCCACATACTCAACCAGCACCTCACCTATGCTTATCATAACCACACAGACAAGATTTTCAGAACCTAGGTACAATTGAAATGTTTTCTAAGTTTTTAAGATAAGCTAATTCACACCAAAAAAGTAGTTTGTTAGGTCAGATTTCTGGTTTGGGAAATCTGACTGCTATGTCGTCACTGTCAGGCCTCTGAGCCCAAGCTAAGCCATCATATCCCCTGTGACCTGCACGTACACATCCAGATGGCCGGTTCCTGCCTTAACTGCTGACATTCCACCATGAAAGAAGTGAAAATGGCCTGTTCCTGCCTTAACTGATGACATTGTCTTGTGAAATTCCTTCTCCTGGCTCATCCTGGCTCAAAAGCTCCCCCACTGAGTACCTTGTGACCCCCACTCTGGCCTCCAGAGAACAACCCCCCTTTGACTGTAATTTTCCTTTACCTACCCAAATCCTATAAAACGGCCCCACCCCTATCTCCCTTCGCTGACTCTCTTTTCGGACTCAGCCCACTTGCACCCAGGTGAAATAAACAGCCATGTTGCTCACACAAAGCCTGTTTGGTGGTCTCTTCACATGGACGCACATGAAATTTGGTGCCGTGACTCGGATCGGGGGACCTCCCTTGGGAGATCAATCCCCTGTCCTCCTGTTCTTTGCTCTGTGAAAAAGATCCACCTACGACCTCAGGTCCTCAGACCCACCAGCCCAAGGGACATCTCACCAATTTTAAATTGGGTAAGCAACCTCTTCTTACTCTCTTCTCCAACCTTTCTCACTATCCCTCAACCACTTTCTCCTTTCCACTCTTCAATCTCTCCCTTCTCTTAATTTCAATTCCTTTCATTTTCTGGTAAAGACAAAGGAGACATGTTTCATCCGTGGACCCAAAACTCTGGCGCCAGTCACGGACTGGGAAGGAGCCTTCCCTTGGTGTTTAATCATTGCAGGGACGCCTCTCTGATTATTCACCCCTTCTCTGCCTTTCTGGGGGGCAAGAAACCCCCAACCTCTTCTCCTTCACCCTTAGCAGCAAGTCCCACTTTTCTGGGGGAGGGGCAAATATCCCAACCTCGTATCTCTGTGCCCCAATACCTTATTTCTGTGCCCCGACCTCTTATCTCTGCACCCCAATCCCTTATTTCCACACCCTGACCTCTTATATCTCTGTGCCCCAATCCCTTATTTCCATGCCCCAACCTCTTTCCCACTTTTCTGGAGGGTAAGAACCCCTGAACCCCTTCCCTCCGTGTCTCTACTCTCTCTTTTCTCTGGGCTTGCTTCCTTCACTATGGGCAACCTTCCACCCTCCATTCCTTCTTCTCCCTTAGCCTGTGTTTTTAAGAACTTAAAACCTCTTCAACTCTCACTTGACCTAAAATCTAAGTGTCTTATTTTCTTCTGCAATACCGCTTGACCACAATACAAACTCAACAGTAGTTCCAAATAGCCAGAAAACAGCACTTTCAATTTTTTCATCCTGCAAGATCTAAATAATTCTTGTCATAAAATAGGCAAACGGTCTGAGGTGCCTGACGTCTAGGCATTCTTTTACACATCGGTCCCTTCCTAGTCTCTGTGCCCAGTGCAACTCGTCCCAAATCTTCCTTCTTTCCCTCCCACCTGTCCCCTCAGTCTCAACCCCAAGCGTCCAAGCGTGGCTGAGTCTTTCTAACCTTCCTTTTCTACAGACCCATCTGACCTCTCCCCTCCTCCCCAGACTGCTCCTCGCCAGGCCAAGCTAGGTCCCAATTCTTCCTCAGCCTCCGCTCCTCCACCCTATAATCCTTTTATCACCTCCCCTCCTTACACCCAGTCCGGCTTACAGTTTCGTTCCATGACTAGCCCTCCCCAACCTGACCAGCAATTTACTCTTAAAAAGGTGGCTAGAGCTAAAGGCATAGTCAAGGTTAATGCTCCTTTTTCTTTATCCCAAATCAGATAGCGTTTAGGCTGTTTTTCATCAAATATAAAAATCCAGCCCAGTTCATGGTCGCTCGGCATCAACCCTGAGAAGCTTTACAGCCCTAGACCCTAAAAAGTCAAAAGGCTGTCTTATACTCAATATACATTTTATTACCCAATCTGCTCCCGACATTAAATAAAACTCCAAAAATTAAATTCTGGCCCTCAAACCCCACAACAGGATTTAATTAACCTCGCCTTCAAGGTGTACAATAATAGAAAAAAGTTGCAATTCCTTGCCTCCACTGTGAGACGAACCCCAGCCACATCTCCAGCACACAAGAACTTCCAAATGCCTGAACTGCAGCGGCCAGGCCTTCCTCCAGAACCTCCTCCTCCAGGAGCTTGCTACAAGTGCCAGAAATCTGGCCACCAGGCCAGGGAATTCCTGCAGCCCAGGATTCCTCCTAAGCCACGTCCCATCTGTGCCGGACCCCACTGGAAATCGGACTGTTCAGCTCACCTGGCAGCCACTCCCAGAGCCCCTGGAACTCTGGCCCAAGGTTCTCTGACTGACCCCTTCTCGGCTTAGTGGCTGAAGACTGACACTGCCCGATCGCCTTGGAAGCCCCCTAGACCATCACGGATGCCGAGCTTTAGGTAACTCTCACAGTGGAGGGTAAGTCCATCCCCTTCTTAATCAATACGGAGGCTACTCACTCCACATCACCTTCTTTTCAAGGGCCTGTTTCCCTTGCCTCCATAACTGTTGCAGGTATTGACGGCCAGGCTTCTAAACCTCTTAAAACTCTCCAACTCTGGTGCCAACATAGACAATACTCTTTTAAGCACTCCTTTTTAGTTATCCCCACCTGCCCAGTTCCCTTATTAGGCTGAGACACTTTAACTAAATTATCTGCTTCCCTGACTATTCCTGGACTACAGCTACATCTCATTGCTGCCCCTCTTCCCAATCCAAAGCCTCCTTTGCGTCCTCCTCTTGTATCCCCCGACCTTAACCCACAAGTATAAGATACCTCTACTCCCTCCTTGGCGACGGATCATGCGCCCCTTAACATCTCATTAAAACCTAATCACCCTTACCCCTCTCAATGCCAATATCCCACCTCACAGCATGCTTTGAAAGGATTAAAGCCTGTTATCACCCGCCTGCTACAGCATGGCCTTTTAAAGCCTATAAACTCTCCTTACAATTCCCCCATTTTACCTGTCCTAAAACCAGACAAGCCTTACAAGTTAGTTCAGGATCTATGCCTTATCAACCAAATTGTTTTGCCTATCCACCCCATGGTGCCAAACCCGTATACTCTCCTATCCTCAATACCTCCCTCCACAATCCATTATTCTGTTCTGGATCTCAAATATGCTTTCTTTACTATTCCTTTGCACCCGTCATCCCAGCCTCTCTTTGCTTTCACTTGGACTGACCCTGACACCCATTAGGCTCAGCAAATTACCTGGGCTGTACTTCAAAGCTTCACAGATAGCCCCCATTACTTCAATCAAGCCCAAATTTCATCCTCATCTGTTACCTATCTCAGCATAATTCTCATAAAAACACATGTGCTCTCCCTGCTGATCGTGTCTGATTAATCTCCCAAACCTCAATCCCTTACAAAACAACAATTCCTTTCCTTCATAGGCATGGTTAGTGCGGTCAGAATTCTTACACAAGAGCCAGGACCACACCCTGTAGCCTTTCTGTCCAAACAACTTGACCTTACTGTTTTAGCCTAGCCATCATGTCTCCGTGCAGCGGCTGCTGCAGCCCTAATACTTTAGAGGCCCTCAAAATCACAAACTATGCTCAACTTACTCTCTACATTTCTCATAATTTCCAAAATCTATTTTCTTCCTCATACCTGACGCATATACTTTCTGCTCCACGGCTCCTTCAGCTGTACTCACTCTTTGTTAAGTCCCACAATTACCATTGTTCCTGGCCCGGACTTCAATCCAGCCTCCCACATTATTCCTGATACCACACCTGACACCCAAGACTGTATCTCTCTGATCCACCTGACATTCACCCCATTTCCCCATATTTCCTTCTTTCCTGTTCCTCAGCCTGATCACGCTTGATTTTTTTTTTTTTTTTTTTTTTTTTTGAGACGGAGTCTCGCTCTGTCGCCCAGGCCGGACTGCGGACTGCAGTGGCGCAATCTCGGCTCACTGCAAGCTCCGCTTCCCGGGTTCACGCCATTCTCCTGCCTCAGCCTCCCCAGTAGCTGGGACTACAGGCGCCCACGCTTGATTTATTGATGGCAGTTCCACCAGGCCTAATCATCACACACCAGCAAAGGCAGGCTATGCTACAGTACAAGCCACTAGCCCACCTCTTAGAACCTCTCATTTTCTTTACATCATGGAAATCTATCCTCAAGGAAATAACTTCTCAGTGTTCCATCTGCTATTCTACTACTCCTCAGGGATTATTCAGGCCCTTCCCTACACATCAAGCTCAAGGATTTGCCCCCACCCAGGACTGGCAAATTAGCTTTACTCAACATGCCCCTAGTCAGATAACTAAAATACCTCTTAGTCTAGGTAGACACTTTCACTGGATAAGTACAGGCCTTTCCTACAGGGTCTGAGAAGGCCACCGCAGTCATTTCTTCCCTTCTGTCAGACATAATTCCTCAGTTTAGCCTTCTCACCTCTATACAGTCTGATAACAGACCAGCCTTTATTAGCCAAATCAGCCAAGCAGTTTTTCAGGCTCTTAGTATTCAGTGAAACCTTTATATCCCTTACGGTCCTCCGTCTTCAGGAAAAGTAGAACGGACTAAAGGTCTTTTAAAAACACACCTCACCAAGCTCAGCCGCCAACTTAAAAAGGACTGGACAATACTTTTACCACTTTCCCTTCTCAGAAGTCAGGCCTGTCCTCGGAATGCTACAAAGTACAGCCCATTTGAGCTCCTGTATAGACGCTCCTTTTTATTAGGCCCCAGTCTCATTCCAGACACCAGACCAACTTAGACTGTGCCCCAAAAAAACTTGTCATCCCTACTATCTTCTGTCTAGTCATACTCCTATTCACCGTTCTCAACTACTCATACATGTCCTGCTCTTGTTTACACTGCCAGTTTACACTGTTTCTCCAAGCCATCACAGCTGACATCTCCTCATGCTATCCCCAAACTGCCACTCTTAACTCTTGAAGTAAATAAATAATCTTTGCTGGCAGGACTATGCTGAATCTCCTTAGGCACTCTCTAATCAGATGTCCTGAGTCGTCCCAATACTTAGACCTTTTATACCTGTTTTTCTCCTTCTCTTATTCCATTTAGTTTTTAATTCATACAAAACTGTATCCAGGCCATCACCAATAATTCTAAATGACAAATGTTTCTTCTAACAACCCCACAATATCACCCCTTACCACAAGACCTCCCTTCAGCTTAATCTCTCCCACTCTAGGTTCCCACGCCGCCCCTAATCCCGCTCGAAGCAGCCCTGAGAAACATCGCCCATTATCTCTCCATACCATCCCCCAAAATTTTCGCTGTCCCAACACTTTACCACTATTTCATTTTATTTTTCTTATTAATATAAGAAGACAGGAATGTCAGGCCTCTGAGCCCAAGCTAAGCCATCATATCCCCTGTGACCTGCACGTACACATCCAGATGGCCGGTTCCTGCCTTAACTGCTGACATTCCACCACGAAAGAAGTGAAAATGGCCTGTTCCTGCCTTAACTGATGACATTGTCTTGTGAAATTCCTTCTCCTGGCTCATCCTGGCTCAAAAGCTCCCCCACTGAGTACCTTGTGACCCCCACTCTGGCCTCCAGAGAACAACCCCCCTTTGACTGTAATTTTCCTTTACCTACCCAAATCCTATAAAACAGCCCCACCCCTATCTCCCTTCGCTGACTCTCTTTTCGGACTCAGCCCACCTGCACCCAGGTGAAATAAATAGCTTTATTGCTCACACAAAGCCTGTTTGGTGGTCTCTTCACACGGACTCACATGAAAGTCACTACAATAGAAATTGGGTATTTTCTTTTGGTTTTAAAAATCTGAAAACTGTAAACATAATACAAAGAAAACCATTGTGATTAAATAGCTTTTTTGAGTTCCAAGTTGTTTTTATGCCTGTACTGTCCATCCCAAAGTGGATTATTCTCAATGTATTTCCATAAGAAGATGAAATGTTACTAGTGTTCTTTGAATAATAAAGCATGAAAAAAGAGAGAGAGAGAGAGAAGAGAACCTAATTTGACATGTGGCAGAGAAAGTTGCACGGTGATCTGATTGGGAAATTCTTGGTAAAACAGGAGGAAATGA
The DNA here is from genome assembly GCF_000001405.40 of Homo sapiens. Classification (NCBI taxonomy): domain Eukaryota; kingdom Metazoa; phylum Chordata; class Mammalia; order Primates; family Hominidae; genus Homo; species Homo sapiens. The sequence continues at coordinate 216,014,184 of NC_000001.11, forward strand.
TGAGGGAAAGGGAAAAAAATGGAGAAGAGGAGGAGGCATCAGGTTGGGCGTGGGGGGAAGGAGTAGTCATGTGTAAAATGTATGAATGGAATGAGAGAGTTTTTAAAAACAGTTAACAAAAAGAAATGAAAAAAAGATTGGTTACAGGGAAGTGAGGCTGATAAATTCTTTGAGAGTGAAGCCATAAACAAAGCCACCAATTTGAAATTTAAAGCAAAGAGGAAAGTAATGACAACTCTCCTCCTAGCTTAACTGCAACTGATTTGGTAATATGTCTCTATAGATGTGATTAGGCACTTCAAGGGCAACACAAATGGATCAACGGATTCAAACAATTGCAGGTATGTACACAAATCTGAGTTGGGTAAATGGAGGGTGGGGAAACCCTGAAAACATAAGGCCACTGTTTGTAAGAGCCCCTGAGCAACAACATCTTGTTTTCCATTTGCTTGATTGCATCATTTGCATAAGATCAAACACAGGGAGTTGTGGACAGGGAAAAACAGATCACTCTAATATGCATTAGAAATGGATCCACAGGCATTATCCTTAGACGTGTTACAAGGAAATGCATCCCAGTGCATGGAAACCTTACCGATTACTGTCAAGCAAACTATAATTTACAATACTGGCCATGAATTATGTGCTATTTTACGATTGATTTCATGCTGTTGTTCAGAGAATTTCATTGATCTCAATTTACAAAATGAACCAGTAAGTAGGTGATGATTTTCTTTAAACTCATGGTGTAAACTGAGGAATTTATATCTTCTTATTTGTTTCTACCATCAGAAAATTACATAGCACTTTTTTGCTTCTTTATGATCTAATACATATTGTCTGGGTCTTCTTCCGAAAACTTCTTAATATTTCATAAATTAAAAACACAGCTTTTTCCTGGTTTTCCTTTCTTCTCTCTGTGCAACCTTCCCACAAATCATCAATTAGATGTTTAAAAATTTTAGAGCAATATAGGTAGCACTGACCACATCATCTTGCTATTTGGTATTCCAACCTGAGAACCTCTGCTAGGTTATGGTTCAGTGAGAACACATCTTCGGCAGCAAACCTAAGGGGTGATATGTTTCTCGTAGATGCCTGAAAAGCAATGAGCTGCGCCAGAATGCATGTGGAATATCAGGTTGCATTCATCTCTGCCATTGTGTAGCCCTTGCTCCACAATTGCTTGCTCAGCATTTTGATTCCAGGAGAACCAGATTCTGACCTTATAATTAATAAAAACAGGGGCTTTATTCAGCCTGAACATCCTTGCTCTCCTTTTCCTCATAGGAGCCTTAACCTTGCAACATGCTTTTCTTTGGCCAGATGAGCAATTAACCATCACTGAGATCCAGTCCTGTGCTTTCAAACTGATCTGTAGAGTTGAAATCACTTTGAGGAATCGCCACACTGTCTTCCACAATGGTTGAACTAGTTTACAGTCCCACCAACAGTGTAAAAGCATTCCTATTTCTCCACATCCTCTCCAGCACCTTCTGTTTTCTGACTTTTTAATGATCGCCATGCTAACTGGTGTGAGATGGTATCTCATTGTGGTTTTGATTTGCATTTCTCTGATGGCCAGTGATGATGAGCATTTTTTCATGTGTCTGGATCTAGAACTAGAAATACCACTTGACCTAGCTATCCCATTACTGGGCATATACCCAAAGGATTATAAATCATGCTGCTATAAAGACACATGCATACGTATGTTTATTGCCGCACTATTCACAATAGCAAAGACTTGGAACCAACCCAAACGTCCATCAATGAAAGACTGGATTAAGAAAATTTGGTACATATACACCATGGAATACTATGTAGCCATAAAAAAGGATGAGTTCATGTCCTTTGCAGGGACATGGATGAAGCTGGAAACCATCATTCTGGGCAAACTATTGCAAGGACAGAAAACCAAACACCGCATGTTCTCACTCATAGGTGGGAACTGAACAATGAGAGCACATGGACACAGGGTGGGGAACATCACACACCAGGGCCTGCTGGGGGGTGGGCGGGGAGGGGAGGGATAGCATTAGGAGATATACCTAATGTAAATGACGAGTTAACAAGTGCATCACACCAACATGGCACATGTATACATATGTAACAAACCTGCACGTTTTGCACATGTACCCTAGAACTTAAAGTAAAATAATTTAAAAAAGGAAAAAACAAAAACAAAAAGAAAAGAAATCGCTTTGCTATGATAAGGACTTATATTTAAAACTGAACACAAACCACATACTAAACTCAACAAATTCTTCCATTTGTGCTTATGTTTTCCACCTTATCAGAGAAATCCACATCCCTCCCTTTCATGAAAACCCTGTTCAATGTTTGCATTATCCATGAAACATCTCCTGACTCTCTTCAACATATGCGTAGTTTGTACTCTACTGAGTTGCCCTTTTAATAAATTTCTCTTGTAAGCATCCTTATACCAGTCATCAGTAGTTACAGTGTTATAAGCGCTTTGAGAACAAGGATGTATCTTATGACCCCTAACACCTTGGACACTCCTAATTGTTGAATAGTAAAACCTTTCTGCAATAAGAAAACTGGCAAAAAAGAAAGGAGGACCTGGTGCCTCCAACACATTTGCAGCAGGTGGCATGTGGTAGGGGAGCCCAGCCTGCTGAGGGTTTTCAGTCACTACTTTGTGTGTGTGTGTGTGTGTAGTGGGGGCGGGGGTGGGAGGTAAGGGAGAACCCTTATTGTCAGTTGTGATAGTGAAGGATGATGCTTCTTCATTTCCCTCTTTTCTTCTGTGGCTGGTTAGAATAAAAAGGCGTCCATGAAAAACTCCTTAGGCTGACAGCATTCTTAGCTAGCTGCCTTCTACTCTGGCTTCCTGAACATCTCTAATACCCCATTTGTAATAATTATAAAATATTGAACCCAGGATTTTTTTCTTGGTTACTTTTATGATATAAAATGAGAGAAAGCCCCTCGTTTCATCCATCCATCCCTTCCTCCCTCTTTCCTTCTCTCTCAGTCTCCTCTCGTGTTCTCTCTCTATCTTGCTATGGTTCTCTGTCTCCATCTACACACACATACAAAAACACACACGCACACACACAAACATCCTACTGACTCCCCTACTTTGCCTCTGCACAAGGATAGATATAGAATTAGGGAGGCATCAGTTAGCTTTTGATCTTCATCAATGCTTTCGATTCATAAACTAAAGAGGAGATAATCGAGATAACTTTATAGAGTTATTATTTGAACAAACTTAGTTGCATAACTTGGCTAAATCTTTCTTGCAAAACTGGAGGTTTTTCTCTCAGAATTAGTTGGATATTTGCTACTATCATATTCTTTAACAAGATTAGGAATCAATTAATACTTTGTAAGAAAATATTCATGTGACATACAATATATAATATCTTGTTAGGCAACAGAAGTTAATAATGAGACATAATAAGAATAATAAGTTCCTGACTACCTGTGGCAGGAAAAGAGTAGGTTTATGAATCAGTGTTCCCTTTCAAATATCGTAGTGAAGATTAAGATGCTGTTAATTCAGTAATAATCATGGCTATATCACTGACTGCTACTTGCTGTTTGCCAGGCAGTGCTAAGTCTATTGTCAGCTTAGTAAAGTATCACCTGAGAATGGTTCTCAATGAAAACCTATAATCAATCCTTAAATATTATTTTAATACTATTTCAACCTAGCCCTATACTACGCCTTATATAGCATAAGAAAGTAATGAATCTCTATCCTCAATGGCCAAGATATCTCTTTTGGGTGGCAAGACATACACATTTCTTTTTTGGCATAGTCTCATGCTACCCTTAAGACACAAATCAAATGCCACACCCTATAAGAAACCTTCTCAAACTCTTTCAGTTTGGATTAATTTCTCTTTTGTGCTTCACTAGTGTCATTTTTACTACTATTATAACATTTAATATGGATTACTGTATTATTGGGTACATTCTTAATTACACCTTAAGCATAAACTCTTAGAAGTAGAATTTCCCAGTCAAAGAGGGATCATTTGGGGTCCTCCTGACAAGGGAGAAGATGGCACACTGAAATGGAATTATTGAAGAGAAATATGTCAGGGACTATTTACAGGATTTGGGCCAGGCTTAAGGGGCACATTCAAGAATAAGAACGCAGCTAGTGGCTAAACACAGACCAAGCCATTGCTGCCTTAGGCTGAGGACCACATCCAGCTGGAAAGACAGCTGTACTGTAGGAAGGGCCTCCCCTCAATGGAGGAACAGCTACTGCCCATCTGAACCCTTGCAAGCACAGAGCCTGGGGACCCTTGCAAGCACAGAGCCTGAGGAATAAACACTTCGGCCTCATTCCCTCCTGTCTGTTGTTCTCTTTATTGTGTCTTACGTTGGCAGAACCCAAAGAGAATCCAGAGGCTAAAGCTCAGGACAAGGTAGAGAAAAGTAGAGCACACATTTACAGGGGGGATTGAGACCATACAGAACAAAACTGTGGCACATTATGATATAAATTGCCAATTTTCATTCACAGCAGCATTATGTGAAAGAGCTCTTTTCTCCATCTTCTAATCAATATGGAAAAATCTAATTTTAAAAAATATTTACACATTTGAAAAATGTTAAGTAGCATCTCATTTATTATTATTATTATTATCTCTGTGACTATATTTACATATTTTTTTCTTTTTGGATGTGCCTGTTTATCTAATTGACCCATATCTAATAGTGTTTCTCTTTTTCTAATTGAAAGCTAATAAGTCAACATTACTTGGATATAGCACCTAGTATAGTGCCTATTACTTAGCAAGCTATCAATAGATATTTATTAAATAAGTATGCTATAAAGTATTTTGTTCTAGTTTGTCACTTGTTTTATCATTTCAATAATGGTTTTATTTTGCTATATAGACAATTTAAATCTTTATGCAGTCAAGTATGACAATATTTTCCTAGAATTTTATCTGGCTAGAAGAATATACAATACTTCAAAAAGGAGATAGAACTTAAATTGAAAATTGCTTAGGTTTTAAAGCAGTGGAGATAGAGAGTGAAGACATTCTGGATGGGAAGAGTTGGCAAAAAGACTGTAGCAAAATGCAGTACAAGCTTAAGGAGAAATGTTTAGCTTAGTTCAACATAGTTCAGTTTAGCTGGAGCACAGGACATACGAAAGAAGTGAAGGAAGTAATACTAAAAACCATTCTTTGGGGCCACCATTAAAGACCAGGCTAATAATTTTGTAGTAATTTTGTAGTAATGAATGCAATGGATGATAAAAATGGGGGGAGAAGTTAGAAGAGCTTTGTTTAGTCTTTGTTCTGGTGTTAGCTGCCTGCATGAACTTGGAAAAAAATAGTTGCCCTCATTGGATCTTAGTTTATTCATCTATAAAACGAGAAATCTGTGTTTATGTTAGATGCTTTCTAAGATTAAATTCTCTACTGTATGTCTATTTAATAAAAACAACTTGGCAATCAGAATTTTGTGATAAAATTGTCTGCTTCTTGGATACTTGCTCTAGTAGTTACAAAGGCTGGGAGAGCGTCACCCATTTAATTCATCATAAAATGTCTTGCAGTTTAATTTGGAGTGATATGCTGAGCAAGTACTCCTTAATAGCTTTGAATATAAGAAGACAGCGGGTAGGATGAGCACAATGGAGTAGCAGACTTTAAATTGTAAGGTTAGGTTGTAAATAAATATCCTATTAGAATTATGCTGTATACCTACTTGCAAAAAACACAATGCATCATATGCAACAGTTGCATGTTAAAAAGCTGGTAAAGTGTTTGATGTTGCAAGTGTAAATTAACAACTAGTAGTATTTGGCCCATTATAAGATATTTAATGGATTGTCTATCTTTGAATCATTTCTGTAGAATGATGAGCTTTTCTCTTTTAAAACAGCAATTTTCAAATCACAGTCTGTTGACATTTCTGTGGGAAAGACACTTATAAGTGTTCACACTATGACAACACCTTTTTTATTTCTGAATTAATTCATATAATACTGATGATTTTAAATAAAATAATACATCTGTGATGGTTACTTTTGTGTGACAACTTGGCCAGGCTATGGTATCCACTTGTTTGATCAAACACCAATCTAAATGTTGCTATAAAGTTATTATTTAGATGTGATTAACATTTATTTATAGATAGTTGACTTTAAGTAAATTACCCTACATAGTATGGGTTGGCCACATCCGATCAGTTGAAAGCCTTTAGAGCAAAGATTGAAATTTCCCAAAGATGAAAGAATTCTGCCTCAAGACTGCATGATAAAAATTCTATGGGAGTTTCCAGTCTGCTGGCCTGCAGTGATATAAGAAGATATTTGGTCTTTGTACCAGGTTTCTGGCACAGAACTCTTAAAATCCTTGGAATTTTCTGAGTGATAAAGATGATAGTAGCATCTTTTGTTCTAATTAAGTGACTGTCAGACGGCCCCTAGACTACTTCAAAATAAGGGCTGTTCCCCAGAAAGACCAAACCTTGATTAGAAGCTTGGAACTTTCAGCTTCACTACTCAATCAGCAACCGCTTGGGAGAAGGGGAGTGGCTGGAAATTGAGTCAATCATCAATGGCTAATGATTTGATCAATCATGCCTATGTCATGAAACCTCCTAAAAGCCCCTAAACAGAATTTGAGGAGGTTTGTCATCTGGCTGTTTATATGCATCCTTTAAAATAAACTGCAATAGTAAGTAGAGCATTTTCTTGAGTTCTGTGAGTCATTCTAGCAAATTATCAACCCTGAAGAGGGGGTTGTGGGAACCCAAGACTGTGTAGCTCAGCTGGAGAGAATTGTGGCTAAAGTGGGGACTCAATACTTGTGCCTGGCCTCTGAAGGGAAGGTAGTCTTGTGGGACTGGGCTCTTAAATCTATGGAGTCTTACTCTAACTCCAGGTAGTTACTGTCAGAACTGAGCTGAACTATAGCATGCCTAGTGAGTGTCAGAGAATTGAAGAAGTGGTGTTGGAAAAGACACCACATTTTGTGTCATGAGGAACAAAAACCTCTCATCTGCCCTGATGTGGTTTGGCTGTGTCCCTGCCCAGATCTCATCTTGAATTGTAGCTCCCATAATTCCCACGTGTTGTGGGAGGGACCCGGTGGGAGATGATTGAATCATGGAGGCAGTTTCCCCCATACTGTTCTCGTGGTAGTGAATAAGTCTCATAAGATCTGACCATTTTATAAGAGGTTTCCCCTTTCGCTTGGTTCTCATTCTCTATTGTCTGCTGCCATGTAAGACATCTCTTGCTCTTCTGCCATGATTATGAGGCCTCCACAGCCATGTGGAACAGTGAGTCAATTAAACCTCCTTTTTTATAAATTACCCAGTCTTGAGTATGTCTCTATTAGCAGCGTGAGAACAGACTAATACGTGCCCTGAAGATTTTGGTCCCAAGACTACAACACTAACTCTTCCCTGGATATCTAGCCTGCTAACATGCCCTGCAGACTTCAGATTTTAGATTTGTCAGCTCCCACAGTCATGTGAGCCAATTCCTTACAATAAATCTCTCTTTCTCCATTCTGTTTGTCTGAGAACCCTAATGGAACATCTTTGGTATCTCATAAAAGGAGGACCTGATTGTGAGTGTAAGATATATTTAGATCTGCCTGGGTATATCTGGCAAATTGGGTGGTGCTATGGTTTGGATAGGGTTTGTTTGGCCCTGCCAAATCTCATGTTGCAATTTGATCCCCAACATTGAGGCTGAGCCTTTTAGGAGGTGTTTGGATCTTGGGGTCAGATCCCTCATGAGTGGCTTGGCATCATTCTCATGGGAGTGAATGAGTTCTCACTCTTAGCTCCCACAAGAACTGGCTGTTGAAAAAGAGCCTGACACTTCCTCCTCTCTCTCTCTCTCTTGCTTCTTCTCTCATCATGATATATCTGCTCCCCTTCACCTTCCACCATGAGTAAAAGCTCCCTGAGGCCTCCTCAGAATCAGATGCTGCCATGCTTCCTGTACAGCCTCCAGAACCGTGAGCCAATTAAACCTCTTTTCTTTATAAATTACCCAGTCTTGGGTGATTCCTTTATAGGAACACTAAATGGACTGAGACAGGTGGCCAGGCTACCAGCAGCATACTGCCATTAGAACTGGGGAGTGGCATTCTTGGCGTGGGGTTGTGGGGGACAGTCATGGAAAGAGGGAACACCTCTGGGTGTGCTGTTAACTCAGATATCTCTGAACATTGTGAACAACGTGGGAGATAACCCAGCGAAAGCCCATGCACTGGAAAACATTTTGAAGAATTCACCATGAGAGAAATCGGAGCCAGGTATGGTGCCCTGGTTCTCAGAAGAGAGAGATCATTCTGAGAGCCTTGGCTAGTTTACTCAGATTTGTATTTAGAGTAAAACAAAGAAGATCTGTTTTGTTAAACCTTTAAGATACCAAAATCTACTCAGTATTCTTTTAGGACTCACTTAAGAAAGAGGGAGGCAAGGAAGAAAGACATTTTTCCACCACTACTTTTAACATAGTCTCATTCAGCTTTGGTACTAGCAGAATACAGAACAGTGATACAGATATAACAGCAGAGGGGCATATTAGAATCGACTGGGACAGCTCTACCTAGCAAAGCAGTCCTGGTACTCACCTGACGAGGAATATCTAAGGTGGCCCCTGGTGGAAAACTATTCCACCTGGCACAGCAGTGGGAGAGCTCAGGTACCTGGTGGAGCAGCAATGGAAGAATAGCAGTGCTCCTTATGCCCATAGATGATGGTGTTTATCCAGAGAAGGGACATGGAGATGCCCAGTGGAGTAACCGTGGCACTTAGCCAATTGGTGTCCAGCTTGATCCTAAGTGCAAGTGAGAAAACCCATATGGACTCCCCAGAAATGCATGAGGATTAGTTTGCTGGAGGCAGAGATCATCTACAGCAGGTGAGGGCAATGAGGCAGTGAAATACAAATATTAGAACTAATGAGACTTATTTGTACATTCAGATTAATGGGATCTAGGAAAATTCAAGATAAATCTATCTATATCTATATCTATATATCTACCTGATCTATCTGTCATCTGTTTACCTACATCCACTTCAAGGTACAATCAATGGGTGCTCACTACATCAAAACTTGTGCTTTGGGACTCTATGTTTCTTAGATGGACAATGTCTTTAAAGCATGGATTTAGGAAAGGAAAGTGAAAATCAATACAGTTTGTAGGTGATAAAAGAGACAGGAGATTTGGGTCTCTTTCTCCCTTTTTTTATGTAACCCCCAAACACCTTTTCTTCTTTTCCTCTTAAAAACTGTTCAAAGCAGACAAAAAAAAAAAAAAAAAAAAAAATCAAAAAACAAAAGACACAAAAGATAGAGTGAGATATTGTTTTTGACCTTGAGGAGAGAAAAACAACAAAACCTCATTTGAGTAACAGTATACATACACACAAACCATATTTTATAAAAATTAGGAAATACTATATAATTATATACAGTAGATGGAAGATAATTTATCTGAATTTAGGACTGCTTGGCTATATTTATGCACATCGAAAGTATGCGTTAACATTACATTTAGATACAAGTCATTTAAAAACAGTACCTGGAATAGGATGGTATTATGTGTTTGTTAGCTAAAAATTAATAAAAGGGATTATGCTTTTATTTGTACGATGAATTGCATTTTCCTTTTTTTTCAGGAAACTAATTCTTTAAAGGTTGGGGTGCAGATGTATGCACATAGTGAAAAATTAAAACTAGTAGAGTACAAAATGAAAAGCAAAAGCCTCCTCACATTCCCAGCTCAGTCCTTAAAACTTTAAACACTGGGATAAGAGACTGACATAAACTGAGATTGTTATATAAGTTTCACTTATAAAGGTGGTACTAGCCATATCTGAGTTTGATTAATAACCATATAATCATTTCCTTTTTCTTCTTTGATGCACTTGCTATTGTGGAAAGCTAAGAACCATTGCAAAAGCAGGCAGGCAAACTTTAAATAATATTGGATGGCATTATGGTTTAGGGAAACAAAATGAAACAAAAACAAAACAAAAGAGGAGACAAAGAATTAGCAAGAGCTGAGCGCCAGTTTAGAGTTATTTGTGTAAACATGAGTGAATCACTGGAGCTTTAGGCCTCAGTTTTCTCATTTGTTAAAAAGAAAAACAGAATAGGAAGAGTATATTATTTATCACATCTATACCTACAATTGTTGTGAGGATAACATAAAACAAGTGGCCATACCAGCATTTTGTAAAGGAGAATGCATTATACAGGTAAGAATTAACAAGTTTAAATCATTATCAAAAATAGCAGAGGCTAACTGATCTTTTAATGTAGAAGCCATTCTCATTAATGAATGTTCATAAATACTGGGAATAATACTTTAAAATATGTATTATGTAATTATGTAAATTCCAGTATAGATTTTTTCAACTAAATCTAAAACATATAGTTAAATTTTTATAAAAGGAAACATGTATTTGACTTAGCACATTGAGGAAAAGCATTTTTGTCATTCCTTCATTTATTAATTCCATAAGTATTTGTTGGACAGCTACTTTGTGCATCTACTATGCATTTTATGTGATGAGATATAGCAGATAGCGAGATGTGTACAAGATAATTTCAGGTATCTGTTTTGAATTATACACTGTTCTGGGTTATAATTCCCAAACTTCACAGATGCCATGTTTTATCTGACATAGGTTTTATAATATACCAATGATTTTAAGCCACTTTATATTGTTTCAGTCAATTACAATATAAAACGGTGAATGATTTTAGAAGAATATTTATGCTAAAGTACAAATTATAGTCTATCTCCTATTATGGAGATTGAGCTACTTATAAGAAGAACTAATTTAGGTAAATACTAAAGTTTCACTGATTAGTAACAAATTTCAGTGAGGATAACAACATTTAAATATGTATAGATAAAAATTCAAGATAATATTAGCATTAATATTTTATTGTTGCCCTCTGATCTCAGTTTTTCAAGCTCTTTTGTTTTTTATATTACATAGTAAGTCACATATGAAAGTAAATTGTGAGAGTATTAATAAAATATAAATTCAGAGTATTGATGGGCTTCTATGCCCATCAAACAGAGAAAATAAATTAATATATACACATTTAATTTGTCTTAGACTAAATACTTTTGTTTCTAAGTTTATATTTGGTCTGTAGCCTTAGCATCACTGAAATTATCATGAACTTTTCTTAGAGCTTTCATGGTAGTAATTTTACAATATTTTTATTTTCTGAATTAGTCTCTGATAGTCTCCTTAAATTCTGTGATTAATGTTTGGTTAGTGTTAGTATTTTCGAGCTAATTTTATTTACAACATATCTTTTAAAGTCACATATTTATTTATGGTGATAGAGTGGAATACAACGGTCATTAAAACCACATAGTATGAAAATATGTAAGGCAAGCTTCAATTTTTATGAAATGTTTTTTCAGAGGAAGTTTTCAATAGATGCTGTATTTGAGAAATGTCCACTCAAAAGTTTGTTGGAGTTCAGTTTACAGTAAAGGTATGTGCCTTTATAGAAACCATTTATTTGATTTATATTTTAAAAACCATGCTTAACTTTATAGCAATGATTCAGCTGAGGGGAAATCTCTTAAAATTATCTATATAGTCTTTTCCACATCCAGAGTTCCACCCTAATGGGATTTATGATCTGCATCCTCTTGATTTTTGCATAATAGAGCTACACAAGTGGCAGAAAGTGACTTTCTAATCTCCCTACATGAAATAGATATTCAAAAATTTCATATGTGCTAGTATATTCTAGAAGTTGCTGGGCTCATGTATACAATAGGGAGGGAAAAATAGAGAGGGCAATACAAGAATATTGTCATTGCAAAATAGCCTTTTAAAGGTGTGGTATACGAGACAAACTTTCCTAAACTCTACTGGATTTGTTTTTAAACTCGAACTATTTTTCTCCTGTTCTAGGTTTGAATGAGAGTGGAAGGTATAGTAAACATGGGGATGGAATTTTCATCCAAGCAAACAGGATGCCCTTGTTTAGGTCGTGTGCCATTCGCAGTTTTCCTCTCATAGTAAAACAAGCATTTATTTCTAAAATATGCACCAACCTTGTGGTTGTAATTACATAGAATTTATTCACTTAACTACCTTGAATATTTAAAATAATTGATCAATTTTTTTACTTTAATATAATCAAAACATGTATTTGTAGCCATGGATGGCATCTCTCAGGGGTTTTGTGCAAATTTTGTGCTTATGAGCTTTGCAATAGTCATGTGGCCAAACAATACAGAGAAATAGGAAATAAACATTTTATCCAATGTATGTCAAGCATTGGTACACTTCTGTGATACAAACAGATTTAGGTTAGTCTTAGGTCAACTACTGTGTCTCTGAACATCCTTACCAGTCTGGCATTCTGATAAATTCTCCACATAATGACATCTAGTTTTCATGAAAAAATTAATTCTCCCCTTCATTCTGAAAACTATTTATTGTTCTCCTACTATACACATATGCTGATCCATGTCTTCAGGATGAAAGATGAAAGATAAAGTTCCTGCCCTCAAAGTACTCATGATCTAGTGAGAAAGACAATGAGGTTAATCAATCAATAATTCTAGCAGAGTATGCTACATGTTATGAGAGAGGGGTACACAAAGTGGAAAACTGTTAAACCACATATGTCTACAAGCACCAGGTCAATTCATAGTCAGATGGTTATATTTTCCCTGCCTCATTATCGTACTCAATAAAGATGAATGAAGAAGTGAATTAATGAAAGAACCACAGACAGGCATTCTTGAAAATATTTTGTTCTTATATTCTGTAGGCTTTATCCCCTCAAAAACTTGTGTATATAAATGTTTGCTTAATTTTTACTACCTTGGTGAGTAATAGTGCATAATCATTGCAAAGCAGACCCTCTGCTATAGGCTGAATTTTGTCCGTCCAAAATTCATAAATTGACATTCTAATCTTCAGAATGTAACCATATTTGGGGATGTGGTCTTTAAAGAGGTAATTAAGTCAAAATAAGGCCATTATGATGAGCCTTAATTCAATCGGACAGATGCCCTTATAAGAAGAGAAAATTTGGATGGGAATAAAGACACCAGGGTGTGCGTGTACAAAGAAAAGACCACGTAAGAACATTGCAAGAAGGCGGCAATTTGTAAGCCAAGGAGAGAGGCCTCAGAGGAAACCTAACCTATGGAAACCTTTGCCTTGGACTTCTAGCACCCAGAACTGTAAGACAATACATTCCTGTTGTTTAAGCCACTCAGCCTGTATTTTGTCATGGCAGCCCTAGCTAACTAATATACCTACCATTCCTGTGAGTGGATTAGAAATATACGTTATTATTTCAGGTCCGTAGTTAATTAAAACAGGGGTGTTATAAGGTCATGCAACAGTAGAATCACAAAAATTCCAGTTTATGTTTCATCACTTTTCTTTACTGACTTGGAAGAAATGGCCCCCTCTTTATCAATGCTACACTCTGCAGACCTATAATTTCCACTTTTATCTCCTCAAATTCACTAGTTCACAATATTAGACAGCTCTTATTGAAAATCAGCAGACTAGCTTTAAATTTTAAAAACTGAAGTTAACATTTGAATAAGAGACAATTTAATTGACATGTTGTCTCCAAGAATACATTGATAATGCACTAAAGATATCAATGTTGTATTAATATTTTGAAACCACTGAATATAGTTAATAGTTTAATGAAATTTCCCATCATTCTTTTACTTTAAACATCTGGTAGAAATTTACGATTTGGGAGTCAGCACATTGTGTAAGCACCAAAATTCTAGTCCTAGCGATGACATTAACTAACTTTATGATTTCAGGCATATCAAATCAGTTTTCAGAATCTCTATTTCTTCACTGAGAAAATGGGAATAAAATTTGAACCCTTATACACATCATTGGGTAATTTAAAGATTCACAGAAGTGGCCGGGTGCAGTGGCTCATGCCTGTAATCTCAGCACTTTGGGAAGCCAAGGTGGGCGGAATACTTGAGGTCAGGAGTTCGAGACCAGCCGGGCTAACACGGTGAAACCCTGTCTCTACTAAAAGTACAAAAATTAGCTGGGTGTGGTGGTGCATGCCTGTAATCGCAGCTACTCAGGAGACTAAGGCAGGAGAATGGCTTGAACCCAGGAGGCGGGGTTGCAGTGAGCCAAAATCATTCTACTACACACCAGCCTGGGCGACAGAGTGAGACCCTGTCTCAATAAATAAATGAATAAATAAATAAATAAATAAATAAAAATATTCACAGAAGCTGGAATATGTGAAAATATTTTTGAAAGTATAAATTATCAAAGAAAATCTCAGGAAATATTTATCTATTCTTGAAGTGAAGAAAATCTAAGTGTTTCTATTTAAGGAAGACACTATGCTGGAAAATATATCTAAATTTGAATTGACTACAAGTTTTAAAAATGTCTTAATTTAAAAACCACCATAAACAAAGTAAAAAAATACAAAAGACAAAGCGGAAAAAAATAACTGTCATATAGAGTGCATGCAAATGGTTAGCATCCTTCATATATATTAAAACATTTACAAAATAGGAAGAAGAATATATCATTTTAAATAATGCATAAACACATTTGTGGTATTAATTTTAAAAAACTTAAAATGCACATACACAAAATGTTACATAAAAGAATGCTGAGCAAGCAATTTGGTAATAAGCTTAGTATATTATAAAGTGGTAAAAAGTTGTAAAACAGTCTGGTCCCAATTATATGTTTGTATCTGTGCTTTAATAATAAAAAAACAGACTTTAAATGCATAAGCCAAAATATAATTAGTGATTGTGTCTGGTAGATAAAATTGTGGACAATTTGAATTTTTCTTTATATTTTTCCAAGTTTTCTTTAACATTTAAAATTTACCATTTTGTAGTAATTTTATTTTTAAATTGTACTTAATTTTGAATGAATAATGCATTAATATATATTCATGGTACGATAGCCAAAATGTACAGAAGACCTTACATAAAAATTAAGACTCTCTCCACCTTTGTGTCACTATTACCCAGTTTTCTCCTAGGAATTTAGCAATTATTGAATTTATATGTATGCCTCCAGATGTAGTCTACATACATATAACCAAACAAATAAACATTAGCAGAATATAGAATATACTTTTCTGCACAAGTGCTTTACAATATACACTTTGAAGATATTCTCCTATTGATAAAGATTTGCTTGTTCTATTGTGTCCACATATTTTGTGTACATATTAGTTATTAGCCATAACTTGTTTAACTAGTAGTCTAGTGATGTTCATTACATTTTTAATTATGTTATGTTACATATGTGTGTGTATAGCCAGAAAAATCAAAACCTTTGAAACAATCTCAAGCACAATGAAATATTTGTGATGCTATTTATTACAAATTTGGTAACTTTTATTAGTGTCATATAGCCACAAGATTTAAGCAAGGTAACTGAAACAGAAGATAAAACAGTGTACAAACCAGGATATATAGGGTCATTGCAGTTTACCACTGTATTTTCAGCAATTCTCTTAACGTCCAGAAAATAGTAGTTATTATATATATTGAATATGTACAAATGAATAAGATAGGGCACTTAAACTATCTAGACTTCAGCTACAAAACCATTACCAGGGTCATGATGCGTTGTTAATGGTATTAGGAGGGCCCTGTTATGATGTCCTAACACAGACAATAAAAATCAAAAGAAATGTTCATCACAGCACTATTCATGATAGCAAAGACATGGAATCAACCTAAATGCCCATCACTGATAGAATGGTTAAAGAAAATGTGATAGATAGATAGAGAGAGATATAGATATATCATAGATATATAATATATGATATATATGATATATATCACAGATATATAATATATGGTATATATGATATATCACAGATATATAATATATGATATATATGATATACATCACAGATATATAATATATGGTATATATGATATACATAACAGATATATAATATATATGATATATAGATATACATAACAGATATATAATATATATGATATATAGATCTACATCACACATATATTATATATGATATATAGATATACATCACAGATATATAATATATATGATATATAGATATGTATCACAGATATATAATATATAAGATATATAGATATATATCACAGATATATAATATATATGATATATAGATATACATCACAGATATATAATATATATGATATATAGATATACATCACAGATATATATATGATATATAGATATATATCACAGACATATAATATATATGATATATAGATATATATCACAGACATATAATATATATGATATATAGATATATATCACAGATATATAAATGATATATAGATATATATCACAGATATATAAATGATATATAGATATATATCACAGATATATAAATGATATATAGATATATATCACAGATATATAAATGATATATAGATATATATCACAGATATATAATATATACGATATATATATATAAATCAAAATACACTGATAATATCAAATATACTGTTAAAGACATATTCAATTTAAGATAGCTATCAAGTATTGGGGTGAGTGAAAAAGAAGTTTTCTTTCCAGTTTCATGAATGAGTCATTCCTTGACTGAAAGAAGTGACCTGACCTTTCCTAGGTATTAATTTTTTTAATCTACAATACAGAGATACTATTTAGAAAAGAATTTGTAAAATTATCAAAGGAATTTTGTCCTTTAGGGAACCAAAGGATTTATATAGACTCTCTAAAAAACAATAAAAAAAAACTGACAAAAGACATGAGGAAAGAATACTTTGAATTTAATTTCTGCCTTTTTTTTCTTCTTGTATATCCAACACAACTGGATTCCCCTAATATCCCTGATATCTGTGTACTGGGCATTTCTCTATATCATTTACAGCTTTAGAGATTTTAATCCCTCTCTTCCTTTATTTTGAGAGAAAGGACATCCTCATAATCTGAGAATTCAGGGGCTGTTAATAATGGTATTCTCCTACAGTTTACTAAATTTCCTAAATCAGATAGAAAGACAAAGACCCTAAAGCTTATCCAGATGTGCTTTTATAATGATGTCACTAGGCTTTACCCCATAATTGAGCCCCCTATAAATATATGGTTGTAGGCTTAGTATCTACAGCAAGGTTAATGGAAATCTGCACCAAGGGTAAATACTTTAGCAGATTGTGTCATCAGGAAATATTTAAACACTATTTAAAAGGATTTAAAATAAGCAGATTTTATTTTACACTGACTAATGCATATAAATACAATACAATAGAGCTGTTAACAAATAAACATAATGCGTTTCTCTCCTCTCCTCATCCTTTTGCCATCTGTATTGTTAAGTCCAATTAGCTTCTTGCATTTAGTGTTCTAACCCACTTGTCCTTATGCCTGCTAAATGGAGAAAACAGCTACACAGACTCAGTCTTCGCTATGTTGAAGCAATGATATGTTCCAACTATGTGTTTTCTAAAGCACTGATTGTCTTGTGGTATTTCTGAAAATCCTTCAATGGTTCTCTCTTGCTTCAGAACAAAGTTCAAATATCTCAACATAACTTAGCACCTTTGATAATCTCAATCCCACCTTGCTTCTCACTATTGATTACTTACCCAGGGTGCACACTCATATTAAACTCTTCCCTCTTTAATTTTTGTGAAATGCGCATTAATAGTTCTGTGTCTAGTGACTACGCAACCATGGTCCTTATGTTTGCCTGTTCCTCAGTTCTTAAACTCGACTCTAAAGCCTGTGAACATTCTTCTGTGACACTTTATCTTCCACACTGGGTTGAACCCTTCTCTTTTGTTGTCACACATGTTACAGAATTTACCACAGGTTGGACAGCATTCTATTTAGTTTTATGTATTTCTGTCTAAGCAATTGAACTGGGAATGATTTGAGGAAGAATGACAGTATCTTAGTTTTATAAATAACTTCTAACCTCTGAGGTACATAGTACCTGCTCAACAAATATTTTCTGAGTTAAATTGAACATGAAGTTTAGAGACATGCTTTTTTTTTGCATGCAGAGGATGTTTTGCATTAAGAATATTTATGATGATATAACAATAATTTCCTTATTTCTGCGACTAATAGCATGGGTTGTTGATTATTTACCATTTTTAGAAGAGTTATGGGACCTATGCTAATCTTTTTATATGCACTATCACATTTAATTTTTATACTAAATCCCTAAAGTAGGTACTGTTGTTACCATTCTACCAGGAAACCAAGGCTTAGTAAGGTCACAGGGTAAGAACCATGCTTGAGTGATTCTGCTTCTGAACCTGTGGTAGGAAGAATTCTAAGAATGACTCCCAGTGACACACACCTATATACAATTTTCCCCCTTTGAGTGTGGGTGGAATCTGTGAATTTCATGAGATATCACACTTATGATTATCTTACCTTATATGGAGAAAAGGAAATGAATCCTGGTGGGTGCAAACTAACTACGAGCAATTTAAAGCAGAGTGTTTTCTCCAGCTGGAGGCAAAAGTCAGAGAGATTTGAAGCATGAGGGGGACTGGATATCCTCCATCATTGAGATGGAGGGAGCCATGTGAAAGGACCTGAGGTGGCCCCTAGAAGCTGATAGCAGCTCATGACTGACAGGCAACATGGAAACAGGGACCTTGGCCTTACCACTGCAAGAAACTGAATTCAGCCAGCAACCTGAATGAGTCTAGAAGTGAATTATTTCCCAGAGCCTTCAGATGAGAGCCCAAACTGCCCCAACTCTTGATTTTGGCCTTGTAAAGCCCTAATTACGAACCCAATTAAATCCACCCAAATTTCTGATTTACAGAACTTTGAGTTAGTACAAGGTATTGCTTTAATACCTTCACTCCCAGGCCTGGCCCATAACAATCTGCCATGATGATCTCTCAATCTTCTTCCTCATCTGCTGTAGCAATGGAAATAACTCCAGAGCTCCCTTGGAAGTCATGTGTTAAATAAGACAGAATCTGAATCTGCATCTGCCTGCATTCCTGAATGACTGTGCAGAAAAAGGAAACTCTGTGGACCAAACTTTGTATGCACTCAATGCTAAGTGAACAAGAAATAAACTTTTATTGTGTTTTCACTATTAAAAACTATCATCTCTCTGTATGTATATGTGTGTATGCTTATAACATCTAGGTTATTCTAACAAATATAGAGAAGGTTTTATAAGATCTGAGAACTCAAGGAAGACAATGATTCAGCCATGTAAAGAACTGGGGAAAGTAAATTCCAGTCAGAGTGAACAGAAAGTTCAAAAGTCTGCATGTAGGAAAAGGCATGTGGTATTTCACAAAACAAACCAACAGAAATAGAAAACCAATGTAGTGTTGTAGAAATAAATGAGAATAAAAGAATGATATAAGGCTAAGAAAGTAGATAGGAGCCAGGTGATAAGTGTAATAGGGCAACAGCAGTTTGGATTTTAAGACTGGATGTGCAGATCTCTTGAGCTCAGGAGTTCAAGACCAGCCTGGGCAACATGGTGAAACCTCATCTCTACAAAAATTAGCCAGGTGTAGTGGCATGCACCTGTGGCCCCAGCTACTCGGGAGGCAAGAGGATCATTTGAGCCCAAGAGGTCGAGGCTGCAGTGAGCTGTGAATGCGCCACTGCACTCCATCCAGCCTGGGTGACACAGGAAGACCCTGTCTTAAAACAAGAACAGCAAAAAAGTTTGGATGTGAAGGATGAAGGAGGAGTAATCAAAGATTAATGCTGGGTTTTTGTTTGGGAAAAAGAATGAATAGTGTTACTTTTCCCAAAGATAAAAAACTCAGAAAAAAGAGCACATTGGTAGGATGTGGCAGATAAAATAAATTCAGTTTTAAGGAGTTGGAGTAAAAACACTTGTAGCAGGAGTGCCCAATATGCAGTGAGAAAAATGTTCATGGCTTAGGAAAAATATCTGAAGACAAGGACTACTGAGTTTTCAAAGGGAGATTGTGTGGAATGTTTCAAGAGGAATCCTGGGGGAAACCAACATTTGTGCGTGGAAGAAAATGAGGAAGAGATCACACCAGAGCTTGAACAGTAATAGGGAAAATTGAGAAGGTGAGGTATCACAGACACCAAGAGAAGAATGTTCTGAGATGGAGGAATCATCAATAAAACATCATGAATTATACAACCTCCACTCTGTCCCTGAATTGGAGACTACCAGAACATTGACAATCTAGGTGAGAACAGTTTCAACTGAGTGGCAAAGTAGTTGTGGAGTCAATGGAGGTGTAGTGGATTGAATTTTGTCCTCCCAAAAGGTATCTCCATGTTTTAACTCCCTGTACATGTGAATGTCACCTCATTTGAAAATAAGGTATTTGCAGATGTCATGAAGTTAAGTTGAGGTCATACTGAAAGACGGGGAGCCCTAAATTGAATATGACTGTTATCCTTAGAGGAGGAGAGAACTTTAGAAGAAGGGAAAACACTATGTAATGATACAAGCAGAGATTGGGGTGACGCAACTGCAAGCCACTGACTGCCAGGATACCACTGACTGACAGACACCTGCCAGAAACCACTGACTGTCAGAATACCACTGACTGCCAGAAACCACTGGAGGGCGGGATAGGCAAGGAAGGATTCTCCCCTACAGTTTTCAGAGAGACAATGGGCCTACTGATACCTTCATTTCAAACTTCTAGCCTCTCAAACTTCAAGAGAATACATTTCTATTGTGTTAAGGCATCCCATTTTGGGTATTGTATTAAGCAGCACTAGGAAACTAATCACTCCTATAAAGAATCAAAGAAAGCAAGCCAGGGAAGTAAGAGATGTGATTGTGAAGATGCAAAAAGTAAGGCTGGGAGCATTCCAGATGGAATTGATTATCACCTTTTCTAAATATTTTCATTACTGTCATGGGCCATATCCATCTTAAAACTGATTGTGAACACACACCTTAAATTCTCTAATATGTTTTAGGTATTTCAGGAAAGTTTTAGAATGTTATTAATCACAGCATCAAATGCACAGCACTAGAGTTACACGTTGAATTGTGTTCTCCCCAAAATTCATATGTTGAAGTCCTAGCCTCTAGAACTGCAGTTGTAATTAGCTCAGATGAGCTCAACAAGGTGGGCCCAAATCCAATATGACTAGTGTCCTTATAAAAAGGAGAAATTTGTACACAGATAAGCACACAGGGAAAACATTATGTGAAGATGATGGCAGAGATTGGGATGATTCATATACAATCAAGAAATGCCAAATATCGCCAGCAAACAACCAAAACAAGGAGAGAGGGATGAAACAGATTCCTCCTCATAGCCTTCAGAAGAAACCAGTCTTGCCAATATCTTGATCTGGGACTCCCTGTCTCTAGAAGTGTGAGACAGTCAATTTCTGTTGTTTAAGCCATCTAGTTTGTGTTACTTTGTTACAATAGTCTTAGCAAGCTAAAACACATAATTGAGCAACAAATATTTGTATATATTTGCTATATATTGGATGATTAAATGAAAAATCCTAAGCTACAGGAAAGCCTACCTCAATAAAATTGTTTACCAAGTTTAGCATGTTAATTATATCCAAATTATGCATTGGTATTTATTGTTATTTTCTCTAAAATATTAATTTACTGAGTCTCAGTGTTTTTTCAACTTAATTCATTTAAACTCAATTCAGTGAGTTTGTTGGATGCCAGTTGGGTCCTTATTCCTATGTGAGATATTACAGAAATTTTGAAAATAAATAATGGCATAATAACTGTAACCAATGCACTTACATTCTTATTTTTAATCAAGATTTACTCCTTTGAAAATAAGTCAATATTGCAAGATAGAATGTGTCCAAATGACAAATGTGTAGGAATTTGATATGGAAGAGTCTATGAGTCAAATGAAGATGTGGGAATTGAGGTAGATCATCAAATATACATAACGTTTTGATGGTGGTAGATAGTGCTAGAGGTCATCTATGGTATTGGCTAGAAGGAAATTAGTAAGACGATCAACCTGATTAAATATAAGGTGAAGACTAGGGAAAACTAGAGATAAGTATTAATGGTTAAGTGTAGTCAGGTTCCCGAAATTTCTTTCCTTTCTATCAATTTTATCACATATATTAAAATTGGGAATAACATTACAAAAAGAATCTGACTTCTAATATCCAAACTGTAGAGAATTTAAAAGATTGAACGACTCTCAAGGAAAAGAAAAAAAAGCAATACCAGACTCCCATTATTAAGAGATAATCACTATTAGTATTTTGGTATATGTCCATATGGGGACATACCTATATATGTATATGTACACATCCATGTATATGTATCTATGTATATACACATATATTTTAACGAATTAGACTCAAATATGTGTAAAATATTTGTTGTTATTATCTTTCCAAATTAAATATTTTTCTACAGCATCATAAACTTTATGGTCACACAACATTACATTGTTGGAAACTCAGAATGGTTTATATGGTTTGTTTGTTGCTAGTGTACACGGGTCAGTGACTTCATGTGCTAAATTCTAATTGCACAGATGAAGCATTTCTATAATTATTTTCTAGATCTGAACTTGGAGAAAGAGGTAGATGTTTCAGTTTGCAAATTTTCCAATGGCTTTCTGGAAGACAGGAATTTAACAACTAACAACATCTTAGCAATTGCCTGTAGATCAGAGGGTTCTGAATGTAGGTACAGGAACACAAAAAATTGTTGTACTGATTTACTCTCCCTCCTATATCTCTAAGAAAAAGACAGTGACAAAAGAGAACATATAAGGGAACTACAAAAATTTCATGGAAAATGGAATTAAAAAATAAAAATATAACCTTTGTTTCTCAACATAAGCTCAATCAAGGTCAAGACATTTTTGTAAGTGATGATACCAGCCACTTAGTCCATCTCTGAATAACTGACTGTTCTGGGAATTTAACCATGTCAATGCAGTCTTTTTTACATTATTAACTGAAGAAAAATGGGTGCTCCTTAAAGATTTTTTTAAGATTAGGAAACGAAAAGAAGTCAGAAGGAACCAAATCAGAACTGTAAGATCCTAATGATTTTCCGTGAAAACTGTCATACAATTTCTCATGTTCAATGAGAGGAATGAGCAGGGGCATCATCATGGTGAAGAAGGACTCTAGTGAAGCTGTCCTGGGCATTTTAATGCTAAAGCTTTGGCTAACATTCTCAAAACACTGTCATCATTAGCAGATGTTATTGTTTTTTGGTCCTCCAGAAAACCAACAAGCAAAATGCCTCAAGCATCCCCAAAAAACTTTTGCCATGACCTTTGCTCTTGACTGGTCCACTTTTGCTTTGAGTGAACCACTTCCACCTCTTAGTAGCCATTGCTTTGATTGTTCTTTGTTTTCAGGATTGTACTGGTAAAGCCATATTTCAACTCCTATTACAATTATTTGATAAAATGTTTCAGGATATTGATTCCACCTGTTTAAAATTTCCATTGAAAGCTCTGCTCTTGTCTGTAGCTGATCTGGGTGCAACAGTTTTGGCACCCACTAAGTAGAAAGTTCACTCAACTTTTTTTTAACTTTTATTTTAAGTTTAGGGGTACAAGGGCAGGCTTGTTACATAGGTAACCTTGTGTCATGGGGGTTTGGTGTACAGATTATTTCATCACCCAGGTATTAAGTCTAGTACCCATTAGTTTTTTTTTTTTCCTAATCCTCTCCCTCCTGCTACCCTCCACCTCTGAAAAGCCCCAGTATGTGTAGTTCCCCTCTATGTGTCCATGAGTCTCATCATTTAGCTCTCACTTATAAGTGAGAACATGTGGTATTTGGTTTTCCGTTCCTATGTTAGCTTGCTAAGTTTAATGTCCTCAACTTTAATTTTTCAGTCAGAATTGTACAAAGTGAACCAATTGAGATGTGTATGATGTTGGTTGTTAATTGTTTGTCTTCCTCAATTAGGAAACAGACAAAATGAATATTTTCCCTTCTAAATTGATGTGGATGGTCTGCCACTGCAGGCTTCATCTTTAATACTGTCTTGTTCCTTGTCCTTTAAGGAAAATGAGTTATCCACTTGTAAACTGCCGATCTCTTTGGGGCATTGTCCTCAAAAACTTTTTGTAAAACATCAATGATTTCACTATTCTTCTATGCAAGCTTCACCAGAAATTTGATATTTGTCCTTGCTTCAATTTTACTGAATTCATGTTGCCCTGGTAGGGGCTTGTTTCAGACTGATGTCTTAACTTTCTTACCACCTCAAACTAGATCTGGTTCAGGAATGTTATAACAAGTTAGTATGAGTTTATTTTGGTGGAAAAAATTGAAATCCTCACATTTTTCATAATATGCATTTTCCATAAGCTTTTTGAAGACCCCCCCTCCACTTTCTTATTCTATTTATATTGAGTACAAAATTAGCAAAATCAGTTTATGGTGTCAACACTCAGGAAAGCAATCACCTGAGTCAAGATTTGAGGCCACAAAATGAGGAGCTTTACAGGGTGCTGACAATGTTCTGTTTCTTGTTTTGGGTACAGATTCCATAGATGTGTTTCCTTTGTAAATATCCATCAAGCTGTACCCTTAAGATGTGTCCACTTTTCTGTATTAATTTATAACTCAATTTAAGCACTTTAAAACGTACATAAAAAATCATAGCAACTCTCAAAATGCTGAAAATAACAGGACACCTCTATTTGTAACACTTTCAACTGAAGGACATATTCCGTTATCTTTCCAGCATTTAACTCCATTGCTTTTCTAACTGAATATTATTCCCATGATTCTTCTAAAATCCCTTTAAGCATAGAATCTTTCCCTATCATTTACGAACATAATATTCCTTAATTAGGTTAACAGATCATATAATATTTGGGTACGGGTCTTAAAATGTAAATTTAAACATATTTTATTTCTTCACATACGGGTGCATTATAGAAGCACCTTAATGGAAGAACGACACTTAGGTTGTATTGTTTACAGCTAACCACAACTGATATTCAAACATTCTGTACAAGTTATTTCATTTCATTTGACCCTTTGTTGCTCGATGAATAAGACTCTTGAGAGTATAGCATCCACTGTTCATTAACCCAAAGATCTGGTATATAGAACAACCTTGAACAACTATTCTGGAGTCTCTGGTCACAGAGTTAGTAGCTTAGTAATTTGGCTTTGAAGGCTCTACTTATTGCATAGCTTGACTTTTGTTCCTTCGTGTCCTTAAAGTTTCTCAGACTTTGTACAATTTAATACTATATGACTGAGACATCAAAGGGAAACATGGTATGACCTCGTTTGTAATAGAGTGGCATGGTGACTCATGGATGAGACCGTCATCTTACCTGGAAATCCTCACATGCTCTGCTTTATTAATATTAGAGCTTGTAACAGAACACAGGCGTGTTAACAGCATTCCTTTAGGTAATAGTATTTTTATGTAAGAGGAGTTATTTCAATGTACTGCAATGTGATATTTAAATATGCAAAATAAAGAAAATATCTAGGTTAAAGTAAAATTCTATTTTGCTAAGAAAAGAGCTTCTGTAAGCCATTGGTGTGAATGAGTATAATTTAGCTCAAATTTGTAGAGTGCTGATAAGGTTCCTTATAACGCTCGGATAGAAGTGCCTAACCTTTAAATGTGTTTTTATTGTGCCATAAGCAATACAGCTTCTTCGTCAATAAATTTCCCATCGTAAGACTTAAGTGTTTGGAAAGTTTAAGATGAGCATTTCTATTTTGCTATTTACACATAGTTCTCTTTGACCTTGGCAAATAAGACCAAAAAAAAAGTTTTAGCACTTTTAGTTGGTTAGACATAAATAATTATTGCCTATATGATTTTACCAGAATTCATCCACTTTTCCTCCCTCTTTCCCCCTGCCCACATCTGCCTTTCTACCCTCTCTTTATTTTTCTGTCTCTCAATTACACACACACACACACACACACACACACACACACACGCATGCACACACTCATTACATTGCTATTATCTATATCTTACTGCCTCAGTCTTAGTGATAGAAATCCAGGTCCTGATGGAACAGCAGTGGGAAGACACTATCTATGGTTCTAGATATCAGTCACTCTTATTTAACTATAAGATGACTATGTAGATTTATCAGATGATACATTTGAAAACACACGTGTTATGGCTTGGTGTGAGATAGTTGTTATTTTTCTATAATGTCCCTATTAACCTTTCCTCTTTTGGAGTTCTAGTCATTATCCACAGCAATGGCTTAGGTTGGCTTAACCAAAAGCAATTCAGGTAGTATTTTCTAACTAGGAAGCACAACTCGCATAAACCTCCTTGCCGGGTTTGGTGGAGACTTGTCCTGATTAGCACCATCTTGCTATTTTTGTTTCTAAAAAGTTTGTAGGCTTTTTGGAAACATCTTATAAACTTCTTAAAAACGGCCAGTTTCTGGTAGGGTGCTCGTTTAAAATAAGAATAATCTGTGGCTACAGTCTGGATAGTCATCATCGATCAGGTGCTGTCCAGCCTGAACTTTGAAACAATCCTGGTATGTTGAACAGTCTCATGAAGGATTTCTTTTGTCTACTTGTTTGGGAATGTACTGTATACACACATCTTAAGTGGCCCACAATAGCTCTGCTAGTGATATCAATATAGGTCCTTCAATCTTTCGATTATGTTTTTAATCATAAGCTTTAAAGTACAATTGTTTTTACCTCAAAATTCTTAAAAATCTGTTATGGGACAGAAATAAGAGATTAATGGAGATCTTGGAAAAAAAGATAAATGGCACCACCAGAATACCACAAAACTGGGAGAAAAATTAATTGAACCTATACTTTTGATAAATATTTATTTTTTGCAGAAGGAAAATGCATACTAGTTTAAGCTGTCATTATACTAACCTACATCCTATTTTTCATATTATTAGTAATACATAATGTGGTAGTTTATATTCAAAAATAAAACTAGAATGTATATACCTCACGTATTTATCCAGAATACACCAAGGTTACTATGGTTACGAAAAATCCATTACCTTTGAATACAGAATGAAAAAGTTTGACTTAAAGTGTGTGCTATTTATTATAGCAAACATCAACAGCCTTCGGGAGGTTCTCTAACTGGATTCATTTTTCAGTGTCAGAACTGACCCACCATACTACTAGCTTATGGCCTATGCAAGGTAAAAAATTTGAACTGTATGCATTTTAAAATAAATTTTGTACTAACTCAAGGTGCAGCAATGCCTTTGACTTTTAATGCTTCATATTTAAGAAAAAGAAGAAAAAAAAATCCAAGCCACCTGGATGCTAAGTGGCTTCTGAATTGAAATGCATTTACTTTGCTTGTGCCCCCCATGGCAGCAAGATCCACTGGCAAACCCTACGGGAAGAATGTCGATTCTATATGGAAACCTAAAGGGAAACTACAAGTAAATGAAGTAGGAGTGAGAAAAAAATTGTTGACACTTTGAATATTTAGGAGGGGACATTAAACCAAGTTAGTAGGGAAGTTTCTGATATTGTAGAGGGTAAAACATTTTAAACAGTGTGGGTGATTGTAACCAGAAAAAACAGGATAGCTCGTGGAGAAGTCTCAAAATTATTCCTTACCCCAATTAAATTTTTGCTCATCAAGAATGTGATTAGATGAATGAAAGGAAAATATAAAAGGTTAATAATTATTCAGAAAAGTATTCACTATAACTAGTACTTTAAAATGCAAATTAAAATAAAATAACTTTTTTTTTTGTAAAATAATCAAATATTTAAGAATATAAAATTCACTGCTGACAACTTTCCTGGAATAATGTGACAAACTATACCAAACATTCTGCAAATGTTCATTACCTTTGATTTAGCTATTCTTCTAGGAACCTAGCAAATAAAGATTTATGTATAAGAATATCTATGTCAAGATATTTAAAATAGAGATAGATTAGATACTATTGCTCAAATGGTTAAATGCATTAATAAATATCCATTATATGCTATATGAGATGGAATATAATGTTATTCAAAACATTTCAAAATATTTTTACAAAAATGTTTAATGATAGGATATAGTCATAATATAATAAGGGAATATGTATTCAATATCATACATAGGTTATAGCTCAATTTTGTTAACATGAATAAAGTAGTAGAAGGAATTCCATCAAATATTATGAGTTTCAATATGACAGGATTCTCAGGTATTACTTGTCTGCATGTTTTAAATTATCTTCTGTAAGAATTTATCACTTTTATAATTAAAGATATTATCAATTATTTTCCCTATCTAGTAAACTCTGTATTCCACTTCTCGGTTTCTCTATGAAGAGATATTTCAGCTCTATACAGATCCACTTTAGTAGACCTAAACTGACACTATTATTGAAATCACCAGACATCATGAATAGAAGTTCTACCCACAAGCCACTCAGTGTGGAAAAGATACTATGTCACAAATACCCTGACACAAAGACAAGCAGTAAGTACCAATAGCATTGTAGATAGATACATGTTATGGTGTAGACTTAAACTGCCCATAGAAGCTAAAGCCCATCCCAATGGCTAGATCAGTTTCTCCACAGCCTTCTCCCTTGCTGACTTCAGACAGACAGAGTCCCTTTCCTATTTAGTCTTCTCTGAGAGTCTCTGTAGATAGCTAAACTTTAAAAATATAAATGACCTGAACTTAGTCCATATCACTGATATAAAATCTGTGGTCGTAAGAGTGGGAACCTCATCCAATAGGACTGGCATCCTCAGAGGAAGAGGAAAAAATACCAAGGATGAAGTCACCTGAAAGAAAGTCCATGTGCACCTACAGTGAGGAGGCCACTATCTGCAAGCCACGGAAAGAGACTCAGGACAAATCAAGCTTGCCAACATCTTGGTCTCGGACTTTCAGCCTCCAGACTGTGAGAAATACTTTTCTATTAAAGTCACCCAGTTTTGTTATTTTGACATGGCAGCCCTAGCAGACTAATACAGGTGTTCTGGGGTCTTTCTTTTAGAGTTCTGGCAAGGGAAAATAAAATATGAGCAACAAGCAGAATGTATAGAAATTAAAAGCAGAGGATTTGGGGCCAGACAGATCTACATTTGAATTAGTTCCTCTGATTACTGACTAGAGTTTCTTAACCCATCTAGGTCTCAGTTTTTCTAGCTATAAAGTTAGAATAATCATGTGCATCTTTGAACCCCATATTAACTTTCTCAGTTTATTTCCCCTCCTTGACCAGCATTGCAGTCCCAATATGCTTCATATCTTAAACTATTTGGAGATGAAAGCAACAAGGAACATAGTTGCTTATGAAATGCCAAGAAAGCTACAGCAGAAAAAAAAATGCTATGGGTAGTATTGGAGATATATTCTTTAAAATATTACATAAAGATAGAAAACCATTGAAGAATCAATCTATTACCATGGATGTAGGCACTTTAAAAATATTTCACTTTCTTTATATTTGGGGCTTCTATTGTAATAATACACTATGGTGCCATTTACCACAATCTTTCTTCAGGGCCTATAGTCACATGGCGTTCTTGATAATTCAAACAAACAAAATACAGAATTCAGTGTCATTTTGCAGGTGGTATTAGAAATTGATGTGAATTCTTCCTCCTCTCCCTACACTGCCCTTTTTCCGGTTTTGTCCAGTGTAACCTCATATGGAGTTCTGTACATTTTGGAAAGAGTCAAGGCCCACAGTTTGAGACCTGCCATTAGCTGCACCACTTCCCTGTGGACTGATGCAGCTTTCGTTTAGGCGCATGGAAGGGGTCTTAGTTTCTCTTCCCCTGGCTGTATCTTTTCCATTTTTCTCTCTTCTCTATTGCCTTATTCCTACCCTAATCCTATCCTCCATCAGTTCCCCTTTGCTATCTTCTTGTTTTTATTCCCAGGAATCATCTGACTTCATTCTTTCACTCTAACACTTTTTATTCCATTCCCACTCTGTGATAGGTCCAAGAGATGCAGTAATGAAAAAAACAAATATAGTTGTGTCCTTAATGATCATTATGGTTCAGCAGGGCAAACCGATGAACAAACAAACAGTCCTATTCAAGATGACACAAACAAAAAGCAGCGATGTAATATAAAGGTAATCAGTAAGCATACGGGGCATACCTGTGTCACACGTGGGGAGCAAAAGGATTCTCAGAGGACATGTCTATTCTGGTTCTAAAAGTTATGATATCCCATTACATGCAATGTTACCTCTTGGTCACAGAAGTGCTTTGTATGTTAATTATTAATATGTTACATCAAAGATGTAATATATGTAAAAATGTAATATATGTAAAGGTTCAAAGATGTAATATATGTAAAGTTCCTTCCATGGTGTGATTTAATTTTTTCTGAAATAACTTCTGTGGTTTATAATTTTTAGTTAAAATCATGCCATAAGATACTGTTGGAGTAAGATTAACCTATTCAGTTTTTACAATGAACTCTGTGTTGTACAGGAGATAACAATTATAACTTCTCTTTACCAATTGCTAATGACATGTTATATTTTATATATAGTTCTAATTCTCTTTAAAATACTGGAAAATGTAATTAACACCATTTTACAAATTCAGAAACTAAGACAAGTTAAAACACTTGTTTTTAAGACCACATTCTTCAACACAGCCGGAATGCTTGGGTTAGTACCAAAGCCTCCGACTCAAGCTGTGTGACCTTGGGTTACTTAATCCTTCTTTCCCTCAGTTTCTTCACTTGTAAAATTGGGGTGTAAAATAATACCTATGTTGTAGAATAAATATTATGGAATTCTATCCAATTATGAATAATAAAATATAAAAGTAATTGTTCTTGTCCTTTTAAGGTTCTCAGACTAGAGGGGGGCCAAAAAAATGTAAACCTGAGAATGCAACTGGATGAATACACAGCCCTGTCCACACGACTTGCTCCAGCATCTACATGTGCCCCCATGAAGCTGTGAGCACCAAGAGAAGAGGGACAGTATCTGGCCAGTTCCCTATTACAACCTTAGTACCTGGCATTAATGTGAGTGAGTGAATACATAAATAATTCATCCTACCTCTGACTCTAACTTGTTATGACCTTTATGAAGAAGTTAATATCTCTAGGCCTTGGTTTTTTCATCAGTCAACATTTGATTAATAATGTCTCACATGAGAGTCACATACAGTATATAAAATAATATGAAATACAAAACCACTATAAGTATAATACAAATATAAACACAGTACAGGCAGCATACATAATGCAAGTCTTCTGTATTTAGAAAGTTTTTCAAGAATTTACTTCATTTAATTTCAGTATCATCACACTTTATAATATGATATGGGCAGATATACTATGTTTCCTCTAAGATCTAAAATTCAAACCACACTGAGTCACACTTCTGAGTCTTAAGACTATTACACATTAGTGAGGATTTTAAAGTATTCGTGTGGTACAGAAGTAATTACTGTCAATGGCAAAAACCACAACTACTTTTGCACCACTCTAATAGCTCATGTGAGAGAGGCATTTATTTGATGATGTCATTGATCCAACTGGACACTGTGAGCCTGACTGGGAAAACACTGGCTCCCAATTTCAATCCTTGTGGTCTGCTGAAGTCAGAGAAGTCATGTGCTGAGCTCTTTGTGCTTAGCACATTTGTGCATTTCCAGGCCTCCTCTGCATCTGAGCAAAGGTAATTGCTAGAAGGATTTAGGTAAGGGGTGGTGGGCTCTATAGAAGAGAACACACAGTAGGACAGCCCTGGGTGGAGGGAGGTAACATGAGCACTTTTCCATATTTTTTTAGCTTCAGTTTCACCATGAATCTAATATGACCTTCAAGATCATACAATTGGAGTGATTAACAGGAGATAAAAATAAGCAACCCAATTTCAAAAACACATTTTCAGATAACTATAGACTCTATTTATCTGGTGTGTGTGTGTGTGTGTGTGTGTGTGTGTGTGTGTGTGTGTGTGCAGTCACTCCTCAATATCAGTGAGAGATTGGTTCCAGGACCCTCTACTGATACCAAAATTCATGGATGCTCAAGTCCCTGTTACAATGTGGTGTATTATTTGCATATAGGCTATCCACATCCTCCTGTATGCTTTAAATCATCTCTAGATTCCTTAGAATACCTAATACAATGTAAATGCTATGTAAATAGTTGTTATACTATGTTTTTAGAATTTATATTATTTTTAATTGTTCTGTTGTTATTTTTTTCACATATTTCCTAAGCATTCTTGATTAAATTTGCAGATATGGAACCCCTGGATATCGAGAGCCAACTATATGTATGTTTATATTTGAATATAGACTATAACAATTCGCTGATAACTCTAGAGGTCTTACCTGTGACTATGTAGTTCTCCTCACTGCCTGAATAGATCAGCCTCCCATCCATGTATAAACAGTACTGAGTTATAATACCATTTGCCTTTTTGGGTGGGTTCCAGGAGAGCAGCAAAGAACTGGGAAGGGATTTGGCTACTGGTGGCTGAACCTCTTGTGGGGCTGTGGAAGAAAAGATTTATAGAGTCTAATTTTAGTTTACTTTTCTAATTCAAACTTTTCAGACCCAAACCAATAAATCATGGAATAAACCTGAAATCCCATGCATGGAAATATTCCCGATTCGTGGGCAGCTTGTCAGTAATTGCTTTAGGAACAGTGTTAAATAACTGTCCCACATTTATGAGAATTTGTGTCAATGATGGATGAGGAGTACTTACACTAGTTCACTTGACTGATGCTTGTGTTACTCCACCAAAAGTACTATTAACCCATAATCTCTATGTGGGACTGTACCTATTAAAGCAAATTAAGCAGATAGAGTCCCCTAGCCTCAAGGAGCTTGTGATCTGAGATGAGTAATGCTGGTGAATGTGGTTCATAATATAAATTTTTAAAAACCTATATGTAATGATAAGAATTGCCAGAGCTCGCATAACCAAATTAGTCAATTACATATGAAAACTTTAGTGCATATTTTTTTAAAAAGAGCTGTGTATTTTATATAGTTGTCAATGAATTGGGGGGTCCTAAGAACTAAACATTTTTTTTAAATTTTCCTAAACTCCTCTATCATTTAGTAAATTCAGAATTACTTCGTGGATATTTAGAAGTTTGGGAATGTCTTTAAAAATAAAAAAGGAAATATAAACAAGAGCAGGGATCTCTCTGGGGCTTAGCTTGAAATTGGTATGAAGGGTACCAGGTAAACCCTGGACAAAGGATTTAGTGGATACGGAGAAAATAATGCAACATAGGGCCATTTGTCCCATATTGAGGCTGGTCAAAGTCCTTGTAAGAGGGGATGATAATCATGTCCTCAGCAGATGCAATGATACAACAAAAACAGTGCTATTACCAGTAGACCAGATGGAGAAAATGCTGAGGCTGGGTCACTGACAGCATAGTTCAGGTGAGGGGAGTCTGATTGGTTTAGGTAAAAAATACAGCATATTAAGGGTCACAAGAAGGATTTTACAAAGTCATTTATCCTGTCCTGGTTTCATCCTATGGGTCCATGTCTTCCTTTCTGTTACATATCTTCAGTGCAAGTGGTGCTTGGTAAAGGGTTTAAAAGAGGAAGGGGGGAATATATAGATACTGGGAAAGAGAGAGAGAGAAAGACTGGCTGACTCTTTTTCCCTAAAGATCAAGCGTTTAAATCTCCTAAAGAACTTTTCAACTAGACAGTATAAGATATGTACAATTCCTCTTATCCAGAATAGAGAAATATGAAGTAACAATGCTTCAAATGTTTTGAGAGCTGTTATTTCTTGAAGTGATGCATTCTGATGCTTGAGCAAAGCTTTCACTTTGGCGTGCTAAAATATTTTCTCTTTCTCACTGCCTTCTTAACATATGCTTTCTGAAACCTTAATTTATGCCAACAGTTTGTAAGTTCCAAGTACAACAGAAGTGAGACTTAAGTTGGAAGGAACTAAGCAGTGATTAATAATGCCTCAATTGGCATTTGGAGGTTTCATCATACTGAAATAATTGTTGCCTGTGCTGCTGTTTAGCAGTTAAAAAAGACCATGGAAATCAACCGTTTGATTCTCAATTTCATACTGTGCCATACAATCAATTCTTTTTAGTCAGACTGTCTCTAGATTTACTTCTGAGCCATAGTAAAATGAGGAAGCTTTCATTAATCTTTCAGATGCTTCATATTAATGACAAGGCTCTTGCATGAACAATGTAACAGCAATTAAAAAGCCCATTAATCTGCATTACAGCTATTAAAGATGCATGTCATTAAAGGGTATGGAGTTTGATTCATTTTCGCACCCCCCCAAAAAATGGAGCAATTATGGCCTGGCAATGCACTTTGTCATCAAATTAGGTTGGGGTTTGCCAGCAAATGGCCTTGTAGCATTTAGCTCTTCTCCTATTTTATTATTCATGACTGAAATGTGGAAGTCAAGACCTTTGAAATTACTTTACCTTCTTGTGGAGTAGAGATGTTCAATGCATGTGAGCTCTCAGTACAGCCAGCCAAAGTGCAAGCAGTTAGGGTTACTGCATAGTTTTTGAAGGGTAGCAAGCCTGTCAATATGCCTATAATAAAAAGGGACAAAAGAGGGTTGCGTGTTTACCATAAGCATCAATAAAGAGCATTGTGTGTATATCTGTGTGTGTGTCTATAAGAGAGAGAGACAAAAACAAAGAGACCAGAGACAGAAATCAAAAACATATTCCTCTTTCAGTCATTTTCCTCCCTTTCTGCTGATTGTTGAATGGAAGGACTCATGAGAAAAAATTGTGAGACCAACTTATTGTTAAAACAGCTCTCAAACAGCATCTGATGTTTCTCCCATTAAAATGGGGAGGGGGTTCCACATATAGTTCGTGAGGCAGAGCACAATGTTTCCAATAGCTAAGATATATATTATCTCATTCCAGGATCCTAGACCTCCTGCAGAAACAAAACTATTTAATTTTCTTTAACCTAGCATTTTTCAACCGTATTTAACTAAGGAGTCCTTTTTATAGGGCACCTATTAACACACTTTAAAAATGCTACTCCCAAGAGTGGCTTCATTATTTTAACAGTAGGCGATACATATACAAACCATTTGTTTATGTTGTAGCTAACAAGTATGCAAATTAACATAGTTGAACAATTAGCAAATTAGATAATTATGCTTTTGTACTTCTACTTGCAAAATTATTAGTTTATTTAATTAAGACACCTGTCTTAAACGGAAGTGTTACACGTGGAAGTATTGAATTAACATGGCTTGCTGGTAGATATATGAGATTTGTTCAGCAATTAAAAGTATGTGTAGAAATGAAAACACATTTTGTTTACTAGTGTTCATAAGCAAGGCAGAGACTCCTTATTTAGTTAATCCTGTGAATTAAAAAAAATCCAAAATATAACTTGTGCTTTTGCTCACCACTGTTTTTCCGCAAAGACGTTTTTCAGAGCAATCTTTAATCCTAACCACATAGATTATGACTATTTTTATAAAAAGATGGCCCCACTCGTGGTGTCTCTTTATTGATGAAACCTTCAATCGCTCAGAGAATACATTATTGCTTTAAGGTGCCAATTTTGATGACAGCTTTCATCATTCAAACACAAATTTTAATATACATGTTTCCATAATTTCCCTCCCCAGTAGAAAATTTAAAGAATTAAAAGATCAACAAGCCAGGATGGAGCAAAGACCAGTTCTTTGCTTTGACACCTCCCACTTGCCCTTAGTTCCTAGGGCTGTCTCTAAGTCTTCATTCCAGCAACGACCCAGGCATCTCCGTGGGCTACTGAATCCTGTCTGCCATGCTTCTACATGAAAATATTCATCCACTTGGCACCGTCATCTTAGCTCATGGCCAAAGAAGACAGCAAGCCAACGAACTAATATACACACATGTGTGACCATCTCATGCCAAATTCAGCTCTCTCTAATTTCAAAACCCTCTCGTGTCAGAACCTCCTGCTTTCTCTCATTCCTGCCCCTGCGATTGTCATTTCCTGTTAAATCTCCCAGATCATGACCTACGTTCTGAGTTTACTTTCTTTTAAGAAGTTATTTCTCCTTCCACCAAATGGCTTAAAAGCAAGCTAACATTATCACATGCACATCTTCATAATGGAGTAGTGGGGAAATGGGCACCCATGCTCAAGCCAGATTGCTGGCTCCAAATGCCAAATCTGCTGCCGATTGGCCATATGTACATGGGCAAGTTGTTCAGACTTCTGTGCCTTAGTTTCCTAGTCTGTAAACAGATAATAATAATCTCGGTCTTGAAGGAAAGGCCTTGCAGGCCTCACATGTGAGATGGGGATAATATAGTACTTACCTCAAAGGGTTAGTATTAAGACTGAACAAGTTCAGGACTTTAGAATACTTACATGGAGTATTGCCAGTCAAGAGCTCTAGTGCAGAGCTATGCCATTCCAATTTAGGCTACCATTGCAACTCAGTTTCTGCCTCTACATGCTACTAGACAATTTGTATCTTTTTCTTTCTTTCTTTCTTTCTTTCTTTCTTTCTTTCTTTCTTTCTTTTTTTTTTTTTTTTTTGAGACAGAGTCTCGCTCAGTTGCCCAGGCTGGAGTGCTGTGGTGCGATCTCGGCTCACTGCAAGCTCTGCCTCCCGGGTTGGAGCCATTCTCCTGCCTCAGCCTCCACAGTAGCTGGGACTACAGGCGCCCGCCACCACGCCCGGCTAATTTTTTTGTATTTTTAGTAGAGATGGGGTTTCACCGTGTTAGCCAGGATGGTCTCGATCTCCTGACCTCGTGATCCACCCGCCTCGGCCTCCCAAAGTGCTGGGATTACAGGCGTGAGCCACTGTGCCCGGCCGGCCGACGCTTTGTATCTTTTAAAGATCAGCAGTGATCCCTTAAATACCAAATCAAATAGCCCTTCCTCAGTCCTTATCCTCCCTCAACTTCCTTCTGTGACATTGAACTTTTTAGTTGTTCTCCTAAACTACCGAGAACTCCTTTGTTTCCTTTACTGACTCATGTTCCTCTCACAGTCTCTTAAATAGCTTTTGTTTCTCAAGATTGGGTTGTTGTCAAGCTTCTTTCTTTTTCTAAACACTCGCCTTTGCTAGCTTATTAAGCCTTATCTTTCAGTGATCACATTTGTATCTACAGACTTCACATCTCTCCCAAGCCCTGGTTCTGGGTTTCTATCTGCAGGCCATGTAACCACACCTGGATGTCCCACTGGTATTTCATACTCAACGTGCCCCAACCAAGAATCAACATTCTAAATAATTATGTAAGCTTCATTTTTCCATTTTGTAATGCCTCCACCACGATACCCAAATTCCAGGCTCAAAACTAAAGTTATCATCATAAAATGTGTTTTAGCCATTCTATCTTTAGCAAATCTTTGGCATTTGCCATGTCTTTCCTATTGCCAAGTTGGAAAC
Organism: Homo sapiens; assembly: GCF_000001405.40. Taxonomy (NCBI): domain Eukaryota; kingdom Metazoa; phylum Chordata; class Mammalia; order Primates; family Hominidae; genus Homo; species Homo sapiens. Next base: position 216,051,485 of record NC_000001.11, read on the forward strand.
TACCGTAAGATTCTAAATAAGATGACTTGCATGGCTGAATTAGTATAACGCCATGCTAACAAGAAATGAATCAGCCCCCAGAGAATAAGACTTTTAATCCTAATGTCAATAAGGAAAAGCATGTTGGAATATGAGGCTAGTTTCCCTTTATCATCACTTAACCTATGGGGCATATGTGAAAAGCAGCACCCTTCATAGATGAGCATGCTTCAGCTGAGGCATAGGAACACCATGCCCAAAAAGAAACAATGCTGATATACAGGTTGGTTATCTGCAATCATTAGCATGAAGATGTGTTGTACATTCAGGAAGTATTATCATTGAGAAATATAAAAGCAGCTCTATGATTGTACAATTTTACAGCCTGGCTTTATAAAATTCCTTATACTAAGACATTTCTTTCCAAATCATAACTAGAGTGAAATGTTGAAATTTTAATTGTTACATCAAGTTATAAGGAAGGGTATTCTATAGACTTTCAGAGGGATTGTATCAAACCAGATCCTGAGTTCACAACTCACTAAGTGATCTTTAGTGTTTTATTTAATGTTTCTTGTCTTCACTAAAGGAGTTACGTTGTGTATAACATGTGTATAGTGAGAGTCTTTTATTAATTTTAGCCACTCCTTATTTTAAGGACCTTAAAAGCAAGCACTGCTCATCTCAGCAAACTTGCTTCTTCAGCTTTGATTTGGTAGAGATCTTTACCAAATTGTATTGTATTTCATAGAAAAACCCTGAGACTCTTAAAGAAAGATGCTGGAGAGAAACTAGATCATCTTTCAAGCCATTTATCAAAGTGCTCACATTTCCCATTTCAAGCCCGGTGAAACAATAATAAGCCCTGAGAAATGAGAGCTGAAAAATAGAAAACAAAGGAAAAAAAAAAAAAAAGAAAGAAAAAGAAGAAAGCTGATGTTTTGGTTCTTGCCAACTTTGGATCAAAGATGGAAGGTTTTAGATGGCTTGTAAATCACACTTTCAAAAAATGTGCTGCATTTTCTAAGGCTGGAGTGCCATTTCTTTTCTATTTCCAGTAGGGAATCTTGTTCATCATGCTGTGTGTCAGAGACAAAGTTTGTCAAACCAACTGATAATTTTCCTTAAAGGCAGTTAGAATTACCTACTTCAGGAAGAAGAACACTATAATGGTTCACTGTGCTTTCTCCTCCTGTCAGGTTAAAAATTAAGGGTTATGCAAGGGCAAGGGGCTGGTCAAATATGTGGTCTTCATTCACTTGGAATCAAGACAAGGTCATTTTATTGTTGGAGACACGTGGTTTATCTCCTTTGATTCTCAGTAAGTAGTGTTCACCAGGATGGATTCAAGTTGAAAAGTTGTGCCATGGCCAAAGAAAGAGAGTAACACATTCTCTCCAAGACTATGTAGATTGTGGATATATCCTTTGAGATCATTGAGTGGTTATCCTAATGGCTTTGCTTTAAGTGTCAGGGTTCTACTTAGATTAGGTACTCTCTGGAAAATACAGTGTTACTCTGAAGATATATCATCATCAAAAAGCATTTATCAATGTTTCCGCTATATGCGTCTGGAAAAGGTGCTATAGAATACAACTGATTTTTACAAGGTTTCTAACATAAGAAAATATTGGAACTAGAAGAATTCTTACAGTAACAGATTGATACATAAAGAAGAATGTTTGCATACGGGCCAAGTAGACAATGACATTTATAAGATTCAGACTTACCAGTTCAAGATAATAGGAAGCCTAAATTTAATTTAAATATATATTTTGGTATTATATTAAAAAGAATACTGGGAAATAGAGAATTGACATATCTAAAGGAATCCTAGACAGAAAGCCCAAAAATAGAAAATGCGGTAGTTGCCTTTTATGATACTTGTGACACTTGGGGTTTTTATACTGAAGAAGTATATCCTGAAAGGGAGAACTTTAAAATTGGTTTGGTTGTGAATCTCTTTGTTTGGGACACATCCCAGAGAAGTCTTTTTTTTTTTTTTTTTTTTGAGAGTGTCCCTATTACAAGGCAGGCCAGATGACCTCGCAAACTGCCTTTCAGCCACAAACTCTGTGAAATCAGAAAATGGTCCCAATCATGTCAGGAAACCTGCTAGTCCCTCTAGGTAATGGAAGAGGGCAAGCTGAAGAAACATTCAATAAGCATAAAGTAAGCATTATTGATGTCTTAAAAGTGTTAGTATCCCATGAAACACAGGAGCGTGGGTATCCGGATTAAAATCATTGGCACCAGCAGGACCATAACTCTCACTGCTAAGCGATAATGCATTTTGCATTAATGCCTAACATTGAGAAATCCTGACATGCCACACCAAGGGAGTTTGAAGTCAAGTAAGTAGATTCCCTTTGAATTGAAGTCCTGTGGGCCACAGTGGGTGCAGAAAGCCCAAGCTGAAAGATCAGGGGGCAGGGACTTGATTTAAGGGAAGGAAACTCATCACCGTAGATAGGTTAAGAGGCCTACTGCATATGGCTCCAAACTCTGTGCACTCAGGGTTTCCACTTAACAGAGGGGAAGAGCATTGGCCTAGAGAACTTGCAACTTAGAAGTCCTTCACAGTGATTTGGGAATTCCTTGAACACAGAGGGCATAGCCTTTTACTGCTTTCCTTATCCTCTATCCCAGCAGCTATTAGTATGGTTTACCAAAAGTTAGCACTTGACGGGTGACTGAAAATTAAGATTTTGCAGACTGTTAGCTCCACTCGGCTATTTCTCTCACTATAGGAGAGCCTGACTCCCACCACGCCCCTTCCAGGGAACAAGCAAAGTGACAGACATTGTTTCTTTTGACTGATACATTATTATCTCCAACACTCTCTTTCCTTTGCTGTAACCTCAAGTTTCAAAGGAGCCAAAGAAAAATATTAATAATTGGAGGCAGCCTGACGACCTAAGACAAAATCATTGTGGAGCTGACACCAGCTCTGCAAGCTTTTGCACCTCTAATGGGACACCGTATGCTGAGAAGCAGCAAAACAACAGAGGAGTCTGCTTTCACGTTGAAATTTTATGATTAACTCCTCTGACTAAATGCAGACAAGTATAAATGCTCTGCCTGGAAACCGAGCCTAAGACACAAAGCAAAATGGATCCTTTTTAAAGCCGAGCATATTTCAGAGAAGAAAAAAGGACTCCGTTTCTACTTACATACTTCAGCAGACTCCTCCTCCCTCCCCCACCCCACCCCCAGCTGCCAACCAAGGTGTTTGGCCGGCATCCACTGTAATCTGTTCTCCTTCATTATGTTAATCTGTGGGCGGAAAGATTTCTGTCATCTTCGAATCGCTTGTACAGCAATGGTAAACACCTTGGCCTGTCTGTAATTGGACAGGTGTCTGCATTGATGTCACCCAGCTTTTAATTCAATTAAAGAACTGGCTGCTCTGCTCTCATCACCCACTCATTTCCGTTGCACTTTTAGTCTGGCGGTGAAATCTGCATGCAGCAACTGTCTACCCTGAGTCCAAAGTCAGGGGTCCCCTTGTAAGGATCATGCACAATATTTCAAATGCACTCCAACAATCCAAGAGTATTTCCACGTTAGCAAAGGCATTTGGGATAACATGGAGAATTTATCTCTCATTTTTTTTTCTTTATCTTTATATTCTACTGCATCTAAATGATATCTTCTACTACTGGCCAGTAATTAGGAGCAGTCACAGCAAACAGAAAAGCTGTTTCTAGCTTCCTCTCCCCAGGGTTTTCCCCCATCTCAAGAGAACTCATCAGAGTACAATGCTCTTATTTATTTGCTGGCATTTCACATTTGGATCAAGAAAGTGAGGGTGGGCAAGAGCAAGACATTTATTAAGAGGGCCATCTGGTAAGGGATGCCACACAGGCAGAGCTGCTACTGCTACCTGGAGACATAATGGAAGAGCCCACTTTTTAAAAGAAAACTGGCTAGGGGAAGGAGGGCAGAAGAAGAGACTTCTGGCTGAGGATCCCGCTGCAGTGCTGATAAAATCTAATTTTTAAGTATACATCCCAAACCAACCCAGTGGATGGATTAAAGAGAGTAATCAATCCAATATGCCATGCTTCCTGACCACTTAAAGGAACCTCTGAAAATAAAGTTCTAACACAGACATTTTGACACAGTGATCCCATGAAACTGAATAATGACATTTGTTAAATATGGATGAAAACTTAACTATCTAATAGAGATCTGGAAACATATCCAGGATGCTTCTCCTCTGGTTCTTAGCCCAGGAGGGTGGGATTTGTTATTGTTGTTTTTGGATAATATTTTCAATAAAAATAAGGACTTCTAATATTTACAAAGGGAAAGTCAATTTGCATTTTACCCAAAAGGTGGAACAATAAATACACTTAACCCAAACCTAAGGTAATCCCTTGGAAACTTCAAAACTAATTTTTCTTACATTTAATTTCCTTCAAATGGGTTTTTTGACCTTGTTTAAAACTTTTGGTAGAGAGCATAGAATATCATATACCTATCAAAGACTATGCAGATGTTGATTCTTACAAACAGGAAAAACATTATTCTTTATTTCTTTATAAAATATGTGGTCTAATCCCAGTCTTAGAGGACGGTTTAAACAGTGATTTTAATTGACCTCAAAGTATTATCCAGTTAAGATTCTCTCAGCAGGTTTACCTCTAACCTCAAATTTTTAATCAATGCCTTTGTGGTAAGAACTACAGAGTCTTTGCCATTTTTATTCTAATTTGCCAATAAGTTTGAAGCCACGTGCTTGTGTTAACTCTTTACCTTACATAAAGGTCTCACACTGAAATTACTGAAACTCTTCAAGAAAACACTGGACCTGACTAAGCAGAGAGACAGGCAAGGAGACAAGAGGAAAAGAAAAGAAAGAGAAATGAAAGTCATCCCTTATGATCAGTGTCCAAGGTCCCCTGCTACAAGCCTCTGATATTGTTATTCCATTGTACAGAGGAGGCTGCTTTTGGAGTGAGTGTACTGTATGGTGCTCAAGTCCAGACAGCTAAAAAGCAGTAGAGCCAATATTAGAACCTGTATTCTGACCCCAAGATCATTACTCCTCCCATTTGACCTAAGCTCCAGTTCCACAAACAAGAAAAAAGTGTTGAAAAATGGTAATTAAAAACAATAATAGCACACTTTTTACTATAAAATATCTTATTTAAAATGCACCTTAAAATGTGTTAAGAGGTTCAAATTTATTACTGACACCTATTGCTTACAAACAGAAATTAGAAGTCTTGTCCTCCAAAATGAGCAAGTTTGTATGCCTGTAATATTCCTTTACAAAAATGACTGATTTATAAGAAATTCTATGTGTGCATTTGTGTGTGTGTGTGTGTGTGTGAGAGAGAGAGATTGGGTTCAATATTGGACCTTTGTTTATTATACATATAACCCTTTTAATTTGTTCCAAATATAACACAAATATAAAATGATCATAAAAGGTAGAAAACAGAAAAGTCTGGCTGTGCATTCTTCTTCTTTATCAACTATGATTGATAACCTTGAAGTATTTGTATTGAATGTTTATAAGCATTGTGGACATGCCTAGTTGATTATCACTGTAGAACAAAAGTTATATATTTTCATCATTTTTAACTACGGCTCAACATGTTACCAAAAAGAAATGCAAATCCTTTGGTGTCAATTCTTATTGCATAAAATAAAATGAAAAACTTTTTTTTTTAAAAAACAACTCTCTCTGAAGATTTCACAATGTACCAGTAGTTCAGGCACATTATGTATTCAGGAGAGTTAGACAAAGCTATTAACTCATCAACACTGCATTACCTAATGAAATCTTTCTACATTAGCTAAGCAGGAACATTACATCATTTCTATTTTTACTATTTATGTCATAGGCCATATTTTCGTCCTGTGAATTTTTTCAGACCAGTTTCTTTCAAGATTTACATTTAAAGAAATATTTTGTAGCCTGTAATGCCAGCACTTTGGGAGGCTGAAGCAGGTGGATCACCTGAGGTCAGGAGTTTGAGATCAGCCTGACCAATATAGTGAAATCCCATCTCTACTAAAAATACCAACAACAAAAACAAAAACAAAAAAAACAAAAAACAAAAAACAGATGTGTTGGCATGCACCTGTAGTCCCAGCTACTTGGGAAGCTGAGACAGGAGAATTGCTTGAACCCGGGCGGCGCAGGTTGCAGTGAGCTGAGATGGTGCCAATGCACTCCAGCCTCGGCAACAGAGCAAGATTCCATCTCAAATTAAAAAAAAAAGTTCGTAATAAACTACAAATATTGGAATATTAATTTATGGTCTACTATAAAAACTGGCTTTTATCTTTAATAACACCAACAAAAAGAATTACTTTTTATTTACTTCTGACGATTTCCTATTGTGGCAAAGATTACTAATTGCTCCTTATTATGTATTATACTCCTTTTCCTCAGTAAAATAAAAACACTTTTTACCTGGGCAAGTGGCTACTTGGAATAAAGACAGCATTTTTCAACATTCCCTGAAGCTAGGTACAGCCATGTGACTAAGTTCTGGCCACGCAAGATAACCAGAGGTGGAGGAACAACTTCTAAAATATGTCTTTAAAGTGAATGTGAGTATTCTTTAACCATTATTTCTTCCTGTTGGGTGAAAATCAGACTGGATGGCAGGAGCTCAAGCAGTCATCTTGAACTATGAGGTAGAAGCCTTGTCCATAAGGATGACACAGCAAAAAGATGAAGTGTGTGGGTCTCGCCTATGAACATCCCGCCTCTGCATTGACTTACTGTGGACACCTATTACCAGTGAGAGAAAAACTTCATCGCTATTATTTTAGGTTCTCAGTATCTCAAGTGAAATAATGAATTAAAAATGATAAACCCATCTCTGTTAGGTTTTCCCTATAAAACTTTCATTGTCTACATAATCTTATACTTCAGAGAGAGTGCTTGGGCTATATTTTAGTGTTATAAAAATCATGTTACAATGATAGGGCCTAGCACTAGCATGGAACGTGGTAGATCACTTTTTTAAATAAATGAATATTTTCTGTTCTTTATAATTATCAGCATTGCAGCAGTATTGGCTTCCATTATTTTTCATTTCAAATATGTAGTGGTTGGGTTCTATTCTGAGGTCTAAGTTTTGGAATTAGTCTTTATTAGTTATTTATTAGTCTTACCCTACCAACATATTTTTTTTCTATTGGGAAATGTGTATTAAGTTCCAAATATACATTTAAGTTGTGATAGCTCTGTGCATTCTTCTATAAAATTAAAGAACTGTTGATAAAAGACTGAGGAGACTTTAGTAAGGACTAGTAGTTCAATACTCAGTCCAACTCAGCACAAAAAAATATTAACATTAGGTTAACTATGGGGTTAGTAGCAGAAAGCTACATTTGCTAATTGAAAGATTCCTTCATTCATTCTTTTAAGATAAGTATATTAATCACTTACCTTGAGCAAGGTAGTGAACGAGGCTTAAAATAAATATGAAACATGAAACTTGTCCTCCAGGAGCTTATTGTCTATTGAAGAAATAGCATGGGTGCACAGAGAGTACCATAGGCAGTTTTAGCAACTATGGAGTAAGAACTTTCAGTTGAATAGAAAAAAAAATTTCACGGCGTTGAATTACAGTCATTTCTCTGCAGACTTCTCAGGTAAGTATGGTTACATATATATAGAGAGAATACATATATAGAGAGAGAGCATATTTATATAATATATGAACGTACATAACATACACATATACATACATATATAGAGTAGCATTTTAATTTAATTTAATCTTACTGATGATACTCTGCATAGCTGAGTTTAAGTTCCAAAATCAGGCATAAGGCAAAAATAACGTGATTTAAAGTTCCCTTGACAACTCTTTATATGGCCCATAAAGTATAGTACATTTGGTTTTGTGTATGCCTCTAACTCTTCAGAAATCAATGATTCTTCAGGGCTCTGAAGTCTTCATTCTTTTTGTAGACACCCAAACAATGAGTATCACTTCTTTGTCAATGACTGGGAAACCCTAAAATTATTCAAACATTCTTTCCAGCTAACAGATGTTGACATTTTCCATACTGGATAGCATCCTTTGCCTATGACACTATTTTTATAGGTTTTTGTTTTGTTTAATTTTTGCTTTTTTACTTTTTCCTCCATCCCTTACCCATTTCCAAAATATGTAGTTGAATGTTTGTAACTTAAATGCATGCAGGCAAGGCTCTACCAAGACATTGCAATGATAATTCCTACATTGAATTATACTGCTCTCACTTTTATATGAACCTAAGGGGCATCTTGTAATTGAGAATTGGGTTTTGTTTTATTTTACTGTTTTTTCTTTGTTGTTGTTGTTGTTGTTTTCCATTTCCCATATAAATAGTGAGCTCCTTGCCTTTCTATATGGGGCATGACAGAGTGGGAGGGGGCTGGTTGGAAATGCAGAATCTAACACCATATTCCCAGACCTAGTGAATCAGAATCCATGTTATCAAGATCCCCAATTCTTACTTTCTTTCTTCTGGGAATTTTCAGAAGTTCAGGAGTCCTACTGGGGTTCAGGGGTCCTACTGACACTGCCTCTCTTTCTTCACTTGCCTTGGCATTTTTCTGGCAGCAAAGCTAACACAGTCAGAACCAGAAGCAGGAATAAAGCAGGGATAGTTGCAAGCCTAGCAGGTGAAAGTATTCCAGTCTAAGCTGACCACTCCTCTACACTAGTGTCTTTCAATATGTGGTTCATAAACCTTCCAAAAATACAATTGGAGCATTAGGTAAAATGCAAATTGCTAAATACTAGCCCAGATGTACAGAATCATGTGTGAGTGACCCCCAAATCTGCATTTTATAAGTAATCTGAGAATCACCTTATGACCAGTAGAATTGAGAGTCACTAATTATTACAGTAGCCATGTAAAAGAGGCAAAAATTAGAGGCAGATTTTCAGTATGAAACCCACTTCATTCAGGTAAAAAAATTAAGTCCATTGTATGTAAAGACTGAAACAATTTTAGTGGCAAAAGCTATATTATTATTTGTGTTATAAATTAAAATGTCTTTTTCTTTACATAAATGTAGATATATGTGAGTCATCTGGAAGATTATTCTTATCATTATTGATTCATTTGCCAAACTATAGCAAATAGTAAGAAATATTACTATTATTTATCATTTTACCTGAAGAAGCAATATAACCCCTAGACTTTAGCTCAATGTAATGCAACAATAAAATTGAGAAAATATTTTGTATACACCAATTATATCTGTAACACTTGATGCCAGGTGCTGTAGTAATTATGCTGATAATTAAGTTTACATGTTTAAACACCTTACGGAAAAAATAATTCGTATATGTGCGAAGTCTTGAATCCATTCATTCTTGAAATAATTTCAAATCAAATTATGAAGTCAGTTTCTGAGCAGTCCTCAGTTTGAGGGGAAACGCCAGTCCTGTCTCTCTGGGCTGCAGCTTTGCATGTTAACAGGGCTGCAGGAAAAATCAGCAAAAGCTACCCAGAGTTAATTGGAGCCCTTTCAACAAATCTAAAGATACACAGGAGTGATAACTGAAGGGTTTTCTACCCTGAGGCTCTGGCTGAGGGAATGAACCTTAAAGAACTCCTTGCTCTGAACCTTGGCCTTGGGAGGGCACAGAATCTAGACCCTGTGGCCCAAAGGGGCCCATTTGCTCCTGAGCGGGCCTGTTAACCCTTGGACTCTCCATTGCAACTGGGATTTATCTCATTTAATCCTCTGATAGACAAATTCATGAATGGTAAATATTCTGCTTCACTATTCTGTTTTCTTCAGTTATCTTAGTTGATATTCATTTTTAATAATTTTCTTTGCTTTTACCTTCTGCTTTTTGTAAGTCTGAACATAAAATCCCACTTCCCAATAACTATTACACTTAATTTTTGTCATCTTATGATATTCCTTTGCTAGTATTTTCTATTTACTTTTAATAGCTTATTATTTTTTATATACATTTAGTTTTTTATTTCCTAACATTTTTGAGTTTCAGTGGGGAAATGAAAGTTATAAGAATATCTGGATAAAATTTAAATGTGATCACTGGTGACAAACTCCTCCTTTAAATAGAGTTTCCCTGTGCTGGCTGTACAGCAGAATTACCTGAGATAATTTAAAAGTACAAATGTCCAGGCCACATTCCAGGCCAATTTAATCAGACATTTTGCATGTGGGGCACACAGCCATCAGTATATTTTTTAAAGCTCCCCAGTTGACTCAGTATACAGCTATAGTTTTGAACTACCACCTTGTAAGAATCCCAGTGAAACGACCAAAGTTTTATAAATACCTAAAACGAGACCAGGCAGAGACAATGGACTGTTAGAAGGAAAGTCCTAGGCAAACCCAAACTTAAACTGGAAGCAAAATGCCAGCAAGCTCTCAGCACTCCTACTCTACCAAACACTGGGAAGAAAGAAGCTGAAACTGTAGGGTGGCTGCGCGGCTAATGCAAACTTACCCCACTAACCCTGTCATCATCTTAGCAAAGGCTTTTATTAACAGCAACTGGATGCCCAGTAAGATGATTTGAAAACAGTTTAATTTTCCCATGCAAACACCCAGTCAGAAGGTTATATTAGAGATGAGCCAACTAAACTATGGAGTTGAGTTTGGGGGAGGACATTTAGCTGATGGAAAAATTGTAACTTGAAAGAAGGATAAGGATATAGCCCTCAAATTATGGAAGATTGTCATATTCTGGGGAGGATTTAATTCAAGAAACTTGTAAAATTTAAAAATCACGAGTTGCATGCCATTAATTAGATCTAAAATAACTTGGAATCCACTAAGTAAGAGACAGAAGGTAAGCAGTAAACAAGAGATGAAGACAAAAATTGAGAATTTCAAGAGGCAGGCAGAAATCAAAGCAAGCTAGATGAGGAAAAAGGCAGATCATATCAAAGACTGAACTAGAAGAATTAAAAATCATCTTAGAAGTTTCAAAGAGCAGAATCAACAGTGCAAAAATCAGAAAATGGAAATAAAAACAATTATGGGACAATAACCCAGAAATCAGAAACTGTAATTCAGAGATTATAAAGGTAACTATGAATTCATTGAACACTCACTATGTGCCTGTTTCTGAGCAAAATATTTTACATAACTCATTTTAATCTTTATAGCAGTTCCATAATATAAATAAGGTTTTCATCCCCAATTTATGAATGAGGAAACTCCAATGTAAGGATATGTTTTTAAATTTGTCTGAGATCACACAGCTAAAAAGTGGCATAGGCGGAATTTGACCTTAGATTGATTTGACTCTACAAGCCGTGTTCTGAACTACTAAAATGAGGAAGACAACCTAGGAAGAAATATACAATATTGAAAATTGCTATTTCTCACCAGAAGTAATGATCATAAACACAATGGCAAATTTTCCAAGCTGAAGAAAGACCCAAATCTGAAGAATAAAAGAGCTTATTATACAACAAAAAATTAATGAAATAAAACAGCACATTTTCTGATTAGCATTTTTTAAACTTAATTGGTAAAGAACCCTACGCTAACTAATAAAGCGAAATTGCCTTGTACATTCAGTGTCAGAATTATTTTATTTAAATATGACTCTAACAACCAAAATTAACTTAAATATTAAAATCTCAACAAAAGTCACCTCAGAAATGCTAAATAAGGGTTATTTTCAAGATCAGTAGCAAAACTGCTCAATAGCAAAACTGTTTATATAGGCTTCACCGATTTTTCTCTCTTTTGGTACCTTGGTTTCTCAACCAACTGGCAAAACAGCTGCCTCAAAACAATCTCTGCACCCCTAACGTCTCCACCAAATCCAGCTTTCTGGCTCTCTGCTTTATCAGCTCCTTCCATCTCACTTCCTAGTATTCCTTTTGTTTACTGGGAAATTCTCTGACTTTGATAATTATCCAAGCTGGCTTTGGTGACTCTCAATTCACATTCCCTCCTCATTATCCTGAGTCTTCACAATGAAAAGTCCACCTGGCAATACTGGAGTTCTTCTTAGTCTTTAAGATTACCTTCTACCTATGTCCTTGATGACTCAATTTAGCATTGAGAGAAGCAAACTCCTTGAAAGAAAAAAAATCAAAGAATTCATAGTACACATTGGCAAGAAATGTAGTGAAAAAATCACTAAAAAACAAGAAATAATAAAACTGGAAAGCATAAAACATGATGGCAGAGAGAAGACCAATTATATCAATTATAAAAACAAGTATGAATGAGTGACTCCCGTACTTAAATACAGAGAATCTCAAGTGAAAGATAAAACTAAAACTGCAGAGATATATAGAAGTCTTCACTTAATGTCATTGGAATTTTTTGTAAACTATCACTTTTAAGTGAAATGATATACAACAAACCCAATTTTCCCACAGGCTAATTGATGTAAAAAAGAATTAAGATCCTATGGCATATTTCTGGTCACAAAACATCACCAAATTTCTATAGACTACTAATATTAAACATTGAAATGAATGTGTGCTATACATGCATTTACAAAAGATTAATCAAAACGAAATAATGATTTACTCAAGTTTTGGTGAATCAGTGAGTGACAGTGGTGTGGTATATAAATCAAGGAATAAATGCTTTCCAAGTGAACATTGTAAGGAGCACCGCCTACCAGCATGAAGTTCAAACCCCAGCAATCACAGACTGGGCAGCTTGCTGAGCCCTGTCATACTGAATTGTTTATTGCTGTGCATCTGTATGATTATCATAGACTTTATGAATTTTTATTTTATAATGATTTCTATTTACTCATTCATTTATTTTCCAATCTGCTTATTCCACTTTAGGGTTGTGGGTGGCTGGAGCCCATCCTGGCAGCTCAGGGCTCAAGGTAGGAATCAGCCCTGGACAGGCCACCATACCATCACAGGGCATACTCATACACACCTGCACTCACTCACTCTGGGGTCACGTAGACAACTCAATTCATGTAAGGGGAAAACCTTTGGGATGTGAGAGGAAACTGGAGTACCCAGAGAAAACCCACAAAAACATGGGGAAAATGTGAAAATTCCATGCAGAGAGTGGCCCTTGCTAGGGATTGTTTTTTTTTTTTTAATTTTCTCATCAAACTTATAAGAAAACAATGTTGAATTAAAGGATGTTAGCCAAGTTGCTGCCATGTGGTCATGTGCTACATAATGTTTTGGTCAACAACAGACAACATATAGGATGGTGGTCCCATAAGATTACCATGCAGTGTTTTTACTATACCTTTTCTGTGTTTTGATCTGTTTAGATACACAAATACTTACCATTGAGTTATAGTTCCCTACACTATTCAATAGAGTAACATGCTGTGCAGGTTTGCAGCCCAGGAACAATAGGCTACACCATCTAGCCTAGGTGTGGAGTAGGCTATGTCATCTAGGTTTATGTAAGCACATTGCAAGGTGATGAAATCTCCTAATGACACATTTCTCAGAACATATCCATCCTTTAGCAATGCATGACTGTACCTAAAGCAATGAGACTTTGAAGGTTAAAACATAAATAATAAGTGTAAAAGTAATAAAAACTCAAAAAATTCAAACAAAAAAATCTCAGAGAAATTGACAAAACTGCATGCATAGTTAACATAGTTAACTCTTCCCTTAGTTTGTGACAAATTTGATATATAAAAATAAATAACAATTGCTCAACAGTTTTCTGATTTTCTTCTCCCTATACATCACTACCATGTATGACATGCCTTTTGAGTAACATCCAGTACTGCCCTACATTGGTTTACAATCTGTGGGATCTCGCCTTCAAGAAGGTATCCTTCAGAATCTTGGGAGAGGCTGATTTAATTTGAAAAGCCTCCCTGCATCCAGTTTCTGATTTGTTCTTATCCTAACCTTAGAATTACTATTTTGAGGAATATGCATTATATGTTATCAATATGGTATATCTAACATAAACAATAATCAACCCTAAATGGGGAATATATATTTTTAAAAAATCACACATAGAATATTGAACATTTTAAGGGTGTTATATTAACTACATAAAATATTTTTTAAATCTCTACACAAAAATGCAAATCAAAATTTTTTAAAAAATGACAAAACTGGGGGAGTTGCATTAGATGAGATAAACATGTATATTATTCTTCATATGCAGAGAAAAACTTTAATGAGAAAATGTGAATCATTCAATAGAAAAATTAGCAATGCAGCTGGGTGCAGTGGCTCATGCCTGTAATCCCAGAACTTTGGGAGGCCAAGGCTGGTGGATCACCTGAGGTCAGGAGTTCGAGACCAGCCTGGCCAACATGGTGAAACTCCATCTCTACTAAAAATACAAAAGTTACCCTGGCGTGGTGATGCACACCTGAAATCCCAGCTACTTGGGAGGCCAAGGCAGGAAAATCTCTTGAACTCAGGAGGCAGAGTTTGCAGTGAGCTGAGATTGCACCACTGCACTCCAACCTGGGTGACAGAGTGAGACCCTGTCTCAAAAAATAAAAAAATAAAATAAAATAAAAAATAAAAAACAATGGACCTACCTAGGCACATCATAAAAGAAGTAGAAATGGTCAATAAATATTAAAAAACTAATCTCTCTAGTAATCACATAAATACAAACTAAAACAATATTCTGATATATTTTGCCTTTTAAATTTGCAATTTTTTTCAAGTGTAAACCTTGGTGTTGGCTAGATAAAATGAAATGCACAATCTTGCATTCTGCTTGCTGGTGGAAGCATAATTTGTACAGCTTTTTGGGCAGTGTAAAAATTGCTATCCTGGCCGGGCACTGTGGCTCACGCCTGTAATCCCAGCACTTTGGGAGGCCAAGGTGGGTGAATCACGAGGTCAGGAAATCGAGACCATCCTGGCTAACATGGTGAAACCCTGTCTCCACTAAAAATACAAAAAAAATTACCCGGGCGTGGAGGTCTGTAGTCCCAGCTACTGGGGAGGCTGAGGCAAGAGAATGGCGTAAACCTGGGAGGCGGAGCTTGCAGTGAGCAGAGATTGCGCCACTGCACTACAGCCTGGGCGACAGAGTGAGACTTCATTAAATAATAATAGTAATAATAATAATAATAATTGCTATCCATTTCTTGAGAAATTACCAAGCATTAAGCATAATGTTACACACTTTACAGATATCCTGTAGGTAACTTTGATACAGTGCATGCCACATGTCAAGCACTGTGCTATGTGCTTTACATACATATGAATTCGTTTAATCCCCACAGCTGCCCTGGGAGGCATGTAGTTGTATCTCATTCTTATTTACCTAGAAGGATTTTAAAGCAAACAGAGGTTTATTGATTTGTCCAAGCTACACAGCTAAAAAGGGTTAGAGCTAGAATATCATATCACTTAATATTTTCAATATTCTTCTGAGGTAAATATCACTCTCCCATTTCATAGGTTAGGACTTTAGGATCCAGAAGGATGTGGAACTTATCCACAGGGAAGGTATATAGCAGAGATTTATATCAATGTCTGACTTCAAAGTTCAAGACTATACAATGTCTTAAAAGCCTTCGATGCAGTTATTCCACTGCTAGGGATTTATTATATCATCATTGTCAGGAATTCTCCTAAGGATTTACATACAAATTTCTTTAAATTATATTAATTACAACGGTAATTGTTGGAAACCCTGGAAGTAGGGGGAGACCCAGACAAAGTGTGATTGTGAGAGAGGAAGTGCAGGAACATGGATGAAGCTAGAAGCCATCATTCTCAGCAAACTAACACAGGAACAGAAAACCAAACACTGCGAGTTCTCACTCATAAGTGGGAATTGAACAATGAGAACACATGGACATAGGGAGGGGAACATCACATATCGGGGCCTGTCGAGCGGTGGAGGGTGTGTGTAGGGGAGAGATAGCATTAGGAGAAATACCTAATGTAGATGCCGGGTTGATGGGGGCAGCAAGCCACCCTGGCACATGTATACCTATGTAACAAGCCTGCACATTCTGCACATGTATCCCAGAACTTAAAGTATAATTAAAAAAAAAAGAAAGAAAGTTTTTGAGGAGAGGGACATGATGTTGGATGCTCTGTAGAATACACTCACGGCCAGGGAGAGAAAAAAAAAAAAAAGGCTATGAAAAAGATGAAGGTAAGTATTGCAGTTGTCCAGGAAAAAGATGGTAGTAGTTTGGGCTGGCCAGTAGATTAGAGGAGAAATGGATGACCTTAACACATATTTTGAAAAATAGAATGACAACTGTGGATATGAGGTGTGAAGGAGGTGAAAAGTCCAGAGTAACTCTCAAATTGTATTGACTGGGTGGCTGGAGGTATCTATGAGAATGCAGGAGAAGCAAGAGTTGAGGTTTGGTATGGGTAGAAGGTGAGAGACATCCAGTTGGAAATGTCATTGTGTCCAAACGCCTATTGGATGCAGGCATTTGGATGTCTAGGTGGGATGTACAATTAGGAGTCAATAGCAGCATCTATCTGGTATTTGATGTTATGAGAGTCAATAAGGCTTCTGGAGCAAGCCAGAAAAAAATGAAAGAGAAAGAGAAGACGGCCCAGTTCTAAATCCTGAGACTCTTCAATATTTTGTCACACTTTAGAAGAAGTGAGCAAAGGACACTGAGAACAGGGCCCCTGGAGAACCAGGAGGTAAGCAGAAAAGTCACAGAAGTGAAGAAATATTTCTAGAAATGATGAAAGAGTTACTGTGGAGAATGCTGAAGAGTGGTGAAGACATAGAGTGTCAAGTGTTTTTTGCCTATGTAAACATGGCAGTTTTTGGTGCTCGTCACGAAAGTAATGAGCAGAAGCCAGTTAAGTGAGGACAAAATGAGCTTAGATACTTCATGCTAGACGAAGGCCGAGAGGAGGAGAGAGGGAGCAATAGCTGGGAGTTTGGACAGAATTAAGATTTTTGTGATTGGTTTGGGTTAGTGTGTTGGTTTTTAACAATGGGAGATAAAAGAGTTTGAATGACCCTGGGAAGAATCCACCCAGTCAGTGGTTCTCAAATGCTGGCATACATCAGATGTATCTGGGGGCTTGTTAAAACAAGGACTGCTGAGCCACACTGCAGAGTGTCTGATTTGGCGGGTGTGGGGTGGGCAGGGCAGGAGAATGTGCATTAGTAATAAGTTCCCAAGTGAAGCTAGTAATGCTGGTCCTTGGGCCATACTCTACTGCAGCAGACAGAGGCGTTAAAAATATAAGTGAGAGGACGATAAGCTATCAGTAATATCTCTGAAGAAACAGAAAGAGTCAGGGTCCAGAGGACTTGTGAAGATTTCTATTTTTGATAGGATAAGAGAAGCTTTGTAAAACAGAAAGGAAAAAAAGCGTGAAAATTAAAAATAATAATGAAAATAAAATTATAGCATAGCACACACCTCCTGTATATCAAAATGGTTTTATGTGTTTTAGCATGCATTCATTCATCCAACCCCTAATAACAACTCCATCAGGCAGAAAAATGCAATTAATATGTACATTTGGTAGTAAGAAAGTAATAGAAATCCTATAAAATAAATTGTTTTTTCTATGGTGTCTAATATAATCTAAAATAGAACGCTGTCAGCTGAGTGGGATGAGAAAGGGAGGTAACGTGTATAGTTTGGAAAAATATAAAATATTTAATGAGGAGAATGGGGGAAGGAGCTATTCTGGAAATACAGTAGGGTTGGTGTCATTACTGAGTGCTCATCTGAAAGTGGGGTTGAGCATTTTTAGCAATAAACTACTTGGTATTTTCCAGCCCATGTAGCTGCCATATGCAACCTGTGAAAAGGCAAGCTGTGGGCTTACTCAGGCTGGGCTTTGATAAGGAGGGTAAAATAGGAAAGAAGTGAAGGGTGTGAATTTGTTTTTCTTTTGCTAAAAGTTGGTAGTATATTTGGGCTGTGCATTCCAAAGTGTCTAAAGAAGGAAGTAAAGTCTTGAGGGAATTGACCAACAGGTTTGTTGGGAAAATATTTAAGGCTTTTCTAACGTCCATTCTGATGGTTCACGTTATAGGATTTTTTGATAGAGGAAAATGTTTTTTTTCTGTCAAATTTGACACATTTACTTCCCTTTTATCAAAGGCTTAAATTAAACTCTCCCTTTAAATGTGCTTTAATATTTCATGAAGCTGAAAAATGCTCTTAATACACACGCATGAATTTGAGTGTGAGATGTGTTAGTGGTGTGTATGAGTATATTTCATTATAATCATTCTTCATGGCACACCACACTGTGAGAAATCGATTCACTGATTTGCCAGTCCAACTAACTGGGGCTCTAAGACTCCTCCACCTTGAGATAATTAGGTTTAATCAGCAATTTTACAATAAATAATAGTGGTATGAACTGGGGCTAGTCCCAAAGAGTAAATTTTTGCTTTGTGAAATAAGTATTTATACATAGGATTTCCAAAAGATGTCTATAAGGTGTTAAAGGGCTATAGCCACCTATGATGTAATCTTTGGGGGATGGAGAGAATATCTACCTTAGAATAAAATTATCCATGAGAGCCCATGCGCATTGTAGAATTATCCTTTTTATCCTAGGTAGATGCAGGCTTCCACTACTTTAGATGGGTGTTGTTTTTAATCAGGTAAAATACATGTATATTTAATACATTTTTCTAAAAAACATTTGCAGAAGATTTTTATTTAAAATGCAAACAAAAAGGAAGTTAATAGGGTCTACTCTGTTAAAGGATTGCATTTACCTGTGAGGTTGCTTGTATTGACAAATTCAGCACTGGCAGAGGGCATGCGGGGTGGACGGGTGCTGTCCTCACTATAGGCTTTCAGAATGTACTTCTCAATTACACCTCTGACAACAGGTTCATCCCAGGTCACCTCAATGCTGTATCCATTTAAGCTGCGGACTCTTGAGGGAGTTGGCACACTTTGTGGAGCTGTGAAGGAATAAAAGAGAAAATAGGGAAAATGGCAGTTCTGAGAAGACTATTGCTCCTATTCTTCACTTTTAATGGCCGCAGTAAATCAGACTCAACCATTAGCATAAATACAATTTATTAGAGTTGTAACTTTTCAGCATTGATTTAATATGACTGCACATCTTGAGCCATTCAGTTTAAGCGATATTTCAAAACCATCAAAACTCCATCGACATAACATTCTTTCAAGTCTAGTCCAGGTTTTCCAAAAACATTTAATGTATCAGACATGTTTAAACATCACTCATAAAGAAGGAGGTGGATGGTAGGCAGATAACAAGTTCAAGCAATATAATGATGTACCCCCTTTGAAGCAAGATAATTAGACTGTTATTATACATAGTAGTTTGACACTTTTATATCTTCGATGTATTAGCCAAAAAAAAAATCACAAATGTGATTGTGTTGTACTTGAATGCCTAGACCCATTTTCCAAATGCAATTGTTTTTCTAATTAATTTTTAAAAAGCAAAGTTCTACCAGATATGATATATGGAATATATTCTTAGTTGCAGTTTTTGGGGGTGGGGGTGGGGTAAAGGAGCTGGTGCCTTTGAGATTCTACAAAGTCATTTTCAAAGTCTTGTTCTGCAGAATATTTCAAAATAATATCACAAAATGAGGAAGTTTAAAAGAACTGCAAAACCTTACTTACAAGCTGAGCCCCCTAATTTAAAAAATCTATTACCTTTAACTATTTATTAGACATTTCTACAGTTCTGATCAGTAAAAACTTCATCACAGCTGAGTGCACTGGGGACACAAAGAAAGAGCCCAAGGAACTCCGTGGCAGGATGATGGATGAGAGACCTGCTCTAGCTGCTCATGGACTCCTGAGCCCTGTCGATGGAGGATCACTCTGGTTTTTCCACATCAAATCTCCTCCTCTCCGACTTTACTGTCCAGACCAATAAAGTAGGACAGCTTTAAGGGAAACAAAGTGAACATAAAAGATAAGAGGAAACACCAAAGGGGAGAACCACTCTCTGAGCAGTTAAAACACTACAGACACCTATAGAAAACACACAGGCCACAAGATCGAGTTGCAAGGAAAGGGACAATGGGAGTGACGCTGATTTTATTAGTTCGGAAATGTGGTACAGGGCAAAGTACAGTACAGTCTAACAGATGGTCTTCTCATAAGGGACAGAGCAAAACTGACTCAAAAATAATTAAATAGTGCAATTATTCTCCAACCCTTGGGAGCATGTAGCTGCTCAGTGTTGTGGTCAGATTGTAAATATGAATTTATGGCATAGGGCTGTGGTCAGATCATTGCTATAAATTCAGAGCTCTATTTGTGTACTTTCTCAGTAGTACTCAAAATGGGGACTATTAAGCTAAGTAAGCAATGTGCTTTCCAGACGCCTATTAATGTTGCTGAATTATACTCAAAGCGGGCTTTATATTTGTTAATAAAGTAGAAGAGTGTGAAATAGGAGCAGAGAACATGTCAGTAACAAGTGAGTATTTTATATTGGAGCTTTCTCTTAGCTCTGAAGTTGAAAAGAATTTTAAGAGATCGTTCAGCTCATTGTCTTGCCTATAAATAGGTGATAATTTAAATCATCCTGGAAAAGTGTCAAGTTGTCCTCTTCTGGAAAATATGTAGGTAGAGAGTCTTGAAAATTATTCTTAGTTGCTCATCTCAGTATTTAATTATATTTTAGATTAAGAAGATTCCTCAAAGGATGCCTGGGATAGTAACCTACTGTTGATTAAGTATAAGAGAATACCTTGATGGAAACACGTCTTTAGACAAATTGATACTCGCTGAATAAACTTCCTTGCTGAGACATAAGTGGCAATCATCTGGAGATGTGTTCAGTTTCCTGACAAATATTTGACCCAAAATAGTAGAATGTCACTGATTCACAAAACTCTTTGTGCTGAATGCCTTCCTGTGGTGGTATTTTGGGAAAAGATTTTGTGGCCAGTCAGAAGTACAAAACAAGTCAGTTGTCTGAGATTAGGTCTAATGTATACTGTCTCCTAGTTGGTTCTTTTCCAATTCAAAATATATTAAACCAATCAGCAATTTCTCTCTTGGGAGAGTCATTCTAAGATTCTAATAGTCAACAACGGGGCAAACATCTGCAATGATGTCATAGACACCCCTGATTCCAACCAGTTGCAGGTTTCAAATGTGCTTTCTGTGAGAAAGTCAAGAAGGTGCCACTCCCAGCCAAGGATAATCCTAATCCCTGACTTCAGCTTCTTGCTATCTACACCATCTGTAAAGGTTACCTATCCTTAGACATGTTAGGTAGGTGGGACTATTACATCCTTAAGACAACCTGAACTTTCCTTACTTCTGCATCCTAAGAGGAAAGGATCAAGTCTGAGCAAGTATTTAGTGAATTCTTGGTAAATGAAAAGCACTGATCTACTAAGCATTTTAGCCATTGACAGATGTATTTTCAAACCAAGGCATGCTCTGTCAGAAGACTACAAAAATATTACTGCTTCAGGGTAATAGTCCTTCCTTTTATATAAATGCACAAATACATGCATGTGTGTGTGTGCACATATGCATTTGAAGATAAGTATTTACCTGCTCCTGTTGTACGTCCTCGACTCCAATCACTATATACTGAACCTCCTTCATGCGAGGCTATCACTCGATACAGGTATTCTTAAATGGAAATAAGATGCAGCAAGATTAAAATAATACTCATATAGATTAATGAGGGGCTGGCAGGGAGGGAAAGGGGGATGAATAAGAGACATGTAACATTTAATTTAGAGGACCTCCACATTACCTGTAAAAGGCTGGAGACCACCCTCGTAAACACTCTGCTCTTTTCCCTGGTAAACCAGGATGGAGTCATTTCCCCTGCAGTTAACAGCACTGTCAGTTGATAGGCATCCATCCAGATTGACTCTGACAGCACCGCTGGACACAGATGCCAAGTTAACGACAGCACCCCGTGTAAATTTAACATCCTTCATGCAACCACCGAAACCTAGCAAATAGTAAGGGATTAGTATCGCATAAAGGGCTTGAGTCATTAATTACCAATCATTTTTGTCCTCTGCAGCACTACATTTTGAGGAAGGGGGGTGGTTAGATACAATTGCTAGACTTTCGAGTCTTCCTTGGAAAACCTTTTATGCCTCCTACTTTTTAACAAGCTAATTTGTTGCAAAGAAATATAGTTCTGTTATTTGGAAAACACATTAATGGATAATTCTAATTTAACTTTTGGTACTGAAAAAGCATTTATTTTACCTCCTTAGGCCCACATTTTCTAAATTCCGCTTCTTCCCATAAAATAAAATTTAGGCAACTTCATATTATGGTAGGGGGATAGCCCCATGTCTCTTAATTCTGAAAGATTAAGTTACTATATAAGTCAGTTTTAAGTGCCAAAAAATAATATTTGAATTAGCATGATTATTCAGTAAGCTCATTGGGGAAAAATACACTCTGAGCATTTTATGTAGAATACCAGGAGAGAGAACATAATTTCAAAATATATTAGTCCTGAAATATTGCCATGAATGGCATAATGATCACTTCAGAGGTATAGAATTTAGCCCGAGTTACATCAGCCTACAGAAGAGCTGTCACTATGCTCTATCATTTTTCACAGAGTTCCATAATCTTGAACATACAAAATGGTCACCAGTTTTACATCCCCATTAGCATGACAGGGGCCAGCCTTCACTGTTGGCAATAGCAACACCATGAGATTTCATGGAATGTGCATTCTGCACAGGTGACCTTAGAACACCCACTGCGCAGTACCATTCTGTGAAGTTTAACAGAGAATGCGGATGAAATGAATTTAGAGTATTCACCACTTTTTTGTTAGACAGCAAACAAAAAAGGCATCCAGTTAGCCAGGGAATAGCAGTGGCTTTGAATTACATGCTATTTTGTGAAAACAGAGATCAGCTCAGTGAAGTCTGGCAGTACTCTGCGCAGAAAACTGCACGAAATTGGGACAAACAGGACCGAGTTTGAGATTGCTGTAGCGTGCATGTTCTCTCTCTCTCTCTCTCTCTCTCTCCGAACAAAACACTGTAAAGTTTGAAAGGCCTCAAACACATGATCAGCTCTTTTCAAGATTAAAGCACAGCAGCAGGAAATGGAAATAAAATATAATGAAATGCATAACAGTAAAATAAGTTAATAGTAACAATGACCATATTGTTCTCCTCAGCATTCATATGATGTCTTATTATGCCTTCTAACACATTAAGTTGCAGCCTATTTCCTTTTAAATGTCTTTTACTATTATCCACATTTTTTTAGTCCTGACTGATCAATACTGCTAGTCTATCTTAAACACACAGTAGACACTCAATAAGTTGGGTGAATTGAATTGAAAGCAATGAAGCTCAATATGAAATCATTGGCTGGAAAATTCAGAAGCTAAGAATTTTAATGTATTTATCAGTAGTAATTTTCTGATGGCACATAACTGTATTATCAAAATTCTCTGTACCCTAACTTCCCTACCAACAAAATCAGAACAGTGAAAGGGCAGCTTGGCAAACAAGTGCTGTTATAAGAAATGCTACATTATTTTTTGAGGGGTACATAGTTTTAGCTTTGCAGGATGAAAAGAGTTCTTCAGAGGGATGGTGGTGATATCTGCAAAACAATGTGAATGTACCTAATGCCACTAAACTGTACATTTAAAAATGGTTACAATGGTAAATTTCATGTTACATATATTTTACCATAATGTTTAAAAAATTAAAAATTTAGCAAAAAACATCATAAAAATTAATTCACAAGATGAAATTTTCAATTTGGGAAAGCCCAGGGAGATACATCTTTCTTCATTTTGGAGATGAAGAAAAAGGCCTAGAGAGTTAGTTATAAAATGAAGTTTGTAAGCACTAATCCTCCTAAGGAAATGGTCCTCTGGCCTCTGGCCTTGGAGACTGCTGAGCTCTTGAAGCTGCTGAGCTCTAGTGCAGGGTCCTTCCAGTGGCAACCAAAGAGTTCAGTTAAGGTTGTCCCGTGCTTTCAACTCTGTACCACCAGAAATGCTCCCCAGACCTAAAACATTTGAATGAGATGCGAGGACAACAAAAGGAGAAAGGGGATGTTTGCGAGAGGAGTGGAAATGCTTTCTTTTCTTACTCCACTACCCTTGTGAGAATCCAAAAAAATCCCCATCCACACCACCACCCCTGGGCCTCTAAATGCCTAAAAGGCGGCCCAGAGCTCTAAGATGACTAATCAGAAAAACATTAGCCCTTCCTCTAGGGAAGGCAGTACTGCTGCAGAGTGCTTGGCTTGGCAGGCCTGCTAAATTTGAGCCCCCACTCTCTCCCTCTCCATGGAGGGGTTTGGGCAGAGCATTGCCTGTGAGACCACATGCCAGACCCAGTCATGCCCAACCTAGATGTAAGTGATTATCCTCATTGATCATTCTAAGAAGATAAACTCTCATCATCTGAGCTGGCACATCTTCAGCAAATTATGTTGCCCAGCATTTTCAAAACAAGAAAGAAAATTAGTCTTGTATCTGGTTCGGAGGAAGATTGCAACGTTAGTAGATTAAAAAAAAAATAGCACTAATATGACCACAAAATAGAGCTTCTGATGAAAAAAAAAAGGTGCTAATTAAGAAGCAGAGAAAAGGAAAAACGTTTTTAAGACAATTGATAGTGGGTTGAAAGAAATACATTAAATGAACATGATTTGTTTTAATTGCAATTGACTACATACATGCTGCACCTCTGTATTGTGACTAGTCTCCCTGATCACCGTATAAAACATGCAGCTATTTATATAGATCAGTGTCTCTCAAGGCATCTGAGTCAGAATCTTAGGGGACAGGGGTCCCTAACATCTGTATTTTTAATAACCATTCCAGGTGATGTCAATGTATCTTGAATAGTAAAAATAATGGCTAATTTTGACTTCTACGTTCCAGCTACCATACGTCAATATTTTTTCAGTGTTTTGAGACCACTGATATGGATGATACTACAGTAATAAAAATTTAATATTACTCACTAATAAAATATCTTCCAGTATCACAGACTTAGTCATAGTGTGTAGGTAAAATTATTCCCTTTGGGTCTATGGTGATGTTTTAAACTTCTGTTATTATCTTACAATTTTGGTTTTAGCCACGTCTTTAGGACCATCAATAGTAATGGGTTTAGGGGTAATTCAAAGAACAAGGCTGTACATGCAGGGTTTTTGTTTCTTGTTTTTATTTTTTTTTTCCCAGAAGCAAACAGGATTAAGTAATCTCACTCATACGAAGGGTTTTCAAGTTCTTTCTAACCTCAGAAACCTGAAAACCTGGAGAAGCTCTTATATGAATGTAATATTTTTAGCTGCTGTTACATCTTAAGTGCCTTGAAAATGTCATTACTGTCTTACACCCCAGTTATTCATTAACTCCTTACTACTACCCTTCTAAAAGTCTCCTAAGAGCTTGCCATATATTTTCTATTCAAAGGCATTTAAATCTTTATGTACTTACCAAATAGGCAAAGATTGCCTCATGAAAATTTTAACCATTCAGGGTATGTAGATTTTGAAATACGTAAAGGACCTTTTTCACACGTGGGAGGGTGCTTGGTCCTATGCTGGAAGTTACTATGCTTTCCCCACTTTACAAAGGAGCATTGACCAATGCCCATAAAAGAGAGCATTGACTGTAAAAAGGAGAGTTGACTTTATAACAGGCTGCCTGAGAGACTTAGTGTCTTGCTATCTGCTTACTAGCCATGTGACCTTGGGAAAGTTACCTTCCTCTCTGCTCTTCAGTTTCCTCATCTGTAATGAGGATATAAATAATAATGCCTAACACACTTGTTATGAATAATTGACTCACCTATTCTCATGTAAGCTCTCAGAACCATGACTGCCACAAGAAATGATACACAGATATTGTTAGCCTTTTCAAATTAATTATTTCTCTGATTACATTCAAACGTCTATGAGTTAACTTCTCACCTAAATTGTAAATAATGCACTTTTCCTTTCTCTTATAGTTATTAATAATCTACAATATATAGATTTTCACAAGTATGTTTGGAAGTCAACCACATACACCCCACATTTTTTTTCCACATGAAAGCTCTACTGAAAAACTATGGAGACAATTAGCATTTATGTCAAAGAAAGAAAAGGCAATGAATTGCATTGATATTTTTTACTAGTTATGCATACCAACTTAATTTATTTTTTCATCTGTAAATACAGATAATGATCATTATCCAACATATGAGGAAATACATTTATATGCATTATATATATAATTATATATATAATTATGTATGTACACACATATATTTCTTATATAATTATGTATCTCACATATAATTGCATTACATATTTAAATAAATATATAAATTACTAATTTTTCCATATAAATATCATCTTTGGGAAGCACCTCAGTTACCTTATTTATAATCAACATATTTATTTTGATATTTATTCAGTAAATAGTAATTTATATATATAATTATGTACCACATATATAATTATATGTCACATTAATAATAATATGTATATTAATTACTATTTACTGAGGACATATTGAAATAAATATGCTGATTATAAATGATGGCACATTGTTAAGGGTAACACACAAAACTCTTTGAAAAAGTGTTTTCATTAGTTTTTAAGGTTTAAATTTCTCCAGAAAAAGAGATGCTGTTGGGTGCTGCTTTTAGCCTGAGTCTATTGCTATCTCTTGAAACACAGAACCACCAAAAACTGTTAGCACCAGGGCTGTATGGATTTGTGAATTCCTCCAGATGGAACTTACCTTGTTCCAAACACAAATGTTGATAAGAGTTCAGCAGTTCCTGTGGGATTCCTCCCACATAAACTGGTGAATTCACCACCAGTGGCTGGTCTCCGGACTCCGATGCATGCTTCATCAGTCCATTCACACTTGCTGATATGAAAGAGCCTTCCTTTTTAATAATGACTTTATTCCACTTTCCATTACAATAGGATAGCCCCAGCAATAGATCCACTTGTGTAAAGGCAAGACTGGTATTTAACCGGAAGGTCAATATTCCACTTTTCAGCTCCATCTGTATTTTATATTAAAAAAGAAAGTAGGTATATAAAAAGGCTGCAGAAGGGCAGTTTGGGAGAGAGCAGAAAGTCAATTTCTTGAAGAAAAGCAAAACAGTTCCCTGAAAGCACTCTATAGAAATGTGTCACTCTACCCTAAGTTTCTGCTTAGGAACATAGGAAACACTTTTCTAGCTTATAGTTGACATGAAGAATGTTGTATTGATGCAAACAAATTCATACCTACTAATGATTATAGGATGTGATGCGATGTTATGTAGACCTAAGGTTTACTTTTGCTGCAACATAGTTAGAAGATTAAACCCCTGCATAAGTGACTGAATGACTGAA
The DNA here is from genome assembly GCF_000001405.40 of Homo sapiens. Classification (NCBI taxonomy): domain Eukaryota; kingdom Metazoa; phylum Chordata; class Mammalia; order Primates; family Hominidae; genus Homo; species Homo sapiens. The sequence continues at coordinate 216,078,697 of NC_000001.11, forward strand.
GAGAACAGAACACTTTGAACTATGACTCTTTGAATTTTTAGAAAATGAGAAAATACTACTTCATATATCAATTTAATTTGGGGGAAAATATGGCAAGACAATAAGAAAATGAAATGTCAAGCTTGATTAAGCTTATTTTAACTGGCTAGTGAACTCAATTTCAAATATGTAAGACATATTTTGATTCAATATTTCGGTTTTATTCTAAATCTTTAACTAACATAATTGCTTCTATGTGTATTCTATTAGATGACTGTACCATTTTCTAATGTGAACATATTTCACCCAAATTTTCATAGTAAAAAATAAGTTCATAGGTTTTCCTTCAAAATGTCTCATGATAATTATTTTACCTAATATATTTTTACTTTGTTAGAAACCATATCAGTAACCATATGATATTTAAAATCTTGAGATCAATTGTGTCGAGTAAAACAAATTAAATCATGCCAGATAAAAATTATGAATTTTTCCATAAAAGCATCATCTTCAGGAAGGACCTCAGGTAAGCAATTTTTCATTTGTCTAACCACTTATTCAATAAATATCGAGTCTCTTACAATGTGCCATATACCTGCTGCTCTAAGGTAAACACTGCTCCTAAGAGTCATACTGTCTAGTAGCAGAGGCAAACATGTGGGAGCAATACAACAATCAAGACAAGAAAGGAGTAAAGTGAAAGCAGAGAACAGAGAAGGCTTTTTGCTCCCTGGAAATTGGGAAAGGTTTAAAGCAAGGTTTTAGAAACTATATAAGATTCATGGAGGGTCCCCCAAGGAGGGGGACTAATATGCATGACATGAGGACATCAGGTTCAGAGAAAGGCACCAACTTAGCTAAGACAAAGGGTACATATGGAGGTGGGAGGTGAGGTAGTGTCTTGCCAGCTATGTAGAAGCCAGATTTTAAAGGACTTTCAGTGATAGGAGGGTCTGGTATGGAAAGAATGTTTGGTGTCTGTCTGAAACCAAAACTCATATTCTTCCCAGTATTACCTTGCACTAAAAGCTTAGCCTACCAGACATAAGAAGTACACATTGAAAACAAAATCTCGACTAGAATTCAGGAAATGCATTAGGAAATCCATTTAATTGTGAAAACATATTGAGAGTCATTAAAATAAGGATAATGATGATGCTGATGAAAGAGAAGACTCAATCTTAGAAGTATTTGTAAAAGCAACTCATTAGGACCTGGTAAAAAAGGTAAATGAGTTAGATGAATTAAAAAGAAATTAAGAACACATCTCATCTTTTTTGGGTAACTAGGAGGGTGTTCTGCCATCATCACGTTATGAAAAGCATTTGAAAGAAATGCTGACTGTTGTTGTTGACAAGGAGGAGGGGTGAGTTCATTTTAAATATATTGAGTTTGAAATGCCTATAAAACATCCAGATGAAACTCTTTTTGAGGAAGTCAAACATAAAGATACACAGTTTGGGGATGGCCCAGCAAAAAGGAGAAAATACATGACAAAATAAATAAGATTATTCAGTGAGTGTAAAAAGACTGAGAGAAAAGGGAAAAGATTAGTGTCCTCAGCAAGACCAATGTTTTAAGGGTCTTGTAGTAGAAAATAGTTCTTTTAAGTGACAATGATCTCCTTAAAGAAGCTAAGAGAACTTAATGAAATCAGGAGAAACTAGTATTTTGGAAAATCAGTAGGGAAGAATAAGAAAAAAACAGAATGACAGAAAAAGGACAAAAAATATAAGAAATAAAAATCATTGGGCTAGGAAATGTGGGGGTCATTGACCACTTTAGAAAAGTGATTTTGTAGAAAGGTGTGGTAGGGGCAGGAACCTAATGTACAGTCATTTTAGGGACTGAAGTGAGATGAAAAAGTGGCAATAACAAAAGTAACCACTTTCAATGCACTTGACCATGAAGGTAAGGAAAAGTACAGTGGAGGAGGCTTCACAGACAAAAGAAAAAACACTAAGGAAAATAAATTTCAATCATTCCATATATTGAGGGAAAAGAGCCAATTGAGAGGGAACAGTTGAACATACAAAGAGGGGAGACTGTAGAACAAGTTCTTACAGAGGAAGGGATAGAATCTAGGATGACGGTAGACATATTTTCTTTGGTTGTAAGCATGGTAATTGTTCATTTGTTCCCCTGAGTCGGTAGAGAGTGAAATCTGGCTTGGCTCAAATACGGTCAAGTTGATAGAGAGACTGAAAGTTGAATATGCATGCTTGTTTTTATCAGGAGAGTGTGAGACTACCTGAAGACATTCAGGTTATAGTGTTTCTAGATCCTAAGATTATTTTTCTTTCACTTTCTACATCTAAAATATATTAGAAAATCCTGTAAACAATAGATACTGTTTAATAAAAGAATTGGAGAGCTCAAAACAAGTTCTCATACCCGTATTAGTTTTCCTATAGTGTTTAGCAATCTAGCTACTAGAACTGAAAAGCGAGGTGGCTGGACTGATGGATCAAGGTTTGTGAAGCCCAATACAAGACACAAGATCAGGGTATTGGTAGAAATATGGTTGAAGAAATACATTATAGTGGCTCAGGTAAGGAGCAAGTAAGTTAACTAGAAAGTGGGCTAATAGCCAATGGTGTCAATGCGTTGGTGAACTTAATGAGAGAGACTGAGAGAGCTAGAGGGATATGAGGTTATATTTTGAGATTCAAGGTTTCAGCAATGGAAACATTCTGAGTTTATCAAGTTCCAGGGGATAACCATGCATATTGAAATAAGTCAGTATAATAGAAAGAGTTGTTGAGGGGTAATCTGGGAGCAGCCTCAGTCCTCAGATATGGCAGACCGTAATGTTAAGTTTTATGAAAGACTGCTTCCTTTCAGTTGCATGGGAAGTGTTAAAAGAAAGCCAAGCACATAATAGGCACTCCGTATATATTTATCTAAGTGTATTGATTTTTTTTTGTTTTGTTTGTTTTGAGACAGAGCTCTCTTGCCCAGGCTGGAGTGCAGAGGTGCAATCACAGGTCACTGCAGCCTTCGACTCCCAGTCTTCAGCAATCCTCTTGCCTCAGCTTCCCGAGTAGCTGGAACTAGCTACAGTGTCTGGCTAACTTTTTATTTTTATTTTTATTTTCATAGAAAAAGGGTCTCACTATATTGCCCAGGCTGGTCTCGAACTACTGGCCTCAAGCTACCCTCCTATAATCCCAGGCCTCTAAAAGTGCTGGAATTATAGGGGTGAGCCACTGCACCCAGCCTTAATTTTTTAATTTTTTTTTTTTAGTAAGAGTTACTTAAAGTTAACAGTATTATTTAATACAGTAACAAAGCAATGAATAGAGGAAGGTGGAGGGTGGAAGCATGGCATAGTAGGGCATATAGACCTCCAGCTCAGGCATATGGTCCTCAAGAGGAGGAGCCAAATGGTAAACATCTTTGTATCCTCCACAGTGTATGCACATGTAGATGACTCAACGATGCTCAGTGAAGGTCACCACAGCATGAGCTCATTCACATGTTCACTCATTCATTCATTCAACAATATTGATTAACATGATAATTGCTAAGGCTTAGGCACTGAAGATACAACTATAAAGAAGAGAACCAAGGTCCTTAGATTCATAGACATTACGTTTCAGCGAAGATTCATAGACATTACATTTCAGAGAAGATTCATAGACATTACGTTTCAGAGAAAGAAGCCAACAATACACAAGAGGACAAACAAATATTTAAAAAAGCAGAAATTTTAATAAATACTATGAAGGGATAAATTTCCATTTCCCTTCTTAGCAATATTGGCATTGTGTATGCTAGGAATGTTAAAAAAAAAAAAAAAAAGATGAACGTATCTTAGACTCTTAAAAGCCAAGACTTGTATTTGTCTATTTGCCTAGAAATCAAGAATCTAAGGGTAAGATGTTCATATTTTTCTCCTGTTTCTATGCTAGTTCTTTAAAACAACTTTTAAGAATTAAAATTTTAATAACGTATTTAACAGTGGTATCAAACTAATGATTAAAGACAAGGAAAAGCAGTTACAGTTGCCCATTGTATTTAGAGAAATGTATAAAAATGTTTATAGCAGTCTTATTCATTGAAGCAAAACATGGGAACAACCAATACATCATTGGTAAGAGAAGAGAAATACTACACAGCCAAGAAAATGTATACCTATGTGGACACATAAATGACTCAGAAACAATGTTGAGTGCTAAAGAGAGAGTATAAAACCAATTTTATAAATTTCAAAAGCAAGAATTTGTAGGCATTCATTAGGTGTTCAAACTATAAAAATGCATGTGAATAACAAATACAAAATTCTGATTACCTATGACATCTGAAAGGAGATGGAAACAAGATAGGAAAGACTTTATAGATAGACCAAAAATGATAATATTCAGTTATCAGGCGTGGTGGTAGGTCCAGGAGTGTTCACTATATTATTATACTTGATTATCTATATGTCATATGAAAAATATATAATATATATGCTTTCAAAACTCATATCAAAAGATAATGAGGGAAATAGTGTTTTTCATATCTTAAGATACTAAATTGAATTTTCTTAATTCCTTATATCTAGTCTGTTTTCTTAAAATTATAATTGTTACAATTGTCATCTTAAAAAATTACTAGGATAATAAAATACAAAATGTTTCACAGGACTTCAAAACTAAAAATGACTGGGAAAAAAAATGAACAAATGTGAATTTGTAAAGAAACCCCAATTAAGTGTAATGCCAACACATGGTTTATTTATTTTAAAGTTGGGTCCTATATTTTAAAGTAATTTTAATCAAATTAATTCACATACAGCAAGAAAATCAGGTCCATCTTTGTTATAAACGAAAAGAAGCAATCCATTTAATTGGTCAGTTCTGAACTTAAAGGAAATCTCAAAGTTCATTCCACCATGAAACATATATGGATGAAGTTCCAGGAACCCTTTAAAGATAAAAATATGTACATATTAGCATGTGTAACACAATATTGCCAGCATTGTAAGGGTGCTAAGAAACTCTAGGACACAGTCTGCCACTGAGTAAATCTCACAAAAGAAGATGCAAATCAATGTTAAGAAATTCCTTTTGTAATTGCACAGAAGTGACAGAAAGACCTTGATATACTAAGAAAGACTTTGATATATATTATACTTTTTAACAGGAAGAAATTTGCTCTCTAAATCATGTGTTGTCTGTATCATGTAAGATTATTACTGTTTCAGATAAATATTAACAATAAGTAGTTTGCATTGACTAAAAGAAACTCAGAATGACCTTGATGAAAACAGAATAAAAAATGTGTAGATTATATTATTAATATCATATGCCTTTTTGTGCTGAAGGCAGTTTAAGCAACTTAATAACCAACCAACTTAGCTGTAAATATAGGAGGCAGTGATGGGCTTTTATTTGATGAACAAGCCGGGTGCACCAAGCCACCATCATCCCTCTCCCCTTCCCCTGGGTGGAAGTCTCTGCTCTGATCAGGCAGAGACTCAATGTGCATGCATGTCAGGGGTAAGCTACAGACACTTACACCTCCCCTTTCATTGTAGCCTTTTGAGCAATGGCAGGGATGGTGGTTCTAGTCTCCAGTTCTCTCTCAATGGCCTACTTAACCCATTACCTAGCCGAGAATTAACTAAGAACATTGTTCTTCTATATAATGAGATAAATAGGCATTTGTGGATTAACCTAGTAAACAAAACTCTTTGAAACATCTTTCTGAGTGCATTCTAAGTACACCTCTCTAACTGCATTCTAGTTTCCAAACAACTGATTTGCAAATGGACATTGGTGATGCTAACATATGTAAATCAAGAACTGCATGAGTTACCAGAGATATCATACATGGATGTATACTTATGAGTCTTATAATTTATATTGCATATTCAGATGTCAAGAATATATTTGTGTGCACCATTGGAATAACTAAGTATTTCTGTGATACTAGGTTCATATGAGGTCAAGTTAATCAAACAGGAGAGATTAAATTATACAAAGGATAGAACATAGATTTTAAGTGAACACTCATGTCTTTTTTAGAGCATTACCTGCTCCTAGGAACTGAGCTCCCTCATTTAATGAAGCGGGACATCCCTCCCAGCTGTTATACACGTTGATTTGTTCTTCAGAACTCTGCCAATCCAGAGGTTCCCAAATAGCTGACGGATTGTAATTCTTCATAAAATGTACATCCTTGAGACAGCCCACAAAACCTTTTTGGATTATCTCTGCAGGAGTTTATAGATATCAAGAAATATATATTTTGAAAGATTATTTTCAAGCAATTAATTTTATGTGCCATTAAAGTCAAAGAAATAGGCACTAGCTCTCACTACCTATTTACTGCAAGCCTCTTAATGATTCATGTAAACACCACACCATCAGCTATAGTAAATGATAGCAATTATAATGTTTAGTGCTGGTTCAAACCCATCATATCTGCAGAAACAGATGTTTATGCAGAAACCTTGGTTTTGCAGTAGCAAGAATATTGCCTTTTCAACTAACACAGAAAATTCATCTGCCACTAGCCTCAAAAATAAAGTACTATAATTTTAAAAGTTAGATTGGAAGGGAGTGTTTCTATTTAATATATAGTTTACAGTTTAGATTCCTCATCTATGAACCAGTCTGTTACTGAAGTAAATCAATAATTTGGCTTCATATTTTGGGAAATGTATATAGTGTTGATCTTGAATGTGGAACTCTCCAGACCAGGTAGAGGTGGCTTTATAAATACAGTGAATAGGGTGATAACAGAAGGTTGAGAGAGAAAATGTGCAAATGAGAGAATTAGAGAAAAAGCAAGAAAAAAAAATCAAGAGGAGGAGAAGGTGCACTGAGGTCGAATTTCACACAGCCACCTCCTTTCCTATGGGGGCAAAGCTTAGTTTTCAGCTTTGAGTTTATGAGAGTTTTATAAGGCCAATTTACATAGACAAAGTAAAATTGGTTATTCATAATGGAGATGTGTCCTCTACAGGAAGGGTACTTAGTATCAGGGTATTCTCTCCTAGTACCTGAAGATACTATTTCCCAGAAGGGCAAAAAACAAAGGCTGTGTACGTGAGTGTGTGTGTGTGTGTGTGTGTGTGTGTGTGTTTTAGAGGGACTTCTCTGTCAGTCTCAAGTAGTTGAATGAAAACCCTCTCTAATCTAGAGACATTTCTGAGGAGGTAACTATAATCAGCCTTGAGGATTCAACTATATCCTTCTCCTAAATTTGATGAACACTTTCTATTCCTTTTGATCTTCATCATGATTCCCTGAGACTGCAACCCATGAACAAATTATACTTATCTGGGTTCTAGCTTATTTGTAATATTTATGTAGTTATATTTTAACTTCCTGGGAGAGACTTGGGAGGCACCCTGTGATTCTTAATGAGGACTTGGGAAACAATCCTAGAATATTAGCATTGCGTTTGAAGGGTGATTTTTTTTCCTATCTAAGGTTAATTCCATTCATGTTCATTTTAATTAGTTTCATTTTAGAATATGTTCTTATGCTCTTGTTCTAAAAATATGAGAATCACTTTGTCTATAGCTCAATTATAGCACTAATGGCATTAGGCTGGAATTGTCTGTTTATACGCCTGTGACCTCTATTGTGATAAAGACCACATTTTATTCATCTATGAATATCTAGGGATTGGTTTAGTGCCTATCACATAGTATTCAGGGAATGTTCTTCACCCTATTTAGAGTATAAATCAAGCTCATAGTTTTCCATTTCTGTGTTGTTTCACATTCAATTTAAAATCTTAGAAAAAACTATGCATAGGTCCTAAAATAACATACCTTTGACTGAAATTATTATAATTCATTTCAGCAAAAGTTTTAATGAATTCCTTTTATATATCAAGAACCGAGTACTAACAATATAAATACAAGTCATATGGAATACATGGTTCCTTTAAAAAAAAGAGACCTAAAGGAAATTTTTGGCACATTAATATAGAAAATATAGCATGAGGTAGAACATAATACTTATTCTTACTTTAAAATAATGTAAACAGGTTCTATTCTAAGTTTGGATGACAACATATAATATACCTTACTAAACTCACCAGGATCCTTCCTGAGGATGGTATAACTTCGCGGGAGCCCTCCCAGAAAGACTCCTGTGTTATCTCCAATAACAGTACTACCATTCAGGATGGCAGAGGAACCTAGAGAAGAGGAGATGAGAAATACACCTTCACCAGGATACTCTAGTTTTACTAGCTCAGCAAATAATAAAATCCTTCACCAGCCTTTGGGATACCACTCTCTTGGTTTTCCTCTCTCCTCATTGCCTGTTCATTACTTTTCTTCACTGGCTCTTCCTCAACATCCCAGCATCATGATGTTGGAATGATCCAGACCGCCTGCCTCTCAGGCCTCTTCCTTTCTCTACCCATAGGCACCCCCTAAGTACTCTAGAGGGATGAATAGTGGGCTGGGTTCCAGTACGAACTGCCAGGGCCAAAGGCCAGGGGAACCTGGGTCTCTGACTGTGTGGCATAACAATGGAAATCCCTGTTCATATTTCTAATGCCCACCTTCTTTGAGAGAAGAGGCAAAGTTATTTGTGTTTGTTTTTCCAGAGCCCAATCCACTCCAATTAGCCCTACTTACATCTGTTCCCTTGGCTTTCAATACCATCCTTTGCTGGAAGTTCTGACTTCAGAACTAGACTTGTTTCTTGAGCAGCCTGCCTGATATCTCCCCTTGGGTGTCTTAGAAATCTCAGCCTTAACATGTTCTCAACTGAACTTTGAATGTCTCTCCCCAAACCTGCTTCTCCCACAGTCATGCACTCCCTGGTTTTGGCAGCTACATTCTTCCAGTTGCCTGAGACCCAAACCTGACAGGCTTGCTCGACATTAAGGGCCAGTAAACTCTGTCAAAGGCCAGACAGTGTCTTTGTAGACTATTCAGACTCAAGCAGCCATAGATAATACGTAAATGAATGGGTGTAGTTGTGCTCCAATAAAACTTTATAAAAACAGGCATGAGCTAGATTTAGCCCATGGTGATAGTTTACCAACCCCTATTCTGCCTCAATCTCATCACCAAATCCTGTTAATTTGACATTCACAGTATAACCAGAATCTGAATACTTCTTATTATATCTTCAATTATCACCCTGGTTCAGGTCTCCATGATTTCTTGTCTGAATTATTACAGAGTTATTGCAGAAGCCTATTAACTGATCTCCATGCCTTCACCCTCATTCCCCTTAAAATTTATTCTCAACAGAGCAGCTAGTGTGATCCTTTTAAAGAAAGCCGTCATATTATGTCATTCTTCCCTCAAAATCCTTCAACAGTTTCCTTCTTTCAAAGTAAAAGCCCACAAGGTCCCATATAATCTGATCCCTAATGGCCTCTGTGACCTTATGTCATGTCATTAGCTCTTTTACACCCTCTTTCCCACACTGGCCTTCTTGTTGGTCCTTGACATGCCACATGTAGTGTGCTCTCACTTCAGGGCCCTGATACTTGCTGTCCTCGCAACCCAAAGCATCCTCTTCCTGGATATTTACATGGTTTCCCCTTTGTCCCTTTAGGTCTCTGCTCAAATGTCACCTCATCAGAGAGACCTTTCTTAACACACACACGCACATACACACACAACTTTCCCTCTCATCTGGCTTTTTCATTCTCAGAATTTATCACCACTTGATATTTGTTTAAATTTATTTATTCTGTATTTTGCTGCCCCATTCCTCCCATAAAATGTAAGTTTTACAGTATTCTCTTTGCTCCTTGTATCCAGAGCACCTAGAACAATACCTGGAACATAATAGGTACTGATTAAAATTAGATATTTCCTGAATAATTTAATAAAAGCCTGCATCATTATACAGGTACAGTGATCATGTTATAATTACATAAATGTGGCAGATAGGGTAGGCTGGAGCAAAAACTAAACTTAAATGTGAAAAAACAGGATGTGTGTCCCAAGAATGCTTCCTCTCAACTGTGTAAGTTAGGAAAAAATATTTACTTTTTTCTCAGCCTTGGTTTCCTCATCTCCAAATGCAGACAAAAACTGCTTTCCTCTACTGTATGTGTTTTTTGGAAGTCAAAAGTAAGATGACAGAACATAACTAAAGGTCCACACGAATTGTAAAGAACTGTAAAAGACATAGGTGACTTCATTGTTATTTTTTTCTTTACCAAAGACCTTCATGGATGAAAAACTGGTTGCCAGACTTCATCCTTTTAGGAGCATCCCAAAGGCAAATTCAACAGCAATATATATGGAATTGAGTAGAAATTATGGTGAAATAAGAATGTAGGAATATAAACAACAGAAAAGTATGGCAACACCAACATATCAACAGGGCTATTTATACATATCAAAAAGTACTTACCTGTATATATCCCATCCAGAGTGATTTGGCCAAAAGCCTGATGCCTAATAGCAATTATTTCATGCCATTTTCCATCACTATATTGTTTGCCATGATCATTAGTTGTAGTTACTTCCACTGGTGACCCCTTAAGGGAATGAATGAATAAATAAATGTTTATACATGCATATCTACAAATAAACACACACATATTTGTTATAAACCAATTTACAAGTTTCAAGATTATGATCCTGATACAAGCATGCATACATTTCAAACAGAACTCAAAATTAAAGCTGATGTCTAGCATCATTCTGGCTTTCCTGTGATGTATTAATACTTCCCTGTGCACCACAGTGTACAGATCTGTAAAGGTCTCACCTTTGCAGTAAGAATTTCTTACAAAGTCACTTGCATTTTCTGATGAATATAGCTATTCATCAGAAGGGTAAAGAATTTTCTATTCTAAAATTTTAGACTTTAAGTTTCATGGCATAAATATGAAAAAGAAGAGAAAAATTTAAAACTCATAAAATACCACTCAAAATGAGTTCTGAAGATAGAGAGATGTCAGACAAGTCACTCTTATCTTCACAAAATTATCAATAACAAATGGGAATGACATTCACCTTAAAAACTAGCCAGTTGTGATACATTAAACATAAGGGTGGAGTTAAATGTAGTACACAATGCTTTGTAGTTAAAATCCAATAATTATAGTTCTGGCTAAGGTAATCATATAATAGTTAAAAACATGTTCCTAAGTGATAAGACATAGGAAATGGCAGATATTAAGAACAGAGTTTAGCAAATAGGAGGTAAGAATAAAAAAAAAAACTGAGAAAGAGAAATAGAAGAAACACCTGCCATCTCACTACTTTCGAGAAAAGTAAACAATTTTCCAGTATGTTATAGTAGCCTTGGTTACCTATAGTAACATTTTCTGTGTTAAGTGAATAAGACTAAGTGAAAGATATCCCAACTTTGTCACCAACAGCTACTAGTACTACTATTAAATAAAAATAAAAAAGAAATTACAACTTCTAAATGGGAATGAATTTTCTTCTTAATAAAGTTGATTTACTTAACAAGAATAAAGCTCATTCTAATAAAATCTTTAAAAATTAAAAAAATTAGATTGGGTAAAATATTACCAAAACACTTAATTACCAGAAAATTTCACCAAACTCTAATAATTTTGCTATGCTGTTTTTTTCAAAAAGAGAAAATAGATAATTGTTTGATGTAATGGTGCTGAAGATGTATATTGAAAAACATACAATGTTAATCATACCATCTTTAGTATGATTTCTGTTTATCTTTCTCTGAAATGGCTTCAGTGATACAACATGTCCACTCTACACATTTAATTGGTTCCTGTCGGGCCTCATAAAGAGCTCGACAACATGTATGACATACAGAATTTCATGTTACCAAAGTAAAAAAAAAAAAAAAAAAAGCTTTTAATTTCCCATGAGTATGAGTGGGTTGTCTCTCACATGGACAATATCCCAACTTTTACAGACAACTCCATCAGCTAGAAACATGACCATCTGGCAAGTTCTAGTCTTCGTATTTTTGTAGGTTGACTTTCCTTATATCTGTTTTGTCTACACACCCTTTTATTTTCTTCAACCCTATTTCAACATTTTAATATTTTACAAACACACATTTCATTATCGTAGTTTAATAATTAAAACCAGAACTGGTGTCGTGCCCAATTAATGTGCCCTGGTAGCATGCCCATTAGTTTTTCCATTAGTGAATTCAACAATACTAATGGGATTACTAGCATGGGATGCTAATTGGGCGTGACATAAGAAACTGGCTTACTTCTTAGCATACCCTTGCTAATGATGAAATTAATGAGCATTTTATTAAATGCTGTCTCATCAAAGTGTACTTAGTTAGCGTTAAAATTGTTACAAACGATGCTGCATTCTAAAGATCAGGTGTCTGAATAAGTGGTTCTTCATATTTTGTTTGGCAACAATCTGAAGCATTAATAGTTCTCTACATCAGAAATCAAGTTTATTGGAGACAAATTCAAGTACATTACCTACAGCCTCAGCATGACAAACTCACTTTATACTTACAGCAATTTAGAATATCATTTTTTGAAGACTATTTTAAGATTACTTCCCCCCATCAATGTTGAAAGAACAATTCTGTGATGACTTCTGGTGTCATATTATGCATGTTGTTCTTTCTATTTGGAACATATCAGACACATTCAATAGATGCTATTCAGAATTGTTTTAAAGCTTTCATTTTCACAGCTTCCTTCCAAGTAAGCCCAGAATATGATGTGAATTTCCTGTTAATGTCACTGAACATAGAATATTTAAGGGATAAACATAGATCATTACTGGTCACTAAAATATTATCTGATCAAGTATATTCAAAATTGAATTTAATTAAGTGAAGAATGGGAAAATTATAGAAAATTGTTGGAGATAACAATAAAAACTGTAATTAAAAGTTGCAGTTAACTTTTCTTTATTGTATCTTTTAACAATGGCAAGTGCCCAGTTTGTAATATACAAACACATTTCCAATTTTATGTACTATGAAGAATCTCCCTTTCCCTAAACATTTATTCAATAGAATGCTTCGGATAGTTGGATGACAAACCAAATACATTTTTATATCTATAGCCTCTACGTTGTATTAAATTGTTTTGTAAGGAATTTAATACTCAATTTTATTAAGATATTTTAAAAAGAGCAAAGTACACAATGACTTCAAGTTATTTTATAAATATGTGCTAGATAACTACTTTAAAATTCCTTGAAATTCTCTTCATAATTCAAAATTTGGCTATTTTGAATGAATTCAGTAAAAACAATTTAAAAATAAGCATCTCGTTTTTTCCTGATAAAAATCAAATTATCTGAAAAACAGACAAATTTGAACAAGGCTGGGCATGGTGTCTCATGTCTGTAATCCTAGCACTTTGAGAGGCCAAGGTGGGAGGATTGCTTGAGGCCAGGAGTTCGGGACCAACCTGAGCAAAACAGCAAGACTTTTTCTCTAATTTTTTCAAAATAAAAAAAAATAAAACAAACATCACAAAATATCTGTGTAATCATTACAAAGCTAGACGTTGTAAGCCAGAAAAATGGATAATTTTCTTCAGTTATGAGTAGTAGTATCCTACCAACAGTTATTGAGTCAATCAGCCAGGTAATATGTCAATGGTCATTTATTTACTGGGCATCTACTATGTTCCAAAGACTGTTCTAAGTCCTGAGGAAGTACCTGTGGGCAAAAGATTCATAGACTTTGCCCTCACTGGATCATACAGTCTGATAAGACAGACACACTAAGTACATAATTACTTGTGTGATGAGTATAAAAAGTATTCACTAGATAATCTCGTCCGCATTTAAAGATTAAAGGAGAAAAACTGACTTAAAGTGGTACCCAAAGTATTTAAAATATAAATAAATGTAATGCCAATAGAAGGCATATGAAATAAACTTCTATACTTTTTAAAACCCAGAGTAGCTCTAACTTCATACAAGAAGCTGCATTGATATTACTTTGGAAAAAGAGAGCAAATAAGAGAAGAGTATTCAAAATTTTCACCATCCCTCAGTTTTAACACTTCTTTGTCTAAAAATGAGTGGGGCTTTCATTATAAATTTAGAAAATATGTTTAGTACCTGTTTTAGAGTATAAATTCATTGGAAGTAAGGAAGGACACAGTCCTTGCTAGCATAAGCTCGTTGTTTCATATATAGAGAGCCTCATGGCCCGTGAGCACATAGTGTAATGCATCTGATTACATTTTCTCAGCTAGATCCTAAGGCCATCCTGCTCAACCCATATCTTGTATTTTAAAAAATAATTGTCACTTTCCTGAAAACTCAAGCAGTTTTACCTTATGGAGAGAGATTATTTCAGATAAAAATTTACTTACTAGACATCATTAAACCTTCCTCACTCCCTTTAGCCCCCAACTTGGCTTTAACAATTTTTTTTTTTTTGAGACAAGGTCTCACTCTGTCACCCAGGTTGGAGTGCAGTGGCTCAGTCTCGGCTCACTGTAACCTCTGCCTCCCGGGTTCAAGCAATTCTCTGCCTCAGTCTCCCGAGTAGCGGGGATTACAGGCACCTGCCACCACGCCCAGCTAAGTTTTGTATTTTTAGTAGAAACGGGGTTTCACCATCTTAGCCAGGCTGGTCTTGAACTCCTGACCTTGTGATCCACCCGCCTCAGCCTCCCAAAGTGCTAGGATTACAGGCATGAGCCACCACGCCCAGTGGCTTTAACAATTTTATTAATACTTGGCTGGCACCTGCGGACTATGTATACAGCTTAGGGTTTGGCTATACAGGGTAGGGACAGAGCAACTGGGAAAACTAATAGCAGTGACGAGTACTCTAAGCAATTGTGTGAATGAGAAGGGTAAGGGGGCGGAAATGATGGGCAAATGCCCTGTGAATGTTTCCCTGAATTCTGTTACCACGCTTTGCACCAGCCTGTCCAGGTGATCACCGTAAAGGATATGAAAACAACTAGACCTGCCAGATGAGTTTCCTGGCAGCCATTCTCCGTTAAGCAGTTTGACCCCTTTACCCTCCTATCCTACAGAGTCTTAAGGTATCGCATCCTTTAGAAATAGCAACACCACATGTCAAAAGAGATGGCAGTCATGCTTCAGACTTGGGGAAATCATTTTTGGATTAATTCTCCAATGACTGTCCCATGTTTGGTAGGGGGGTGGCTATAAATACTCAAAATCTGTGATGAACAACCAATGGCCAGAATTCCAATGAGTGTCATTCTGTTCATTTCTGTGTTCCCAGTGCATAACTGTGAAGTCCAATAAATTCTTAGCAAAGTTTCATTGAATAAAATAATTCAGTGCTATTCAAATAATTGAATTCAGTGCTAGTTCTATCCCTAAACCACTCTATGACCGTAGTTAAGCCACTTCATCTAAAGCAGGGATGAAAACAAAATCAACCTCAAGGGGCTACTTCAAGAATGAAATGAGATCATTAACAGGAACTCACTTTGTATACTTTAAAGCTCTATAAACAAGTGGTCCTGTGATTAGTTTTTTTTCCATCTGGCTTCTTCTTAAATATCTCCAGATACTAACAGGTTGAAGGGGAAAAAGCAGAGCCAGATTTTTCTTTCTCATTGACAGTCTTCTATTTTACTGTACTCTCCCCTTTCTTTTTCTGATTTTTGTTGATTTTTTAACTTAGCATTTGCTGTCCTTTTTAACCTTGTTAATTTGGATGTCCTGAAGAGCACTTTTTATTAGTAGTAACTTATTTTTCTATAACATTTGAAATCAAACATTTGCCCTATTTATTTAACGAAAACAAAACGTCAGTATAATCTATTCCCTTATTCCACCCACACCCCGCCACTAAGCTGGTATCTTCAGAACTTTTAATTCACTCATCTTTCCTCTCCTTCAAATCTTACTAATTTTAGCAACAAATGATTATTCACGTTTTTTTTCTTGCCTTTGCTATACTTCTCTTCTATTTCAAAGATTCTCATTTGGCACTGTAAAACAGAGTTCTAGTCACTCTATCATTAAATATTTAGGCATAACTTAATATTACTAGATTTATTATTCACTGATGCTTCTTCTTTTTATATTTCTGACTCTGTTATTTTTCCTTTTGGCTAGATTACTTACTGAAATATTTCTTTCCAACCTGGTGCAGAGATGGATTTTTTTTTTCTGAATTTATGGATATCAACAACCATCTTTCTTTCATGTTGAAAAGCAGTATAGCACTGTAGCTAAAATCATGGTCTTTGGAGCTCAATTGCTTGTGTTTATAACCTGGCTTGGTCACTTATTAGTGTTGTGACTTGGGGAAAATTAACTTACCTGTGGCCCAGATTCCTCACCTGTAAAATGGGAATATGAAGAGTATCTACCTCACAGAGTTGTTGAAAAGTTCAAATGAGTTTATGTGCGTGTGTAGGTGTGTGTGTGTGTGTGTGTGTGTATAGGCATATGTGTGTATGTAAGTGTACAAACTGATGTATAGAGAGACCACTTAGAATAATGCCTGGCACAAAGAGGTCTCATAGAAGTATTAGTTTTGCTTAATCTTGACAGGAAATTGATGAGTCTTTTCAATGGATTTATACTAAATTCCCTCTTAAATCAGATATTCTCTCCTATTTTTTGTTTCATCATTTTATGTTATCCCTCTTTTTCTTGAGCATGTGCTTTTTGTTCTCCTTCCGATTCGCTTCTTAGTGACAGTAGTAGTATCTAACTTTCTTGTTTTTGTCACATTTTTATGTATTTTGAGAGATTTCTTCAACTTAATCTTCTGACCTACTAATCTGAGGCTCAGTGTCTCTCCTCTAATTAATCTACTTAAAGTTTTCAAATAAAAAATAATATCTTCCATTATGTAATTGAATCAACTTCAGCTGATTTTTTAAAAATTTTTTTCAGTTGCCATCTGTCTTGCCTTCTGCGATAGCTGCTGCTTCTTCCTTTCCCTCTGGCTGCAGGATCTGCTTAGGTGTGATGCTATTTCCTTTTGCTTACTCACTGCCCACCTGCTGGCATCCTTTAAGAAGCTGCATTACTAGGGGACGCTCAGAAATCTTTGTGTCTGAGGACCTGCTGTGCACCAGCCAGGGAGTTAGCAGAGCCCTGTCAAGTCATGAGGAGGGAGCCTTTCTGTCCCTGGTCCTTCGAGTGGCCACTGTGCGGCTCTCCCAGCTTCATAAAGCAGGAGGACTTTGGCCTGCTTTTTGAGTCTGGCAGGGTCCTCAGATACACTTGGTACAATAGGCCCTGCCTTTTCTCTCTAAGGTCAATGGATCTCCAGGGTTCATGAGGCTGAGATCCTCAGTCAGATCACTCAGTCCATGATCCTAGACGCAACTTGGATACAGAGGGTGAACGTTGTGTCTGCTTTACCAATAAAATGTAAAACATTTATTTGTCAAGCATAACGTGTGATTTAGATCATCAGTTTTAAGTTGAAGAACTGAGAAAATGGAAAGCTAATATATTTTACTTAGTCTTACTCATTTCTCTTACTCATCTCACATGCTTAATACAATACCTAATATCAAATGCTCACTGATATTTGTTCAACTCAAGTGAAGACAACTGTTCAGTGCTTTCTCACTGCCCTTAGGAAAAATTCATATCCTCACATTTGCTTACAAGGTCTTAAATGACTTGGTTTCTACCCAGCTTTTCAATCTACCACCTTTCCCTTTGTCTCTGTTCCCAGCCATAAGAGATTCATCTCAGTGTACTGAATGTGCCATGTTCTCGTCCACCTCAGGCACTTAATATTTGCTATTTCCTTAATATTTGCTGCTCACTTTGCCTGGAAACTTTATGCTCAGCACCTTCCCAGGTGGAGATCAGAATCTCCCCTGTACTGCCCCACCTGAAATATACACCCTCAAATACAGACATATAATCTTGTCCTGACCAACTTTTCTTCATTGATTTGTATCTCAGTTAAATATCACATTTCCAGAGAAAATTGACAACTCAGAAAACAATTTATTTCTTTATTTTATGTTCCTATAATACATAGAATCCTAAATCTTTATTTTGATACAATTTATAAGAATTTTAAATTGATTATTTTACTGTATCCTTTGCAGGGGCATGGTCATATTTAACTTTGAAACTATGGTAGTCTGCAACGCCCAGTACCATAGTACCCGATAGCCACTTAAATATTTGCTGGTGAAACAATGAAAAAAGAAAGACAGGGAAGGAAGAAAAGGGGACATGATTTTTTGCTACTAAGAAAAATAAAAATAGATCTCTTTAAATTTATTTAAAAGTTTTAATCTTCATTATAAGGTGGCATTTTGGTTGTTAAGCCCACAGATTCTCAGTCAGACCATGATGGTTTAAAAGTTAGCTCCGCTATTTTAGCTGAGGGCAAGTCACATTACTTTTGTAAGTTTCATTTTCTTGATTGGCAAAATGGGGATAATAATAGTACTTACCTTACAAGGTTTGAATGAAGATTCAGTGTGAAAACAGAAGCATTTACCTCAGTACCAGGCACCTACTAAATTCTTAAAAATATTAAAGTTTATGATTTCTCATTTACCTGAGGATCAAAAAGAAAATAAAGACGTCCCTTCTTCAACTGAAGTGCAAAATACTCTTCCTGATTGCCAGGTGATGCTGCAAAGACAATCAAACCTTCAGGCACTTTTGTTCGAAAGCTGGCCTTAATGCCTGGTAAGACAAGTGTGATCAGCAAATCAGTGCTGGGGTTTTGTTGATTCTTTCTGATAAATGTACATTTACTTTCATTATTATTTATGATGTAGTGAGTACAGTCAGGAAATTATACACAGCAATATACTCGCATGGTCTAGGCCATTTGGTTTTAAATATATCCCATTTTAAATGCCATTCAGTACTTGGAATCTTATGCCCACATTCCTGCTAATCAATATATAATGAAGTTTAAATTTATGCAAAACTCATCAACCCAAAAAGACATATTGTCAACCCAAAATTGGATACTCAGAGTATCAATGTGAAAACATTATCAGAGAGTCATAAAAATAAATGGGTTTTTGACAAGAGTGAAAGAAACACAGAGGGTCTTGCTTAAAATATTTATGAAGTTTAAAGAATCGGTTCAGTAATAGAAGTTAATATTGGAAAGACCTGCCATGAAGAGGCCTATAGAGGTAATTTCCTGAAACACCACCCTATAACCAAATGGTTTGCAGCCTTCAGAATTTTGGGATCTTTACTGACCCTTCAGAGCACATACTAGCCCTGCATATCATAGGATATACAATGCTCTTTTCTCATAGAAATTTCCACAGCTTAGGAAGCAGGGGCAATATGCAACAGCCCTATGAATGATGCCTTCTCCCTACCATTACATGTCCCCATCTCCAGCCCTATGAATGATGTCACCCCCCTACCATTACATGGCCCCATCTCCAGTCCTATGAATGATGCCTCCCCCCTACCTTTACATGTCCCCATCTCCAGCCCTATGAATGATGCCTTCGCCCTACCATTACATGGCCCCATCTCCAGTCCTATGAATGATGCCTTCCCCCTACCGTTACATGGCCCCATCTCCAGTCCTATGAATGATGCCTTCCCCCTACCATTACATGGCCCCATCTCCAGTCCTACCATTACATGGCCCCATCTCCACTCTACTCAGTATCCCACGTACTCAACACATACTGTGGAGCTCTTGCCCTGTATAAGGCTTTTTGCTTAATGCATTAAAACTGGTAAGAGACACAATCTCTGTTTTCAAGGAATTTCCAGTTTAGTTGAAAATATTAAATGTATATGTCTTAACAAATTATCCTGTGGAATCAAATAAGAGCTCAAGACCATATATGAAAATCAAATAACATCTCAAGAACACAATAGTGAATAATGAATGAATACTGATTTGAGTAAAAATACAGTCAGGCAGGATAATAAAAATTTAAAGGAAGGAGATCTTCCTTCAGGCTGGGCTGGTAACCAAAAGCCCTACATAGGTGGGTGGTGGTTAACTCAGTTTCAATAGACAGCAACTACTCCAGAAGCCATGTCTGAAGAGAAAAACTTTAGCTAGGATTTGAAGGCAGGAAAGCAGATATCATTTGGTGAACATTGGACTGTCGTTTTTTCAACATACATCTATGGAACACTAACATTTGTTGAATAGTACTCCGATACACAGCAAAGAAGAAAAACTAATAAGCCCATAACTGACATTGAGTTCTAGTTGAGAAAAAAGACAATTAAAAAAATGTAATGCAATGTGATAAATGGTATAGGGATGTATACAAAATACCTGATTAAAAGAAATTGAGGACAGTTTTAGATAATATAGTACTTCAGCTTGTTTTTAGAGAATATGAAGGATTTGGCGGGAATTGTACAAAGTCCTAGAGGTATGGAAAGTTTGAGGAAGGCTGGTTGTGAGGGAGACAGTTAGATAAATCTGGAGAAATAGGTGAGACCACATCTGTACAATCTGGCTTGAGAAGTTTGTATAGAAGACAAAGATGAAAAAGAATGCTGTGTTCTAAGTCATTTTTAGAGTGCTATTCCTTTAGTCACAGCAAAGGTTAAGTTTAGGATACAAGCTTTAGACTTTCCAAGAAGGCAAATCAAATTTATCCTGGCCTTCTTGACTTCTGCATCTCCATCTTCTACGTTTTATGCTCTTGGTCATTTTCAACAAACTTGTCCTAGTGATTTTTATTTCTCATTGTTACACACTCTCTTCTTCTCTTACTCTGGCCTGCTTGAATGTTGTGTTCTTGCTGTCAGATTCAGGATGCAGTCCTTCCTGGCAACTCTTCCACTCCACAGAATAGAATTGTTTGCCCCAACAAATTGCTTTTCAGTAGTCAAACACACTTGGACTCCTGCTACTAGATGTATTGTTCTCTCTCATCTCCCCTATTAAGTGCACTGAAATGATTGAGCCACCCATTTGAAACATATCCCATAAATTAATGGAAGAAATTAAAATTTGAGTGGAGAGCAGGAATAGGATTTTCAAAATTGAGACTAAGGCAACAAAATTCATGATGAAATGTAGGGAGGAGACGTAACTTAGCTACACAGAAAAGAGGTGAGTGCTGTGCTTTGGGAGAATAAGACAAGGACAGACAAGTAACTGAATTAGTAATTGAAAGGATAAACTCTATACATACCAGGAAAGGCACATTAAGACATATTGATATGAGGTGATGGTGTGGGGCAAAATGGTCCATTCTTTTCACCAATTATTGAGGAAAATGGGGCATTAATAACAGAAATAGAAATGTCAGATAAGGAAGGAAATCTGGGGTTAGGAATTATCTTTAGTTTTAGGCATACTGAACTTATGATGCAGAAAACTCTGCCTGCCATTTGGAAATGAGAAACTAAATCTTAGAAGAGAAGACGATGCTAGGAAAATACATTGGCAATCACCTATCAAAAGCCATGTCTAAGAGACAGATTGTAGAAAAAGAACAAGAGCCTTTAATGGAAATGTCCACATTTCAGAAAAGAAAAAAACAAGGGCAAGAATAAAGTTAGATCAAGATAATATTGTAAAATGGAAATCTAGATAGGAGGGAACTTTAAGGAGGCAAGGTTAGTTAACTGTGTAAACACTTCCAATAGGTCCAGAATAATTAGAACTGAAGAAAAACTTACGGAGCTGGTAATGACATAATCTTTTTCAGTTAAGTAGAATGGACAGACTCTTGACTGCTGGGTGATAAGGACTGAGGAAATGAATGAGTAGAAGGTGGGTACAGAACACGAATTAGAAAAATCTGATAGAGAAAGAAATGGGAGACATATAAATTAATTATCAGGGTAGACCAGGGAGATAAAAGGAAGCATCTACCAGCAGAAACATAGACGTAGAGTCTGGTCTACAACCTGAGCAGAGAACAATTATATTTCTACCAACTCTTTTCTTCTCTTAAGCTTCTCTCCTTATGGTTCAGAGTAACACTACTTGAGAAATCTTATCTTTCTGTCACCACTTTTTATGTGATATTTGGTATCATATATTATAATAAAACCTATTCCTATAAAATTACTCAGCTTGAGGTTATTTCACAAAAATGCTATAATTTGGAACATGAAGAGAGCAAAACTCTCTACCAGTGTGTTGGAGTCATCTATGTGGCAGTAGAGAGGAGAATAAAAACAAGGAATTGGGTGTTGGAAGATATCAATAATTGCTCAATCTGGGAAGACAACTACTTGTCTTTAATTCAAGAGAAATCTGATGAATGAAAATAAATCAGTAAGAATTACAGGAATATTTAGACAAGATATACGTGGGAATCTCATAAAAATTATGCACTATTTAAGAAATATGCAAGTTCGTGTGTTTTTCTAAAATATATTATTTAATTTTCAAGTTTTATGCTTATATGAGAAAATGCACTGCTAGTGCAACTAAAATATAATATTTTACACAGATCAAGGAAAATTTCTTAAGAAGGGAAGCTATAGTATAAAAAAAGGCAATTGGAATTGATGGTGTATGTGAGACTTTCCCACAGCATTTTCCAAATAATTTAATCTTCTCATTTTTCTCTTTACACTGCCAAAATAAATAATGAATGTCTTTTGTGCAAAATCTATGACAAAATTAAAAATGCACACGTTCACTGAAACATATTCTTGACAATTAATTATTGCCATAGATATAGATAAATTCTATCTTTTGAGCCAAATGCTGAAATCATGTAATCAATTCTTTAAATGAACTAAATAAAAAAGAATACATTTAAATATAAACATAATATTTTGATTAACATATAAAACATTTTAAAGAAAACATTACTGACTCTACCGTGAGACAGAATGGTAACATGCATAACTATTCAAAATTATTAACACTCTCTTTTCCTATAAGAAGATTATGTATTTACAGATTCCCAACTATTGACTTAGGCTTAGTGATGTGACTTGTGTTGGCCAAAGAAATGAAAGTGGACATGCGGTGTGCGCAGGAGAGCAGAAATTTTAATACAGCTGTGTAGTTGAACTTGTCTTCCCCTCTGCCTCATGAATGTGTTATCATCCTGGGCCCAGGAATAAGAAGAGCTGTGGATCAGAGCCCAGCAGTGCCAAAATATTTTTGCTTTTAATGTTTGTGTTAAGCTGAAACACTGACTAAAATGGGCAGACAAGTGAAAATTATACTTTTCTCACTTTCTGAAATTTAGACTTTGATTTTCAAAAAATGAGACAGGAAATGTTCTAAAGTTCAGTGTTTTGGTTTCTAGTGTTTAAACAATAGAGCATTTCATGCATCTCTATATTCATTCATTCAGGAAATATTTAAGGAACACATACTTTGTACAAATGGTATACATGAGATGTGTAAAATAAACTTACATCCATGGCCTAACATTCTAAAAATATGAAAAATCCAAGTTCTACATGGAAATATTTAACTTTCAAGTAAGAGGTTTACAACTTTAAAATTTAATCATAAAAATCATACACGTTCGGGGCCATGGATTAGGCAAAGAATTCTTAAACGATAAATGTGAAGCTATAACATAAAGGGAAAAGTTGATAAATTAGACCATGTTAGAATTAACAACTTTTGGCTATCAAAAGGTATGAATAAGAGAATGAAAAGACAAATGACATAGTGAAAGCAGATATTTGCAATACATATATCTGATACCAAGATACATAGCCAGAAAAAAAAAATATGAAAAAGATGGTCGGTATCATTAGTCATCTGAGAAATGCAAAATGAAATGCAATACCACTAAATATCCATTAGAATGGCTAAAATGAAAAGGAAACACAAAGTGTAGCCAAATATGTGCAACTACTGTATATGTGTGTATGTACACATACACACACGTATATATTACATATATTTTTATATATAATATTAAATTAAAAAGTAAAATGTTAAATTTATAATATATAATGTAATAATATCTATACATGCAACATTCATAAACTACTAGTTGGAGCGTACAACCTCTTTTAAAAACTGACAGTATTTATT
Organism: Homo sapiens; assembly: GCF_000001405.40. Taxonomy (NCBI): domain Eukaryota; kingdom Metazoa; phylum Chordata; class Mammalia; order Primates; family Hominidae; genus Homo; species Homo sapiens. Next base: position 216,102,504 of record NC_000001.11, read on the forward strand.
AAGTTATACTTGTGGGCCGGGCACAGTGGCTCACGCCTGTAATCCCAGCACTTTGGGAGGCCGAGGCAGGCGGATCACGAGGTCAGGAGACCGAGACCATCCTGGATAACACGGCGAAACCTCGTCTCTACTAAAAGTACAAAAAAATTAGCCGGGCGTCGTGGCGGGCGCCTGTAGTCCCAGCTACTCGGGAGGCTGAGCCAGGAGAATGGTGTGAACCCGAAAGGCGGAGCTTGCAGTGAGTGGAGATCGCGCCACTGCACTCCAGCCTGGGCGACAGAACGAGATTCCGTCTCAAAAACAAACAAAAAAGTTACCCTTGTATCTTTTGATATATGTATGTTTTCATCCAGCCGTTCTACTCCTGGATCTACATCCAGCCCCACCCAAATGCATAGGGTCACAAGATATACAAGTATGTTTACAGCAAGACCTTTCATTACACCTTCAAACTGAAACATACACACGTGTCACTCAACTGTACAAACAACAGATATAGCAATGAGAATGAACAACTATATACATGAATCTCACAAACATGGATTGTGTAAGAGATACTAAGTACACAGGAATATATACTGTATGATCCCATTTATATCAAGTTCAAAACTAGACAAAAATCCACGTATGATGTTAGAAGTCTGGATAGAGGTAATCCTGGCTGGGATTTAGAAAGGGCACAAGGCAGGCCCACTGGGGGCCCAGTAGTGTTCTATTTTGTACTGTGGGTGCTGGGTACACAAGGCTATCCGGGTTATAAAAATGGGTCAACCTGCACACTGCTACTTTTTGCACTTTTCTGTATGTATGTTAGACTTCAACACAAACATTTTTCAAAAACCAAATGTGTCTCTCTTGAACTAAGAAACATAAAAAGCCATCCAAAAGCCTTTATCCCTGTCAACTTAACTTTGTTATTGCAGATACAGGAAAATGTAAGACATTTCAAAATGATTGGAAATTGTCAAGTAATAGCCATACAAAGCTATTGTAAGAACAAAAAGAAATCAAGAACTAATACATTTCAGCTGATGAAAATTTTGCCTTCCAAAATCCAAATCAAGAGAAGGAACCTGTAATACAAGTCCCTAGTATGAATGAAAAAGCTGCTAAAAAGTTACTATAGATTTTTTTAATCTTTTATCAGAAATTTAAATTCTTACAATGGACATGTAGAATACATAAAAAAATCCTACAACTCAATAAAAAGCCAAGCAACCCAATAGAAAATGAGCAAAACGTCTAAACAATCACTTGACTAAAAATTCTGATATGCAAATAACCATATTTGCTCATGAGAAAGATGTTCAGTGTCATCATTCATCCAGGAACTGCAAATTAAAACTACAATGAGACACATCTCCATACTCACTAGAATTGGTCAAATTAAAAACACCAAAATCTGCTGAATAGGTGATGCAATGGAAACTCTCATACATGCTAATGTAAAGGCAAAATTAAACAATCATTTTGGAAAACTGCTTGGCATTCTCTAAGTTAAACATATACCTAGCCGAATCCAGTCTTTGACTTACCTTTTCATTTTTTTTTTAATTTAAAGTTTTGATTCTTTTTTTTTATACTTTAAGTTTTAGGGTACATGTGCACAACGTGCAGGTTTGTTACATATGCATATATGTGTCATGTTGGTGTGCTGCACCCATTAACTCATCATTTACATTAGGTATATCTCCAAATGCTTTCCCTCCCTCCTCCCCCCACCCCACAACAGGCCCTGGTGTGTGATGTTCCCCTTCCTGTGTCCATGTGTTCTCATTGTTCAATTCCCACCTATGAGTGAGAACATGCGGTGTTTGGTTTTTTGTCCTTGCGATAGTTTGCTGAGAATGATGGTTTCCAGCTTCATCCATGTCCCTACAAAGGACATGAACTCATCATTTTTTATGGCTGCATAGTATTTCATGGTGTATATGCACCACATTTTCTTAATCCAGTCTGTCATTGTTGGACATAGACCAATGGAACAGAACAGAGCCTTCAGAAATAATGCCACATATGTACAACCATCTGATCTTTGACAAACCTGACGAAAATAAGAAATGGGGAAAGGATTCACTATTAAATAAATGGTGCTGGGAAAACTGGCTAGCCATATGTAGAAAGCTGAAACTGGATCCCTTCCTTACACCTTATACAAAAATTAATTCAAGATGGATTAAAGACTTAAATGTTAGACCTAAAAGCATAAAAACCCTAGAAGAAAACCTAGGCAATACCATTCAGGACATAGGCATGGGCAAGGACTTCATGTCTAAAACACAAAAAGCAATGGCAACAAAAGCCAAAATTGACAAATGGGATCTAATTAAACTAAAGAGCTTCTGCACAGCAAAAGAAACTACCATCAGAGTGAACAGGCAACCTACAGAATGGGAGAAATTTTTTGCAATCTACTCATCTGACAAAGGGCTAATATCCAGAATCAAACAAATTTACAAGAAAGAAACAAACAACCCCATCAAAAAGTGGGCGAAGGATATGAACACATACTTCTCAAAAGAAGACATTTATGCAGCCAACAGACACATGAAAAAATGCTCTTCATCACTGGCCATCAGAGAAATGCAAATCAAAACCATAATGAGATACCATCTCACATCAGTTAGAATGGCAATCATTTTCTTAATATTTTAGATGAAGTTGAATTTACCATTTTTTAATGGTTAGCGCTTTGTTTGTACCTTGTCTGAGAAATCTTTACCAACACCAAGATGATCAAGATATTTTCTCATTTATCTTCTAGAAGCTTTATAATTTCAGCTTTTATTTATTAGGTCTATGAACCCATCTCAAATTAAATTGTATGCATGATGTGAGATAGGGGTCAAGCTTTATTGTTTTTTTTTGACTCCTATACACTATACAGTACTATTTGTTGAAAAGATTGTACTCGCCCCATTGAACTGCCTTACCTCTATCAAATTTTAATTGACATTGGAAGTCTGAGTCTATTTCTGATTAATTTGCCAGTACAAATACTATGAAGTCTTAATTATTATGGCTTTATTTTAAATCTTGAAATAAGATGGCTCAGTTTGCCATTTTTTTAATACTTTATTCAATAGTATTTTGGATATTCTAGGTCTTTCAACTTGTAGAATCAACTTGGGAATTTCTTCAAAAAAGCTTGCTGGAATTTTGATTGGAATTACATTAAATGAATAAATTGACTTCAGGAAAATGGCTATTTTAACAATATTTTGTTTTTCATCCACAAACATGATAAATCTTCATCTATTTAGGTTTACATTGATTTTTCTAAGTTATGTTTTATAGCTTTGGCTATACAAATATTTTCATTTATTTTGTTAAATTTAAGTGCTATGTTTTGAATATTCTTTTAAATCCAACTTTGTTTAAATTGTTTATTGCTAGTATGTTCAATTAATTTTGTTTATATTAACATTGTATTCTGCAATCTTTCCAAGTTCATTTATTAGTTTTAACACTTTTTCAAAGATTTTTTAAAGCATTTACATACAAAATTATGTCGATGACAAATACATTTTCTTTTCCTTTTCTATATTTATGACTTTTATATTATCGTATTGTTTTAGCAGTGGCTAGAACTACTGGTAAAGTTTGAACGAAAACTTGATCCCTATCTTAAAATCAAAACATGCACTATTTCACTTTTATATATTTATATATATAAATATATAAGTATATTAAGTATGTATAAGTATATATAATAAATATATATTAAATATATATTGTATATATATTTTGCCTGTTTTACGGCCCAGCATATTAGCTGTAGAATATTTGTAGTGTACATTTCATATATGTATACTATATATATATATATGTATATGTATTCTGTAGAATATTTGTAGTGGTCCTTCATCTCTCCTATTCTTAGTTTGCTGAAAGTTTTCATTATGAATAGGTATAAAATTTTGTGAAATGTCTTTCAGCTGTATTGAGATAATATGATATTTTGCTATACTATTTCCTCTATTAATGTGGTAAATCATATCGATAGATTTTTAAAATTAATCCAAAATATTTTTTTCTCTCTCTTCCTCTCCTTTTCTCTCTCCCCCCTCCTTCTCTCCCCTTACCACTCTCCATTCCCCAACACCCATAATTCTTGCAAATCAATTCTGGGCTTTGCTTTCTGTTTCCATTTCATTGATATCCAATTCTGCCTTAATTTTTTTCATTTCTTATTACTTTGGTCTTAATTTGTTCTTTTTTGCCTGTTTTAAGAAGAAGCTTAGGAAAGCTTGGACTTTTTTCTTCTAAGATAACCATTTAACCTATACATTTCTCTCCAGGCCTTACTTGGGGTGCATTCCAAAAAGTTCATGTTATACTTTATTTTTTGTTAAAAAATTCCCCTTAATTGGTAGGGCATTTAGAAATGTGTTGTTTAATTTGAAGTATTTAGAAAATTTCCAGATAGCATTTTCAGACTGATTTCTAATTTAATTCTATATAAACAGAGAATATATTCTGACTTCAACTTTTTAAATATATTAAGATTCTTTTATGGCCCAGCATATTAGCTGTAGAATGTTTGTAGTGTACATACTTTCAAATATACATACTTTCCATGTACATTTGAAAAACAATAGCTATTTTCCAGTTTTGTATAGAATGTACAATAACTGTCACTGAAGTTTGTTGATAGTGTGTTTGATTTTTCTGTATTTTTATAGATTTTTATCAACTTCTTTTATTAAGTACTAAGAAAGTCATTTAAAAATCTTGAAATATAGAAGGGAATTTGTCTATTTTGTCCTTTGGTTTGTAAACTTCTGCTTTATGTATTTTGAAACTCTATTACTACATATAAGCACATTTAGGATAATTTCTTCTTAATCAATTGACTATCATTATAAAATGTCTGTTTAGTAATATTACTGGTCTTAAAGGTAATTTTGGCTGATATAAATATTGCCACTACCATTTTCTTATGATAAATGTTTCATGGTTTATTTTTTCCATCCTTTTACTTTTAAGCTTTTTATGTTTTTATACTTGAAGTGTGTTTCTTGTACACCCTTTGTAAGTCTTGCTTATTTAGCCAGTTTAATAATCTATTCTTTTTGATTGTTGTGTTATGTGCATTTATATTCAACATAATTATTAATATGTTTTTAACTTAATTTTACCATCTTGCTATTTGAATTCTCTCTTTTCTTACTTTCTTCTTCTTTTTTTTTTTTGCATTTGCTGTTTGCTTCTTTGCTGTGCCTTCCCTACCTTGTTATGGATTAGAGGAGTTACCTTAACATTCCATTTTGCTACCTTTTTCATCTCCCTAGGTAGACTTTAGACTTTTTAAAATGGCTCTCTAAGGATCATCATATGCATTCTTAACACACATACTATCACAAATTAACATTATACTACTTCACATATAAGATCCTTACAGCAACATACTTCCATTTACCATTGTCCAATTATTTGTACTATTTTTTATACAGTTTAATTTTATATATGTTGTAAACTGCAGAATATGTTTAAAATTTCTTGTTTTCACTAATCAAATGTCTTCAAAAGAGTTTTTAATAATATTTTCTGTTTATTCACATTTTTAATTTCCATTTTCCTTCATTTTTTCCTCACACTTGAGTTATTATTGGTATTTTTAGCCTAAAACTTTTTTTAGCACTTCTTGTAATGCAAGACTATTCATGATATACTAACTCTTTCTTTAATCTAAAAATGTCTTTCAAATTATTTTTGAATAATACGTTCACTGAATATAGAATTGAGATTGGTGTTTTAAAGTTTCTAAAGATATTGTATTATCTTCTAGCCTCAATTATTTTTGATGAAATGTTAGCCTTCATTCATTTCATTGTTTTCTTCTATGTAGTGCCTTTTTCCTTTTCTCTAGCTGATTTTAAGGTTTTTATTTCCATAATCTTTTTTTTTTAGTAATCGGACTGTGAGTATACAATATGTGGCTATATTATACTTATTCTACTTGGAATTCATTGAGCTTCTTGCATTTTTAGGTTGTTTCATCATCAAATTTGAATATTTAGCAACAGTTATTTCTTCAAATATTTTTCTGCCTATTTCTTCTTCCTGGAACCCACATCTCCATGTATGTTAAATCTCCTGATATTATTCCACATGTTATCGATCTGTTTATTTTTTAACCTATTTTTCTCTTCATTTTTCTTTGGTTACTTCATAATGATATGTGTTTAAATTCATTAATCTTTTATTCTGCACTGACCAATTTGCTATTATACTTATCCAATAAAGTTTTTATTGTAAATTTATACTTTTCAGATCTAGAATTTCCATTTTATTTCTTCTTAGAGCTATCATTTATCTCTTAAAATATTTTATCTTTTCATCCATTATATGAATTTTACCTTTAATTTTTTTTAAATGTTTACAATATTTGCTTTAAATTCTTTGCTTTCTAATTACAGTAATTTGGCAATCTGTGGATACATTTCTACTGACTTATGTAGAACTGAAGTTGGGCTTTAATTGTATTTAGTTCACTTGTGTTTAGCTCAACCTTCAACCATTGGTGATGCCACCTTTTGGATCTTATCCTCATTTGAGCTAGCGGGGGACTTGGCTGGGACTATAAATATTTTTGGCTCATATTTGGATTAAATTTATTCATAATTCTGGAATCCAATCATGGCAAAATTTCATAGGAATCCACTTCTAGGGCCTCTTCAACTGACTTTATCTTAGCAAAATTCAAGTGTGGAGGATAATAGTGTAACCTGGGGCTGAGCTACTTGCTTTGGCATTTAGACTTTTAGATCTAATTTCATCTTACTAGGCTACATTGTTGTCTAAGGGTGGATGGTTTCCCCTTGACCTTAAAAATTCTCCCCATCTACAATAGCATACTCCTCCGCTGTCTGAACAAGTGTTTAGCCTCAGATATGGAAGCTGCCACAGCACTCTGATCACCTATGAAGCACTTATTTCTTCCTAAAATTCAATTCAGCCAGGGTTTTCTGCATTGCTTGCTCCTTGACAGACTCATAGAAAAAGATATTTCTTTAGTCTGGTTTTCTTGTTGTTACCATGAAAGCGAAGTTCTTTCTTACTGTTCTACATCCCAATTTGAAACAGAAGTTTCTAATTATTTTATGAGTAATTTTGTGAGAACAGGAATGCAACTGTTTTATATATATTTCTCTTGACTCCAGTCAATTTGTAGATTGTTCAACTGGTTCTATATTTTCAGTGGATTATCTTGGATTTTACAGGAAATATTATCAGAAAATAATAATTATCTGATCAATTTATGTCCAACTTTTAAACTCCTATTTCTTACTGCATTAATCGGACCTCTGCAACAGTGATAAGTGATAGCAGTGATAAATTCTTCTCTTTTTAATGCTATTTCATGTTTTGTAAAAATTGATGTATTTATCTACATATTTGTTCAATTGTCTAATCATCTTCATATTCAATATTTTTTCTTGTAAATTCTGAATCTTTCTTAAAGATATACCTGTATTTTCCAAATGTACCCTTTATATAGATGATTATATTCTCATAAGAATTTTTCAAAAATTTAGGATAGCCTTTAAGCCAGACATTTTCTCTTTCTAGCTTTCAATAACAAGGTTAACAATTTTTTACTTTAGAAGCAGATATTAATCCACGGGTTTAGAAAAGTCAATCAAGTATCATATGATGTTAAAAATAACAAAAACAAAACAAAACAAAACAAAACAAAAACCCAGCCAGGCACAGTGTCATATGCCTATAGTCTCAGCTATTTGGGAGTCCAAGGCAGGAGGATGGCTTGAACCAAGGAGTTTGAGTACAGCCTGGGCAAGATAGTGACATAGTGAGACCCTGTCTCTAAAACAAAAGAAAACAAAAAACTAACAACAAATACTAGTTAACTTTTAGCAGTAATAAAGAAATGGATTAATGAAAGGAAGAAATGAAAACATCAGCCTACATTAAAACATAAAACTAGAGAAAATAAACAGTAGACAATAACTTAAAGATACATCAGTTCCATTAACTTGCCTTTGCTTTCACCAAAATACATGTTTGCTCTGAATAATAAAGATAAACAAGAAAGGCATAATACTTACTTTAAGGGAAACCCATCCTATAGCAGTAGAAGTATTTGTATCCAAATGAGTACAAAATATTATAAAGACCCAGTACAAGAGGGATATGTAATCTACAGCTATAAAATAGCAAAAGTGATTAATTTTGTTGAAATGAGAGCAAAATGATATACAGAAAAAGTTCACAGAAGCTGTGATGGTTAAGCAGGACTGTGAAGACTGAATTAAAATTCAGTGTGTGCACAAAGAAGTGAAGGGCATTACAGGGCATCAATAAATAAATGTTCATAGAAAGGAAGAAATTGCAGTCGAAGAGAAAGCACTTTCTTGAAACTACTACCACCACCAGACTGTCTCTTTCTTGTTGATTTTTATAACTACCTGTATCTGGCCGGGCATGGTGGCTCACGCCTGTAATCCCAGCACTTTGGGAGGTCAAGGCAAGCGGATCACTTTAGGTCAGGAGTTTGAGACTAGCCTAGCCAACATGGTGAAACCCCATCTCTACCAAAAATACAAAAATTAGTTGGGCTCGTTGGCACACTTGTAATCCCAGCTACTCAGGAGGTTGCGGCAAGGTAAACACTTGAATCCTGGAGGCGGAGGTTGGAGGTTGCAGTGAGCCGAGATCGTGCCACTGCACTCTAGCCTGGGTGACTGAGTGAGACTCCATCTCAAAAACAAACAAACAAATAAACAAACAAAAAACTACCTGTATCTGCAGTCTGCCTAGTATTCCCTGTTTATATCATAGAAGAAAGTATCAAACCAAAGTGTTGAGACGAGGATGAAAGGTGTCAGAATCTGCTGCTATCGCTAAGTTCTCCTTCTCCTTCGGATACATTAACCAAATCCATTGATCTCAATCCTAGGGTTATGACAGACAACACATTCTTCAAATCCTGCTAGGAAACACATGAAATAAATGAGTAGAGCTTACGGATCTAAAGCATGTTCTTTGACTCATATTCAACAGAAAATTCCAATATTATAATCAGAATGATATGACTCAGTTTAAAAAAACTATCAGAAACTTTAAAAAACGCTTTATTAAACTAGTAGAATAAATTGGTCAAAGATGTATAAATAACTGCTGAAAAACAAGACAAATAAAATATGCCAATACAATACTCAAAATATACTTTTTTCAGGAAACTACAGTATGGAAAATCTAGTATGCATAGGCTTCTGAAACTAAAAAGAAAATTTTCACATAAAATTAATTTATTCTATTAGCTAGGTATTTTCTTATTCTTGCACACATAAAGACAGCAGAAACCCCTTGGTTTCATTATCAAATATCCCTTCAGCTTCATTCCTACTCAATCCAATTGCTCAGAGATGGATTTCCATGCCTAGTTAGTGCATTAGGGAATGTAAAAGTTCATTTTCATATGGAAGTAACTCTGGCTATATAGTTTAATTTAAATTATGCAAAACAGTTCCTAAATTAGAAAAACTTTTTCTTTTTACTTGACTGCCATTAGGTGGTGCTAGAAATGTCTCCATTCATAAACTATTTATGGCTAACCAGCTCTATAAATACATGAATAACAAAATCTCCATTGATTATACTCGACAAAATAACAGTTGAAAGCTAACCTGAAAATATGAGCGCCCTGGAATGAATCCCCAAACATTCCTTAGAATACCAAAGTTGTGTTATCTTATTATTTAAACATGTATTTTTTCTTCCTTTTGAAAATTAAATTTTTTTCAGTTGCTTACTACAAAAGAATTCAATAAATATTAGATTAGCATTCTAAAAATTACAATGGAACTATAGATTAGGATTAAAAAGTAGGGCAATACCTGAGGAAAAAAACAAGAATAATGTGCTTTAATGTAAAAGAAGTGTTGAGAAATGATTTCATTCTGGTCTGTATAAAACAAAGAAATGTGTTTTATAAAAACTTTTATTTTAGGTTGTGGGGTACATGTGAAGGTTTGTTACATACATGAATTTGTGTCACGGGGGTTCAATGAACAGATGATTTCATTATACAAGAATTAAGCCTAATACCCAATAATTATCTTTTCTGCTCCTCTCCCTTCTGCCTCCCTTCACCCTCAGATAGACCCCAGTGTCTGTTGTTCCTTTGTGTTCATGAGTTCTCATTATTTAACTCCCACTTATAAGTGAGAATGTGCAGTATTTAGATTTCTGTTCCTGCATTAGTTTGCTAACGGTAATGGCCTCCAGCTCTATGTTCCTGCAAAAGACATGATCTTGTTTTTTTTCATGTTTGCATGGTATCTCATGCTGTATATGTACCACATTTTCTTTATCTAGTCTGTCATTGATGGGCATTTAGGTTGATTCTATGTCTTTGCTATTGTAAATAGTGCTGCAATGAACACCCGCGAGCATGTGTCCTTAGGGTAGAATGATTTATATTCTTCTGGGTATATACCCAGTAATGGGATTGCTGGGTCAAATGGTGGTTCTGCTTTTAGATCAAAGAATGTTTTCTTTCGTCTTTTGAAATAATCCCCCATTCCTTCCTTGGAACGATTAAAATCTGTAGCTGTCTAAATGTGACCCTTATAAGGACTGATCATGCTTTACAACCTCCAAATGATAAAAAAAAAAAAAAAAAAACAAAACAAGAAAGTAATATCCACCAGATACTTTATGAAATACATATACATGCTATAGTGCTGATTTCCTGAGCAGAATAGCCCATAGATTCCTACTCTTAAATGGAGATACTGAATTGCATGATCTCTAAAATCTGTGGTAGCATGTGAATTTATAAATTAATGAACTGAAATTGTCATCTAACCGCCTTTTCATTTCTGAGTTCACTGCAAGAAATTTCTCAAGTTGTGTAATTTCCTTTCCATATGTTATAAATAGTTTTCAGCCACTGTCAGGCAAAACATTTCTAGCATCAGGAATAGTTTGGCCTGGCATTTCTGAAAGACGCCAACTAGTATTCGATAGATTTAAAATGAAATCTTATTCTAGTTTTAATTTGTATTTACAAGATGAATAGTGATTTTGAACTTTCATCGTAGTTCTTCATTTGGATACTTTTTTGTCATTTGTGCATCCTTATTATTGATCTGTAAGCGTTTTTTCCACATTAAGGGTATGGTTTCTTTGTCTGTCACTTGTTAAAGTCATTTACTTTTTTTTAACAATTGACTTTTAAATGTTATTTTTAAATGTAAAAAGGGGGTTTATTTTTGTTTTAAAATCTAAATGTTTTCAATAATGGCGTCTTCCTTTGCTTTTTATAATTGGGCTTCCTAGCCCAGAATTTGTAACTTACTTATATTTTTTCTGTTCATTTTCTGTATTTTTATATTTAATTTTCTGGAAAAAATAAAGTATTAAATATAAAATTTGTAATTTATTTTGACATGTAAAGTGAGATAGGGATATATTCCAGTTTTCTTTCTTACTTACAAATTTACTTACAAAATTGCTTTTTTTAGTAAATTTTTAAAATTCTGCTTTTAGCTACCTATCAACTAATTCACTCTTTTGTATTAAAATGATTATTATAAGTTCTTCTTTTCTCTTTTCCTTAAATAGATCCTGCACATTTCTTGTTAAGCTATAGTACTTATTATATATTTAATTGATATTAAGAATCAGATCATTTTCAGATTTGTTATTGCTGAATTATGGAAAAAATATTTATTTTTATGTATTTATTTATAGCTAACCATCTTATTGTACTTCTGTTATTTATAATAGGTTTTGATGGCTTTTTTAGGTATAAACTTATTTTCTGGAAATTTCATCTATTCCTTTTCAACAGCCATAATTCTTTTTTCTGTCATTACACATGGGTTATATCATCCAGAACAACACTAAATAACAGTGGAGGTGATAAGCATTATTCATTGTCCCTAACTAGTAAAAATTGATATCATTTTTAAACCCTTAAGTAAAATGTTTACTCTTGGTTTGTCCACTTATTATTTTTGTCTTAGGTAACTATGTTTCTAGTTCATTTTTTACATAATTTTATTCCTCCTCTTAGCATACACTTCTTGAGTTGCTATTCTGTGAAAGGTAAGTAAAGCTGACTACAATGCATTTTAAATTTTTAGGAAACTTTAGGCTAAAAGAGGAAGAAAGCAGTCAGGGGATATTATCCAGAAAGAAAACATTTTAGGTGATTGGTAAACCCTGAAGAAATGAAATTTCCAGTGGAAGGATTCACCAGTGCAAACACCAATAGCAACCAACACGTCAAATATGAAATGCCACCAGATGCCATAAAAGAACAACTCAGGGCTTCCCTTGAATAGCTTTTTAAACTTAGCTACAAATATAGAACTATAGGCTTATGTGTATATAAAGTTTTAAGTTAAAATGTATAGATAGATACAGATACATAGATATTAATAGATATCTATGGTTATTTAGATGTGTATTTTCATAGATATATATCTATCTGCATATAGATATCTATTTATATCTGTATCCGTATGTATAGAGAGAGCTCTATCTATGTAGATATAGGCATCTATGTATCTTTCCATCCCTCTCCAAATTATCAACCCCAAATTGCCCTTACATACCAAGATATTTATTTATTTTTGTTTTGTTTTGTTTTGTTTTGTTTTGTTTTGTTTGAGACAAGGTCTTTCTCTGTTGTAAGGCTTGAGTGTAGTGGCGTGATCATAGCTCACTGCATCATTGACCTCCTGAACTCAAACAATCCTCAGCAATTCTCCCACCTCAGCCTCCTGAGTAGCTGGGACTACAAGCATGTGCCATCACACCCAGCTAATTTTTAAAAGACTTTTTTGTAGAAACAGGGTCTCACCACAGTGCCCAGGCTGGTCTAGAACTCCTGGACTAAGCAATTCTCCCTCTTCAGCTTCCCAAAGTGCTAGGATTACAGGCGTAAGCCATTGTGCTGGGCACAAATATATTTATGCAATTGTCAATACAAGATCAAGATTTCTCAAGAAAAAATATATGAAAGTACATTATAAAAAAGACTTTTAAAATCAGTGTATTATTAAAAAGTACATTATAAAAATATACTTGAGTTTATTGTAAAAATGCTTCTTATTCAGAATGCTTCTATCAACATCCAATAGTTGTACATTTTCATCCTCCCTTTATACGTACTGTATTTATTCAATTCCAAACAATTGAATAAATTGAATTTATTCAATTCCAAAATAGATGAAATACATTTCATCTATTACATAAATATACCCCACATTGAATTCATTTGGAAAACAATTGTGTCTCAAATTGAAATCATAATAGTCTAAAATATAAATTGAATGCCATTTAATGACATTGAATTATGAATTGTAGAAATCTACATAAAGGACTTGCTTGTTTTATAAAGGAAAAGAGAAAATTCAGCATGCATTTTTGTTTTTTTGAAATAATTTCTATTTTACCTTCATACCTTGTAAAATTTTTAGTATTTTAACAAGTGACTCTAGCAAATAAAGCATTTAAGCTTAGGCTAAAGCAAAATGTTAGTACTAATTGTAGTTATAAAAATATTTTTAATACAAATGAATTTTTATCATTACTTACTCTGTGTTTCTATAAAATTAAAAAAATAATAACTTTTTACGTATATTTGTAAAACACATTAGTTCTAGTTTCATGTTTTATACCTCAAATAAGATCCAGGTGCATGCATAGATACATGTATATAAATTATATTTCATATTTGTAATTGCACGTTTACATATAATAAACATACAGATACTTCATAAAATTTATATTTATTTTGATAAAAGAAATTTCAAAAATTGATCTTACAATATCTACTAAAATATACTGTATTTTATTTTGTAAAACAAGCATTATGGGGGGAAAAATAAAATTCCACTAACTTGAAGCATTAGTAAAATTGCTGAGTGACCTTGACCTTGGAATGATTTCAATGGTGTCCATGTCAAGCATAATGGTAGAAAGTGTTCAATGACCCAAAAGGACATTAAAGAATTTTACTCTGGGGTTTTACACCAAAGCCCTCTCTAGTAACAATCTCAGTGGATCCCAAGCAATTGGACCAATACGATACTTTATGCCAGACTCCCTTGGAAAAAATTAGAGTCCCAGAAATGGAATGAAAGCAAAACTATTTTTCTTGTTGCACTTTTAAATAATAGACTGTTAACTCACAATGAACTCACAGTCTCCACTCCTGATTCTGACCCTACATTTTGGATACAATATTAGGGTCGCTTCAGGGTTCTTGTACAGAAGAATCCTGCCTTAAAAAGTAAGGGAATAACAAAATGAAGGTGCTGGCTAATCTAACATTATGACAGAAGGAAAAAAAAAGCTAACACAGAAAACATCAGACAGGATTAGGAACTTCCTGAAGATCAATACTTGATCACACATCTAATTTTGAGTGTGCTGGAATAGTCACATCATACTCCACCTCATTTAAACAGAGAAAGGAAAGGAAGGGGGTGCTCCTGAGGGAAGCTGATTTAGCATAACTATGAAAATGACTTAACTCATGGCCATTACCTCTCTTACCCCAGGCTATTTTATTTTGCTTGTCAGGAGTAGGGCAAGAAGTCTGTTGGCTGCCTAGAATGACACTTTGTCTTTGGTAGCCATGGTTTAGTAAAGATCCAGTATTTTACTAAAATGGCATTGTGGAGGCTCTCCACAGACAAAGAACATGTTAATAAAATGAACTAGTGTCCTCCTTCCAGGCCAAGGAATACCTAAACTATCATTATGGTCAGACTGCAATATTTATCTCCAAATACGTAGTTTGAAAATACTAAGATTCCAATAATGCATGTCAAATGAATGAAAGAATAAAATCTCATAACTATTTTAGTAAACCATATAATTATATAATCACTCTTACAGGAAGTAAATCTTTATATATAACTGAGCACATTCTTAATGCAACTTAATTTCATTTTCCTTAGTTCACACTGATGTGGGAATTAATAAGTATTAACAGATCTGCATGGTAACAATACACATATTTGAACCTGGTTATTAATTCATTCCTCATACTTTAATCATCAGGACACTAAAATATTAGGCATATTCAATTCAATAGAAGTAAAAACTGTTTAGAAATTAGAGGAATGTTTGCCTTTGTGTAGACACACCTATTTATAAACTTTTAAGTGTTTTAGCTAATACAACTATATCTTCCCTCAATTAAATCACTTGCAATATATGAACCACTTTAGAGAAAAAATAGCTTCTTGGCCCTCACTCTGACCTCATATACACACAGAAACACAGACACACATACACACACAGACACACATATATATATGTATATATATATACACAGATATATATATACACACACAGATATATATATGCATGTATACACATATATAGATATATATATGCATGTATACACAGATATATATATGCATGTATTCCTCCTCCAAAGGAGTCATTTTGTTAAGATATTTCTTTGGTAAAAGTGAAAAAAAAAGTGTGGGAAGGGGAATTTGATGTTTGGCTTAATGATTAAAAAACAAATGCTAGAGCCAAGCTTTCAAAAACTAGCTTCTGCACTTAATTTATATGTAACTTTGGACAAATCGTTTAACTTTTCTACACCTAATATCCTCCTCTAGAAGTGGGCAACGAGAGTTTCTTCTTTCACAAGTCTTTTGGGAGGATTAAATGAGTTAAATACATGAAAAGTACTCAGAACTATTTGGCCCTATATAAGTATTAGCTATTATTATTAAAATCCGTCCACTGTATTTGTTCTGAGAGACCCTCAATTTGGTATAAATAGCAAAGAGCTATATATTTTAGCACTATTTTTACCCATTACAAAACATAAAGCTTCTAACTAGAGACACCTTGAATACCTGCAAAGTCCAAGAAAAAAGGGAACCAGCAGCTTGAGCCATCTCAAGGACTTCTCTATGGGAACAGGAGCCTTAGCATCCTCACCTACACAGTCCAGCTTCTCATAAGCACACAGACCTCTATCACACAGAACCTTAGTTCTGTGTCAAAGTCCAGTAAATCCTTACTCTATTCAAGAAATGTATATTGAGTGTCTCCAACAGACAATGCTCATCACTGGAGATACTAATATGGAAAAGACATGATCGCCACTCCAAGAGCTCAGAGTTTAAAAAGACAATACCTGGTTTCTGTTTTTTATCTTTAGTTAACATGCTTCTTGTTCACTTTCCCAAGATCTAGGCTCTAAACAATTCCTGATCTACAAACTCTGCTGGGGTAACCCCCTTGCTATGATACCACCCTTTAATATTGAATGCCCAGTTCATCCTGTCAGCCACCCATTAAAGACCTCAACAGGTCCCCTGGATTACATCCACAGAAAAAAGCAAGTTTCTCTCCATGTACAGTCTTAAACTCTTGGCTGTGCCCAAACAGAGACTAAACAAAAATGTCTCATTTCTGAACTAGTGTTTAGAAACTCTGTTATGGCAGCACTAGGACTGAATGCCGCAAGTGTGCACAGCTTCTGAGAAACAAAGGACTGGCTACATTCTAGAAAAGCTGGTTGTTTCATCACAATACAGAAATTAAAAATCACTAAGCTATTACATGGCAAACACATTCTGTTCCATTTTATTTATTAGGATGGTCTTATATGAACTATTCAAAAGGCTTATTTTTAAAAAAGGAGTTCTCCCCAACCCCATCACTAAATAGTTCAGTAATCACTAAGTAGCCATTTATTCAATTTGGTAATGGTCTGATTAAACAGCTCTCTAGTACACTAAAAACCATAGAGGTGAAATAAAACATTAGAGGTAAATGATTTTACCCACTGATGCATTTTCTCTCTGTTTCTAGGTCCTCCCTTTTAAAACTAAGTCAAAATCTGGTATATTTCAGTGGAACTGAGTTGTTTAGCTTTGTGAGTATCAGTTGCTACTCTAATATTACAGTATATAATATAACATTATATATATGGTATACATAACAATATAACATATAATATAATACTAAATGTAAAGACCAATTATTCAAAGCAATAGGAACTCTATGTTGTTTTAAAGTTCTACTACAATTTAATTTCACATATATTAATTTTGGTAAAAGATGATGTATTTTAATTAAACGAAATATCCCATATAAATATATTTTTTTATTTTTTTCCAGGAATTTTGACAAGATAATTAAACAAAATTGAGCATGTATATCATTTCACTGCCTTAACAGAGGCTCTTCTCCTTCCAGACTACCTTCTGAGAATGTTAGCAAATCTATTGGTCCCACAAATACAGTTGTGATACAAACCATTAACAGTGCCATCTGTTGGTAGCAGGCAATGTTGATATGCTTTCTTTCTATGGTGCAATTTCATTCTTATCTATAGACATCCCTAGGTTGAAAGGAGCTTCTCTTCTCCCAGATGGTTATTTCCAAGTGCACAGACATTGATGGGTTTGCTTTTCCTCCTCAACACCTAGCCAAGAGTCAGGTACTTCGTGGATATTCACTTGTTTTTTTTTATTGAAAAAGAATAAAATCATAAACATTTTTCTAATGTGGATTTAGAATAAAATAAGTACAAAAAAGCAGATACATATTTTTTTCAGTCATCCAGGATTGCTTAACCTTAAAATGCAAGTTTTGTTTGAGATACTATTAATGACTCTTGACATTTGACTATAAGATTGAAAAATAAGTCATTTAAAGTTTAGGACCGCTATTAAAACAGGTCATACTAAATAGCAAAAAAAAAAAAAAAAAAAAAAAAAAAAAAAATGGCTGGGCACTGTGGCTCACGCCTGTAATCCCATCACTTTGGGAGGCCAAGGTGGATGGATCATCTGAGGTCAGGAGATTGAGGCCAGCCTGGCCAACACGGTGAAACCCCGTCTGTATTATTTATGTATTTATTTATTTATTTAGCGATGGAGTCTCGCTCTGTCACCCAGGCTGGAGTGCAATGGCGCGATCTCAGCTCACTGCAAGCTCCGCCTCCCGGGTTCACGCCATTCTCCTGCCTCAGCCTCCCGAGTAGCTGGGACTACAGGCTCCCGCCACAGCGCCCAGCTAATCTCTTGCATTGTTAGCAGAGACGGGGTTTCACCATCTTGGCCAGGCTGGTCTCGAACTCCTGACCTCATGATCCACCCGCCTCGGCCTCCCAAAGTGCTAGGACCACAAGGGCGAGCCACCGCACCCGGCCTCGTCTCCACTAAAAATACAAAAATTAGCCGGGCATGGTGGCGGGCACCTGTAGTCCCAACTACTCAGGAAGCTGAGCAGGAGAATCGCTTGAACCCGGGAGGTGGAGATTGCAGTGAGCCGAGATGGCGCCACTGCACTGCAGTCTGGGCGACACAGTGAGACTCCGTCTCAAAAAAGAAAAGCCAAAAAAAAGTAAGAATGAGAGGACTTCAATATGATTACATGAGACAGCAAGAACAAGCAAAACTTATATACTTTTACATCCCCAAACATTATTGATTATTTCAGTATTTAACATGTCATATTTGATAGTTTTGTTTAAAAAAATGAGTTTTATGGTAGTATTTTATAAAGTATTTGAACATTTATTTAAGAGGTGAACACAGTGAGAAGAGGGCATAATATGTAACTT
This sequence comes from Homo sapiens, assembly GCF_000001405.40. Classification (NCBI taxonomy): domain Eukaryota; kingdom Metazoa; phylum Chordata; class Mammalia; order Primates; family Hominidae; genus Homo; species Homo sapiens. The sequence goes on from NC_000001.11 coordinate 216,121,093, forward strand.
CTGAATAAGTAGGAACAAATCCTTTAATTATTTGGCATAGCCAATAATATATATTAGTTTCAAAACAGAAATGTGTAATGTATTGGTCAAAGATTAGTACAATTTAAAATTGTTTCCAATGTAAGACTAATAATATTATGTTAAAGCTGCTAAAAGGTTAACTATGTTAAACTAAAAGGTTGAATGAACTTTCCTTCAGTAATGATAAATTTATGAATAAATGAATAAATATAAAAGTAAAGAACATAACTTATATCCCAAATTTTAGACCTAAGGGAAAAATAAAATCACCTTGATTTAAATTTTGCTGGTTTTTTTCTTTTTTTTAAACAGCTAATTTGATACCTGTTTTTATTTTATTTTTTTGCCACTCTATTATACTCACCACTGGTAAAACAAACAGGACATTTTAGCTTTAATCTTCTTACTACATAACCCAAATAACTTCAGTCATGTTTGCATTAATGCTGCATTAATCATGTTGTTGCGTATTAATGAGTTTTCAGGCTATGCTAATTACTGTCATAGATTCTGCAGCAGCCCATTAAATATACAAATTACAGAATTAAAGAGCCAGAGCTCTTCATGATTAATCTCTAAATGGAGAAAAACTAATGATGTCTGTACAAAGTTTCCCTCTACTTTTGGCTGAGTGAGCCCAATGAACAATCAGTTAGACTATTTGAGGAATAAGAAACTCACGTATTATACAATTTTATGTAGTGCTTCATTATAACAGTGGATATTGCTTTATATTTCATAAAAATTCTGCAACCTTTACCTGTCTACTGTCCTAAATATGGGTAACAGTGTTGTTCAATATTGAACATAAATTTGAAATAAGGCAAGTTTGTACTAAATCCATTCCAGTGAGGCTCCCAAGTACCAAAAGGGCTTCATTAAAAGCATTTTCATCTAAAAGAAATTGTCACAAAAAGGACCGCAAACACAAAAATCATAATGAAAATGTAGGGCTGTCACAAGAATGACACCATAATGCTTTGTTAACCTACATAAAGTCTGCAATATATCATGGAGTAAAGCTGTCTAGAATAGCACATCAGATCTGTTATGAAAGGTAGATTTGGATCCAGACATTTTTACCTGGGTGGGTATGGAGTATGACTACCCAGCTGCAAGCACGGGAGAAAAGTATCATTCTTAATCACATGGGCAGGACATAGGAGTAGCTAGTACTCAAAATGTTTCAGGGATCCAAGAGAGGGACACAGGCTAAAGAAAGAAGGAAGTGGGATAGAGCTGGAATAGAGACTTGAACTGACAAATAAGCATAACAATAGGTGAAACTTGGAAGGCCAGACAAGCCAGCATAATTTGGCACAAGGGATGTGCATGTAATAGAAATCTAGAGTCCAAAGATGAGTGCAGGGGATCAACTTTAGTCGAGGGTGCAGCCTGGTAACAGCCAGGCAGCAATACTGGTTTTAGGATACTAGGCAGCTTTCCAAGAACATAAAGAGAGTCAATCACCAGAACCAAGAGAGAAAATGGGAGTGGTATATGTGGGTCTTGGGAAGGTGCTAGGAGGCTCTTTGAACAAAGTGTGTACAAAATGGAGGCCAGATTCTTCTGCAAGATTGAGTTTCTGAGAGCCTTAAAGCATAAGTCTGAATCTTCCAGATGAATTCATGACCCAAGGGACCAGGGTAGAATGAGCCTAAAGGTAGAGATTAAATGACTCCAGCCCTGGGAAGAAGAAGCTACAGAGTGAGAATCAGAGACTTTCCCATCCTATTGCTATACAATTAAACTATAGAAAATTGCTTTTTATCAAGGTCAGATGTACTAGTGTAGTATATCATAATAATCTTGAGTGTGAGAAAAGCCAGAAACTCCAATTTATTTGACAGTATAATGACTGAACACTGAAAAGAGAAAGGCAAAAGGAAAAGAGCAAACTTAATGGGTCTCTCACCATGTGACACACACTGAGCTGAATATGTCATTTTATTTGTTTCTCATGGTTCATTTATGCCAATTATACAGATAAGAAAACTGAGGCTCAGAAAGATTATCCAATACTAGAAAAGTTACACTTACCAGAAAAGAACTGACTTAAAAAAATCTTTCTTCTTCCTCTGGGTAAATAGCACAGTTGCACAGTTTTGTTAAGCACAGGGACTCAACAATGGTTTGTTGCAGAAAATACAGAAGGATATTTTTAAAAAGTAGGTAAAGAGTAAGTTGTTGTTTAAACATATTAAGTCTTGTAAAACAAAACAGTTGAAGCATTTGCTGATCAGGCAATCAATGCATTTGCTGGTCATGTTCATCAGCTAGTTGATTAATGTTATCTATGACATATGTTCGGGTAAACCTATAAGCCTCAGTTTCCTAAGCATTTCCAAGAGCTGTTGCAATTGTTATGCCTCTCCAATTTAAAATTCTATTAATAACCAATTATGTATTTACTGGAGTGTTTTCACTGTTTCTGTTTTCAAAGATGTATTGCTCATAAGCTTTTCCCTTTTTTTCGCATTATTGTAAGCCTTTGAAAACAGGAACAGTTACTATGTTTCCCACATTATTTGTTTTTAGACCAGTTGCTATAGTTTTATGTACACAATGGAAATTCAATGTTCCTGACTTACACAGCCCAATGCAAAATTATTAGAAAGAACAAGATTCAAACCCAGAAATGTGTATAATATATATAACACATAGAAAAATAAGAGCTGGAGCTTGGGTAGCCCACCTAAATATAAGTTAAACACCTAAGAAAGTTTTCTTTTTCCTGCTGTTAGGACATGACTTGTACTGAATAGAACCTAGTCATACATTTTTTTCTTACAGAGAAGTCATACAGTGACCCCATAGCCCTACACTCATCTCCTCTGTTAATGACTCTACAGCTATAAACCAGGCTTGACTATGTTCTATAAAGAAGATCCTCTCAATAGACTAGATTTCCTTATCCACAGAAAGGTAAGACATCAATCAGAGGAGTTCTGCATATTTTTTAGGCTGAATTGCTGATGCTCTGGGTGGTAATTTAAATAGAAACCTTTTGTCGCTTTAGCAGCAATTGTATAAACACAATGTTGCCCAGGCAGAAAGTAATTAAATTGACAGAGGAAAGAAACATGACTTGAACTGGATAAAATACAAATACATCAAAATTAAAGTCAGTGTAATGAGCTGAAAACACTGCGAATTCAGACAACAATATATTAGCCAAAGCACAGAAACCCCTCTCAGGCAGTATCAAAGCTGACAGAAAACACAGTAAGTTGGAAATCCTGCAGCAAGCAAGGAAGCGTATTGATTAGGTACTGCATATACTGAACAAGAGAATAACTTTAAAGGAAAAAAAAAGCTAATGAATGGGCCAGAGAAATACAATAGGCCAAAGAAGAGATATAACAAAAAGAAAAAGGCGGAGGGAAACCCCTCCAGATAGAAATACAACAAGACAAAGCAAAAGCTCAGCAAAAACATAGAGCAATTCAAGTCAGAAACTCAGCAAGAAATGCAAGTCATGGCAGAAATATAAGATCAAGATAAGAACATATTCAACCTTACACCGAGTTTTAAATCAGAACAACAAATTCAGCAACAAATCTGCCAAATGCTAATGATTCAAACAAGGAGGCAATAATTGAAAGTAAGAAATACACCACATCTCATCCAGTAATGTTCACAATGCCATTTCCCCTAATTATTGCTGATATGGTGACCTTCTCCTGAAGGGACACACCAAAAATTCAGTTTAATTAAGGGTTACCAGTGTAAAGAAGGGTTTTTCATGTCTCTGTTGTGAGACTGTGGACAGTAACACCTCATTTATCTGGTGTTATTTAGGTAATAAGACATTCTGCATGCATAGATTTCTAGTTAACAGGTTTATTCTTCACTATTTTAACAATTGTAATAAAAATGACATCAAATATATTACACATTTCCTTGTTTTCTAGAGTATGATGAATGTGCTTTAATCTATCAGTGATTCAATATGCTTATATAGAACTAACAATTTTTATACGGTCTTGAATGAGAATTACATTTTTAGATCTTGAACCTTAATATCAAAAGGGCTCTACAAATGTAAGAATTAGCATATCTATATTTTTCTGAAGTTACTGTCTCTCCTTTTGTTATCATTGAATCAGCTTTTATTTAAACAAGCAAAAAAAAAAAATCCTCATAGAATCTGTTATCCAGGAAGATCATTAAACGTTATCTAAAACTCAAACAATATGGGACCCCTTCTTCTCCTATCAGTGAATCGCTATTAGCTGTCTTTTCCCTGCCTCTCGTGCTATAAGGCTCCAATCTGCCATGTTCTAGACATACACTGTTAGTATTTTCTCTAAAGTAAGATGAAATCAGATGCATGCATAAAGAAAATTAGGGAAACTCTAAAGAGCAAAATGAAGGAGGACCACTACATTGGATAGTGTGGAAGAGTTAGTAGGCGAGCTTTAAACATCAATTTTGATTGTGCGATGGCCTTTTCACTCAGTAACAAATTTTCCATCATATTTCAAATAGTTTGAGTTGCCATTAAAGTTGCCTCTGGATAAACATCTTTTTATCAGTATTTTTTTAGTGGTTCCATCTCTTCAATGCTGCAGCAATAAGAAACCAAATTTCAGGACAGATAGATGGGGTGGAAAAAATAACTAGGCTAGAAGTTCTCACGACCAACAGACTCAACCCCTGATGTAAATAAATCACTACACATTTCTTGGCCTCCATTTCTTCATCTGGCAAATAAGGGGAAGGACTAGTTGATATCTTCCTTAATTCCTTAATTCAATTAGCTGTCTGGCATCATGTAGACATCATCTAAGAACGCCGTAGGTCTTTTATCATTATAAGACAGCTGCCAATTTAAGTGATTCAAAGAGCATATGATGTGTTGGGTTAATTTTTGTAACTTTGGAAATTTACATTTCAAAAATGTGTTTTAATGCCTTTTCCCCTTATCAAAGTAGAAATGCAGTGCAAGAATTAAAAATAGATATCTAAGTCTTAAAAGGGTTCCTTTGATAGTCCTGCTGACTGCTTGGGGTCTCACATGGAAGAGAGTGCCTAAATGCACATGAAACAATTGTAGGAGCTCTTCTTCCTGGCAATTAACAGCCGTTGCTTTTTTTGTTGTTGTTGTTTTGTTTTTGTTTTTTTTGAGATGAGGTCTTGCTCTGTCACCCAGGTTGGAGTGCAATGGCGGGATCTCAGCTCAGTGCTACCTCCACCTCCCAAGTTCAAGCAATTTTCCTGTATCAGCCTCCCGGGTAACTGGGATTACAGGTGCATGGCACTATGCCTGGCTAATTTTTTGTATTTTTAGTAGAGACAGCATTTCACCATGCTGGCCAGGCTGGTCTTGAACTCCTGACCTCGTGATCTGCCTGCCTTGGCCTCCCAAAGTGCTGGGATTACAGGCATGAGCCACTGTGCTGGGCCGAGTGCTTGCTTTGTGTCAGACATTACTCTAAGCACATCTATTCAATCTCTATTCTTTATAATAACTATTTTACCCCATTTGTATGTAAAAAGCACCCAAGGCCAGGAGATATTATATCTAACTGAAATAGAATAAGGCCACAAAAACCAAGGCTCCTAATTTTTGCAATAATAATAATAATAATAAAAGCCACGTAACATTAATAATATATTTGATCCATGATTGTTTTACCAAATTTGATTAAATAGATTTAAAGTTGAAGCCTTCATTCCAAGCAGTATTTCACTGGACCAATCAATGGGGATACTTAATGTTTAAGATAATATTGTTTCTATTGTATTGTTTCAAAGAAATATGGAAAATGCTATTCATGATAATGTGGTTAGCTGGAATAAGTTCTACTTCTATAATGTATGTTTGATAAAGATGATTCCATAGAAATTTATCACTCTTACTATGCCAATGTTTACAAATAGCACTGCAAAGAAGTAAGCGCAAAGCTTTCGGATACAACTATCTTAGCTATGGATAGAGGTCTTCAGGGAGACAGTTTGCATTAAAATATATTTCAAATGCTGGAGTCTCTTAACAGTCCAAGTTGTTACTTTCTGAGAAGTTTTGGAAGTCACAGCATTGCACTAATAGTATATGCCAAAGCAATATACAAGTAGGAGTAAAATGAGGAAAAAAATGTAAGCTATGCTCAAGTTCTTCTTAACGGCATTAGAATTGACAATGGCCAAACTCTTTCATAAATGTACTCATTGATGACTGAGATACAGAGGAATGGTGTTTCCTTTCATGGAAGTCAGTAGAGAGTAGACAGCAATATCCTTGGCACCCCTTTAGAATATATTTTCTGAAAGTGAGTTTGAAAGTAAAGGTCACACAATATTGAATCATATATATGTATCCATCGAGATGTCTATTATTGGATCCACTTCCTCTGTCATGGCCAGCTTTGGCAATGCTTTCTCTTCTTTATTTGATTTGTTTCAGGAGAAAACTCTCAGGGCAATGTTACCACCTCTATTGCTGGCGTTTATACAGAGACCTTGCTAATATCCATCTGTGCTGCATGCCATTTACAAAATAATAAAGTGTAATTCTGGAAAATTACCCAAATGATAAATCATTTCACAATGCAAAAGTAAAAGAGAGAATTCACACAAAGAATTTGTGAGCCTAAAAATCAATGAGTGAAGAGTAAGTTTCAAAGGATTCAAATTAAATGCTGTTGTAGCAAAACTGTCAATTATCCCGCATTCTTTTATTAATTTTGCTTTTATTTGTAGAATGGCCTTTCCTTGGAGCCATTATAAAGCATCAGTATGGCAGAAGAATCATTGGAAAATAACTGCCAACCAGATTTGCTATCTGTATTCTAAGTAAAAGATGCTGATTAGAAGTCAGATGTAGCTCAGGATGAGTAACATCAGGGATTCTGGAAACTTTTTGAGAATTTCACTGCAAACTAGAAATGAGATGGGATGTTTAATTTGCTAACTTTGGAGCCAAGAATTTGAAGAGCATACTGTATAGAATCTGATGCACTGACTTTTATGAGGAAAATGTAGATATTATTAGGGTAGAAACTGTTGCCTTGCAATTTAAAAAATTACAATTGTATTCTTCACTTGTCTTGTTCAGATAATATTATATAGTTAAAAGTTGATTGAAAATTTATGTATGCCCAACATTACATTTGATGCTTTTTCATCTAACTTATTTGCTACTAAAAACAATGTGTAATTTAGATGCACTTTCCTTATTTTAAAGAGTAACGCAATGAGGCTTAGAGTGTTTGATTCTGAAGGTATAAAGTATGGATTTGAATTCACGTATTTTGACCCAAGTTCAGTGCTTTTGTTTTTGCTGCAAGACAACTGGTTACCAAAAAAAGTACTATTTTGAGATTAAGCTTTCAAATTATAATGCCTTTCATATGATTACCCTGAGCAAACATAGACAAGATCCCATTTAAAACCAAATTAAATGGAAAATCTCTTCCTATCTATCCTCGAAGACTTCCAAACTGTATTCTTTTTCTCGTCAAGTTAACTTTTCTTAAATTGTAAAATTTTTAATTTTCATGGTTACTTAATAGTTGTAGATATTTATGGGCCACACGTGAAATTTTGACAAATGCATACAATGTATAATGATCAAATCAGGATAATTGGGATATGCATCACCCCAAGCAAGCATCATTTCTTTGTGTTGGGAACACTCCAATTCCACTCTTCTAGTTATTTTCAAATATACAATAAATTATTGTTAATTATAGTCACACTATTTTGTTACCAAACATTAGATCCTATTCCTTCTATCTAATTGTACTTCCGTTCCCATTACCCATTACCGAACACTTCTTTATCCCCCTCCCCATTTCCTTCCCCAGGCTCTGATAACTATCATTATACTCTCTGTCTCCATGAGATCAATTTTTTTAGTTCTCACCTATGAGGGAGAACATGCAATATGTGTCTTTCTGTGCCTAGCTTATTTCACTTAACATAATGTCCTTCAGTTCTATCCAAGCTGCTGCAAACGACTGGATTTTATTCTTTTTTAATGGCTGAATATTTCATCATGAATATGTACCACATTTTCTTTATTCATTCATCCATTGATGGACACTTAGTTTGACTCCATATCTTGGCTATTATGACTAGTGTTGAAATAAACATGAGAGTGTAAATATCTCTTTGATATACTGATGTTTTTCTTTTGGATAAATACCCAGCAGTGGGATTGCTGGGTCATATGGCCATTCTGTTTTTGCTTTTTTAAGGAACTTCTGCACTGTTCTTCGTAGCGGCTATACTAATTTGCATTCCCACCAACAGTGTAGAAGAGTTTCCCTCAAATCAGTAGCATTTCTGTATGCTAACAGCAAACAATCTGAAAAAGAAATAATTAAAGTAATCCCATTTGTAATCGCCACAAATAAAATAAAATACCTGGAATAAACTAAAGAAGTGAAAAATCTCTAAAATAAAAACAATACAACATTGATGAAAGAAATTGAAAAAGATATGAAAAATAAAAACATTTTCTATGTTCATGTATTAAAAGAATCAGTAACTGCTAAAATGTCCATACTACCCAAAGTAATTTATAGATTCAATGCAATCCCTATCGAAATACTAATGAAGTTCTTTATAAAAATCGAAAAAAAATCCTAAAATGTATATGGAACCACGAAAGACCTAGAACAGTCCAAGACATCCTGAGCAAAAAATAACAAAGCTGGAAGCATCACATTACCTGACTTCAAATTATACTACACAGCTATAGTAACCAAAACAACATGGTACTGGCATAAAAACAGACACATAGACCAAAAGAACAGAATAAAGAACCCAGAAATAAATCTGCATATTTACAGCCAATGCAGTTTTGACAAAAGTGTGAACAACATACCTTAGGGAGAATACAGTCTCATTAATAAATGATGCTGGGAAAACTGGATATACATATGCAGAAGAATAAAACTAGAATGCTATCTCTTGCCATAAACAAAAATCAAATTTAAATAGGTTAAAGACTCAAATGTAAGACCAGAAAGTATGAAACTACTAGAAGAAAACACTGGAGAAACACTCCAGGACATTGGTTTGGGCAAAAATTTCTTTTATTTTTTATTTCCACGGGTTACTGGGCACAGGTGGTGTTTGGTTACATGAGTAAGTTCTTTAGTGGTGATTTGTGAAATTTTGGTGCACCCATCACCCAAGCAGTATAAACTGTACCCTATTTGTAGTCTTTTATCCCTCACTGCCTTCCCACCCTTTCCCCCTGAGTCACCAAAGTCCATTGTGTTATTCTTATGCCTTTGCATTATCATAACTTAGCTCCCACTTTTGAGTGAGCATATATGATGTTTGGTTTTCCATTCCTGAGTTGCTTCACTTAGGATAATAATCTCCAATCTCATCCAGGTCACTGTGAATGCTATTAACTAATTCCTTTGTATGGCTGAGTAGTATTCCATCATATATATTTATATATATAAAATATATATTTATATATATTATATATAATATATAATATATAATACACATTATATATCATGTGTATATATACTATATATATACATATATCTATACTATACATATACACACATATATATATGCAATATATATCACGTATATATATATACAGTGGTTTCTTTTTCCACACATTGATTGAAGGGCATTTGGGTTGATTCCATATTTTTGCAATTGTGATTTGTGCCGCTATAAACATGTGTGTGCAAGTATCTTTTTCATATAATAACTTCTTTTCCTCTGGGTAGATGCCCAGGAGTGAGATTCCTGGATCTAATGGTAGTTTTAGTTCTGTAAGGAATCTCCACACTGTTTTCCATAGTGGTTGTACTAGTTTACATTCTCACTAGCGGTGAAGAAATGCTCCCTGTTCACCTCATCGACTTCAACATCTATTATTTTTTTATTTTTTTGATTATGGCCATTCTTGCAGGAGTAAGGTGGTACTGTGTCGTGGTTTTGATTTGCATTTCTCTATCATTAGCGATGTTGAGCATGTTTTTAATATGTCTGTTGGCCACTGTATATCCTCTTTTGAGATCTGTCTATTTATGTCCTTAGCCCACTTTTTGATGGGATTGTTCATTTTTTTCTTGCTAATTTGTTTGACTTTGTTGTAGGTTCTGGATATTAGTCCTTTGTCAGATGGATAGATTTTGAAGATTTTATCCCACTCTGTGGGTTTTCTGTTTGTTCTGCTGGCTATTCCTTTTGCTGTGCAAAAGCTCTTTAGTTTGGTTAAGTTCCATCTATTTATCTTTGTTTTTACTGCATTTGCTTCTGAGCTCTTGGTCATGAAATCCTTGCCTAAACCAATGCCTAGAAGGGTTTTTCCAATGTTATCTTCTAGAATTTTTAGTTCAGATCTTTGATTTAAGTCCTTGATCCATCTTGAGTTGATATTTGTATAAGGTGAGAGATGAGAATCCAGTTTCATTCTCCTACAGTTAAAATGGTTTTTACCAAACTATATTCTTTCTGAAGTCATTTCCTACTGTTTTCTCACAAAATGATCAACATGATCAGTAAAGGGCCAGTATGTTATATTAGCAAACCAATCTATTTGCTATTTCTAAAATTTACCCTTTGACTTTTCATCTTGATGTATTCATTCATGATTGTCCCTCTCCCTAGAGTACTATGTTCAATCCATTTGTAGCTTCAAAAATTTACTCATTCTTCACTTATTATCTTATTGCTACTTCTTTTCTAAAACCCCTTATAATGATTCTAGTTGGATATAATTTATTATTAATGATAGTAAATACTTATGTTTGTTATTTTATGTGAGGCACTCTTCTAGATGCTTTATACATATTAATTTTCTTTAATCCTCCTAATAATAGTTCTAGCAGAAAGGCATGGTAATTATCATCACCACTACCATTTACACAAGAGGACACAGACCTAGTAAGATGGTAGAAATGGGTTCTGAATCCAGGGAATTTAACCTAGAAATTTGTGTCCACATGCTCTTGAGTCCAAGTCCACAACCACTCTACATACAACCTCTCATTCCTTTTACTATGATATAATATTTATCTTATTCTGCTTTTATGTGTCACTTTCATCTGTTCTAAACTTCAGAGAAGAGGCATTACCTTACTTGTCTTTCTAATCTCTTGACCTGGGAAGACTGCTCTTTCAAAGAAAAATAAAATAAATTTTACTTTTCACACTTTCTTATACTTAGAATCTTTTGCTTGCCTATACTTATTCATCTAGTTGGTATTTTTTCATACTGAACACTCATTGGAGGCCAGAAATATGTCATGCATTTTTTAAATCTATCTTAAAAATATGTATAGTCTTTATACTGTTATCTGTTGAATTACTGTTATCTGATGAATTTTCCATGGCTCTTTGTTGTTTGGGGAGATGAGAATCATGAACTCCTGCAGAGCCAGCCCTAGGCCAGCCATGACTGAGAAAACATTCATTTCTAACCTTGCTTTTTCAACTAGTGACCCCCACTCTTCTAACTCTCTCAGTTCCCACACTTAGCCATCAAGATAATCAGATTGTATTGTTAGAGCTAAGAGGGAGATAGCTACTATCTAGTAAATTTCCTCTGTTTTGGCTGAAGAAACTGAGGCAAACATAACTTTCTATATACAGCTGGTGTCAGTGGCCTTGCTGCAACCCTGCACTATATGAAGTTGTCCTCTGCTAGCCCAGGAACTCTCATGGTGGCATTCCACTTGAAAATCCTCTCTGGGGACACATGACACTTCAGATCATCTTTCCCTCTCCCTATAATGAAAGCCTGCTCTCAGCTGCTTATAATCCAGAAAGAGCAGAATGGCTAATCCATGTTAAAATGTTAAAGACTGATAAAAGCTTAATGTGTTTTCTTTCCCAGTGGGATAAGAATTCATTTTTAATAGGAAAAACATATCTTCATCCTCAAATTCCCAAAATGTTGATGCGTATAGCCCTGCTGAGTGCAATGTTAAAATAAGTGCAATGGTGGGGTTGGGAAGGGAGAACAAGAGTTCCAAGGTCAAAGAAGTTTAGAAAATACCTATTTTGTTAAATTCATAATGAATATTTATTTGCATACTGAATATTCTGGAAATCATGCAACAATATTAACAAAAATGACAATGAAAGCAACAAAAATCTGGCTAACTTGATTTAACACAATATTTTCTAAATATATTTGAACATTTTAAATATATTTTGTTTTTAGGCCTCTGTTCCAGGGAACACCAGTTTGGGCAGGACCAATAGGCTAGTTTATGTCAAGAGGATCAGCTCCATTATCTTCTCAAATCATACCCAACTGAGAAGTCTCAAATGCTGTCTACCTACAGGGATAGCTGAACTTGGTGTGCTTACATAAAAAAGACATATGTGGGAGTCATCAGAGAGGGGTTCATGGTAGAACTCAAAATAGAGAAGCTGCACTAAGCATTAAGTGTTCCAAAGCTCAGGAAACCAGAGGATGTGTGCGTAGCTCCCTCATTGTGATCGTTGACTGCTGATCACTTCCCTCAGCTGAGGAATTAGAAGCTGAGGGAAGAGAAAGCATTTAGCTCCGACATGGAAATGTAAGGCCATATTTATTCCCTATTTAATGCTCCACAAACCCATTATGTCATTAACTTAAAAGGGAATTAAATTAGCACCTAGGTCTATTTTTTCACATCTTAGAGAAAATAAAAATAAAAGGCTGTTGCTTTCCAGGCTTTGTGTTGAGTTTCCTTTTATTGCTTAAAATATGAATGATTACCATGTATATGTCTGACTAATTCTGAATGATGATAATCAGGAAATCTCTTTTCCTTTTTTAGTAAACTCACTGATAGCTTAATTTCTTTTTTCTTATCCCTTTCACAGAATTGTGGATTTATGGAACACTGAATATTATGATTGATTACAATATTTGTACTATAATGAATCGGATGATTGGATCTATCATGTTGCTTCTAGGATATCTGCTCTGCATTGTGTTCTGTTTGCCAGTGAATACTAATACAGAGTCTTTTTGACTCTTAGACACACTGGGAAAAATAATTAAAACAAAAGCTGTTTTCTGTGTTTTGTAAAAACAACTCTTCTAATTCTCAAATTGCAATACCTAAAATATAAATAAATTCAGAGATTAATTTCCAAACCAGAGGAAAGCATATAGAACATAAAAGTTTTGAAAATTCTTCTCATATTTCTTATTTATTTTTAAAATGAAGGGAAATTACATGTACAATTTGACTCAAGAGGGAATTCACACATGAAACCCTTCGAGAATATATCCCAATACACATGGTGAAGACAAACACAGAGACTAGGAAGACAGATTTAGGAAACAATATTAATTAATTAATATGGAGAGAAGAGCAATGTCCCAGGTAGCAGAACAGAATAAGGGATGTCATCTTAAAGAAATAAAACAGAAAACAGGGAGTCAACAGTATTAGTTTAATCAAACAACTTCACAGAAACCAGTGTTTAAAGATAATATAGGGTTTGCATTTGGGTTCATATGAAACCAATTTTGTCAAATCAACTTAAAGTCCATCCCTGAAGGAGAGAAAAATGCTAGATAGAAATTGTCCACCCAGTGGACAAACTTTTCATATTGCACAAATTCTGTCATGATTGAACGCAATTCAGTGTCAGCATTTAGGGCAGAAAAAAGTCATTTTGCCCATAAGACAGATTCCATTGTTTTCAAAGAAATAGCCAAATATGTCCAGAAACCATTGCTTGATTGTATTAAAATTAAATAGACACTGTGTCTGTAAGAATTCTGAAATAAGGCTGTCAAGAATCGATGGCAAGTAAAGAGCTATGCCAAAGTGAGCTTTAGGGTGAGGATCACAGCCCAGTAGTACATAAGCATATGACTCTAAATGATTTATTTTTTAACTGTAAGTCTCTGGCCAGCAAGAGTTGGATTCTCAAACTGGCAGATCATAATCTAGCCATCAGAATAGCTGTAGTTGATTCAAAGAAAGAGATGAAGTACTGAGAAGATGGGAGTAGCAGTTGTACACCACTGCTACAGTTATGCAACAAAGGCAGTCTACCATTAATATCTGTCTTGGAGCCTGAAACTCTCTCTCTCTCTCTCTCTCTCTCTCTCTCTCACACACACACATACACACACACACACACACACACACAATCTTAAGTGTATATAAATTCCTCCTTTAAAATGTATTACCTGTATGACTCAACAAGGTGCTTATCTTCTCAGAACATATCTCACATATTTGAAAAGAGGATTAAATGATAAAGAACAAGTGAACAGCTTAGCACGCTGTCCAGATACAAGCTATTATATAATATTTTGCATATTTCGGTGGTCAAGAAGTTGTAGTCTGTGTTCAGTGTTGAGCTGCCATATTAACTTATCCTATTTCTCTATCTATATATTCAATTTCACTCTTATAGTGATTTCCAATCTCAATTACAATAAACTCAGTTGACTAAACAATCACATATTATCATGATCAACAAAAATGTCATAGATGTTACAGCTAAAGGGTAATATTTATAACCATTTACTATAACTGTTATACTGTACAATTAGGAAAATACACCAAATGGGAAAATGAGTACTGTCAATGAACGACTCTTTTCCGCTGGGCTTACATACATATGAAAACAATTACACATGATTGGTATGTATTCAATGATGTATTCATTGCTCTCTCATGAAGATTAAATCCTATGTGCATCTTAATATGTTAAGCCTTAACAATATAAGAAGCCACGAATAACAGAAAAATAAAATGAATGATTAGAATTTTTGCTTGTTAGAATTCTGCATTTATAGTCCAAAATTGATTTGCTTGGATATTGAACAATGAGTTTCTGTCAAAGCTTCCATTAACGGTTAGCTTTAGTATATTCATTAAAAGTATATATATATATATGTATGAAGTCTACCATCTTAAGTATTTTATGTGATTACCTTACCATATTGTAATAAGTGTGAAGACAAATGTGTATCTTTGATTAGTATCAAATAACTCTCTTGCATATTAATACCCTCATGAAGTCACATAGAATGTTGAACAATAATTCAAGCTAGTGGATTGTGGTTATTACTGTAAATGTACCCAAACCAGCAGGAGTTGACAATGAAACTATTGTCTCCATGCTAATAATGTCTGATCTCAAGCATTCTGAGGGAAATTTGAAAACAAGATTGCTATGCTATCTCTATAAATATAAGAAAACTCATGCTAAAATAAATTGTGCAATTAATTATGTTGCATTACCAGGATGAATTTCAGGTAAAAACACACAGCATCTGTGATTAAATACTAGTTATTAAAGCTTTTGAAATATCATCCAATTGCTTTAGTTACCATAGTGCACCATGCTGTGTTTGCAAAATTATAATTTTATATTAAATAGATTAAATGTAAGGAATTAGTTGGAGTTGTTTAATTCCTCTTTTTGATTAGGTTATCTTTCCTGCATCAGATTGATTCTTTACTTTCTCGTCAGTTATGCAGTATGATTATAATGGATTGAATTATGTCTCCCCAAAATTCATATGCTGTAGTCCAACCCACTCATACCTCAGAATATGACCTTATTTGGAAATAGGGATTTTGCAGATGTAATAAATTAAAATGAAGTCACAATGGGGTAGGGTGAGGCCCTACTGTAGTATGACTGGTGTCTTTATAAAAGAAACACCATATGAAGAGACAGATGTGCATGCAAAGAAAATGCCATGTGACAACGAAGGCAGAGAATGGGGTGACACTGCAAAAGGAACATCAAAGATTGCCAGCAAACCACCAGAAGCTGGGTGAACCATGGAACAGATTCTTCCTCACAGCCCCTCAGAAGATATCAATCCTGCTGATATCTTTTTCTCGAACTTCTAGCCTTCAGAATTGTGAGACAATAAACTTCTATGGTTTAAGCTACCTGATGCAGTCATGCCAGAGAGAAATGATCATAAATTTGTTTTGATTAGGATGATTTTCCCATGTCTATTGGATGAATAACCCCATTGGAAAGAGTAGAAAACTAGATTTGAGAACTAAAATGCTGAAAGACTGACTCAAAGGTACAACTCAGAACCAACAACCTTGACTTAAAATTGCTGACCCAATTCTTAGAAAACCCTTTGGTGGCATGCAAAGTACGTTCCTTTGAACTGATAAATTATGACCATTTGGAGATGGAACAGTGCCTGTATTAGTTTGTTTTCACGCTGCTGATAAAGACATACCCAAAACTGGGAATAAAAAGAGATTTAATTGGACTTACAGTACTACATGGCTGGGGAGGCCTCAGAATCATGGTGGGAGGTGAAAGGCACTTCTTACGTGGTGGCAGCAAGTGAAAAATGAGGAGGAAGCAAAAGCAGAAACCCGTGATAAACCCATCAGATCTCATGAAATTTATTCACTATCATGAGAATATCATGTAAAAGAGTTTATTAACTCATGATCACAGGGTTCCCAACAGGCCGCCTGCAGACCGAGGAGCAAGGAGAGCCAGTCCAAGTCCCAAAACTGAAGAACTTGGAGTCCAATATTCAAGGGCAGAAAGCATCCAGCCCAGGAGAAAGATGCAGGCTGGGAGGCTAGGCCAGTCTCTCTTTTCACCTTTTTCTGCCTGCTTATATTCTAGCCAAACCGGCAGCTGATTTGATTGTGCCCACCCAGATTAAGGGTCGGTCTGGCTTTCTCAGCCCACTGACTCAAATATTAATCTCCTTTGGCAACACCCTCACAGACACACCCAGGATCAGTACTTTGTATCCTTAAATCCAATCAAGTTGACACTCAGTATTAAACATCACAGTTTAATAGAGCGATCTTTACCCATCCAGCTAAGTTTTCAATGTGGATGCATTTTGCTAATATGATTGTTTTATATCAACTTAAAATAACATATTTTGAATTTAAAAAAACGACAAGATGAAAACTTTCATCTAAAGGAGGAGTCAAATCTACTAACAATTTATAGATTTATTGTATAAAGTTTTCTTTAAATAATGTCCCAAAACAATTTCTTATGAGATATGGAGAATGATATGATTGTATTGGAATTAGATTGTTATATATAAACCATATGTAAAAATTAATCTCATGTTGCTACAGATTATAAGAGTTTTGAAAGCAGATAGACACATCACTAATCTTTGTACACTGGTATTTAGGATAATGGCCGGTACACAGCAGGCCTCTTAACAAATTGCTGTTCAAGTAAGCCAATCAACACTTAGTATTGCTCAAAAAATGCAGCATTCAGTTGAATAAAGGCAAAAAAAGAGAGTTTTAACTCAGTATATTAAAAAAGCTTGCAAAAGTAAAACAAAAATCTGTTATCTTTGTCTTAGGCTAAAGAACCTGTACTGTTATGTAGTCCGTGCAGCTATTGCTCCAACTGTAGCCCTTTTTCATGGGTGATAAGCTTCAATTAATTTTATCATGCACTTCCCTGAGGCCACAGGAGAAGATCTTGCCACAGTGTTTTTTCTGTCTTTTATTTTTCCTGGCATTTTCCAGTACACCAAGTCCTCTTTTTTGGCTCATCCTTGCTTTTTATTGACCTTTTTATTGACTTCAACCTGATCACTTGATGGACTTTTAATTTTTATTTGACTCTGTTCTAGCAATAACATGTAGATATTATCATCTATTTTCCCCCTGCTTCTGACTCAGGGCAGAATACCCTTTTTCTGATGAAAGAAAAGGGCTGGGCATGCAGTTATCTCCCAGAAAGATTTCAGGAAGACAACTCAAGTCTGCAATGGCAAAGAATAAAACAGACAGGAAGCCAAACAGCTGATGAATTTCCCACTTAGTATTCAACATAAATGAGCTTTTGAAATGTATATATTTTTAAATATGCATATATTAATGTGTGTGTGTGTGTGTGTGTGTGTATATATATGTGTGTGTATATATGGTTTTCCTCTTACTCAACCAAATCTAGTTTCTATGTCCCACTCACATCTTACTGCAAAGTGTGGCCACCTTTGTCAGTGACACCATTCCTGTTTTTGCCCCATCTTATTACTTATTTACATTCTTTCAATTCTGATTATTCTACTCTTCTTTATTCTTTCATCCTCTCAGCTTCAGTATTTCCTCTAATTACCAACTGCTGAGGAATATCAGCCAAGGTCAGAAAGCAAGTGTGGGAATTCCATCTTCCACATTCTGTCCATTTTTGTTTAGAATGGACTCTCAACTTGCCTGAAATTGCTCCCAGGGGTTTATATCTGCCCATGTCACCACTTTGGAACAAAATTCATCTCCCATACCCTAGGCACAGGCTGTTAAAAATCTCGAAGTTATAATGGACCCTTGAGTCGCAGCTGACTCAAGGTGTTGAATTTTTCTTCCCCTCTACAGAAAAAAAAAGAAAAAAAAAAAAGAAAAAATTCATTTTCTTTCCTTCTAGTTCCAGGACTATATGGCTGTGTATTGCTATTAACTTACAGATTGACTGCTCAATATGCTTGATGATAACACTAATAACAATCAGTGTTTTATCACCTGGAAAATAGACAAAGCAAGAGCCTGAATTAGAATAGACCATAGTGTTGATGTTTATTTAGTCTTCCCAAAATGTACTTCTAAATAGATTCAGTTCAGTGAGTTCAAAACCTATCAGCCAGATTTTTGATGATATGATCCTGCTGTTCAGTACTTTTCCTGAGTTCTAATTTACTTGAGCATTCATCTTCCAATCTCATGCTTTCCTGAAAAAGGCTCTGCAGTCATTCCCTATCTCTTCATTCTTCCCAATTTTGGGAACTTGTCTGAGGCCGCTGGTTATATATTTGTATTGCCTCCATCTCAGTTCTGACTTGCGACCCTTTACAACATATATAGGAATTGTTTTTCTTTTGGGGGAGCAAATTCAGCATGAAAATCTTGTGTTAGGTGAGCACTACACACACACAAAATTAATTAGAAGGTAATTAACTCACTTTATAAAAAATTCAACACAAGCTTCCTTCAGACAAGGACTGCTCTAAATATGTTTAAAATAAAATAGTAAGATTATCTTTAATCCTTATCAAATGTGGCTAAAGACAATTTGACTTTCTTAATATGAGGTTTGAAGAGTACTTTTATAATATTTTTTAGAAACATAGAATTTTCATTTCAGTGGAAGAAGAAATAATTAACACGGATTGCTGTTCACCTGCTGAACCTCACTAGAATACAGCTCCCACAAAGAAAGGAATTTTGTCTCTTATGCTTTCCAGGGGCATGCACAGTGCACGGCACATAGTAGATGCTCAATAAATAACTTTGAATGAAGATGAATAATTTATATAAAATATTGTACCTCCTAGACTTCTTAGGGCCATAGATTGTGCCGTGTCTGCTTAGACATCTGTATATTTTAACACAGTTCTTGGTAATTTATTGTTTTCAATAAATATTTGTTCAAAAAAAGAGAATGAAACTTTTACACGTGGCTGGCCCTATGAGTGCAGCCATAATAAAGCCAAGTAATTCAATATCCTCTCTCCCATAGAACTCCAATTTGATCTCATGTTTTGAGTTCTGAGATATTCTCCAGAATGTCTCTAAGTAAGTGAACATAAAACCTTGCTAAGGCCAGGAAAACCCAGAAACATATTGGTACTATTGATTTAATATCAAAGTGACATCTGTCAGATCAATCTACTGTCCAGCTCAGGGGCCTGAAGGGATGTGGCACAAAACAGGTACATTTTCTCTTAAGAGAGGCAGGCAATTGCCCTAAGGTAATCAGAGGAAAGAGCAGGCCTTCAAGAAAAGCCTCAGGAAGAGGCACAGGCAGCCCTGGGTGGACCCAAAGGCCACAGGCTCCTGAGACAGAGGGCTCTCAGCTAGTTTTTCCTTCAAGTTTTTCCCAGCATTGGCTCTGCTTTCACAACAGAGGTTTCATCAGTAACAACATATGTCTTTCTTCCACAGATGAAATAGAATTGCTCCCTTGGGAGATTTACTTCTTTGCATTTTAAACTTTGTGACTAACTGGAAAAAATGGGGGCAGGGCTCCCATTTACTCAAATTACAGTTTTCATTCTCCATCAACCTTCATAATTTGGCAAATAGATTCTGTTATTTGGTGTGCGGAAAAAGTAAGACATGGAGTATATTATGCAACTTCCTGCAACTCTAATTAAGATTCTTACCATTTTGAACCTGCAATACACACACGTTAATCTCCGAAGAAAACAAAAATTGCAGCCTCTTTCAACATTATGCACAGGGGGCCATTAAGCTCTTTTGTATCCTCCCAGTGAGACTCCCTGCTGCAGTCTGCCTGCCAGGTGCTGTGGGCTCCCTGGGGAAGGCTGGCACCCTAGCGAGCATCACAGGAGTCTACAGAGGCTGACATTTTCCGTAAAATTCCTCCATTTCCTAGCAAGCTCAGCATACTAACAGCCTTTCCATTTAGGCTGCCTCCTGGATTACTTTACACAATTTGTGTGCATGGTTGAGGGAGTCTAAAACATCTTCTCAGACTCCATAAGGGTCTTGGCAACCAACCAATGGGTCTTTCCTTGGTAACATTTTGGCATCAGCTACCTTGCTTTGCTGGGAAGAGTTTTGTCTATACCTAGCATTGGAGTGGTCTGCAAAACCCCTTTAGACTTTGAGTGGCTTGTATTCTCAGGATCTAACTGAGAATCTGGCATACCATGTTTCTATAAAATACTTTAAACATACATCATTACATAAAGGAGTATAACAAGATGATTATATATGGCATTTATCACCTCTTGCTCATATCCCAGACATAATATCCAACTGAAAGTATTTATTCATCCATTTGTTAACTCAGTCACCCACCAACTATTACTGAACACCTACATTAGACTAGCAAATTTTAAGTGCTTCAACAAAGACATTGGCCTTGACCTCAGGAATCTGAAATTAGGAAATGAAAAAAAAAAAAAAGGTAGGATTGAAAATAAAACTGGAAAGGGATTATCAAAATCCACAGTACACCAAAAACAACACACATTTCCCCCCAAGCAAAGTTTATGCTTTGAACAAGTTTATTTCTTTGAACAAGTTCAGGTACTTCTACAGGTATTTTCTCATTCACTCCTTATTGTAAAACTAGAAGAAACCAGAAGATATTATAATTTTCTTCCTACAGATGAGGAATATGAAATTCATAAAAGATGAAATGTGTCTCCACCTCTAGGTAATGGTAGAAGGTAGGGTCTCACCACATCATACCAACTGGAGATTGTATTACGTTTGGCAATGATTTGTCAAAATATAATACCAAAGTGCTGAGTTTATTTCACAATTGTGAGTAGTGAGAGATAAATAATAGATATAGGTAATGCAGATATAAGTTCAATCATGTTTCTTGTTCCTCTATGTAAACAATATTTCTCCACAATAGAAATCATATTACAAATGAAAAGATAGCAAGGTACCATGTGAAACATATTGACAGAAAATGTGAAGAGTTGGCTTTTAGTCCTGCTTGTCTAATCCTATGCACTTAGCAGTTTTGTCTATCTAATCTGGAGTGTGGGGGTTCGAAGCAACATTTTGCCTCTCTGAAATTCCATTTTCTCAGCTGTAAAACTAGCTGATACACTCTCTCTTTCCTAAGAATGTCCAGAGATCAGTAAAACAATATATGTGAAAGTATTTTGAAAT
Source organism: Homo sapiens (assembly GCF_000001405.40). Classification (NCBI taxonomy): domain Eukaryota; kingdom Metazoa; phylum Chordata; class Mammalia; order Primates; family Hominidae; genus Homo; species Homo sapiens. The sequence goes on from NC_000001.11 coordinate 216,142,692, forward strand.
ATGATAACATTTAATGCAAATATAAACTTGCAATAATTAACCCTCTGCATTCAGATTGAATTTGTTTTCATCTCACTTTCCTATGCCAATTCTAATGTGATTTAGTCTCCACAGCCTAATTATGCTTGGAATCATAACATTTTAAATATTTAAATTTTACCTAACTTAATCTAATAATTAACCTGAATTTCCCCCCACGTGTTTTAAACCCATTACTTCTTGAAGTGTCTTTGTTGACTAATGAGAAAAATAGGTCCCTCTTCTCTCCATAACACCTCTTTACGCATCTGTAAACAGTTATCATGTGTCCCCTCTGCCTTTTTTCCTCAAGATTGAACATTCTCACGTCTCTCAGCCTTTTCTTACAGGCCCCATTTTCAAGGCCCTTCATCATTTTTTTGTTGCTTTCTTTTGAAACCTCTGCCAAACTTGTCTATGTTGTAATAAGTGTGCCTTCCCAAATGGAACATGGTACTCCAATCAAGGGCTAAAGATTGCCAAGTGGAGTCTAATCTTCACCTTATTTATTTTATCCTTGACAATTCTGCTAATACAACAACACAGGATAGCAGTTGCTTTCTTTCTTTAAACAGCATCATACTATTGACTTTTTCTCAGATATTATCTAGCATAAATTAAAGCTCCTAAGGATAAAAATTAGTAAAATTAACTTACTAATATTTATTTTTTAGTCACAGTACTTAGGGCACCATTTCATAACTATTAGGTGATTAATAAATATAAAGCAAATCAATGAACATTATTTGTACCTACAAATAGTAGTGGTCTAAAATTGTTTTGAGATGATGAAAAATATAGATGGTTCTTTCTTTCATGATTGAAATGCCCTAAAGAGTAGAAAATTCATGCCTGACTCCTACGGAGTTTTTTAAAGAACCCAATAAAATTAGTTTTCAAAAGCACATAATTAAAATGAAAGGGAAGTTTTACTGAATTTTATTTACATAGCATAGCTCTTCATTTAACACGAAAGTTTCTGGAAACTACCAGAAAACCAGAAACATGAACCATGAAACTAAAGACCAATTAACGTAAAATCAATTACTGTATGTAATGTGATAGATGACCTTATGGAATTTAGCTGAACTGTCAAACTTGCTTAATATTTGATTTTCCAGGACCAAATCTACAGAAAATATGAAATGACATGGCAAGGTCAGTGACTACAATGCAAGAAGCTTTGGTCTTCTATTGTATCTACTGAGTAGAAAAATATCCAGACTGCCGTTTTGACTATCAAAATACAAGCCAGGAACCCAGTAGCTATATCAAGACTTTCTTTAGGGGGAACTAGTAAATGAGAGCCAAAAATGTAATCTCATACAGATCAACAGATTGGATTTAAAGGGATCTTAAGTAGTGATGATTCCCTTTTATCTTCTAAGTATTATGAACATTTTATCTTATCAGACTGGCTAGAATCTGTGGCCACATGTTATGTAATGAGAAAATATCAAGTGCATCAGTAGCAATGTAGCTAATCTTCCCTGGCTATTCAGATGAGAAATGACCCATAGTTTAAATACGACCCTTTTGGAGAACAAAGAAAGAGCAAGGAAAGAACAAAGAAGACTTCTCTTAGAATTTTAACTATCCCAGAACAAATTATGCATTCTGGACTGCAGGGTTTTTTGCTTTTTTTTTTAATACTTGGAAAATGTCCTTTTAGTATGGCTTTTCATGGAAAAATATACAGAACCAAGTTAAACAAAACACATTTCAGCAAAGCTTTGTGAATATCATTGGCTAAAATAAATGCATATATTATTAAAATAAACCCCAGGAAAATATGATTGTTCAGCTATCAATATGTATTGGAAATTTATATATAATACTAGGAATTTTGGGAAGGCTCTAAGCTATAAAATACATTTTGAAAATAGTTTAGTCAGGTAGCAGGGGATAGAAACATAAAAATGGTAAAATCTAACTGCCTATATTCAGCTTTTCGCCTACCTGACCACTGGGCAACATTTTATGCAAATGAATATTACCTAATTCACCAATCTTTCCTTGATTGTCAAGCAGTTCTTCACCTACTTATCTGGCTACTTTTTCTTGATTGTTTTTTAACTATCTATCTCTGAATGCCATCTTTCCTCCTAGGGTCTGTCCCTAACCCTGAGTCCCTTAGTCCATTCTCAGGTCTTCAACTTCCATTCATATGCTCATAGCTTCTTTTTACGTTAAAAATCTCTGGTTGCATATTCACACCAGGACTTTGAGCAAAATAGGAAATGTATTATCCAGAGATAACAGTGTGTTCTGTAACTCAAGGCTAGGCAAGATTCCTGGACTGGGAGTGGAGAAGCTTTGAGGAATGTTTTCCTGTTTCTCACCTCTCTGCTGCTCTCTGCTCTATACTTCAGCATTCCCTCCTTCCCTTCCCTCACCCTACTTTCTCACCCGCCCCCACAACAATACACCTCTCTCTGTCTCTCATTTCAATTAATTTTTATGTTATGTTCAGGACAAACACAGACCAACTGGTTAGCTCTAAATTCCAATTCCAAATTCTCATGCGAACAGAATCAGTTCTGCATGGAGCAGGCTTTCATAGCTGTCCTAACTAGCTGTGATCAGTACAGCAAGGGCCAAGGTACAAAGGAGGTAGCCATGTGTCTCTCCTTGGGGGATCCAGGGGCAATGCGGTAAGAAGGGGTAGTCATGTGCTAGATCAAAAGCCTAAAGGATGTCTGAAACAAATAGCAAATCTATGTCTACAACAAAAATTGTTTTAAAGGTTAAGGCTTAATTCAGTATTTTAAGATTAAAAAAAATCTTGTTGATTACTTGCTTTTGGCTTTAACATCCCCCTGGGCAGAAAAACAGCAGTATAACAGTTCAGAGTAGTCAAACAGCCATGGATTATATTCCCACAAGTCCTGTGTCAGGCCTCTGAGCCCAAGCCAAGCCATCGCATCCCCTGTGACCTGCACGTATACGCCCAGATGGCCTGAAGTAACTAAAGAATCACAAAAGAAGTGAATATGTCCTGCCCCACCTTAACTGATGACATTCCACCACAAAAGAAGTGTAAATGGCCAGTCCTTGCCTTAACTGATGACATTACCTCGTGAAAGTCCTTCTCCTGGCTCATCCTGGCTCAAAAAGCACCCCCACTGAGCACCTTGCAACCCCCACTCCTACCTGCCAGAGAACAAACCCCCTTTGACTGTAATTTTCCTTTACCTACCCAAATCCTATAAAACGGCCCCACCCTTATCTCCCTTCGCTGACTCTCTTTTCGGACTCAGCCCACCTGCACCCAGGTGAAATAAACAGCTTTATTGCTCACACAAAGCCTGTTTGGTGGTCTCTTCACACGGACGCGCATGAAATTTGGTGCTGTGACTCGGATCGGGGGACCTCCCTTGGGAGATCAATCCCCTGTCCTCCTGCTCTTTGCTCTGTGAGAAAGATCCACCTACGACCTCAGGTCCTCAGACCGACCAGCCCAAGAAACATCTCACCAATTTCAAATCCGGTAAGCGGCCTTTTTTACTCTCTTCTCCAACCTCCCTCACTATCCCTCAACCGCTTTCTCCTTTCAATCTTGGTGCCACACTTCAATCTCTCCCTTCTCTTAATTTCAATTCCTTTCATTTTCTGGTAGAGACAAAAGAGACATGTTTTATCCGTGAACTCAAAACTCCGGCGCTGGTCACAGACTGGGAAGGCAGCCTTCCCTTGGTGTTTAATCATTGCAGGGACACCTCTCTGATTATACACTCACGTTTCAAGGGTGTCAGACCACGCAGGGACACCTGCCTTGGTCCTTCACCCTTAGCGCCAAGTCCCGCTTTCCTGGGGCAGGGGCAAGTACCCCTCAACCCCTTCTCCTTCACCCTTAGCGGCAAGTCCCGCTTTCCTAGGGGGCAAGAAACCCCCAATCGCTTATTTCCGCACCCCAACCTCTTATCTCTGTGCCCCAATCCCTTATTTCCGCACCCTGACCTCTTATCTCTGTGCCCCAATCCCTTATTTCCGTGTCCCAACCCCCTCTCTGCTTTTCTGGAGGGCAAGAACCCCACTCCCCTCCTCCGTGTCTCTATGCTCTCTTTTCTCAGGGTTTGCCTCCTTCACTATGGGCAACCTTCCACCCTCCATTCCTCCTTCTTCTCCTTTAGCCTGTGTCCTTAAGAACTTAAAACCTCTTCAACTCACACCTGACCTAAAACCTAAATGCCTTATTTTCTTCTGCAATGCCACTTGACCCCAATACAAACTCGACAGTAGTTCCAAATAGCCAGAAAATGGCACTTTGAATTTTTCCAACCTGCAAAATCTAAATAATTCTTGTCATAAAATAGGCAAATGGCCTGAGGTGCCTGACATCCAGGCATTCTTTTACACATCAGTCCCTTCCTAGTCTCTGTGACCAGTTAAACTCATCCCAAATCTTCCTTCTTTCCCTCCTGCCTGTCCCCTCAGTACCAACCCCAAGCATCGCTGAGTCTTTCTAATCTTCCTTTTCTACAGACCCATCTGACCTCTCCCTTCCTCCCCAGGTTGTTCCTCGCCAGGCCGAGCTAGGTCCCAATTCTTCCTCAGCCTCTGCTCCTCCACCCTATAATCTTTTTATCACCTCCCCTCCTCACACCTGGTCCGGCTTACAGTTTCGTTCCGTGACTAGCCCTCCCCCACCTGCCCAGCAATTTACTCTTAAAAAGGTGGCTGGAGCTAAAGGCATAGTCAAGGTTAATGCTCCTTTTTCTTTATCCCAAATCAGATAGCGTTTAGGCTGTTTTTCATCAAATATAAAAATCCAGCCCAGTTCATGACTTGTTTGGCAGCAACACTGAGACACTTTACAGCCCTAGACCCTAAAAGGTCAAAAGGCCGTCTTATTCTCAAAATACATTTTATTACCCAATCTGCTCCCGACATTAAATAAAACTCCAAAAATTAAATTCCAGCCCGCAAACCCCACAACAGGATTTAATTAACCTCGCCTTCAAGGTGTACCATAATAGAAAAAAGTTGCAATTCCTTGCCTCCACTGTGAGACAAACCCCAGCCACATCTCCAGCACACAAGAACTTCCAAACGCCTGAACCGCAGCGGCCAGGCATTCCTCCAGAACCTCCTCCCCCAGGAGCTTGCTACACGTGCTGGAAATCTGGCCACTGGGCCAAGGAATGCCCGCAGCCCGGGATTCCTCCTAAGCCGCGTCCCATCTGTGTGGGACCCCACTGAAAATCGGACTGTTCAACTCACCTGGCAGCCACTCCCAGAGCCCCTGGAACTCTGGCCCAAGGCTCTCTGACTCCTTCCCAGATCTTCTCGGCTTAGGGGCTGAAGACTGACACTGCCCGATCGCCTCGGAAGCCCCCTAGACCATCACGGACGCCGAGCTTCGGGTAACTCTCACAATGGAAGGTAAGCCCGTCCCCTTCTTAATCAATACGGAGGCTACCCACTCCACATTACCCTCTTTTCAAGGGCCTGTTTCCCTTGCCTCCATAACTGTTGTGGGTATTGATGGCCAGGCTTCTAAACCTCTTAAAACTCCCCAACTCTGGTGCCAACTTAGACAATACTCTTTTAAGCACTCCTTTTTAGTTATCCCCACCTGCCCAGTTCCCTTATTAGGCTGAGACACTTTAACTAAATTATCTGCTTCCCTGACTATTCCTGGACTACAGCTATATCTCATTGCCGCCCTTCTTCCCAATCCAAAGCCTCCTTTGCATCCTCCTCTTCTATCCCCCCACCTTAACTCACAAGTATAAGATACCTCTACTCCCTCCTTGGTGACCGATCATGCACCCCTTACCATCTCATTAAAACCTAATCACCCTTACCCCACTCAATGCCAATATCCCACCTCACAGCATGCTTTGAAAGGATTAAAGCCTGTTATCACCCGCCTGCTACAGCATGGCCTTTTAAAGCCTATAAACTCTCCTTACAATTCCCCCATTTTACCTGTCCTAAAACCAGACAAGCCTTACAAGTTAGTTCAGGATCTGCACCTTATCAACCAAATTGTTTTGCCTATACACCCTGTGGTGCCAAACCCATATACTCTCCTATCCTCAATACCTGCCTCTACAACCCATTATCGTGTTCTAGATCTCAAACATGCCTTCTTTACTATTCCTTTGCACCCTTAATCCCAGCCTCTCTTCACTTTCACTTGGACTGACCCTGACACCCATCAAGCTCAGCAAATTACCTAGGCTGTACTGCTGCAAAGCTTCACAGACAGCCCCCATTACTTCAATCAAGCCCAAATTTCTTCCTCATCTGTTACCTATTTCGGCATAATTCTCATAAAAACACACGTGCTCTCCCTGCCAATCCTGTCCGACTAATCTCTCAAACCCAAGCACCTTCTACAGAACAACTCCTTTCCTTCCTAGGCATGGTTAGCACGGTCAGAATTTTTACACAAGAGCCAAGACCACACCCTGTAGCCTTTCTGTCCAAACAACTTGACCTTACTGTTTTAACCTAGCCCTCATGTCTGTGTGCAGCGGCTGCCGCTGCTTTAATACTGTTAGAGGCCCTCAAAATAAGTAGAGGCCTTTCCTACCGGGTCTGAGAAGGCCACCACGGTCATTTCTTCCCTTCTGTCAGACATAATTCCCCGGTTTGGCCTTCCCACCTCTATACAGTCTGATAACGGACCAGCCTTTACTAGCCAAATCACCAAAGCAGTTTCTCAGGCTCTTGGTATTCAGTGGAACCTTCATACCCCTTACCGTCCTCAATCTTCAGGAAAGGTAGAACGGACTAATGGTCTTTTAAAAGGCACACCTCACCAAGCTCAGCCTCCAACTTAAAAAGGATTGGACAGTACTTTTACCTCTTGCTCTTCTCAGAGTCAGAGCCTGTCCCCGAGATGCTACAGGGTACAGTCCATTTGAACTTTTATATGGACGCACTTTCTTGCTTGGCCCCAACCTCATCCCAGACACCAGCCCTCTAGGCTACTATCTTCCAGTGCTCTAGCAGGCTAGACAGGAAATTCGCCAGGCTGCTAATCTTCTCTTGCCTACTCCAGATCCCCAGCCATATGAAGACAACCTAGCTGGACGATCAGTTCTTGTTAAGAATCTGACCCCTCAAACTCTATAACCTCAATGGACCGGACCCTACTTAGTCATCTATAGTACCCCGACTGCCGTCCGCCTGCAGGATCCTCCCCACTGGGTTCACCATTCCAGAATAAAGCTGTGTCCATCGGACAGCCAGCCTAATCCCTCCTCTTCCTCCTGGAAGTCGCAAGTACTCTCCCCCACTTCCCTTAAACTCACTCGTATTTCTGAAGAACAGTAATAACCCTTATGAGCCTAATACATCCCTTCATTCTATTAGGTCTGTTCGTCCTTACCCTACTTTTTGCAACAGGGCTTTACGAAGTCACCCCACCACTTAGGCCGAGCCCCAAAAAACTAGTCATCCCTACTATCTTCTGTCCGGTCATACTCCTATTCTCCATTCTCAACTACTTATAAATGCCCTACTCTTGTTTACACTGCTGGTTTACACTGTTTCTTCAAGCCATCACAGCTGATATCTCTTGGTGCTATCCCCAAACTGCCACTCTTAACTCCCTCTTAAAGTGGATAGATGATCTTTGCTGGCAAGGCACCCTCCAATACTTCCACCCTGATGAAGTTCTATTCTTTACTTTTATACTCACTCTTATTCTCATTCCCATTCTTATGTCACCCTCTACCTCTCCCCAGCTATCTCCACCACACTGTCAACCTTAACCCATTCTCTCCTAGCTGCTTCTAATCCCTCCTTAGCGAACAACTGCTGGCTTTGCATTTCCCTTTCTTCCAGTGCCTACACAGCTGTCCCCGTCTTACAGACAGACTGGGCAACATCTCCCGTCTCCCTACACCTCCGAACTTCCTTTAACAGCCCTCACCTTTACCCTCCTGAAGAACTCATTTACTTTCTAGACAGGTTCAGCAAGACTTCCCCAGACATTTCACATCAGCAAGCTGCCGCCCTCCTTCGCACTTATTTAAAAAACCTTTCTCCTTATATTAACTCTACTCCCCCCATATTTGGACCTCTCACAACACAAACTACTATTCCTGTGGCTGCTCCTTTATGTATCTCTCGGCAAAGACCCACTGGAATTCCCCTGGGTAACCTTTCACCTTCTCGATGTTCCTTTACTCTTCATCTCCGAAGTCCAACTACACACATCACTGAAACAATTGGAGCCTTCCAGCTCCATATTACAGACAAGCCCTCTATCAATACTGACAAACTTAAAAACATTAGCAGTAATTATTGCTTAGGAAGACACGTGCCCTGTATTTCACTCCATCCTTGGCTACCTTCCCCTTGCTCATCAGACTCTCCTCCCAGGCCCTCTTCTTGTTTACTTATACCCAGCCCCGAAAATAACAGTGAAAGGTTGCTCGTAGATACTCAACGTTTTCTCATACACCATGAAAATCGAACCTCCCCCTCTACGCAGTTACCCCATCAGTCCCCATTACAACCTCTGACAGCTGCCGCCCTAGGTGGATCCCTAGGAGTCTGGGTACAAGACACCCCTTTCAGCACTCCTTCTCACCTTTTTACTTTACATCTCCAGTTTTGCCTCGCACAAGGTCTCTTCTTCCTCTGTGGATCCTCTACCTACATGTGTCTACCTGCCAATTGGACAGCCACATGTACACTAGTCTTCCTTACCCCCAAAATTCAATTTGCAAATGGGACCGAAGAGCTCCCTGTTCCCCTCATGACACCGACATGACAAAAAAGAGTTATTCCACTAATTCCCTTGATGGTCGGTTTAGGACTTTCTGCCTCCATGATTGCTCTCGGTACTGGAATAGCAGGCATTTCAACGTCTGTCATGACCTTCTGTAGCCTGTCTAATGACTTCTCTGCTAGCATCACACACATATCACAAACTTTATCAGTCCTCCAGGCCCAAGTTGACTCTTTAGCTGCAGTTGTCCTCCAAAACCGCCGAGGCCTTGACTTACTCAATGCTGAAAAAGGAGGACTCTGCATATTCTTAAATGAGGAGTGTTGTTTTTACCTAAATCAATCTGGCCTGGTGTATGACAACATAAAAAAACTCAAGGATAGAGCCCAAAAACTTGCCAACCAAGCAAGTAATTACGCTGAACCCCCTTGGGCACTCTCTAATTGGATGTCCTGGGTCCTCCCAATTCTTAGTCCTTTAATACCCATTTTTTTCCTTCTTTTATTCGGACCTTGTATCTTCCATTTAGTTTCTCAATTCATCCAAAACCATATCCAGGCCATCACCAATCATTCTATACGACAAATGTTTCTTCTAACATCCCCACAATATCACACCTTACCACAAGACCTCCCTTCAGCTTAATCTCTCCCACTCTAGGTTCCCACGCCGCCCCTAATCGCACTTGAAGCAGCCCTGAGAAACATCGTCCATTCTCTCTCCATACCACCCCCCAAAAATTTTCGCCGCCCCAACACTTCAATACTATTTTGTTTTATTTTTCTTATTAAGAAGGCAGGAATGTCAGGCCTCTGAGCCCAAGCCAAGCCATCGCATCCCCTGTGACCTGCACGTATACGCCCAGATGGCCTGAAGTAACTAAAGAATCACAAAAGAAGTGAATATGTCCTGCCCCACCTTAACTGATGACATTCCACCACAAAAGAAATGTAAATGGCCGGTCCTTGCCTTAACTTATGACATTACCTTGTGAAAGTCCTTTTCCTGGCTCATCCTGGCTCAAAAATCACCCCCACTGAGCACCTTGCGACCCCCACTCCTGCCCACTGAGCACCTTGCGACCCCCACTCCCACCCGCCAGAGAACAAACCCCCTTTGACTGTAATTTTCCTTTACCTACCCAAATCCTATAAAACGGCCCCACCCTTATCTCCCTTCACTGACTCTCTTTTCAGACTCAGCCCGCCTGCACCCAGGTGAAATAAACAGCTTTATTGCTCACACAAAGCCTGTTTGGTGGTCTCTTCACACGGACACGCATGAAATCCTGTAAGAGCAGGGAACAAGTCTACTGGTGATAAAGACAGGAGGCAGGGAAATGCTGGGTAGAAGAGGGCAGTTCCCTGGCAAAGGCCCCACCCTGAAGCCTGGAAACCCACAGCCCTAAATAAAAAAAGGCACTTCTGTTTTCACACCCAAGTGTTGCCTTTTGGCCCACCATGCCCCACTATCCTATACCCATATAAACCCCAAACCCCAGGCTCCATGAGCAGAAGAGCAGAGGAACAGGAGAATAGCAGAGCAGTGCCACATAGAAGAAGAGAAGAAAAGGAGCATCTGAACATTGAGAGGATTTCGGCTGGGGTTAGTCAGAGAGGAGATTGGCCGCCGGATGCCCAAACTCCAGGGGAAGATCATCTTCCCACTCCATCCCCTTTCCAGTTTCCCATCCATTCCACTGAGAGCCACCTCCATCCAGCAATAAAATCCCCCACATTTACCATCCTTCAGTTTATCCATGTAACCTGATTCTTCTTGGACACCGGACAAGAACCCAGGTACCAAGAAAGCACTGAGCTGGTTAACACTTAAGCCATATGTGGATGGCACAGCTAAAAGGGCATTGTAACACACCCACTGGGGCTTTGGGAGTCACAAGCACCCACCCCTAGATACTACCATGGGACTGGAGCCCAAAAGTTCTTGCCCTGGCTCCCACACCTGCCCATCTGCATGCTCCCTCTCCTGCAAGGAGTTTGAGTGCAAGGCGGTCAAGCAGACAAGCCACACCTCTGTCACATATCCTGCAACAGGGTGTCAGGGAATTCTCCCATTTCACTGGAGCCCAATTATATTCCTATGATCCAACAGAGATCCAGTGTTAGTAGATGCCAATAAACACCAAGTAAATGGAGAAATTAATCACTTTGGGAAGCAATTGACAGACACCACTAGTGTCCTTTCCATGTGAAAAACTTTCATTTCATATATGCAGTTTACATTAATATGCCTATAGATATTGCCTCATACATGCCCACAAAACAGAGATAATGCTGCATATTAGATATAAGGGGAAAAAAACCCTCAAAATAGGATACTTGCTGAAAGTTTTTAATGAGGCTTTAACAGCTCTGTAAATTAAAGTTCTAATTTGCACAGTTTTGTGAAGTAAACAAGGAGAGAACAGCATCAGATGTAGGCTGCTGCTTGCTGCCTCCACTCAACACATTTTAAGTGAGGGTCAAATTGATTTTGCAATCTTTAATTATATTTCTTTAATTTTTTTCCAACTACTGAATTTATAAGTATGCAGAAGAAATCTGTTTTCAAGCAACTATATTTCTCACAGTTGAACTTAATAATGTAGCATATTAACACGGATTATATAAGCTATGAAAAATACATTACAGAGGTGCAGTAGCTTCAAGGCAATAACTGGTCAACTGTATACTCAAGTGTCTATTTCATATTTTTACTGACTAAATTCCTTCTTAGGATAAAATAAAATATAGTCCTTTCTATTTACAAAAATTCCCTTCTGAATGTGAATGAGATCAAAAGAAACCCTATTTCATTAAAAAAAGTTATTTCATTGAAATTGTACAAGATTCTCATTGTCAGCATAATTTAATGAAAGTCATTTTCTTATTTTTATGACAAACAGTATATACCAATTTGTTTCAGGTGAAATTTGGAGTGATAAGCAGTATACACACTGCTTAAGTTTCTATCTGAAAGAGCTCAGAATTTAAATGGTAAAATAATATTAAAATTGTTTGGTTTCCAAACAAAGTTAAAGCAACTTGTTCATTACAGTGTAAATCAATGGTTCCCATACTTGAATGTTGCAAGAATCACTTGGAGAATATTTTATTAATTTTAGTGAGATAAAAATTTACATATATACTGAAGCACATCTGTTTAAATGGTTCAGTTCGATATGTTTTGACAGATGTACACACTTGTAAAACCACTACCTTGATTGTTACACAGCATTTCCATCACCCCCTCCTCCTCAGGCCTAGGCAACTGCTGATCTCCTTTTTGTCACTATACATTAATTATTATTAAGAATTTTATATAAGTGGAATTACGATTAAGTGTTCTTCTGCTCTTTCCTTTGTATTGCTTACTAGTATTTCATCACATACATATACCACATTTTATTAATCAATTCACCTACTGATGGATATTTGAGTTGTTTCCAGTTTCTGGCTCTTGTGAATGTAGGCGCAATGCGTATGTGTGTGCCAGCCTTTTGTATGTACAAATTGTTTCATTTCCCTTAGACAAATAGCTGGGGTGGGGGTGGGTAAGATAGCTCTGTCTTTAATAGTGTAGATCTGTATATCTTATCCAAATGCAAATTTCTAGGTACTTCTCCAGAGATTAGGATGAAACTGATTTTACAAAATTACGACAGTAAGAGAAATCTGACATAGTTGACTCCATCTTGCTTCTAACCTTCAAGCTGTCTTTGGCCATTCCTGGACACTGGGAGAAATTTAGTTCATAGTTTAACTTGAAAGCAAAGATGATCATAGATGATCATCCCTCCCTAAAACTAACCTCCTCCCTTCTCAGAGACTAAAAACCACCTTCATAAGACTAATGAAAGGCCACAAGAATAGGATTACGGGAGGGGCCTGAATGCTGCTAAAATGTAGGTGTAATTTTTATAATTGCTTACTGTTCAGGAATAATGTGGTCAGAGGTCACAAGATTGGTGACTTCCCCAATTGCTCCTATAGATAACATCACTATTGTAAAACCCAAGATTGCTTTTTTGAGATGTTTTTCAAACTGATCCCACCTGGACTAATGACTCATGACTCAACCCATCCTGTTGCCCCACCCAGAGACAGACTTAATACAGGAGGACCATTTTCCATGCTCTTATGATTTCATCTTCAACTTATCAGCAGCACCCATTCCCTAGCCCCTCTGCCCACTAAATTATCCATAAAAATCCTAACCTTCAAGACTTCAGAGAGACTGATTTGAGTGATAACTCCAGTTCTTCCACTTGGCTGGCTTGGCTTAAATTAAACTTTTTACTGCAATGCTGCAGTCTCGGTTAATTGATTTTGTTTATGAAGCAGGCAAGCAGAACCTTTTGCCTTGGACAATTGCAAGAATGCAATAGATCCATGCTGGGATTCAGAATTTCATTTTTTTTTAAACCATTCAGCTATGCTAATTCTTATAAGGAAGATCTTCTAACATTTTGCAGACATTCTATAAATAATCTTATTAGATGATTAAATAAAATTGCAACTTTTAGTGAGTCAATCTATGAATGGTACATGTACAATATCAGTGAAAATATCAGCATGCCCTTCTTAAAAACATTCTTGGTATCAGGCTGTAACCTCCACAGTGGTCTTATAAAGATGAATAAAATTACGTTCAAAATTTTCAATGTGATGGCCCTTGCATGATCTGGCCCCTTTTTTATTTCAGCCTCACCATGCACCCTTCTGGCAAGAATCTAATTTATATTAGAATTTCCAAGTTTTTCTTGCTTACTAATTTGTTTATTTATGTACATGTCATCTCCCACATTAAGACATTGATACATGATACTTTCTCTACCTGGACTCCTTTACTTTCCTTCTTTCTTTTTCTTTCTTTCTTTCTTTTTTTTTTCTTTTTTTTTTTTTTTTTGGCCTAGCTAACTCAACTTGCCTCATCCTCGGAGAGGTCTTCACTAATCCTCTAGACTGGGTTGAGTGCTTCTGTTATGTTACAGTATTTTTTCACATCTTATTTTTGGACTTTGCAGGCTTGAAACATTTATTCAGTAACTTTTCAAAGTAAAGTATAACAAAAATAAAGTGCACTAATTATCAAGGTATATTTTGATGGACATTTACAAAATAAATCTACACTTATAAACTCCTCTCAGACTAATTTATAAAATAATTCCAGAATCTCAGAGGGCTTCTTTTTGCTTCCTTTCAGTTATTACCCCATCTACTGATTTCTGTCACCACTGATTTCACTTTGCAGCTTTAGAAATGGACAACTGAGACCTAATTAAACTAAAGTGTCTCTGCACACACACCAAAAGAAACTATCCACAGAGTAAACAGACAGCCTACAGAATATACAAATTATGCATCTGACAAAGTTCTAATATGCAGAACCTATAAGGAACTTAAACAAATCAACAAAAGAAAAACAACTCCATTTAAAAAATGGGAAAGAACATGAACACATACTTCTATCTCTTTTTTTTTTTTTTGAGACGGAGTTTTGCTCTGTTGCCAGGCTGGAGTGCAGTGGTGCCATCTTGGCTCACTGCAACCCCTGCCTCCTGGGTTCAAGTGATTCTCCTGCCTCAGCCTCCTGAGTAGCTGGGATTACAGGCACACACCACCATGCCCAGCTAATTTTTGTATTTTTAGTAGAGACAGGGTTTCACCATGTTGACCAGGATGGTCTCGATCTCTTGACCTCGTGATCCACCCACCTCGGCCTCCCAAAGTGCTGGATTACAGGTGTGAGCCACCGCGCCCAGCCAAACATACACTTCACAGAAGATGACATACAAGCAACCAACAAACATGAAAAAATGTGCAGCATCAATAATTGTCAGAGAAATGGAAATCAAAACAACAATGAGATACCATCTCACACTAGTCAGAATGTTTATTATTAAAAAGTCAAAAAACAGCAGATGCTGGTAAGGCTGTGGAAAAGAGAGAATGCTTATGCACGATTGGTGGAAATGTAAATTAGTTCAGCCACTGTGGAAAGCAGTCTGGAGATTTCTCAAAGAACTTAAAACAGAGCTACCATTTGACACAGCAATCCTGTTATACCCAAAGAAAAATAAATCATTCTACCAAAAAGACGCATGCACTCATATGTTCATTGCTACACTAATCACAATAGCAAAGACACAGAATCAATCTAGGTGCCCATCAATGATGGACTGGATAAAGAAAATGTGGTACATATACACCATGGAATACTACCCAATCACAAAAAAGAACAAAATCATTTCCTTTACAGCAACATGGATGCAGTTGGAGTTCATAATTCTAAGTGAATTAATGCTGGAACAATAACCAAATACTACATATTCATTTATATGTGAGAGCTAAACATTGAGCACACATGGACATAAACATGAGAACAACAGACACTGGAAGGGAGGGAGGGGACTGTAATTGGAAAAACTACCTATTGGATACCACGCTCACTACTTGCGTAATGGAACCCATAGCCCAAACGTTAGCGTCATGCAATATAGCCAAGTAACAAACCCGCATGTTGTACCCATTATACCTAAAATAAATGTTAAAATGAAAAAGAAGAAATTTATATAAATAGAATACTAGACTCTTTAGATTCTAGCTTCTTTTACTCACTAACAGGTTATAAGATTCACCCACATTGTTCTCTGAAGCAATAGTTGGCTCATTTTTATTTCTATATGCAGTCCACTGAATAAATTTATTATAATTTATTATCCATTCTACTGTTGATAGAAATTTGGATTGTTACCAGTTTTTGATTATTAGAAATAAAGTTGCTATGAACAACTTTGCATGTGCTTTTTAGAGCACATATGTATGTATGTATTATTATTATTTTTTAGAGACAGGATCTTGCTCTGTCACCCAGGCTGGAGTGCAGTGGTGCAATCAAGGCTCACCGCAGCCTTGAACTCTTGGGTTCAAGAGATTCTCTTACCTCAGCCTCCTGAGTAACTGGGACTACAGGTGCCTCACCATGCCCAGCTAATTTTTCAGCTTTTTGTAGAGATGAGGTCTCACTATGTCACCCAGGCTAGTCTTGAACTCCTGAGCACAAGCAATACTCTTGCCTTGGCCTCTCAAAGTGCTGGAATTACAGGTGTGAGCCACTGTGCCCTGCATATATATGTATTTATTTGGGGTATTTATGTGGCAATATGTTATTACTATACTTATCTGTTCTTTTGCCTATACTATACATGCTTACCTACTGCAGTCTTATAGTTAGTCTTGATACATAAGCCTTCCTACTTTGCCCTTTTTTAGTATTGCCTTGGCTACTCTAAGTACTTTCCTCTCTCATGTGCATATTAAAATTAGCTTGTAAATTTTTACAGAAATCCTGGGATTTTGAGAGGGACTATATGGATTCTACAGATCAAACTAGGAAGACTTGCTATTTAACAATATTAAGTGTTTAGATCCATGAACATGGCGTAACTTTCCATTTATTTGGTCTTTAATTTCTCACAGTAATTTTTTGTAGTTTTCAGAGTGGAGGTCCTACATTACCTTTTAGCAGACTTGTTTCTAAGTCATTTATGTGTGTTAGTTCTAGTAAGCATGGTACTTTTAAACATTTCATTTTCTACTTGTTTTTTGCTATTCAATAGAAACATTTGATTTCTGTACATTGACCTTTATTCGACACTTTTCTAAGTTTACTGAGTAAACTGAATAGTTTATATATTATTTTGACATCAATAAAAATAATGACATCTACAAATAAAGATGGTTTACTTCTTCTTTGACATACCTAATACTTATTTATTTTATTGCTATATTGCTCTGGCTAGTACTATACTTCCAGTACAACATTAAATAAAAGTGGTGATAGTGAATTTCCTTGTCCTGTACCTGACCTCTGGGAAAAAGCACTTGATATTTTACTATTAGAGGTCTTTTACAAAAACAATTTATTAGGATGTGTTCTTTCATTACTAGTTTGCTGAGAATTGTTATGAATAGTTATTATATTTTATTAAATGCATTTGTTAAATCTGTGGTGATAATTTAGAATGTTTCATTTTTACTATGTTAATGTGTTGAATCACATACATTTTGAAAAGATTACACACTACTGGAATAAAACCTGCATGGTCATGATATAACATTTTATTTATGTACACACACACACACACACACACACACACACACACAGAGAATATTAGAATCTACTTTTGTGATTATTATTGACCTGTGTTTTCCTTTATGTTAATTTCTTTGTCAGATTTTAGTGTATAAGTTCTTCTGACCTCATAAAATGAGATAGAAACCATTGCAATTTTCTATTTTCTGTAAGAGTTTTTTTGTAGGATTGCTATTATTTCTACTGTAATTGTTTGATGAAATCCACCAATCGGGCCACCTTCCCTGGGGTTTTCTTTATGTAAAAGACTTAACTATAGATTTCATTTTTAAAACACATCTAGGACCACATAGATTTTCTAGATCTTCTTGTGTCAGTTTAAATTTGGAGATTTTTCTCCCATGCAAAGGATCTCTGTATTTTGCCTGTATTGTCAAGGTTTTAGCGTAGTGCTGTTCTTAATACATTATTATTTTTTTTAATGTCTGTAAGATTTCTAGTAATGGCTCTTTGCATCCCTGAGAGTAGTAATCTGTACTTTCTCCTTTCCTTGATCACTTGCAAAGAAATTTTTCCCCAAATTTTCTAGAATCAATTCTTGGTCTTATTTTCTCCATTACATTTCTGTTTGCTATATCATTGATTTCTCTTATTTTTATAATTTCTTTTATTCAAATATTTTTTGGGTGTCATATGCTGCTTTAATTTCCTGGTTTCTTCTTGAGTGGGAAGCTAATTGATTGTTAACTATTCCCTTTTTCTAATATATGCATTTAAAGCTATAAAGCAATATCAGATTCCTGATATTGTCCATCCTACAATGTTTTTATATGTATTAAGGCATTATTATCATTAGATAAAAATAATTTTTAATTTCCATAATTTCTTTTTGAGCCAGGGATATTTTCCAATCGGATTATGTTTTAGATTTGGAGTTCTAGTTTAATCTCACAGTTGTCAGAGAACTTGAAATATTATGAGATCAAGCTGAATGCAGTGGCTCATCACATCTGTAATCCTAACACTTTGGGAGACTGAAGTGGGAAGACTGCTTGAGCCCAGGGGTTCAAGACCAGCCTGAGCAACACAGTAAGACCTCGTCTCTTAAAAAAAAAAATTATGCGATTTCTATAGCCCAGGATATTAACTATTTGGAAAATGTCCTATGTGTTCCTCAAAAATGCATATTATATAGTTGTTGGAAGTGATGTTCTACATATGACAACACTTATAAAATGTCACATGTTTTATATACAGATGTAATTGTTTATTCATTTTCAAATCTTTGATAGTTATACTAATATTTTGTGTACTTTTCCTGTCAAAATATTAGATGGGGATTTATATCTTCAACTATGAGGATATATTTATTCTCTGTTTATTTCTGTCAACTTCAGTTTTATATACATATCTGAAACTATAAGTAGCACCTAAATTTAGGATTATATGTCCCTCTATTGAATTGATCTTTTTGTCATTATGAAATGTCCTCCATTTTGTCTACTAACATTTATTGTCTTAAAATCTATCTATATATCAATACATCTTATCTCTTTCTTTGTTTTCGAATTTTGTCTTTATATTTAAAGTATGTTTATAAGAATAAACAACATATATTTTTATTTTTTAAATCAATCTGAGAACTTTTATGCTTATTTGGGTAGACTATTTAGATTTAATGCAACTACTGATATAGTTGAGTTTATGTTCACCACAGTGGTATTTGTCCTTTTATTCCCCACATTTGCTCTTTGTTTCTGGCTTCTTCTTGCCACCCTCAAACTCCTTTATCAGCTTAACCTGTGTTTATTTAACATTTAGTGTTTCCTTACATTAATTTTCTAAATCATTCTTTTGGTTGTTACCTTTGGCATCATAATCTGAATCCTTGATCTACTATGGCCTACTTCATATTATTAATTCTTCAACTTCCATAACTTTTTAGGAATTTTACCACAGTTTAGCTCCATATAGACCCCGTCATCATTTGTGACAAAATAATTGATGTCATACATTTTTTCTTACATGTTATCAACTTCAAAGTATGATTTTTATGCCTTTTATCATAAATATTACTTTTTATTTACACACCTAGTTACCATTTCTAGAGGTTTGCACTCTTTCCTGCAGCTCTGTGCTTCCTTTTGGGATCTTTTCCTATGTCCTAATACACTTTATGATTTTTATAATGCCAGTCTTTTGATGATAACTTTTTTCAACTCTTTTGTTAAGAAAAATATTTTATTTTATCATTTTTGATGGATATGTTTCCTGGGTACAGAAATCTTGACTGGTAGTTTTCTTTTGTTGTTATTATTGTTAAAAAAATAATTTTAGCATTTAAAAAGTATCATTCCATTATATTCTGGCATTCATTTATTGTTGTTGTTGAAAACTCAGACATCATTCTTATTTTTGCTCCACTGAAGGTAATAAGTCTCCCCACCCTCCCCAGGTGCTTTTGAAGGTTTTTCTTTGTCTTTTATTTTAAGCAATTTGACTGTAATATACCTGGATATGGCTTTCCTTATATTTGCCCTCCTTATGGTTTGCTAAACTTTGTTAAACTATGTGTGAACTTATTTTTCATATTTGATAATATTTGGCTATTCTACAATATTACTATTGTCTCATTCTTTCACTCTTTCCTTCTGGGTCCTCAAATACCTCATTGTTCTTTTTTTCATGTTTTCATTTCCTTCTCGATATGCTTCAGTTTGGACAATTACAATTGACCGTTGAGTTCTCTAATCTTGCCTTCTGCAATGTTTCATTGGCAAAACTTATCAATATTCTCTTCATTTCAGGTATTTTACTTTACATACCATTTTTTCCTATTAATTACTGTACAGATTTCAATTTTGCATTGAAATATTTTTTATCTTATCATCCTTTCTGTCCACCTTGTCCTTTATTTTCTCTTAACATTAACTGAAGTTATTTTGAAGTCTTTGTCTGCCTCTATCGACTATTAACATTTCATTATTGGTCACTTCATGGATGACGCATAGTAAAACCTCTGGATTATTTTACCTTTTACTAATGAATACAAAATTCTGTTTTGACGGGAAGTAAAATTACCAGATTACCTCGACCTTACTCAGCCTTGGCTTTAGGCTTCACTAGGGTGAATCTGTTTCAATTATCTCAATGTTCCTAAAGAATAGCCCTTATTCCTAAAGCATGGGAATTTACTCATAAAGGACGGACTTTTGGAGAGTCGAGTGAAAGCTCAGAGTATTCACCAAGGTTTCTCTACTGTGGTTAAGTCCAAACTCCATGTGTGCATCCTTAGCTCTATGTTGCCTGTGAAATCTCTACTTAGCTCCAACTACCAAGCAGATCTTCTCTACTATGTTTCTCATAGGATTATTCTAAATGTTGGCCAAGCACCCAAAAAAGAATTGTTACACAGAATTTTTGAATTATTTTTCAGCATCAATCTTCTCTCTGGGAACCTACCCTCCAAATCTACTTTTGTAGCCCTGAATTCCAGTTTTTATTCCTTTACCAGATATACTAATGTCTCTGCTTGAGCTCAATAATTCCAGGTGTGTGCAACTCAGTTCATTTGCTTTTCTTCACTTAAGCATAATAGCTCTGCACTGTTGCTATATATTGGCTACAAATAGGTGTTTCATATATATTTTGTTCCCAACTTACATTGTTGCATACGATATTAAGAACAAGGCTATTTACTTTATCAGGGATGGAATTGGTATTTTATCTACTGAGTTGCTAACTTCAGCTGTTACTCCGCTCTAAAATTCCTATTCTAATATATTCCCATTTGCTACTTAAATTCTGAACATTTTCATTGATTTTATTGATAATATTAATTATAGTTATTTTAAAGTCTGTGTCTGGATATATGCATATATATCTACATGTATATGTGTGTATATGCCTATGTGTGTATGCAAATACATATTTCCATATATCTGAATTACTTGAGGATATGTTTCTATTTTTTATTTTATTTATCTTATCTTTTGGTTATTTGGCCCTATTTTCTGGTATGCCTGTTAATATTTGATTGAATGCCCGACATTGTATAGGAAAAAATTGCACACTCTGGGACTCTGGTTGATGTGATCTTTCAGCAAATATCTAAATATTTTTGGTAAAAAAATAACTTTTATCTCAGTATAATTAGTAGTTAAGAATAATTGAGGCTTTATCTGAGGAAGAAGAGCCTATTAATGATTTGCTCTTCTAGGATTTCAATTGAAAACCTGGCATGTATACCAGGACCCCACCTAGACTCTAATTTTTTGCCTGTCTTTTTTTTTTCCCTAAGACTATGCAATAGAGGAATTAACAAACAAAACAGAAGGAAAAACAAAGATAATTTAAAAGGCTCACCTACATGGTTTTTCTTATATCTAGGATCTTGATCCCACAAGTCCTAGAAGCCTTTGTTACTCACTTATGTCTTTAACCATATTTTTGAGAAATTTTTTCCAGCTTCTATTTCTTTTCTCAGCAGGAGGATTTTTTGATATGCTTCATAGCTGGAGACAGAAGTCACTTGTAATTACTTAATTACATGTTTGATGCATGATTTCACTGCAAGACTTTAAGCTCCCTAAGGTTAGGAATCATTCTTGTGTTGCTCAGTATCCTTTTTACGACAGCAATCATAACATCAGCTAGTGGAGTGAAATAAGGAAAAACTGCATACGAACCGAATGAGTGATTGAACTCTTCCATTTAAAGGTGGATGTAGAAAGCAATATCAAAGCTTGAAACACAGTTTAGGGAAAATAGAAGGAGAAACCTAGTGAGAAATATTTAGTTTCTTCTTATTTTTTAAAAGGAAAAAATGGCACCAATATTATTTATTGGCACATAGGGTGAGGATTAAGGAAAGTTCTCTGACTTGAAAACTATTGATAATCTAGAAGAAAGTATTTACAATAAAGAAGTGGAAGAAAAGAATCCAAATGACAGTAGATTGAGGAGTAATTGATCCATGAGAAAATGACACATAGAGAGTCTTAGTTTTCGAGAAGACTGATTATGAAGACAGGGGGAATAATAGAGTTAGGTTTATAAGTACACATAACATTTAAAGTTGGCTGTTTAAATAGATGTGGAGAAATGAGATGCAGAACATGTATGCTTCTAGTGGAAGAAGAAAGGTAACAATGACAACAAAAAACAGGTCAGAGGTTCACAGAATGAGTAAAATAAAGTGAATGATCAGAGTACCGTGTAGTAGAGAGAGGTCATAAAGAAGTATCAACAAGATTTATGTGACTTAGGGACATAAAATATATGTATGCAATGGAAAGGCACATAATTGAAGTCCAGAATTACAGAATGCTGGTCACAAATGCATACACAATACTAAGACACTGTGTACTAATCCTTTACAGTGATTGCATTGAAACCTTACAATAAGCCATTTAACAGATGAAGAAACTGAGTTTCACACTGGGGGAATGACTTGTGCAAAGTCGCACACCAGCATGTTGGGGAGCCAGATTTGAAACCTGGGGAGTCTGACTCCAGAACCTGCACCATTTACTACAGCCATTGCCACTTTCTGAACTAGACTGCCAACATCAATACCTCCATTGTCCTTGAAATAGAATTCAATCAGCATGATGCTGTTAATCCATCCATAGCATTGATCACTGTTGTTTTTAAAGCACTTTCAAGATTAAAAGTGCTTTTTATTGTACTGTATATGTTTATTATGACTGTCATCTTAAACCTATTGCAATAAGCCCTAATGATATGTATAGGTAAAAGTGTCAAAATATTCATTAACCTCAAAATTTAATAAGCCTAAGGAGATCATGTATCTAAGAGATGTGCAACCACCTAGTTTTCAGCAACACAATGTGATAGCTATGGTGGGGCAGAAAACAATTTCTGATATAACACTCTAGCTATAACAACTGGTGTACAAGTAACTTTGCCAGCAACTGAGGACCATTAACAAGAAATTTCTTTTTGTCTCTGGTACTATACAGTTTAAAATGTATTTTCTTACACATCTAAGGCCAATAGAGACTAAACAAATTGAGTTATCACTCTAAACCATCAATACTTTCAAAAACGTGGATTTAAAAATGTGAACTATATTCAAAAGCATAATGAATTTTGCCATTAAATAATTCTTACAGCTAAGTGATCCATCTTTTGGATTTCCCTCTTTTCTATCACTCATTTAGTTAATAAATATTTATTGAGTATCTGGTAAATGTCTTATGCCGTGCAAGACACAAATGTGTTAAGCATGAAAAAGATAGTCATAATTTCAGTCTACATGAAACATAGATAAGCAAACAACCAGTTTTTTTTTTTTTTCAACAGGTGTTTTTGGGAACAGGCAGTATTTGGTTATATGAATACGTTCTTTAGTGTTGATTTCTGAGATTTTGGTACACACATCACCTGAACAGTGTACACTGTACCCAATGTGTAGTTTTTTTTATCCCTCACCCCATCCCACACTTTCCCCTGAGTCCCCAAAGTCCATTGTATCATCGTTATGCCTTTGCGTCCTCATAGCTTAGCTCCCTGAACAACCTGTCTTAATAGAATGCGGTAAGAGCTAAAATAGAGTAATTGTTGGTTTCTATAGTAGTACATAAGAGAGGTCCTCAACCCAGATTTGGCATGGGAGGAGGCTGGGGTTGCTGGAAGTTTATTTAGGGGAACAGCTAAGCTAACCCTTTCATGATGAGTAGCAATTAGCCAGGTGAAAGGAAAGCGAAGTACTTGCAAATAGATGAGGGCATACCCGGCAAAGGTATCAATATGTTCAAAGAGATGGGCATCTGAGAGAGTGTGCTATATTCAAGCACTGGGACTAAAAAATGGTCTAGAGCTAGAGAGTATACCAGTCCTTGGTGGGAGAGATGAGGAGGTATATAGGTAGAAAGCAGGTAAGCAGAAAAGGGTTTGTGAAGGGCATCTCTCGCTGGGAAACCATTAAAAGGTTTTACACAAGAGAATGCCAATAAAAATAATTCGTTTGAAGAACAGCCTGGAGAAGATTGAAACTGTTGGCAGAGAAGCCCACAACATAGGTCTGGACTAGGCAGTAGCGTAGGACCAGCAGGTAGTTCCAAGAGATGTATCCGAGGAAGAACGGCCAGAGGAGGAATCATTAATAGAATGGGAGGAAATGAGTGAATAGTTCAAGTGCCAATTCAAGGAGAGTTCCAAGGTTTCCGCCTAAGGCAATAGTGATATTCACTGTAGATGGTACACACGGAAGGAGGAACAGGTTTCAGGAGAGGAAAAAAATGAAGGGAAGAAGCTGAGAAAAATGCATCTACATTGATTTTTAATTTTCTGCTGGAGGGAGGATCAGTCAATCATTCCCACACATTTCCCTTAAGTCCTTATTCTTCCTTTATGATATTCCCCAAGGATGCCCCTTTTTTGTGAAAATGATATGGCCACCATTGCCAGAGATGACTTTAGATGGCTTGAGGGTTTCTTCCTCTCTCCTTCTGTCTCATGCCTTTATTTTGAAGTTGCACTAAAGTCAAAGAATTTCCAAATGGAAACTGCTCATCAGTCAAGGAACTGAGCCTCCCTTTTCAAAGCTCCAAACAAACGGCCTATGGCTATGTTTGTGAGCCTCCTTATATATATATACCTTAAATATGGTTTTCATATTATTACTTAACATTTCCCCCACTTCAATGAAACTGTTAGTGTTACAGTTGGCAGTTAGACTATGGGCAGGGTCAGAGAAGCACCGCCCCCCACAACGCCCCACCAGAAATGTCAGGCAACCGTCAGGTGATAATTGTTACACTATCTCTCTAAAATAATAAGAATCAGTCACAGCCAGTGCCAGGGAAAGGCAGTCTCCCTATAGATAGAAACACCTGAGACGGGTGATCAGCAGCTTCCCAATGAGATCTCAGGAGATGGGTGAGTGGGCTCAAGCATGCGCACTAAGAGGCAAAATGTTGGCGCTTAACCGGTATATGACCTTCTGGGAACACTTAACTGGCAAGGAAACATGCCTTAAGTGAGCATGCCTATAACTTCAGTAAACACACTGGACATTCAACTTCTCCCAATTGCTGGCAGACTACTGTACACGTGGACAGCCCACCCCAAGGGAAGAATCAGGGGAGAAGGGACGCAAGACCTCGGAAGCATGCCATTATATAAAACCCCAAGTAAAGGTCAAATCATCTCTCAAGTCACCCACTTGGCCCTCTTCCAAGTATACTTTATTTCCTTTCATTCCTGCTCTAAAATTTTTAAATAAATTTTCACTCTTGCTCTAAAATTTGTCTTGGTCTCTTAATATGCCTTATGTCCCCTCAATCAAATTCTTTCTTCTGAGAATGCAAAAATTGAGGTGGCTACAGATCTATATGAATTTGCCGCCAGTAACATTAGTGCATAATCTTCTAAAACATTTCTTTAGAGCACTGGAACCAAGTTTTGAAAGAGATGGCATTTTGACAATGATGTTCCCAGATTCCTCTCTATCTGAATAGAAAGGAACTTAATCTATACACTTCAAGAGTGCTGTAACTGGTATAAAATAACTATAACTATACATTTTTAAATGTTTTAACTAATTTTTTTCAAGAAAACATACACAAAATAATTCATCTTACTAAATCAAAAATCAATCATCTTCAAAGGTGCTAGTTTCACTACCATTGCTGACCAATTATGATTCTTTTTCTGCTCAAAGTTCCTTTTCCAACCCATTTAAGCTGAATGAAGGGGAAATTAAAATTAATGTGTTATATTGATACAAAATATCATTAAGCAACAGCATTTTTTTTAAGCAATGAAGTCTTTGAAAAGATTCCAAAATGCCAACATACTGGCAGAAAAGACACTGGACAATTTGAGCAGGTATATTTGAGACTATATAGAAATGAAAATGACTTTGCAAAAATTATAACTAAGAAAATTATGACAGTGAAAGAGACCTGGCCTAAATAACTCTATCTTACTTATAAACTCTAATATGTCCTTGTTCACTGCTGGGCAAAGGTTGACCTAACCTTGGGAAAAAATTTAGTTTACAATTTAGTTTTGAAACAAAGATGGTAACAGCCTTTTCCCTAAATAGACCCCCTTCTTGCCTGGGGACCTGTCTGCCTTTGTATGACTAACAAATTTGCTACAAGATAAGGAATGATGGTTTAGAAGCCGTGCAGCCTCCAGCTGCAAGATTCCGAACCTCCCCAAATTGCTCCTGGGGATAACATCACTGTTGGAAAATTTAAGATCAGTGTTTGAGATATTTTGCAGTCCCTTAACTCATGAAATAGCTATCACCACCCAGATTGATAAACTGGCTCATCTGATCTTGTGGTCCTCACCCAGGAACTGACTCACCACAAGAGGACAGCTTTGACTCCCTAGGATTTCATGTCCGACCCAACCAATCAGCACTCCCACTTCCCAACCCCTTACCAGCCAAATTACTCTTAAAAACTCTGATCCCCAAACTCTCCAAGAGACTGATTTCAGTAATAATAAAACTCAAGTTTCCCATACAGCAGGCTCTATGTGAATTAAACTCTTTCTCTATTGCAATTCCCCTGTCTTGATAAACTGGCTCTGTCTAGGCAGTGGGCAAGGAGAACCCATTGAGTGGTTGCGGAAAACCCAGAGACCTTCTGGAAAACATATGTTTATGCATGTGGGATGAGTATATAGGAACACACGTGTGGTTTATATATCAGGTGACAATGCATTTTGAAAAATTTTAACAGTGATGGACAAAAACAGATGCTTTAAGTTAACTAAAATACTGCTAACAGCTAACAAAAACAGTTTGTTTTCAGTGTTGGCTCAGCTTACCAGTTACCTAACATTAATATTTCAAAAAAAAGGGAGACTTACAGGAATGTACTTCAAAATAAGTCACTTTTAAAAGGCAAGGGTTAAAACACATGCATTCTTAAATTGGTCTTATGATGTAGTTGATGAATGGGGAAATAATGGTCCTCTCCCATCTCGCAGTGCCATCAATGCCACCTGAAGGCATTTCCTGAGAACTTACTTATACCTCTCTACTAAATATAATAAAAAATAAACAGTCTTGACATTTACATCTCCATATCTCTAGTTATCATGAGTCAGTGTGACTTCTGTTATTCTAAGAAGATATGCATTTTGATCCTTGTCCTCAGTCCAAACTGATTAACTCAACCATTCTCATCTCTTCTGATTGTTTCATAATCAGAAAACACAGCAGAGTTTTGTCACTGCCTGAGAATTATTTCTCCTTTACTTTGCTGCCACATACCATGTTCTTACTCTTTCCTTTACTTTTTTAGTATAATTACTGCCTGTTCATTAAACTTCTAGGACACATAGTAGATTATTATATTTGTTTTTCAATAACTAGGGCTGAAATCTAACATCAAAGGTTAGGTAAAATTTGTGATTTAAATCTGTCTTGAAAAGAACTGGGGTTTTGTTTAGTTGTTTTGTTTTTTATTTTTTTCAAGCGCTTTCTGTCAAAATACTTGCTCCCACTCCAAGGAAAACAAATAGTGGGACACCAAGGGTGTTGAAGGTCAGAATTAATATGCTTTTACTAATTAGTCTATCTGAAGAAGTTTGCCCTACTTGCACCTTCACTATAAATGCTTATAATCAGCTTTCTTTTAATGAAGTGCTTAAATGTCCCAATTCACTAAAAATAAGAAGACTAATAACAATAAGGCATAAATATTATGGAGTAAAAGAAATAAAGAATATGCTCTTAAACATATTGATTTTTGGTGGTTGCATTTCTTTTTTCATCCCTTGGTAATTAATTGCATTTCGTATTCTAAAGCATTTTAGTTCAACCATTTTTGGGAAGGTGAATACTATGATACAAAAATGTATGACAATCATTTAGTGTCCTTGAACATCATTATTATGAAGAAACTGTATAGAGTTCTCATCTGCAAGATATTCAACATCAGTAATCACATTTCTCGTGAAGACAAATAAAAGGGAATTATATCCAGGTGCATGTGTGTGCTCATCTCCCCAGTGGTTTGCTACAAAGATCTCCCCAAAGGCAGTTCCTGATTTCTGGGCAGGGTCACCAGTAAAGGCAGTTTAAAAGGCTGGTGTGATTGGCATCTGGATACTACAATAGTCAAACCTTCCCCCAAATGATCATGGACCTGTTTTCGCTAATAGGAAAAAATAAGTGACAAGGAGAAAGAGGGTCACCTTTGGAATGCCAATCTGAGCAGTATTTTACTTGCTGTTTTTACCAGGTTCCACTTGGATTACTAGCATTACAAGGAAAGAACTAAATTCTTTGTATAAATCAAGTAGATTTACTCTGCATTCCTGAAAAAAACGAGCATGATTTTTTTTTCTCTCCAAAGGCACAATGATATCCCCTTCTAGTTGCATATGGGAGGGGAGGCTCTATTTGCTATTTCTGTGTTGGAAGAAGAAAGTATTTTTAACCCCATGTAACTGGGGCACTGTTTCACCATGATTGTTTATATCATTGCCCAATTACAAGATCACGAAACTATTTTAATTTTCTGCTTTTTTTATAACATCTGATATGACCCAATAATTGAATATCTATTTTATGTTGAACTCTGCCCATATCACTAAATTTCTTAAATTATTAGAGAAAAGCAGTAAATTTGTATCAATCTTAAATTGTATTAATAAACAAAATATTATAGAAAACAATTTATTTTAAACTCTAGGTGTTTTTTTAACTCACAGATGCCATGATTACAGCCTGTATTTTGGATTGTGGGGCCTCCTAAACATTCTATGTTCACAGAATTGGAATTTTAGAGGTTAGAACATTGATCATGCAACAAAATCCTCAATTTAATAGATGAGCAAGATTAGACACTCAGAAAAGTAGTTTGCCCAAGTCCTCACCACTAAGTCAATTAATTTTACTATTTTCAATAGCAAAATTAAGTATCACATTTTAATATGGAATATTGCATATTACTCATGCCCTAGATATAACATTTGAGCAAACATATTTTGCATGTGTAACAGCAAATAAATTAATAGAATGCTGATTTTATAACTGCAGAATACTCTCACTTAGGAAAGCTCCTGTCTCATAGTAGGCACTTAATAAATATTTATTAAATGAATAATAACTAATAGCTAATGTTTAATGAGTACTAAATAATCTGTGTGGTAGGCACTGTGCAAAGTTCATTAGGTGGGCTATCTACTTTAAATCCTCACCTACCTGCTAGATACCAATACTGTCAGTGGAATTATGTTAATTTTAAAGAAAAGGAAACAGAAGCACAAAAAATGATTAAATGAGTTGTCTAATTACATTTAGCTAATAAATAATGGGGCCTGGATTTGAAAGTAATTTATCAGTTAATCTTCTTCGAAGTCCTCATAATAATATACAGAGAGTTAATTATTTTAAATTTAAACTATGATGTAAATGACTGATAATACATTCTTCCTGAAGATTAGATTTTTTAAAAGAACACTTGTATCAGAAAAGAAAAGGAAGCAAAAATAGGTCCCAAAATAGCTTTATCTGGTTCTTTATTCTGCCCAAAGGTAGATATTGACAGGGTTTATTTACAGTATTAAGCTTGGTAATTTACAATATTAAACAACATTTTAGGACATATATTCATATGCTTGAATTATTCTCTTTCTATTGTGTAAGATAAAAATATTTAAAGCAAATATGAAAGAGGCATAAGTTGTGTAAGAGATCCCTTTCTTGTACTACAATAATGAGATATTTCTTACTGAGACTTGCAACATAATGTTCATGGCCATGAAATGTGTTATGAATGCGTTTATAATTCCTGTCATTGATGGGTACAATCTAACTTATCTTTTCATATATAAAATATGTATAATTATGTACATCAACCTTATATTTGTATTTGAGTACTAATTGATATTTCTATTCAGAAGTCATTTTAGTTGAAGTTTGAGATTTTGAATTGAATAATTCAAAACAAAGGACATCTTAGTTTATCTTAAAGTTATTAACTTTTAAAATGTAATTCATCATATTAGAGGTTTCAAGGATTTGCTCATTAAATTTGCCTCAGAATATAAAAACTGAATGAAATATAAAGGAATGTGAGTTGAAAGCACTGTTTTAACGCATAACACTTCAGCCCATTTCACATAATGTTATTTATATTTTAAACATCTAGCTTCTAGTAACACTCTGGGTTTAATTGCTATTAAAAAAAAACCTGATGCCTACATGTCTTTGGGGATACAAATAAATGAATAAATAATGCCAACACTACTTGCTGTTTGTGAGCTGAAACTAACTGAAAGACAAATCCAAAAAGTTTAGCAGTGTCAGATAAGGAATATTTGGGTGATAATTATTTCACCTCCTATCCCTCTTTCTTACTTTTGTATACTTCCTATTCTATCACTTCCAAAGAACAGTCTACAAAAGTTCCTTTCCACCCTGTAGCAGAGACCTTGCCTTTAAATTTGGAAGGCTCCAATTCACGTTTCCACCCTGAAATTCAATAGCTGTGGCACAATGGGCAAGTCACTCACTGGAGCCTCTTTTCCTCCTGTACTACGAGGGTAAAAAGAGCTACTTTATAGGGTTGCAGAGGGATTAAATAGGATAATATATCAGTAAGAATAATGTAAGATGCTAATTATATGCTTACCTCTCTATTTAGGAAAGATGCAAGTTTACAGAAAGTTATTGAGTTGGTTTTGAAAACCTGTCCTAGCTCATTAATTGGGTACATTTAGTTAGGCTTCGGTACAACTCAATAAAATCATTCAGCCAAACCTGGCAAGTCAGCCAAAGGATCAAACCAATAACTTAGTATATACATGGTTATATTAAAAGTTAAAGGGGTCTTAAAAGTAAAGCCAAGCTACCACTAAAAAGGGCATCAGCAATGTCCCAGAACATGCCTGAACACAGAAGAACTTCTCATTCTCCAGGAATCACCAAAGCTCCAGGGAGTAGTTCAAGCCAAAATTGTGATCTCCCTGCCTTGTCCTTCAAATGGTGTGTACTCCAAGCATATTTTCTGTGCAGCTGGAGGCTTTGTTATAGACAGAAGGATCCTGCTTAGTGAGGCCAGTGTTTACAGCCTAACTTTTTTAAAGAGGAATTTGGAAAACTTCCCAGACACTGCATCTGCCCCTAGCCCTTGCACCTCAGAGTATAAGGCCAGCAAGGGAGATAGCGAGGATGACCAAATTTATTAACGGTGGACGGGCCATTCTATCTTTCACTGCAACAACAGTAGGTGATCCCATCAAAAATCTGTCTGCTGGCTAGCCTGCAAATCCAAGCTGACATCCTTGCAGCAGCTATGCCCAGCTGAATGGAAACGGATGCTATTTCTTGGAAGAAACACATCTCAAGCCAAATATTGGATCAGGGAGGTAGTTTCCATTTTCATTTGAGAAAAGAGTTTTACTATTATTCATGTATTCCTTTTCCTTACCTTTTTTTTCTTTTCTTTTTTGCCATTTTAAGAATATAAAGCAGAAGTTGAGCATTTTTAGCTCAATGGTTCAATTTCTAATACTCTGCAATGATTTTGATGTACTGAGAGAGTAGTTAATCATGCATTAATCTCAATATATCTCAGTTAGAATATAATCATGATTCATTACCAAGGTGCATCAGCAGCCAGTCTCAATGAAAAGCAAACTATTTACTATTTTAAGTAAAAATAAAACAATACAAATTTTTATAGCTCGAATTCCATTTCATTGTCTTCACATATGCAATATTTTAAAGACTAGCTATTTGCTCCAAAATGACTTTCTCATGGATGATTAAATGAACATCTTTATGAGTTTACATAATAATATATATCTTATACTTTGTAAATTTTTTTAAAAATTGGAAAAATGGTGTACCATAAGTAGAGTTTTTTTACAGCTATATTGAAATCATGCTATTAGAAGCTGTAAGTCACAGAGGTCATGGGACTTCCAAAATATTGCGGTACTAGTAAGGCCAGGAGGAGGGTAAGGCCAGTGAGGCAGGATTGTGCTGGTACAGAGTTCAATCTGTCTTTATTTAAGCTTTTGATAATATTTTTATAGTGCTTTCACATTGATTTTCATTTTTAAAAATATTGCATTAAAATTTACATTAACACTGAGTTTTTTAGTGCCTTTAAATTTTGTGACCGAAACAAGAGCCTCACTTGCTTTACCATAGTCCTGGCTTAGAGAAGTTATCTTTTCCCTGGGATTAGTTTTCCCCACAATGTTCTTCATAGAACATGAGATATTAAGTTGTCACAGTGAAAAAAAGAAGAAGGAAACAGCAAGAGAAAGAAAAAGAAAACATTACATCAAATATCTGTTAGGCATGATTAGCTAAGCAAAGTTGAATAGCTTTCTTACAATGCTTTTTGGAGTTTCAGTAACGGGGTGCATACTGAGAATCTCCAATAGCATGAGGGCATTTTGCAAACTCATTTGCTCAGAGAACACAGTGAATAATATTTCAAGAAACATGTCCTGGCACATACTTCACAAAAAGACAAATACAAAGCACATACTTTGATCCAATAAGGCTGCTTCTTCATCTTCATCTTTTATTTTTCCTTTCCTTCACTTACCTGACTTTTTTCCCCAGAATTCTAAAAAGATGGACATGCTGAAACAATCAGGCAAAAGCTATCAAAGGGCTGAATTAGTATTTCTCTAAGTAGGTATAATAAAAATTCATTGTAAAGGGATATGAAAATATAGAAAACATTTTGGAGCTTCGTGTCTCCTAAATAAAGCAATGTCAAACACACTTACCAGTGAAGTCTGTATTGACTGGGTGAGTGGAGCTGGGAAATTTACAATACCCATTTCCTATGAAACGGATTCCTTTCATCATCGTGGTCATCAGAGCTGGTAGAGATGACTCTCTCCTTTCCAGCTGATATATAGGAGAGGGTCCATTCAGTTCTTCAGGTGGAAACCACCTAAGATGGATTGTTGTGCTGTTGATTCCTTTAACCAGAGGTGGCCTCAGTTGTGCTGGTGCTAAATATTAGAAAACACCTGTTATATTCAAGAATTTGGTTTCTGTCTCTAGACACACATATTCACATATACGTATATATGTATTTGTATATATCACACTTCAAATCAAATCAGTTGTGGTTTCAAGTATCTGTATGGCTCTAGGAACTGAAAACACAATATAGAGTTTATCTTAAATGCAGTGAAACAAAATTTAAATGGCCAATATACTACACACAAAACTTTCAAATTAAATTTTTTCTTGAAAATAACTTCTCTATTCTTTTTAGCTAAATAATAGATCTTATATATTATAGTAGCTGCTGTACTCTGGGTGGTGCCCCAACCACAGTCCCTCTACCAAGCAGGTACCCCAATGGCCCAGTTTCTGTGCCCGTTGGTTTCTGATGGCTCATGGCTGCCCCCTTCTGCGTAGAACTTCCCTTGGCTGAGTAAGAGCTGCCTCACCCAGGAGCCACAGGATCCCGCAGTGAAACCT
Source organism: Homo sapiens (assembly GCF_000001405.40). Classification (NCBI taxonomy): domain Eukaryota; kingdom Metazoa; phylum Chordata; class Mammalia; order Primates; family Hominidae; genus Homo; species Homo sapiens. Next base: position 216,175,961 of record NC_000001.11, read on the forward strand.
ACAGCCAATGACTAGCACTAAACCCATAGGGCAGAGCCCCTTGCCTTAAAGAGGCATCAACTCCGTGCTGTAATTTACACAGGCAAAGCATAATCCGTGCCAACCAATGGGTAATGAAGGAATATTAACACGAGTTTGCCAAAACTTTGTGCTTGTGTAAAAATACATCAGAAAGTCATTTTTAAAAAGACTTTCATTATTTTTGTTTTTGATTGCTCCTGTGGAGCACGGCTACACCATAGGCAATGTGCCAGGGGTAACCTTTATTTATTTTTTTTTTTAGAGATGGAGTCTCACATTGTTGCCCAGGCTGGAGTGCAGTGGCTATGCACAGGCATAATGATAGCTCACTACAGCCTGGAACTCCTGGGCTCAAGCAATCTTCCTGTCTCAGCCTCCCAAGTAGCTGGGACTACAGACAGGTGCCACTACGCCCAGTAGACTTAATTTTTAAGAGAAGTTTTATGTTCATAGAAAAATTGAGAAGAAGGTACAGAGTTCTACCATATCTCCCCACCCATGCACAGTCTCTTCCAATATCAACATCCGGCACCCAAATGGTTCATTTGCTACAGTAGATAAATCTGCATTGACACATCATTTTCATTCAAAGTACATAGTTTCCATTGGGGCTCACACGTGGTGTTTACCTTCTCTGGGTTTGGACAAATGTATGATGGCATGCATCCATCATTATGCTATTACACAGAAAATTTTCCCTACCCAAAACATCCTCTGTGCCCTGCCTATTCATCTCTCCTTCCCCCCAACCCCAGGTAACTACTCATCTCCGTAGTTTTGCCTTTTCCAGAAAGTCATATAGTTGGAATCATAAAGCATGTAGCCTTTGTAGACTGACCTTTCACTGAGTAATATGCATTTAAGTTTCCTTCATGTCTTTTCATCATTTGCTAGCTCATTTAATGCTAAATAATATTCCCTTGTCTGGATGTAGCATAGTTTATCACAGTTTATTTATTCATTCATCTACTGATGAAATATCCTGGTTGTTTCCAAGTTTTGGCAATTGTGAATAAAGCTGCTATGATGTGCATATATATGTGTACATCTAATTATATATCAGGGTTTTGTGTTTTTAACTCCGTTGAGTAAATACCAAGAAGTGCAATTGCTGTATCATATGGTAAGAGCATGTTTGGTTTTCAAGACACTGCCAAACTGTCTTCCAAAGTGGCTGTACCATTTTGCATTCCCACTGGCAATGAATGAGCATTCCTTCTACTGTACAGCCTCATCAGCATTTGGTGTTGTCAGTGTTCCAGATTTTGGCCATTCTAATGGGTGTGTAGTGGTATCTTATTTTAATTTGCATTTCCCTTTATGACATATGATATAGAACATTTTTCATATGTGTATTTGCCATCTGTATATCTTCTTTGGTCAAAAAAGCTCCTTTTATACGCTATTTTCTATTTTTAAAGCTTAAAAACTGATCTAAATGAAAGCAAACAAGCAATAGCACTCTGAATGTTAAACAGAGCATCAGCACAAAATAACAAGCCTGTGAGTTCAGCAGTTTACACACAACGGTCCAGGCAACTAACTTTGGTCAGCCTCTTGGTCCTAGAGAGCACCCTGGCCCTGAAGTGACCCCACCACCAGCAGTGGGCTTAGCCTTGGAGCAGTAGTGACCTCATGCCCTTGCATACACTGGGACCTTGCCATCCTTTCAGGTGGTGGGACACTGGCAATTCTTTGAAGGTTCCTGGGAAACCCTAGGAGTCACGGAGATTAAGGTTTTCCCTACAACTTGCTCATTCAGATTAACAGCTGATTTATTGAAAATGAAGGTTTGTTTTGGTTTGATTTTTTTTTCCCTTAAACAGTTGAGTTTGTGAGCTGAGATTTATTCCCCCTTTAAGTATGTCTGCTGGATTTGAGAGGTGAATGTGGAGAAAGGAACAAATGTCATAATCACCGAGCCTATTTATTAAGGGCCCAAACTACATCTGTGGACTTTCAATTTACACCTGTGTTAACACAGCCATACACAGACGCAAAGTCATTGCCTGTTTCAATAAATATAAATCAAAATGATGTGGATATAAGAATTGAAGCCCTTAAACCATGAAAGGAAATTCACCGTAAAGCAGCTTAGAACAATTAGTATTTGTTACTTTTTAGACCTTCGGCCAGCTTTTCAAAAAGAAACAATTCATTTTGGTTCTATTTTAACTTTTAGTAAAAAAGAAAAGGCACTGAGCAAAAAGTTCATCAAGTTAGAAGGATAATTAACAATTCTGGTTATTTTCTGCCACTGCAGCCCATGTGATATTTTATTTTTATATATGTATGAATCTGTGAATTATATGCATAATTTCTCTTAGCATTTTTTTCTGCTAAAAATCAGTTAAATGGTAGGTTCTCAAAGATTTCATTCTACAAGTTATGATCTCACTTCAAAATAATCCAAAACAAAATAAAAGGCTAAGCCATTCAGAAATTTCTTCACCCAGAGTCTCTCTTCAGAGTTTAGAGTTACATATTTGTATTAAGATTTTAGCAGGCCATTCTTGGCTATAATCTCAACTAGGAAAGGAAAGCTGCCAAAGATTTTTTAGTCCTGGGCTCAGGGAAGCAATGGAGAACCAATTACATAATGTTTAAATTGAAATTTGCTAGATTCCCTAGGGTTTTGGGACACAGAAACCTGAACTTTTTAGTTTCATAAACTACTAACCTAGTAATATCCAATAGCCAAAAACTACTTTACCAGTACTGTCCAATAGAACTTTCTCCAATGAAGGAAATGTTCTAGGACTGTAATGTTTAATACGGTAACCACTAGCCTTATAATAAGACTATTGAGCACTTGAAATGTAGCTAGTGAGAATGAGAAACTGAATGTCAAATTTCTTAATTTTAATTAACTGTATTTTGAATTTAAATAGCCACATATGATTCATGACTACCATACTGGACACCAAAGATGTAGACAGAGCATCACAAATTATACATATTTGGTGTGTTGAGGATAGGATTTCCATTTTAACTAAATGTTGAGAAGAAGTATGAATATGCCTCCTATGCTTCTTAAAAGCTGAAGAATTTCATTGCTGTTTGAAAGCAGCCTTTCTCCAGGTCCCATTTGTTTGAAAGTTGATACATCTCTACTTTACTCCAACCACTCAACTCAATGGAGATAATGTTGAAGCTCAGCACCACCACAGAAATCAAATTCCTTCCCCCATCAGTAGCATAATCCAAAAATTACGTCTTAAACAGGAATATAGATTAAGAGTAATAGGAAACAAAACTAAACAAAAGGAATTCTGGCAACTCTGTCGTTTTTGTGTAATAATTATTGAAAATTAGAGCACACTTTTTTTTTAATTTGGCAAAGTGATTCTAATCAATAGGGAAATTCTTGAGAGTCCATTAAAGTTAATGTTTACCATTTAAACTTTAAGTAGTAGAGCACTTCTTGATTCCCAGAGGAATTATTCCATCTAGCAATGGGACTGTCCTTTAGAAGTCAATTCCTGAGAATGAATAGAACTAGAGTACATTTTTTATTCTCTTGCTTAAAAGAAAAACAAAACAAAAAACATTCCAGTAGGTGTGTTTTACAGTTTCACATGGAGGAGTCAACTAAGCCTGTTTGAAAGGGTGAACATCCTACTGAGTTATTCTTTTCAGAGTTCTTCTAAGGCTGGAAGGGGGAATTAAGTGAAATTGTCAATCAATTAAACTAGACTGGTCTCACATACACACAAGTAGAATAAGAAGAAAAATAGATACTTCTGAACCATTAAACACACACACATACATGCACATAGAATCACCAAGAGATTGGGGTAATGATGAATTATTCGTCAGATTTTCAAGGAAAAGGAACTATAGGTAAAAGTAGATATGACTTTTAAAGATTTGTTAATTTACAAAACAGTTCGTTAAGAGACAACACTGAATAATGAAAGGGATTTGGTAGACTTTTAAAAATTATATTTCACTTTTTAATGTCTAAATCTGTGTGATCTTAGAAAAATCCCTTTATATCTGCTCCCACTTTCCCATCTGCAACATGAGGATACATTTTCAGTGACATACATTGACAACAATTGCTTCTACAACAATATACATATTTGCTTTATGTTTTAGAAAACAAGTTTCTATACAAATATAAGGTGCTATCATTACAAGAACAAATCTTTCAAATTATGTATGATTAAGGAATACAATTCATCTATATTCAAAATCTATCTGTATTTACCCAGAAAATTCTTGTAAATGTAAAGTTTAAAACGAATCTTCAATATTCATTATTTCTAAGGATAATATACAAAGTTTAAAATGAATGTTCATTATCCATCATTTCTAAGAATAAAATGTCTATTTGAATAAAAGTACAAAATTCTTGTACTTTTAAAATAGCACTTGTATTTTTTAATAGGGGTAATCTAATTTCTTGTCTATCTATTCGATGTATAGATATTTTTATAAAATGTTATAATATGCATTCTTTATGCAGCATTTATTACTTTATAACATAATTAGTAGTATATCCAAATGAATACATTTAGACTTGCAAAATTTATGTAGTGTAGCATTTTGAGCACCATAGGATAAGAACTAAAAGCTGAACAAAGCTCTTCTGAGGTACTGGTCTTTAAAATGGAATCTGTTCATTTGTTTTTAAGGAATCTGTTCATTTTTTGCCTATGAAGACTGTATGGCTGTGTCAATATCTTAAAGCATCATCAGCTTTCTATGATGATGACAAGAATTTAAGAATAAACAATTTTTCTATGTTTCAGGGGTGGGTGGGGAGCAGACTACATAAGACATTCTTAATAAGCACCCTGTCAATAGAATATGATTTTGACTTTTTCGCAGAAATGCAAAACTATGCCAGGAAATACAATTTGCCAAACACTGCTAGGCCAGAACACTTGCAAAAGGGCACTGGACCAGGACGCAAACAAGAAGTCCAGGTCATGAGCCCTGATTTCTCTGTTGCAGAGAGACTGCTGCAGAATCAGCTGCTCACCAATCAGTGTCTTAAAGAGGAAAAGTTTTCCCCCGAAACTCTCAGGGGTGACTCAGCATCATCTTGTTGACTGTCTATTATCTGACCAGGGAAGAAAGAATAAAATATATTTTGCCACTTTCTTCTTTGTTGACAAGTCACCTTCAGGAGAGGATATTACTAGAAGATCTGGAAAGGAGAAAATGTAGGCTCTAGATTGGCTCTTTAAGACCCTGATTATGGAACATTGGTTAATCCATTATTAGGTCTCTCTATTCTTCGGTTACTTCAATTGTTAGAGTGACAGGCTTGATTATGTCTAGGACCTCTTCCAGTTTCAAAATTCTTTGGTTGAATAATTTAAAACAGTACTTCTAAGTTCATAAGCCACGAATGGGTACCAGACATCCTGATCCCCTTTGCTCCTGGGAAGCCAGCAGGAGCCCCTCTGGTTTATCCCCTTCAGCTCTCAGCCACCTTGTTCCTTTACCTTAGCATGGCATACAAATATGATTTGTCTATGTGTTCTGTGACATAAAGAAAACCCTGCTTTTAGAGAAGTTCAGTGAACATGGTGAACAAACACTACCTTAACCAGTTATTGTTCTGGCGATCACAATAATTTGCACAAAACTACCATCCTACACATGAAGAGAGAAGAGGATCCATTATTTCTAAACTGCACATATAGCAGCAATGATGACAGCAACCACCATTCCCTAAAGTCCACCACTAATAAAAGGTAGTTGCTCAGACTGTAATTATGGCATCCTTGCTACCCAAACTTGAAGCTTTTATGGGGCTTATGCAATTAACTACTTAAATGCATCGTAACACTTGCTTCTCTGACAGCAAAGTATCGATTTCTTCATCATTTTCAAGTCTCCTGCAGCACAAATAAATGTACTACAGTTACAGTTAATGCACTGTGTACATGCATTAAATGCTGGTGTGACACAATTTATTATTTTGTGATATATAGAATAGAAGTCTGGCTTCTCAGAAAGTAGCGTCACTGATCTAACATCAGTATGGAAACTACCATTGTCCTTGATCCTCCAAATTCTCTAACTTCCAAAAGCTAAAGACCTATTTTAATAGGATACTTAGGCTTTAAATTAAAAGGAGGGGGCACTGAATGTAAATTTTTTATATATGTCCATGTGGGAGAAAATTTAAAATAGTCTAACAGAGAAGAAAGATACAGTTTGTATTTTCCTAAAGATGTCACTGTGGGACCTATAGCAACTTTGTTCAGATGATTTTTTGCCTATTTAATTTCTTTCCTTGCAGTTTTTTAGGGCGTATCTGTCAAAATATTTTGCATAGTAGAGTCTCTCTGATTCAGTCAATTTTTACATAGCTTGGTTGTGTTGTTTTAATGACTTATAGGATACATAGTATATTATGAAGCTATAATTGTGTATTGAAAGTGTGATTTCTACATGCCATTTTCATATGCCAAAAAGGCCAGTAGAGCCCCTGATAAAGTCGCATATCTAAATATAGACCTGGCCACAGAGGTCATCACATAGTTCAAAATCAAGCCTTTTCCTTGGATACAACTACACACTACAAATTAAAGTTGGTGAGTAAAAAGCAGTTAATTTTGTTTTGTTAGAAATAATATCATTTTAGTTTTAGCATCTAAGACAGATGCCAGCATTTCACTCTGAACAGATGGTAATTCCATCTAATAGTGCATCTCTGTATTAGTAAGGTCTGTTGTGTATACAAACAGTAATAAACACTAGGTAAGGATCAAAATAAATTTTAATTGTTGACATTAAATTCTGGCAGCCACAGTTCTAAGGCTGCAATATTCCTTTTTCAAGTCTGTCAGATTTACTAATGCAGCAAAAGCTTTTCCAAAAGCTGCCAGATCCCAGTTCCAATAAAAACATGTTTGCACACTACCAGTTACCAGTCTTCAACCAGGGTACCTGTTTGCAGATACTGAAATAATTCTTCAAGAATGACTTGGAATTGGTGCTACCATCTATGTGATGACCAGCCAGTGCTTCTTTTCACATGCCCCTGTAGGACTGAGCATTTAATTAAGAAGTTAGTATAAAATGTTACATCCAATTGTTACCTTAGGGGTCATGGTATTATTTATCACAGCCACTTTCTTACCCTGCTAAGCAGGGATCTCTCATCCAACTCATTTTCTTCAATTTACAAAGCTGGGCATTCCTGAACTTCTCTGAAAGTGACATCATCCTTTCATTTGTTTGTTTTGCCCCAGCCTGAAGGATTTCCCTGACAATCACAGCAATCATCAGCTGCGCTTTTCTATAGGCTTGCTGTGGATCGAGTGTGCCAACAAGCACCGATTTGGTTCTTATAATGCCTCCAGCGATCTGGTATTACAAGGAGTAGCCCCTATTTATTTTGAGAAGCTGCCATGTTAAAGAAAAAAAAAAGCATTTAAAAAAAGCAGTTTGGCATTCAGAAGACTGTTCAATAACATGCTTTGCAATCATATTTCTTTAAAAAATGGATTCTTTTTTTTAATCATGAAAAATGTATTGCTTCCACCATATGGGACAACCTACGACTCACCAACCGATTTAAGATGCGGCATATTGAGCTGACCATATGTTACAGTGCTGTTGAATGGCTGAGTGATTCATGCCCGTCACATTCTAGTATATCAATTAAAGCTCCTTGAAGTCTGCATGATTTGTGTCTCTGTTATTAAACCCTGCTAATTCATCCCATTTACACATCTGTTATAAATCTCTAGGAGTGCTGCATGATTCATGGCAATCTGCGAGCATGCTACAGCAAATTCTTCTCCTTGTAATTAACAGTAAATTGTTTTACTGCCATGCAATGAATTTTTCAGTTATATTGCAAATGAACTCCTAAATGTGCGGTTCTTTCCTAAGAACTGACTTATATCATTAGGCAATTAAAAAGTATTGCTTTGAACCGAAAGCTTTTAATCAAGAGAAATATAACTTAAACATTGCTTAAGAGCCATGGAAATTTGACATGTTGGTTACAAGTGTAAAATAATTTCTGTTGAAAGAGCAAAACAAACAAACAAAAAACCTTCAGTGTACTCAGGATTTCACTGATGCTAAGACACACCAACTGCTGCCTGAAAACAATTGGTGGGACAAGTTTTGCACAGATACTGTTTATCTTAGAAGTTACTTAAGTCATCTGTCATTACCAAATTTCTCAGACTACTTTACACTTCCTTAATTGTAAAATGGTGCCTTTATTCTTGAAATAAATAATTGGATAATTAGCCAAGTTGAATCATCAGAGGATTCCAATGCTGTTCAAGTGTTCTTGTCAAAGGTGAAGCAAATTCATTTCAGCTCGCCTCTGCAGCTCTTCGAAGAGGCTTTGATTTTTTTTCCCCACTTTCTTGGCAGCAGCCTCAGATTCATGAGTCCATACATCAAGTCAGTAGTTTAACAACAAATGGAATTAAATTCAAAGAAGGGAAACTAATTGAAGGACAGCAACAAAAGTGTTTGGTAATGTGCTTTTTAATATGGCATGCCACATTTGCATGATAATTTTTCCTTTTTAGCATGGAGCAGAAAGTGACTAGCTTAATGAGGGATTATTGAAGACAGGAATGAACAAAATGCATTCATAACTAAGAACAAAGATTGTATTATGAAACAAAAACAGGCAACCTCAGAGAAGTAACTGGGTGATTGGTTTATGCATTATGAATAAAAAGGTAGAAAAATATTTATATTAGTATTCACTAATGACTATATATACAAGATTGTTGTAATTAAAATTATAAATTAACATATTAAGAGTGCTTGTTTAATCACTCTGGCTCCTATTCACAAGGAAAAGACTTATGTACCCGAATGCAAAACAATGTGTGTTTTCAACCCAGCAGCAAACAGCCTATACATTTTACTTTGCATTCAGAAAGAAAATTTAATGCACACCAATTACTTGTTTTATGCGAGATGGGCACTTCTAAGCTTGTAGTATGGAGGTCAATTTATGACAGGCAAGGGAAATATCACATTGTCCCTTCAGGAATGGATCTCCAAAAGTAATTTCTCATAAGAAGGGTTTAAACTAAACTCAATTTGCAATGGGTGGAAATGCACAAATTTCTCGGATTAAAAGGAGAATCTTAAAGAAAAGTGTAACAAGGATTTTAAGAGGGCCCAGTTCATCAACTCATTACCTTCATACACCCAGAAGCAACTCCAAAGCCATTAATAACACTGCTTGAAGATTTTGCAATGGAGAGAGATGCAGCTGCTCCTGAGAGAACACCTCTCTCAAATCAGTTCTCAGACTTTGTCACAGGCATTGAAACTAAAGAAGCAGCAGTGCAATACTCTGGATGAAATGTACCCATTCTAATCATATATTTAATTGAAAAAATGTTTAAAACAAGAGAGAGCCAATTATAATTCTCAAGCTTTTTAATGAAACAGCAAGATAAATCTTCACAAGTATCTTTCTGATTTTTGAGACCGAGATTTAAGGGGGCAACATATCTTTTCATGATTCAAATGCTTCCAAAAGGCTAATTACTACTTCTAATTTGTGGTGCTCTTTTTCAAAATTTTTGAATGGTCACTCGTTTCCATTGATGTCTGATAATGAGCTCATATGAGCTATTAGACATAAGAGTTAAATTTCCCACAAATCCATTGGAGTTCATTGGAATAATATATACTCTCCAAATTGCAATGTTAATAGTAGAAAAAACAGAGCAGGATGAACAGTAAAGTTGCAAGTCAACTTTTATTACTCTCCTATAGCAAAATTGTTGACCATTCTAAAGAACTGGCTTTATTATAGGTCTGCAGTGTATTTCTATGATTTAATGTCTATACTTTCTATTCAGATGTTTTGTTTTGGAAAAACATTTAGAAATACACATTCATCTACTGAATAAGGAAGGAGGCAAAAAGAATGATGGATTTATAATTTTTTCCTGGTATTCAAATAAAAGCAAATAAGTTTATTTTCACTGATCTGAACAACCCTAAAAATGATGTATTTTATAATAAACCCAACTGTAAGTAAAAATTATTTTTCCATACTTTTGTCATATAAGAGACTTTCTTTTTCTGCTGGGCAGGTGAAGAATCAGATAGTTCTAACAAAATATATTAAGGAATTAGAAAATAAACATTTTTTCCAGAAAAAAACAAACACTAAAATAAATTTTTCTTTAGAAAAGAAAGGATTTTATATGGAAACAAAAGGTAATACAATTTTTTGAAGAATGAAAATTGGGTAGAAGAAAAATTTTAGCAAAGAATAAAAAAAAAAAAACACATTTGAAATTTACCACTATATCTCCTCCTGCCGCTGCTCAATCCTTCATGTTCCAGCTTCTGCTTCAACCATGCTAATTAGGGTAATCCCCAGAGAGTCACCAGTGACCTCGCATCCATTTTAGGTCACATTTCTCTTGCTTTCCCTATACCATATGACACTGCAGACAATATTCTCCTTCTAGAATTCTCTCTTCCCTTGACTTTTCTGATACTGCTTCCTCTCAGTTCTTTTCCTAATTCTGACCATACCTCTGTTCACTTCACTCTTCCTTTCTTCTTTCTTCCCAGATAGAATATTCACTAAGGTGTTTTCTTTGGGCTTCCATTTTGCATTTTCTCTGCTTTCACTAATTGATTATAACCTATAGCATTAGCTCCCATCTATATGCAGATGAATACAAAATCTGCATCATTTTTAAGCCCCAGATTTGCAATTTCTGCTCCTGGATGGTTATAATTGGCATGGATGTGTTTCTATCAAATGATCAAATAAACTCACGAGTTTATTTCTCCCATCTGTTCTTTGTTCATCTTTCCCCTTTTATTTAATGGCACCACCATGGGCTGCAATATTTGCTATCATTGTCCATCCTTCCCACTGCTTAACTTCCAGGTCTGTCTTCCTTGAAGTCACTCCATTCCCTTCTTTCAATCTTCACTTCTACTCGTCTGATTTACTCTCTTATTGCCTTTTTAAAAAAGTCTACCAGACACTTATTACACTCCCTCTTCTAATCTATTGTGTACTCTACCACCAGGGAAGTCTTCATAAATCTCTGCTTTCATTACATCAGTACTTGGAACAGTGCCAGCCCCTAAAACAGAAACTAGCACATTGTATGTGCTCAGTAAATATCTGCGAAAGTCTTTACCATTCTTTTATAGTTTATCTGAAATAGCATTTAATGAGGTATCTACTCAGTCTCCCAAATCAAAATCATTTATCTCATTTTCTACCTTCCCATAGCATTTTTTTCACCTTTCTCACAGCCCTTAGCACATGTCGCCATGGTGTTAATCCTACCTGTTGGATCTCAACTCCTTAACCCAAATGCTGAGTATAATTATCTTAGAATCCTCCACAGTGCTTTAAATAGTAAGCCCTCAAGAGATGGTTCTGAATTGAGCATTCACAATAAAATGTAGTAATAATACATTTATGGCACATTATTAACTCTATATTGCAACCAACAAATGTGAAATTTGCTGTTTTTGAGCAAAGTTTTGAAATGTGCATAATAATTCTGAATGACATACTTCTTACAGAAATAATAAATAATGCTTTCAGATTTTAAGCCTTTCTAAGTTTTATTTTCACAATACAATCCTTAGTTTTAGAACTCTCCATTTTATATTTTATAATAATGTTAGAAAATCAAAGTTGTAAAATAAACTCTCCTTGATTTTGATAACATTAGAAATTCCATAACATTTATACTGTGACTAACAAAAGTCTTCTATAATATTATGATAAAAATCATGACAATAAATTTTTATTGAGAATGAACTGTGATGGGCACTGCTTTAAATATTTTACATGTATTAACTAATTCTAATCCTCATCAGAACCCTACAAATAAGTTATGCTTATTTATAAATTGGAAAACTAAGGCACAGAGGTTAGATAATTTATATAAGGTCACACAGCTAGTCAATGGCAGAGCCCGGATTGAAACCCTGGCATTTTGGCTAACCATTTTTTTCCCCTCACATATATGAATAAACTCTTATTTTTGTAAGTCAACTAACTTTCACGTCACATGACTTTTAGCGAATATAAGTTTCCAGTTCTATTTTTCAAGGATAAAAAAAATAGAGAGAGGATTCAGAGGGCTCTGACTAGTTAGTTTTACTTCACAATCCTGCCAGTGGACAGGAGTCGTTTTAATCGCCTCACCAGTAACTAAAATGAGAGCTGCACAGAGCACCCAGGTACATCATCTTTTACGCAACAGGATTTTGCCACTGCAACCAATGAGGATACTATTAGCACAGATGTTACCACTAATGCATAGGGCAGGCAGATTCTATTCTGTAGACATGTTTCCTGCTCTTCTATTCCCATCTCCATGATCCAGCTAGTTTCTAGGGACGGGCATGTCTCTCTTCAGGTTCTTTAGTTTGCTTATATCTATGAAAAGGCAGACTAGATCTCATCTACAAGAATTATACTAATAACAGCTCTAGACACTATTGCATATGAGGTTCAGATGGGAACCACCATGATATGCAGCCTAAAGGAGAAAAGACTTGGGTGGATATAATGTTATTGAAAATGTTATTGGAAGGATGATAAATTAGGTTAACGACAGCCCCCAAGGAAGTAGAATAAGAATGTTGAGTAGAAGTTACTAGGAGATATTTTTGACCAATCTAAGAAATCACATTCTAAAAGAGGTATCTAAAGATGGTATAGCTTTGTCTGAGACGTAGTAGTTTCTGTAACACTGAAGGTATCAGACATGGGTTAGATGAACACTTGGGGGAATATTACAAAGAATATATTGATACTGGCTATATAGTAACACTAGATTATTTTTACATGTTTTGCAACCCTGAGAGGATGTGATTCCAGTTTTGCATGGCCACGTGCTTGGGATCCCTATGTCCCCTACTATAACACACCCAGTCTTCACCCTCCGTTGTCTCCATTTTTACTTTCTCCAACTTGTAAGACTGATTCTTATTTTAATTTTTGTCTTCTAGTCTGAAATTGTATCATTTAAAGGAGATAGAGTCCTCCTCTGCTGTCCATATTCAGCATTCAGTAAACCTTTAATAATACAGTATACAAAAACAGATAGTTTTATAGGAGAAGAGTGTTTTGTACAAGCTAGGTACTCCATCAATGTATTCATGCATCTGAAATGCACATCTATAAAATACATAAAAATACAAAGTGTTCAGTTATAAATTTAGTAAACCATAATTTCTTAGAATTTCAGAGTTGTTTGCATTAATGAAAATTTTGAAAAAAATAAATTACTTGGATGAGATCATTTGAGCTAAGCAATTTTTTCCAGAACCAGAAAAAAAACCCTACATAATTGGACCTATTAATAATAGGATGAAGGGATTTGGGGAGGAGGTCTAGGAAATGTTTTTACAGGTAAACATGAATTTTCGTAATATCTGTAATTCATCTAGAGTGTCTTAACCTCCTTACACATGGACATTTCTTTAAAGATAACCAGGAAACTAAGCTTTTATCTAGAATCAGAAAAACACTGATTTGAAAATATATTAATGCTAAATAATTGGGTTTTATAAGTCTTACTAATACATGTAATCAGGTTTGTATGAATCCAGTTAGTCCTGAATGAAGCAAGCACAAATTATACAAACCATTTCTACTCAGATTATACTTAATAACAATTCTTTTATTTAAATTTTATTAACTTAAAAGCTTCTTCTTAATAAAACAATAGATAAACATTTACCTATTTCATGAAAGCCAAATATAACACCAGGCCACACAGTAATTTCTAGATGTTCCCATGGATCAGGAGTGAGTAGAGCCAAGCCTACAAAAAATGTCTGGACTGAGGGAAGAGGTATCCTAACGTCCTCATAAGAAGCTTCCTGATTGTTTCTCACAATTGTCAGGACACTGCTAGGACACAGGTTGGTAGTTAAGCCCTGGAGTCACGCTACAACTAATTACATTTCTATGTATTTCTAGTTCTATATATTTGTATATGTTTCTAGTTGTATATTCTATATATTTCTAGTTGTAGAGTGGAGTCACTCTACCACTAATTATATTTCTTATTATGACACAGCTGTAACTCGTAGCTCCTAGGTACCTCTTTAAGTTACGTTTTGGTTGTTGTTGTTTAAAACTGTTGAGGTAAGAAGCAATCAGAGTTAGTGAGGGAGGAGAAGACAAATATAAAGTCTCAAGTAGAGAAGGTGTTGAATATTATAAGTTTTTTTTCTTGATAGGCAACAGATTTTTCATATCCATTAAAACTTGCTTACCTGCTGCTAAAGTTTGTCCTGCTCCCGAAGCACTGGTCACACAACCAACTGAATTGCAGAGAGTAATAGTAAACTCATATATCCTATAAGGTTTCAGTCCTTCTACAGTGTAAGATAGTTCTTGGGATTTAGCAGTGTGCAACAGCTTCAAGGCAAAAAAGAAAGAAAGAAAGAAAGAAAGATAATAGGTAATCAGTGTGAAAATATAACCTTGGCAGTCAAAGTTCCATGAATTCAGACAGAGGGAATTATTGCCAACCACCATTAGGAAAAGGGTTTTTTTTTTTTTTTCTGAAGAGTCTCGACAAGCCAGGATTTAATTGATTATTGTACAATCACACTGTTTTATGAGGTAATAATCCAGTTCCTGAGTGGATAAATGAGAAAACCAAGTTATTGCCTCATAAAGCAGCATGGTGGTATGGTTATTGTCACCAATGGTAGAGATAAAGACGGTGACATTGTCATTGTTATCATGATAAAGTCCAAACAAAGCCATGGGGCTTGGCCAAAAGTAACCCAGAGCAGTAATACCCAAGCTATTTGATGGTGCTAGGACAGAAAGAAATGCCGTTGCTATGTTAAATCGATACTATCATTTTCTTTATGAAAAAAAGTCACAGAAGAAAAAGGGGAAAAAATTAAACATTAAGCATATTACTGAGCATCCACGTTAAGTCAATTCTCAATCATCTTTCTTATATAAACAAACATATAAAGATTAGATCAAACAGTTACGTTATTTGAAATATTATCTTTATCATATAATTTCAAATGAAAATAGCAGATTTGAGCAAAGAAGACTGACAGGAAACTCACAGTCCATAAATAAATTATTAAACAATTAACATTGAGAGTTGGTTCTGTCATTATAATTTGAAGTGATCAAAAGCAACCATGTAAATTTGTTTAGGTTGTAGGTACAAAGGCCACTAGAAATTATATTCAGAAAATAAAAGTCATTAAAACAGAGAGTATGACAGTAACTATGAGTACAAAACTAATTTTCTTAGGGCTACTGATACATAGTCATATAAAATAATCTTCCATAAATATAAATACAGATAAATGTAAAGTTCAGTAACATTTGGAGTAGTTTTCTAGAGACTTTCTCTTTAGGGGTAAAATAAAATTCATTTGGAATATTTGCCTAGGTGTTGACTTTAAAATTTCGTAAGTTACATGAGTTGTTCTAAAAAGCAGTGAGATTGGAATGTAGAATACAGTGTTTCAATAACATTCAGAAATAAAGGTGTTTTTAAAGATTCTAAAACTCTAGGAATAATTTAAATTTAAAACTTTAAAACCATTTCCTTGCAATTACATTTTGAAATAAGAAAAACATCAAATACCAAGTAATTCTTTATTTTTCTAATTTTAAAATCATTATTGATATAATGAAGATACAAACTTTTCTGTGAAATGTGATTTAAAATTTTCTAAGTAAAATAAACCTTGAACTGAGTTAAACTTATGAATATTGCTGTAATATTCATCCCTTTTAGAATAATCCTGGTAGATTTCAATGTAAATTTTTAGAAAATGGTATTGTTTTTAGGATAAAGTACATGAAGCTATTTCTTATTTAATTTAGGAAGTACAACTATTTTTTAAGCAAAATATTCTTTGTAGCAAGAACCCACGATGAAATAAAATAAGAAAGAAGAAATCTACACTAATATTTATTTTGAAAAGGCTTTTCCTTCTTTACAGATGATTATTATAAATTACATTATTTTAAAAATACATTATTGGCCCCAGAACTTGCAGCATAAAATTATCACTTGGATAGACTTTGTCTTTATCATGTACATAGAGTCAATTTATAAGTCTTATAAAATCTATCTAATTGAAAGTTTTTCATGAAATAAGTCTTCAAAGGGGTAGGAAAAATTCTACAGCAGCTTGATCCCCCACAATGAATCCTACATCATCACCACTTTTACGTATCCCCCCTGTCTCATTCTTAGGCAAAGGTTTCTTACTAGTTATTTTTATAGTAGATTTTCCCTGGGAATTTTGGCTATTTATTTACAAAGATTATAACAAGACATACTCAGGTCAGTTCAGATACAAATTTAATCATTGAGAAGGTAAAAAATTGGACTTTGTTCTGCTACTTTTGATTTCATTTCCTTGAACAGAGAATATTTGCACAGGAGAGAGAGTTCAAAAGAGAATAAGGTAGGCCCAGTGCAGTGGCTCATGCCTGTAATCCCAGTATTTTGGGAGACCGAGGCGGGTGGATCACTTGAGGCTAGGGGTTCAAGACCAACCTGGCAAAGATGGCAAAACCCTGTCTCTACTAAAAATAAAAATTAAAAAAAAAATTAGTCAGGTGTAGTGGCACACACCTGTAGTCCCAGCTACTTGGAAGGCTGAAGCACAAGAATTGCTTGAACCCAGGAAGAGAAGATTGCAGTGAACTGAGATTGCGCCACTGCACTCAAGCCTGGGTGACAGAGCGAGACTCTGTCTCAAAGAAATAAAAATAAAAAAGAGAATAAGGTGATATATCTATGTCCTTATTCCAGTTCAGCCATAAGGAACAGCCTTTTAAATAACAACAACAATAATAAAAATATTTATTTTCCTGCCCCATTAAATGATAGCTAGTTTATAAAGTATAATGTAGTTCCACACCATTAATAATAATCACTAATAATAATGTGTCAATATTTATCAGGCTCTTTAAGCAGGTAGGTGAGCAAAAATGGTTTTCCCATTTCACAGATGAATAAAACCAGAAGCAGAGAGACGTGTGATACAGCTAATAATTGGGAGATGTGGAATATGAACAAACAGGTTGACTTCTAAGGCTGTATTTTATAAATAATATTTCTCACCTTATTTTTTTCTTAGAACAACAACTACTATAATATAAGTAATAGATAAATCAAAACTGTGTTTTACAAAGAAAGAATAGTTTATAAAGCCAGAGAATAGTAAAAACAACAAAATAAAACATTGAGTATAAATGAGATACAACATGGCAAAGACCACATGAAAGTTACAACTAACTTTACCTTAAATCCCATGGTATACCAGATCGGTAGACTAACCTGTTTAAGTCAAAATATATATATTATGCCAGTTGTGTATTCATCATGAGATAATTGCAAATGAGTGAACACGTAGACAGATTAATGAAAAATAAGTAATCATAAATTATTTATTGGCTCTTCTTTTTCATCAGTATAGAAAATAAAATTGTGTGTTGTACATGGGTTCTGGTCTCCTAAAAAGGCTTAGAAAAAAATGGCAAACCTATTAGTAGTGGATTGTATAGTGTCTCCCAAAAATTCAGAATAAGACCTTGTTTGGAAATAAGGTCTTTGCAGATGTAATTAATTAGTTGTCATCCTGGATTTCAGGTTAGCTTAAAATCCAATGACTGGTATTTTTATGGGAGAAATGAGACGGACACACAGACCCAGAGGAGACAGAGACACAGAGTAGGACTTGTGAAGACAGAGGCAGCAGATATTAGAGTTATGTTGCCACAAGCCAAGGAACACCAGGAGCCACAGGTAGGTAGAAGAGAAGAATTGTCTCCTAGAGCCTGTGGGGGACCTGGCTGTACTAACACCTAAATTTCCGTTGTTTTAAGACACTCAGTTTATGTTAATTTGTTACACCAGCCCGAGGACACAAATACTCTAGGGTACAAAGGTCTGACTTCCTAGCTTAATTTGAGATAAGCTAAGAGGGTCATTTCAGCTCCAGAACTACCCACGGAATCCGCTGAGGCTGCTTCCACTATTGCATCACAGTTCAGCTTCTTTGCTGCTCAATCCTACATACTTTATCACTTCACATTTGTTGTTTCTGAAAGAGTTCCCCCAATAAACCTCCTGTACTCAGTCCTCTACCAAGAGTCTGCTTCCGGGGGAATTTGCCCTAAGATAGTCGTAACAGGACTGGCCCTAGGAAGGAGACTCTAAAATGATATTTTGGAGCTCCATCATCCACTTGCTGGTTTACAATGATCTCATCATAGACAGCAGGTAGAGTACTAACAGTCCACAGCATGCCCTAGTGGTGCAATGCTTAAACTTCCATTAGTGGTGAACTGCGATGAGTTACCAGTAGAAGGTAATTCACTGGTTTGGTGGAATTAGTAATTACAAGGACTACTCTGGGGAAACTAGTAATTATAAGGACAATGCATGGATCTTGCTGGTCGCCATCAATGCACTGAAGAAAGAC
The DNA here is from genome assembly GCF_000001405.40 of Homo sapiens. NCBI lineage: Eukaryota > Metazoa > Chordata > Mammalia > Primates > Hominidae > Homo > Homo sapiens. The sequence goes on from NC_000001.11 coordinate 216,194,432, forward strand.
AAAGGAAATCTGAGGGTGATTAATCACCAATTTAAGACAAACTATAAATGCCACCTTGACAGTATTCTTTATATCGATAGCATCATATTAAATGAATCAGACAAACAAGAAATGGTAGGTATGCAGAGGTAAGACATATGTGTTCTAGAAAGTGAGACAGCAATATTATGAAGATTAAGGAATCTACCATATCAGTGAAGTTTTTAGGAGTTCAAGTGGCCTGAGACATGCTAGGATATCCCCTCCAAAATAAAGGACAAATTATTGCACCTTGCTTCTACCACCACTAAGAAGGAAACAAAATGTCTAGTTGACCTCTTCACATTCTGAAGGGAGCATATTCCACATTTGAGAATACTGTTCTGAGAAATTTACTGAGTAATATGGAATGCTGCCAGTTTTGAGTGTATCCCAGAGGCGGAAAGGGCTCTGCACCAGGTCCAGCCTGTGGTACAGGCAGATGAGCCACTTGGGACATAACATGTAGTAATTTTTACAGCACTAGAGGTAAGCATTGTGGGAAAAAATGTTGCAAGGCACACATAGAAAGAGAATCACAGGGCAGATAGACCCCAAGAGCTTGGAACAAAGGCATAACATGTAATGGAAACTATATACCATTTGCTAAATGGCCCTAGCATGCTTTCAGGCTTCAGTAAAAACAGAACATCTGGTCATGGAACACCAAATAGCCATGCAGCTAGAGCTACTTTTTTATAATCTTGGAATTGTCTCAGCCAAGTCTTGAGGTTAGAAGGGCCCAACAGAAATTCATCATAAAATGGAAGTGGATGTCTGAGATTGGGTATAAGCAGAGCCAAAAGCCGTAATACATTGTGCAAGCAGGTGGTTCAGGCCCCCATGACATCCACCATTCTTATACTGGTGGCTCAACCTCAGCTCATACCTATGACCCATGGGAGGTCCCTTAAGAGCTGAAAGAATGTGGAAAAAAAGCAGAATTTAGTTTACAGATAGGATGTCTTGGTATGTGGCTGCAAGTCTAAATGGTAGCTGTTGCTCTAAAACCCTTGTCAGAGATGACCCTGTGAAACAGCAGAGCGAAGAAATCCTCTTAGTGGGCAGAACTTCAGGCAGTTCACCTGGTCACCCATGTTGTGTGGAAAGAGACGTGTCTCAAGGTAAAATGTACCTGGACAATATGGCAGTGGCTTGGAAATATTGGCCAAGGGCATGAAAAAAAAAGATGGAAGGATCAGGAACTAGGAATTCATGGAAAGAAAAATGTGGCTAGATCTATGGGAGTAGGTATAAAGTGTAAAGATCTTTTTATCTTATGCTAATGCCCAGAGAAGAGCATCTCTCTCAGAGGAGGCACTGAACAGCCAAATACACAGAAGAACTTGTTCGGTTGACATCCTTCCATCAGCTTCTGCTATTGGCCACCTGGATGCTGGTAAAATGGGCAGAGAGGTATATCAGCCACAACTGTAAACTGGAGAGAACAAGAGCCTCCTATCCTCTAGGATTGCTGTATGTATCAGATGAATTAGTTCACGTACACAGTAAAGCCTCAGTAACTTTTAGCTATGATAATTATTCTCACTACTGCTAGCTGGGGGATGAATTACTAGAAGGCAATATATGACTGTATATTCAAAACTTTGAACATATTCATAATTCATTTTGTTATAAGCTGTGATAAATTCAATTCTTCAGATTTTTGAAGTAGAAATGTATATGAAATGTACATATAAGAAGTTTTATCAATGTTATTTATATTTCCAAAAGAATTAATACAATACAATATCAACTGAGTGTGGACTGGTTAAATAATTATTGTGTGTCCAAATAACATGATAGTACACAGTTAATGAAAGTCAACTTCATGTAAAATATTTAAGGATACATGATAAATGGAAAAAAAACAAGTCTTATGAAATAAATTATACCAACTTAGTTTCAATATATGATTATACTGGAAAAATACAAGTGACATACAAAGAGGGAGGCTTGTACACATAATATTATATTAAGAAAAAATGCCCTGTTTAATCAATATAGAGGGAGAATTCTGTCACAGAATTCTGCAAACTCAAAAAATGTCCAAATGAAGCCCTAAGCCAATTCTGAAAGGACATTAGTTAAAAATAACAATACCTGTGAAAACGCCATGGGAATAGACTGTTGAGGTGATTGTTCAGAAAGCATATTGATGTCATACCCCACAACTTTTCCTCTTGTAACATTATCTGCTGGCTTCTCCCAGGAGATATTGAGAGAGTACGAAGAGAGGGGAAAGACTGAAGGAGGGATCATGAATACAGGTGCTATCAATGAGAACAATAACAATAACATCAAAACAATGAATGTCGTCCCTATATATTTTTAAATTTAATTCACACATTCATTTAGTTTCTGAAATACCTTTACCTTTTAAAATATTCTGCTTTGAAAAAGTCCAAGAATATGCTGGTATATGTAAAAGGTATTCACTTTTTAAAATGTTATCTGAAAGTATATTCTCCATCTTCATATTACCAGCTACTTTCTACTTGCAAAATAAAAATCTCATAGGAATTTGCTCATGTTCATAAAGATAGGAAAGTGGATAGATAGGAAATTATAAGTCTTACGAGTATCTAAAAAACGTCACAAAAATAGAACATCTCAGTTCAAAAAGTTCAGAAAAATGCATGGTGATGTACTGGATTTCCCATGTAGGGAAATATGTCATTGAGCCAATCCAATGCAGCTGGCTGAATATTATTCTTCAGAAAGAGGTAAACCTAAAGCATTCTAAATAACCCCAATGAATGTCTCAAAGTTTTTGTTAAATTTTTCTTGAAATGTTCAGGTTACATACACATGCATTTCCCTTTCCCCCCTGCCACTCCTGAGCTCTTTACAGGGATTTTAAATGTGCTAACCAAAGGTGTATTATCAAAGGAACTCATTGCACTTTCATTAGCTAGTGACCCATAAGATTACGAGGGACCAGTATTGCAGTTTCACCCATTACTTTTCATTTCTGACCTTGATTTTCCCCTTCCAGAATGCCATGCCTCATCACTTGTGCTATCATGGCTCTATTATTTGTCCAAGATGGCTGGTAGTCATTAAGAGATGCTCAAGCACAATGCGTATTTTATTCATGAAATGATTCCCTTGGACATCAACCTAAAGCTACCCTCATCCTCCATATTCCTAACAGGTCAAGTTTAGATCAGGGTTTGGGTTTCTTTGATATCTACAGATTAAACACATAACAAAAGTGTATTTTTTTTCTTAAAGGCTCATGAAATTTGAAGTGTTTTAATATAAAAAATAAAGTGGAGGATTAAAAATTTTTGCCTTAATGAAGATAATCCAGAAAATTTAGATATGTTGTCCTCCTTCCTTATCATCATGCCAACTGCTTACAAGCACACTTGTGAATTATAGATTTTGATGTCCACGATTCTGTCATTATGTACAATCTAGTATCTAAACTATTTATTTTGGAAAGATAAATAAAAACAAAGACAAATTTGTGGAATTGGTGACAGTTATCTCTTTCATTGAACATAAATTAGGCTGTATATGGAGCAAGATGAGACATGTGTCCAATCCACTTCAGGAGTGGAAACCAAATGCTATTTTTGACAAACATTCCCAGAAGACTATAACTATAGTTAAGCCATTTTCGCCCCATGAATTAATAACTAAAGCATTTACTTTTGCCCCCTAGAACTTGCTGCAAGTACTTTATGACCTTGAGTTGTTTATGTAACAAATCCATATATATGAAAATTTTCCTTGGTCTATGGAAGTTTCTAATTCTTGCTTTTCAAAATGTACTTTCACAGTACTTTGACTTTAATTTGAGGAAACATTTGCATTCAGAGGTTTTAAAAGTAGAATTTAAAACATTGATCTTTACCTGATTCTCCCGTTCTTTCTGAGACCCAGGCAGAAGACACACTTCCAGCCATATTCACAGCTAAGACTCTGAACTCATACTTGGTGTATGGCTCCAAGCCAGTGATGGTTGTCATTGTTTGAGGAGGTTTTAATGCATTTTCATTGGCCGATTCTACAAATGAATGAGGACTGAGCCAACCACTGCTCTGAAAAACTCGACTTTCCTCAGATGTGGTTTCTTTAGTAGATCTCAGTCTTCTCATGTATAGTTCATATCTTATAATTATTCCTAGAGAAATTAAATAGTGAACCTACGTAACTCATCAGACAAAGGGGTTACTTTAGGGGTAGGGTAGGGACAGGTCAGTTAAAGAGTGCTGGATATTCATTGTCTTTCTAATTAGATTACTGTCAATTTCTTTAGCATTCAAAATGTAGTGATTTAGTAGTTTAGTAATCTAGATGACAGGTACATAGAAGACAACAAACTGCTATATAGATGAATGTATAAAATACTATTAAAGGCATACTCATGAGGAAAACAAACCAAAATGGATAACACATAGACAAAAAATAACTACACTTTATCATAGGTAAATTCAATCTTTTTCAGAATTGATATTCACAATTTCTGTTAAGAATGGCCAGTTCTTTTGGGGAATTTGATCATTATAGCTCCAGTCTGTATCCTTTCAAATTTGGAGGTTTTAATTTAACTTGTTTAACATAAGCCCTGTTTGCATAAATGTTATAGTCAATCTCTACCCAGTTTTACCAAATAACTTTACAAATCTAAAGAAAGATTTTGCTATAATATGTACATGATATAAATGATTAAAAATCTGTGAATGTGTGTCTGGCCTATATAACCAAGGGTTCAAATGCATGAATGCAAAAATTAACTTAATGGAGTCAGTTAGCTTATATACATATTTTTTGTATCATTTTATATCTTTTTCTTGCTTAGAAGAGAAAAATGTACTGCTTGTGGGTGCCCTAACTTGTGACACAGTCAAATATAATGCATTTCATAAGTGAGTTTCAAATTATAAACATCATTTGTGTTATGGCAGATGTCATTAAGAGCAAAGATAATATTAGCCTTTTAAGGGGCAATTTAATTGAATGGAATTTGTTATTAGATTAGAAGAAATACACTTGTTCCACTAACCAGGACAAATACTATCTTATATCTTTAGAAACTGTTTCTCAATTATTATATTGTGCAGTTATAAAAAGGAATACAACTGCCAAATTCCTAATTGCACAATTACAATAGATTCTCATTCATGTCTTGACCAAAAAGGGGAATCTCAGCCTTGGATTCTTACCATTTAGTTCCGCTGGTGGAGACCATTCTACATGAAGTTCTGTAGAACTGATTTTCTGCATCTTAGGTGGACTTAGTCTTTGGGGAGGGGCCTGGGCTGTGGTCACTGTAATGGGCAAGCTGTGTAAACAGCCCCCGCTAGTACACGCCTGTACAGAAAAATCGTACTTGGCAAATGGAACCAGATTCCAGATGGTAGCTGAGGTTTCATGACCTTCGTAGGAAACACATGGCTGACCACCAGCCAAAGGGGCACAGGACAAAATATATTTCTCTATGGGACCAGATTGATTTGAGAGTGTTGTCCAGGTAAGTGTCACAGAGTCTGAGCCAATAGGAATGATATAACTTAAAGTCAAGTTTCCCTCTGGGACCCCTGGTTTTGTCTTGTAAGTGACAGCTACACTCCTTGTTGAACCATGCACATTGGTGGTCTCAATGTAATAGGAATATTTGGTATATGGTAACAGGTCTGTGTCTAAGAAGTATTGAATACCTGAAATGAAAAGAAAAAAAAAAAACAAAGTTACATTTCACAAGTTGGTGAAGAATCATTGCTAACTGCTTTCCTATCATATTATTTAATTACATAAACTATACCAATCTACTCTTTTGATTAAGGATACATTTCATATTTTTAAAATTGAAATAATGTAAATACCGGTTGATTGCTTTTATTATTGAGTATAAGAAAGTATCATTCATAATAAAGAATGTTTAGATGTTTGTTTTAGTTCTTCTTTTGCTTTTCATAGTGTCCTTTTGTTAGAAGGTCTAAGAGAAAGTCCTTGCGGTTCTCCAAAACAGAAAAGTAACTATGTTTCCTCTATGTAACTTGTTTGCTTGTTAAACACTAAACACACCAGACTAAGGGTCAGTAAACTACCACCAAGGGGTAAATCTGTCACCTGGCCAACATCTTGAATGGAAAATTTTCTTATTTTCTGACCTACAGAAATTATAAATGTTTATTGTTTTAAGCTGCTAAATTTTGGAGACATTTGTTATCAGCAATGAGGAATTTACACAACAGAAGTTTTAGATAAGCAGGACTTCTATGCATGAAGGATTGTGAGGGCAAAGAGAAGCAGCTACAAAGAGGTTTTTAAAAAATAAGATAGGGAGTGGAGGTGATTAGGCACATGGCTGGAAATCCTTGTTCTCTAAGGACAGGAAACACACTGTAGGACTGCGAAACACACAAATACCAGAGTGGCTGCTGCCTGCTCCGCCATGGGGCTGTTTGCATTGGAGATGCGAGGAGGGTTCCATTAAGCAGGGGTGCCCTATAGCAATATGAAGGTCCCAGCATATTTATGTGCTTCCCCTTCCCCTTCCCCTCCCCCCATCCATCCCTCCCTCCCTCCCTCCCTCCCTCCCTCCCTCCCTTCCTTCCTTCCTTCCTTCCTTCCTTCCTTCCTTCCTTCCTTCCGACAGGAGATAGAGCTTTATTGTGGAAAAGCTGAGTTTGCAGAAGACTGAAACAGCAACAATGTTTAGCCTAGTCCATCTATTTACAATATATATGGGTTGGGGTTTCCCATACACATCTGTATTGCTCTCCCCCAGCCTATCCCCATCGGCAACTTTCATTTCTTTCCTGGATCTGCCATTGGCCACAAAAGACACAAATCTTTGGAGTGATAACCCATCGTGTAAACCTAGGCATTCCCAGTCTTTTTTCTTTTTTTTTTTTTTTTGAAGACAGGGTCTGACTTTGTCACCCAGGCTGGAGTGCAGTGGCACAATCTCGGCTCACTGCAACTTCTGCCTCCCGGGTTCAAGCGATTCTCCTGCCTCAGTCTCCCAAATAGAATAGCTGGGACTACAGGTGCCCACCACCACGCCCGGCTAATTTTTGTATTTTTTGTAGAGATAGGGTTGCACCATTTTGCCTAGGTTGGTCTTGAACCCCTGGGCTCAAGCAATCCGCCCACCTCAGCTTCCCAAAGTGTTGGGATGACAGCCATGAGCCACCACACCCGGCCCTTCTTCCCAGTCTACAGCTCCTACAGAGCACTCTGGGGTCCGACTGCTCAGTGGAGGAGGCCTCCGCTGGTGTTGTGGGGGGCACCTTGGGCACTGACTCAGGTGAGGGCCACTGTCTTATCAGAGATGACCCTGATAGAGCCGAGGAAGGTGAGACAGTTCTCTCTCTGGTGGCTGTTTTCAGTTGTACCATGGGTACCAGAGGTCGCCTGGTTTTACTTTCTAAGTGGTACAGAAAACTCTAAAGAATATAGGAATAGAAGAGACAGGGGAAAGTCACCATCCTTAGTGCTAAGGCAGAGCACCCAAAGAAGGATCATATTTGGAAAAGTCCCCTAGGGCTGAGATTCAGACTTTCTAGAGAGCGTGCAGCTGTGGCTCATTGTTATTTCAATAAATATTTACTAGATTAGATTAAAGTTACCCTTATCCCACAATAAGGTTGTTGAAAACATTAACAAAATTTGAAAAATCACTGAAGGCTAGAACAACGATGGAAAATAATTTAGCATGCCAAAAGCCAAAACCTAAAAGAAAAAAATAAATTTCAGTGCTGAATATTCCAAAAGATTGTCTGGCATAAGCTTAAACTGGAAGTTGGAAGACTTATAACCTGATGACAATTAAAAGAAGTACAGTACTTGCTGAATGTTTGTAGCATCTGAAAAGTGGAATATAATCCTAATAGATCAGAATGTATTATACAAGAGCAGTCTACTTAATAAGAAATTAGAATCAGATAGAATTGGGATGGAAATATGCATTTGTGTAGGAATATCATATAAGGCAATTTATAGTGTGAAAGATATAAAAGCATTTGAAAGGGTATGAATAGGATATCCATTAATGATCCATAACAAAAAAATAATACTCAGGTTAAAAGAGTGCTTATCTCAAGGTAGTTGCTCTCCTTGGTTGGGGTACGGATCTTTAACACTGAATTTGAAAATTTGCTGTTACTACAGACTTCTGCATTTTCAGAGAAACATTTACAGTCCTTGGCTCAGCACTGATTTGTGATCTTGGCTGATACCCTCCTGGTTTGTAGCACTCCCCCATTGTACCACTTACCAAAGCTACATGGAACTGCCCATGATTGCTGAATATACCTTATTTTCTTTTAATACAAAATTTATTTCATGACCATCACGCTTCCTCAACTACAGTATCTGGCTAATTCAGCTTATATTCTTTCTTTACTGGGAAACTTTCAGTGGTTCTCCATCACATCATTGCCACCACAGGCATGGTTACATTTCCTACACCTCCCAAGCCACCGTGTGCTTCCTTAACACCCCAAGTTTACTCTGCTTCAACATTTATATATTCTATTGTTACTTTGGTTTACTTATATGTCTCCCCACTCAGTAAGGAGAACTATTCCTTTCATCTTTGTATTTCTAATGACTGATACAGTTTCTGGTCTGGAATAAGCACTGAACAAAATTTTATTAAACACATGAATGATTTTTCTATACATATTTGATCTATTGTTCCAGGAAAGAATATAGTAGTCCCCTCTTATCCACAGGAGATACATTCCAAGATCTCCAGTGGATTCCTAAAACAACAAATAGTATTAAACTATATATATATACACACACATACATATATGTATATATATACACATATACACATATATATACATACATATATATGTGTGTATATATACTGTTCTTTTTCCTATACATACATATCTATGATAAAGTTTAATTTATGTTAGGCAGAGTAAGAGATTAACAACAATAACTGAAAATAAAATAGAACAATTATAACAATATACCCCAATAATAGTTATGTGAATATGGTCTTTCTCTCTCTCTCAAAACATCTTATTGTACTGTAGACTCACCTATTTTTGGAACATTGTTGACCATGAGTAACAAACTGCAGAAAACAAAACCATGGATAAGGGGAAACTACCGCATTAAGAATATTAAGAGCCTTATAAAAACAGTTGCCTGTCATCTTCTCTTCTGTTTTCTCATCCTGTCTCTATATCTTATATTTCTTCATTTATTCCTCTCAGAGCTAACTGAATCATCTTACCACTTGTTACATTGATCCCTTGATGTAGTATGAGATTATAAATTATAATTTTAAAGATGGAAATGAATAAGGGTAGAAATGAAATCCCAGGGCTCATTAAAATATTTGGTTGTCTAAAATTCTAAGCTTAAACTACGATAATATCTGTAGGTGATAGAAGTCATTGTTACATGTAAAAATAATCATCCTCTAGTTCCTGTGGAAGGATTTCTCTAAAGTGACATTTAAGGGCTATCTCCCCATTCATGCCATCCCAAATGAGGAACAACTCATCTGACTGTGAATCTGGGGAGTCAGGGTGTAGGGAGCAAATTATGTGCAGATCAGCCCATTGATTTTTCTCTCTTCTAATTTGTCTTCCTGCAGGAAAAAGGATATAGTCTCTAATCTGACTTTCATCAGTAATGAAGATCGTTTTTATTTTTAAATTTGATCTGCCTACTATGTCTAGTGCTCCTTTGATTCCAAACTCAAATAGGAACAACACCAAAAAACAGTATGAGTTACTGTCCACTCCCTAAACCTGCAACACTAACAGAAGAGTGCTATTTCCTCCAATAACTGTTCACTTCCTTCCTATGACACGTAAGATACCTATGAGCAACCCAGAAGGGGGCTACAATAGAGATACTGTTAGGGCTGATTATGTATGATTCTCGAAGCGCTAGCTTGACCTCTACCTTAAATAAAACGTAAAGATATACCTTGTTTTTTAAAGTTAATTATTCACAATCTTTAAAATTATTCATTATTTGCATGCTATTATAATAACAAATAATTTGAAAGCTTTAAAGATGGTACACCAGTATATCATGATCCTAAGAAGGAAAATATGTCTTAGAGAATCCCATAGTACATTAGGCCAGCTAGAAAAAGTTTCCATTCTAAAAAAGAATTCTATAAAGGTCTCAAACAAACTATCAAACTTGCTTGGAAGACAACACTATTAATTTTCTTTGAAAAGTTCAATGATTCTCCACCTATAATTCCTAATGCCTTTATTTAACCCAAAGATTTGTGTTCATCCAGCTGAATATAAGTAGTGTTTCCTTTACATGTTACACATGCTAGCCACGCACTAGAAATAGAGTAATAAACATGAGGCTATTGTTAGAATGATACAAAGTTCTGACAGTGTTAACCAATTGTTCTTACTGTTCAAATGCCATCATGCAGATAATTTTCACATCATTAATTACAGTGATTGTCAAGAAATGCCAGAAGTGGCATTTTTTAATGAAAAATATGGTTTTAGGAAATGATACCTTGTTTAATAGGATTATATAAATGTCTGATTAGTGAATGAATACACATTTATTATGTAAGAAAATGTTATTTGGATTCCTTATTAGTGCAATCGTCAAAAACAGCCAATGTTGTACTAACATGTGATGTTCTATAAAATAGATCACAATATGTTACTATGGAAATCATGCCTCTGGCTTGAATAATATCATTGATAGTTTTAAGTTTAATTTTGCTATTGCATTAAGCTGTATGGAAAGTAGGGTGACCCTAATTCACAACTTCAGAAATAATCAGTGGTACTGTCATCTTCAAAATCATTTTCAATATTTTTATAACTCCTCTCTTTCTCTGTCACAAAAGTTTAAGTTTCAGGACACCTGGATCATGCTGATATTTGGAAGAAAATAAACATTCTAGTAGCAGGTTTTCAGGATACTTTGCCAACATGGCAGATGTAGACAGATGTTCATTTCCCTTTGCAATCTGCATCATGAAGTTCAGAGTTTCCATTAACTTTAAAGAAGACTTGGAATACTGAAGAGACATGTAGAGCCAAGAGAAAGGGGTGGACATAAGAAACTAAATTCCAGTTATATGAATTAGGTGCAAAATGAAACCCAGTATAATGCATACAAAATAAAACTCTATGCGATGCAGGAGTTTTAAAGTCAATTAAAATGTTAAAACAAGGCATCCTCCTAACCATTTTAAGGAAGGTTATGGAATTTCAGTGTTTCGACAGAGCTTTAAACAGTTCTCCAACTAATTAAGCATGGTTAAAGTAGAATTTGGAAAACTGTGTATTAAATGAAGAGAACAAAATAGAAACTTGAATTGGAATTGCTGTTCCGAGGTTTCTTAAACTAGTGTGTAGCTAAACATGGCTAGAAGCAAAAATCAGAGAAGATAGAGCTGGAATAATGTAAAAATTCCTATTTTTTTCATTCTGTCTTTAGGGAAACTGTATCTAAAACATCTGAGTAAATGTTTTTTAAAGTCAATGAATTCTAATAATTTGATTTCTATAAGCTCCTTTAAAATCTTCATAAAAGTTACAAAGGCAAAGATAGGCTTGATGGCTTGTTTATATCCTTTCTCTTTCAAAAGTTTATGTTGCTGTGTTCTATCTCTGCGGAAACAGCAATGTGTGTATTAAATTACACTATTTGCTTGAGTGTTAGTACTCCACTGCCAGATTTAATAGTTCTTTAACCTGAGAATTAAAAAACTTGAATTCATTATAATAGAAATATTTGATACATTTTCTATAATATTTACAATTAGAGAAAACTAGATCTATTTATTATGTCTTCCAGTATTTGTAAATTAAAATGGTATAATTCTCAGATTATTTTAATAACTTTATTTACTTTAAACCAGTGGTCCCCAACTTTTTTGGCCCCAGGGACTGGTTTCATGGAAAACAGTTTTTCCATGGACCCAGGATGGGAAGGTGAGGAGGGATGGTTTTGGCATGATTCAAGCGCATTATATTTATTATTAGATTATCATAAGGAGCGTGCAACCTAGATCCCTCGCATGCACAGTTCGCAATAGGATTCCTGTTCCTATGAGAATCTCATGCCGCCACAGAACTGACAGGAGGCAGGGCTCAGGCAGTAATGTCGCCGGCCTGCTGCTCACCTCCTGCTGTGTGGTCCTGTTCCTAACAGGTCACAGACCAGTACCTGTCCACAGCCTGGGGATTGGGGACCCCTGCCTTAAACAATATGTCATGAACATTTTCCATTTATTGATATGTGAACTAAGGTATCAGTTTATATGCTATCATAGCCTATAATTTATTTAACAATGTACCAGGATTCTGTTATGCCATATACTATAATTTCCTGAAACATTGTTGAACATCTGAATCATTTTCAATATTTTGATGTTACAAATAGAATAGGTATGGACATCTTGTGTGTCTACTTAATGACTGTTCACTTGAGATAAACTTCCTAAAATAAGTTTGCTAAGTCAAATGTTATGTTAAAAGGAAAGATTTTTTCATAGATTTTAACAAATTATTGTACATGAAAAGTTGTACTAATGAACTCACACAGACACCTCAGCAGTTTATAAAAGTTCCAGCTTCCCCACATTCCCATCAATTCTTGATGGGGTCATTTTTTTTTCATCTTTGAGAATGTGATAAGCATTAGTATTTATCAGATAATAAGCATCTCATTTTTATTGTATTTCTTTGATTACTAGTGAAATTTGTAATTTTATCTCTGTTTGAAACACTCTGTGCCAGACAGAGGAAACCACAACAGCATTTATCCTCAATGTCAAAGAACTTAACTAATGTGTCAATTCTCAGAATATTTATTTCTATTACCAAACCCTTAAACTCACTGTATGGGTATTGATCCTCTGTTGTGTAGATTTCAAAACCATCCCTGAGTAAACTGTAAGTAAGCCAGTGGGCATTTGGAGAATCAGGTGGACTCCAGGAGAGATTGATAGCAGAAGAACTTTGAACTTGTCCTCTGGGCGGAGGTTGCTGGAATGGAGCTAAATTACAATGAAGAGAGCATTTATTAGCAAAGCAATCAATAAACAGAAAAGCAAACTGAAGTAAGATATCCAGCAAAGAGGTCTTTCTGATTCAGGATTGCTTTATCAAGAAGACATGTGGTTTACCAAGACATTAATAAACAAAGGGTTCATGAGTTCTCTAAAACAAAGCTTTTTATCTATAAGCATAAAAAAACTTTTTAGGTCAAAGCAGCTGGCATAAATATAGTTGGGGGTAAAAAACCACCATAGTTTACATTAAGCATTTCTTTCTTTGCCTTTTTTTTTTTTTTTTTTGAGAAACCATCCAAGGATGCACAACATTTATTTTTTACATAGTTAATTTAAAAGTTGACATAAGTTCCATTGAAACTTGAAATTTAAGTAGCATAATCTTTGGGTTTTTGAGAGGAAGCTTTCCATTCCATTAAGCACAATGCTTTATCTTGCTTCAGAGAGCACAGTGTAAAAGAAAGAATAATATTTGGTGATATAAATAGCTATGGATGTTAAATAATCTAAATATTATCAAGAAACGATTTGAATATACTATATGAATGTACCATCACCTGTTAGAGGTGTTTTTAAGATGTAATACAATTGCTTATCAGGCACATAAGAAATAAGAACATTCATCTCACTACTTAAGTGATGTTTTCTATAATATAAATATATACCATGAAAACATTGTGTTCTGTCACTGTAAATTTTTCTTAGTCTCCCTGCTTTTGAGAGTGAATTTTCTTTTTTTTCACCAGAATACGCAAAGATAAAGGAGAAAAACAACAGCTAAATATTTTTAGGGACAATCAACCACCAGTTTACGTACTATTTTCTAGTTTAAACAAGATGCACAATCCCCCATCCATTTAAAGAAGCACAACCTAATCAAACATTCTCCTTAAATAAGATGTCAAGGGTACAGGTTGCTGTGTTACCTTACTTTTAAACCATTCATCTTTTTGTTAAGAAATATGTAAATGTAAGGTACAGAAAAGAATCCATCAAATAATTAATATTTTTATATGAAATATCTACAGTCACTAGAAGCCTCAGTAAAAGAAAGCACACTCAAAAAAAGTAACTTGGGGAGAGCTCAATAAAGGAACCACTTTCAAAAGGGTGGGCAAAAGAGATGGTCCAGTACTCTCAGGTACAGAACTGCAGAGCTCTTTTGCTATTTATGTCAGGGTTTCTCAAGCCAACCCTGAACCCTGGGTCTAATGATTCACTAGGAAGACTCAGGACTCATCATATAGTCCTACTCATGGCTAAAATTTATTACAGTGAAATGTTACAGAATTCATCAACAAAGGGAAAAGGCATATCAATGAAGTCCAGGGGAAACCAAGCACAAGCTTCCAAGAATTCTCTTCCAGTAGAGATAGAATGGGCCTAATTCCCCCAGCAATGCATTATGAAAATATGTGTGATGTGTTGCCAATCAGGGAAGCTCCTTAGAAACTCAGTGCACAGGGTTTTTATTGGGGGCTGTTCCTATGAGCAGCCTCTATCTGGCATTTACCCAAATTTAAGACCCCCACAAGGAAAGCAGGTGTTAAGCATAAACCGTACTTTGTACAAATGTTTAAGTGCAGTGGTCCTCTCTTATCAGTTCTGGGGATAGTGGGGATCCAGATGTCAGCCAAAGGCCAACTTTGTAAGCAGGTCTTTCTAAAAATAAGCAGTCAGGCTTGCTATGTTAACTCTTCTCTGCACACTATCTCTAGCTTAAATGGGGACAGAACTCAGGGACAGAAATGACTGTATGAAGAGCATCACCTGACAGGAGCTATGACCACTCATGGAGGGATGCAGTTAGCTTGAGGCTGCTTCTACATGGACACAGGGAGCGGGGAATTAAATATCCTGACTTCCTTTTCCACCTGCCCTCCAGATGTTTGGTGGGTCCCTCTTAGCAGCTGAAATCAACTAACTGATGGCCAGAGGGCAATGGAGGCTGCTGATGCAAACCACATAGAATCTTGGAGGACAGAGCAAAGTGGAAAAGTAGGGAACAGTAAAGTGAAGTTATTCTGCAAACTAAGCAAAGACTTCCACCCCAGAGCTATTGCTAATTCACCAGGACCCATGAGTGATGAACTCTTTTTAATAGATATAATATATGAACTCTGTCTAAAAGATATAATATAATCAAATTATTACATTTTAAGACAGGATTTCAAGAGCACTTTGATATTTATACACCATACACACACACACACGTTTTTGTCCATGGTTCCTGGCTCATAACTTCCATAGCCTTTGCTATTTCCTTGGTGACTAACACAATAAGCCTATCTTTTGTTGAAGTATTGGTCTTTTATCCAAGGGTCCTGAAGCAGCTTCAGAACAATTTAAGAGTGATACAGGTGAAGGACAGTCTTTTGTTACAATATTGGGGAGATTTAGGCTTCAGAAGTAGGCCTCAGAAAATAGGGTCTGTCTCTGTTCTGTTCTGCTTCTACCTGTTCCTTTTTCTCCCCAAGGCAGGCCAGGGAAACTAAAAATATACTCTAATGTTCCTCCACCTTTCTGTCTTAGAGCCGGCCATAAGGAAATTCTCTGACCTACCTTGTCTGACTGTGGGTCATGAGACCCTCATTTTAGAAGGAGTCCTGCCCCATGCCCTGGAGGAATGAATACTGCAGAGAGAGGCCAAGAAGACTCTGAATAGGCAGCCTTGCAGGGTTTCCCCACTCAGTCGATTAGTATGAAATCATACTCCTTTTTTTTTTTAAATCACATTTCTACATAGTTGTCCATGTGTTGAAGGCCAAAAGAATGAGGGTCGTGATCAACTAAGTATACCACTGGAGGCTATATGAGTAAACAGCAAACTGTTCTCATGAAAGCAGGATGTTGGCAAGCTGACAAACTGCGTCTGCACCCGGAAGGAATGCTGAGGGCAGTCATGACCCAGGCACAAGTGTTTCTTGTTATTAGGCAAATCTGAAGCCTGTTAGTAATAATATGACCCTGTGATCAATCAAGCAGCTGACCAATCATGCCCTCCTCCTCCCTGCTCTTTCTACCCAATAAATATGAAGGGCTGAAGCAGCTCAGGCAGCTGCCCTTGCTCACAAGAAGCAGGGACCCCTCTTCTTCTTCCCCATGTTACCCTTCCTGTAAAATAGTTATTTTTGTTTTAAGTTTTCATTTCTGCGTTCATCCTCCTTCATTCAGTCTTGTAATGACAGTCTCAAATAGTAACAGTAGTAACTGTTGTAGTGATGGTCTCAAGTAGTAATTGTGGTAGTCTGCCACATCCATGCTTCAGTCATGCCTATCCAATGAAGTTGCTATAAAGGGTCGAGGCGGGCGGATCACGAGGTCAGGAGATCAAGACCATCCTGGCCAACATGGTGAAACCCCGTCTCTACTAAAAATACAAAAATTAGCTGGGCATGGTGGCACACACCTGTAATCCCAGCTACTCGGCAGGCTCAGGCGGAAGAATCGTTTGAACCCGGGAGTCGGAAGTTGCAGTGAGCCAAGATCGCCACTGCATTCCAGCCTGGCGACAGAGCGAGACTCTGTCTAAAACAACAACAACAAAAAGGGTGTTTGGGGTGGTGGGGGGTGGTGGGGGTACAGGGAGAGCTCCATGTAGTTTAACACGTGGAAGTTCCTGGAGGGTGTGACACCTAGGGAGGACATGGAAGCTCAGCTCCCCTTTCCACGTATCTTGTCCTATGCATTGCTTCATCTGTATCTTTGCAATATCCTGTATCATAAATCAGTAAAAATAAGTGCTTCCTTATTTTGAGCTGAGCTGCCAAAGTAATTGAACCCAAGGAGGGAGTCATAGGAGCCCCAATTTATAGCCAGTGGGTTACAAGCACAGGCAAAATAACCTGGAGCTTGTGATTGGTGTTAGAAGTTGGGGGCAGCCTTGGGGACTGACCCCTCACCCGTGGAATCTGCCACTACTTCCAGGTATATAGCGCAAGAGTTGAACTGGATTGTAGGATATTAATGCTGCAGAATTGCTTGTTCAACTATGTTGATGGTGGTGTGAGAACAGAGGGGGAAAATGTTGTTTTATTCTGCACAGCACTGAATGTAAAATATATAAAATTCCATGTACTATGAATAGGCTTCCTAAAGACAAAGTCTGATCCTAAGGCAGATAATATTTACATCATATGTTTTAAAATATTCAAACTAGATACATGCTCATTGCCCTCCTTTTGTCTTTTTCTTCTTTGGAATTTGCATTGTTCTATTAACATTCCAACAGTCTATATGCCTATTTAGACATAGGAAAAGAGTAGCAACAATCTCATAATGACACATGAGAAAAGAATTATTTCCGAATAACACCTTACATTTTTGAATTCATGAATTTTCCATATTTGATATGGTCACTTTGATCGGTTGAACACTGAAAATGCATTTGACCCTTTCAGTGGATTTTAATTTAGGGTTTTAAATCCTGTTGTTCTTGGTGGAGCCACAAATATCATCAACTGCCTCATTTACAGCACTCTCAAAGAACCTTGCAATTCATGGTAATTTAACATTTTTTAGTGAATATTAGTGATTTCATCTAAAACTCTGCATGCTATCAGGAACACAACAGATTTCAGAGTTAGAGCAATCAAAACTGACCTTCAGATGATTTTCTAAGGCAGCAAAATGCTTTGGGGATGAATGAAAATGAAAGAGAGATAGATGTTTCACTCCCATGTCAAAGGGTGTAGAAAATGATTTGCATTACATGAAAATATCCTTGGCAACAAAAGTTCTTCACACACAGAGGCTCTTTCCAAACATTTAAGCTGATTACTTGCTATGACCATGTCAACCACAATCTTGTCTGACTCCACAGCATAAATAAATAGTACCTCTTTGGTATTTAAGTTGAAATTTTCATAAGCCAGAAGGTTTAGATGACTTACCAACACTTTTGAGAATAATATTATTAAATCTTGAGCATGAGAGAACTTGAACCTTTATGTGCTTGAAGTAGAATTCCTAAAAAATGTTCACATATTCACTCATCAAAATTGCCAAGAATGGTCTTTGCATATGCCAGACTCTCTTTTATGGGATGAGAGTATAATATTGTGACTAGATCCATCTCTTTGGGAACCACCAGCTTGAATCTCCAGCTTTGGAACTTTGGTAGTTGTATGATTATAGTCAAATATTGATTGGACTCTCTGAACCTTTTCTCATTTATATTAAGAGAATGATAATGTCTCCCCGTCAGGGTTATTTTGAAGATAAGGTGTGTGTGTGTTTGTGTGTGTGTGTGTGTGTGTGCATGCACATATGTATGTAGGGGTGTGTGTGTGTGTATATGTGTATAAAGTAATTGTTCAATAAATATCACCTTTATTTCCTCTACCCTCCAGTGTGCTGGAAGGCATCCTTGATTCTTACATCCCAAGAATTATAAATGGCTTATTTGGCAATAAGTAATATATTTATTACCACAGATAATATATACTAATGGGAAAATTACTTCTATCTTAGCATCCTAATAGAAAAGTGATCACACACAGATCCTGCATGAAACTCATGAGACACTGGAGAGCACATGGCTAAGCATAAAAGGAACAGTGCATAGAAATAACATTGCGCAATTATACTATAGGTTTCCTGGAAACACAGAAAACAGATAATGTACAAGTCTTCATCTCCTTGGTTAAATTTTTGATGCATTATAAGTGAAATTGCTTTATTAATTTCTTTTTCAAATTATTCATTGCTGGCTTATAGAAACACAACTAATTTTGTGTGTTGATCTTGTAACATAGAACATTGCTGAATTTGTTTACTAGCTCTAGTAGCTTTCTTGTGAATTTGTTTGGATTTTCCACATATAGAATCATATCATCTACAAGTAAAGAAAATCAACTTTCTAATTTGGGAGACTTTTACTTACTTTTTCTTGATTACCTGCTCTGGCTAATATGTGGGCATTTCTGTATTATGTCTGATCTTAGATCTCAGTCTTTCATTATTGAATATGATGTTAGCTATGGGGTCAACTGCATTTTTGCATAGATGCTTGGGTAATTCAATGGGGAAAGGATGGCAATTTCAACAAATGTTAATGGAACATTTGGATACCTATGTGTCAAAAAATAAAAATGAAATAAAGAACTTAGATGCTTAACTCATACCATGTACAAAACTAATTCAAATTATTTCATGGATCTAAATGTAAATGTTTAAGTATAAAACTGTAAGATAAAAATGGAGAATTTTTTTTTTTCACATTGAGTCAATCCAAAATTTCTTAGATAGGACACAAAAACATGACCCATAAAGGAAAAGCTTGGTAAATTGACTTCATGAAAAGTAAAAGCTTTTGCTTTTTAAAGTATACCAATAAAAAAAATGAAAAACAAATCCACAGAATGAGAGGACTATTTGCAAGTTTTATCCCAAATTAATAAGGAATTCTTTAACTCAGTAAGAGGACTAACAACTAAAACACGGGCAAAATATTTCAAAGATACTTTGCCAAAAATCACATGAATGACAATACACATGAAAAGTTGTTCAACATTAGTCAGCAGGAAAAATGCAAACTAAAATCACAACAAGATACTACTACACACTCACTGAATGGCTATAATGAAATAGAGTCAATGCCAAATGTTGCTGAGACCATAGAGTAACTGGATCTCTTATAAGTTGCTAATGTAAATGTAAAATAATACAGCCATGTTGGAAAATAATTTGGCAGTTTCCTAAAACATTAAAAATATATTTGGTATACAAACCAGCCTTTTTATTCTCAGGATATAAAGAGATATAAAGATGCATGTCCACACAGAGACTTGTAACTGTATGTTCATGGATGCATTATTCATAGTAGACCAATGCTGAAAACAATCTAAATGTCAACTGATCAATGGATAAACAAAATATAGTGTATCCATAAAATACTACTCAGCAATTAAAAGAATCTACTGAGACATGCAACAATATGACTGAACCTCAAAAACATTTTGTTAAGATGAAGCTAGATACAAAAGCCTATACATTGCAAAAAGTCTAAATGTTGTATAATTTCATTTATATAAAACTCATGGGAAAGGCAAAATTATCTCATCAAAGACCCTATAACTAGTTGTTTGGGGCTAGAGGTGGGAGTCATGATTGACTGGAAATGGGCACAAAGGAACTTTTTGAAATGACAGAAGTGTTCTACAATTGGATTATAGTAATGATTGCACAAGTCTAAATTTACTAAAATCCATCAAACCATATACTTAAAATTGTTAAATATATAATATGTAAATTATACTTTAATAAAGCTGTTAATAAAAGGAGAGCTAGAAGAGGCTCTCTGGCAAGGAGAGATAAAGAAAAAATGTGGATATAAAGATGAATAAATAACAATGAGAATAGTGTCAAGAAGACAAACACTATCAAACAATAAGTGGCTAATTGTATACGTGTGTGTGTGTATGTGTATAATTTTAGTTAGGTTCATAGATGGTTGAACTAACTAGAATATCATTCGCTAGGAAAGCATACAGAAAATAGGACTATTTAATTTATGTTAATTCTTGTTTTGCTTCCTATCAAGAAGAATGACTATCATTTTGAAAGCATGATACCAATATTTAAAGGAAAGAAGTGAATCACCCAAAAGGGAAATTTACTATAAGAAAAGGTCTAACTACTTTATTTTCATTCAATCCTCTTGCATTTTGGAAATTACATCCTAGGATTCCCACCCTGACAGCCCACCAAAAATAAAAATCACAGATGATATTACTAAATTATTGCTAGTGGCCCCTAGAAGATATAATGAGGGTTATAATCCTGCAGTTCCCAAACTGTGTAGGGGGTGGGGTACCATGAGAAATTTTAATTTTAAATGAAAATATTTCTTGACATCTGTTGGATACAGAGACAAATACTAGTCAGAGGTAGTTCACTGTGTCAGCAATAGATAGCACTACATTCCTTTCAATTTCATCATATCTTTGTGAAGCCAATTGTTCTGGCTGGCTTCTGCTAGGATCAAACACAAGTACCATGTGAAAATCAAGCTGGAACAGGAGAGAAGGCTGGGACCCTTCATCCTCATCCCACCATTTACATTTTTCTGCTCCCCTCCTATTATCAGTGTCCATCACTCTAGCTATGTTTTGACCTCCTCTGAAGGCAGGAAAGTTGTCTCATTTGTTTCTAATAAATTGCCTCTGCTGATGCTGAGCTTCCAACTTTACACAGTGTTTCAAAAATTTTGTTAAATAAAAACCTAAAACAGAAGCAGCAACAACCACAAGAGTTGAAGAACTGTGCTCAGTATGATATATCATAATTTTAAAGAGATAAAAAACCAAAAGGAATATGTCCAGGGAAGAATCATTAGGAATGTGAGAGTTTTTAAAAATTCTAACAAATCAGAAACACTTGGAAAGAATGTCCAGTTAATAAAACATAAAATTAAATGTCTACCACTACTAAGAGTTGTAGGCTAGCTTTCCAGTGACATGACTATCCAGTTTTGCCTGAGAGATAATTCCCAGACTATGTCTCAAATGCAAGAAGGAATAGGTAGCAAAAAGTAGAGCAGGTGCCAATATTGTCACAAAATTAGTGGCAGAACCAATCAGAAATCACTAAGATTAGGTATTGTAATTCCATTATAAATGACGATCCATAACTCATATCCAAAAGGAATATGCTAGAATTTTTGTTGCATACAAAGCAATCAATTGTATTGCTAATCAATAAATGACACATAGTAATTAAGTGGCCAATGAAGTCCAGATTTATGTTTAGACTGTATTTATACATGAAAGGAATTATGACAGTTCTTTCCCAAAAGAAGCATAAATACCTACAGTTTTACTTATACTGAAATCCAGAGGGACTGATGAAATGCGGGATGCTGAAGAGAAACTACACAGGTACAAAATATGAATACGTCTTCTTAATCACTAGCTATATCCTGCTTTCCATTACCTCAAAATCTAGTACAGTTGTTGTGGAGTCCAATATCCCATTACTTATCTTTCTCCCTCCCCCCTTAAATGTAGATAGCAGAGTTCCAGGCATGCTGGTTTGTGATGATCTGTCATGACTTGTGGCGTTTCCTATCATTGTGACTCATGACAGTCTCAGGACACCCCAAGGAGAATATGCATAGCACAATATGTTGTAGAGGGCTCCTACCACATGTTCCCAGCAGGCATTTCTTAGGGATTCTGGAAAGGGTAAGGATGTATGATCTTGAAGTAAATATAGGAAAACGGTCAATATGTTATGAAATTGTAGAACTGCAGGTGACCTTGTGAGGTCAATTCAAGGTACTGAAAAGCGATGTTGAAAAGTCAAAAGATACTTACATGTAATCTTAGGCTTTAAGGAATTAAAAATATAAATGTGAGAGATATTTAAATGAGTGAAACTTAAAGTAGAAAGAAACATGAATTATGGGATGAATAATATGCGTGACGAATGATACTAATTATTACAATATCGATAAACAACTAATGGTATAATACTGCCCACAAAATTTGGGGGATGGAAGAATATCAAACATATAATAAACAAGAATTCACCCTTTATTTGTCAAAAAAAAATAACTTACCTGGAAATGTCTTTGTGTCGGTGACCAACTGTTTTGGTTTAACCAATATAGTCCTGATTTTACCATTAAAAGTCTTGTGTCCTGGGAAGACCCTTGGTCTGGGAAAACCTAGGACTTTAATCACCTCATTGTTGATTTCACTCCAAAAAACTATTGTAAATTTCCCACCATGAACATAATTATATTACCATTTCCAATTGTCTAATCAAGGAAAAGCAGACATATTTCATTCAGTGTATTTTTTTCCATCTCTTACCTACGTTCTTCACATTGTACTAAGCCTTTCTGATGGGTTCTAAATGGAGAAAGAAAACAATGAGATGCAGTCCCCTGTATGATGCTGCTTCACACACCAGCACTGAACCAGAGTTCACTTACTTTTGCTGCAACCCAATAGATTGTTGACATCCAAGTGGCTTGCACTGGGAACACAAGCATCACACTTTGAGCCAGTGACAAATTGTTTACAGAAACACTGGCCTGTGACCAAGTGACAGGTTTCATTCAAGGCTCCTGAGAGATGACAATTACAAGGCTGACATCTGAAAACAAGGCAAATAAACCATCAAAGAGAATAGTGTTTTGATTAATAATTCATAGTATAAGTTACACCTACCAATAGCATTGTAGAGTAAGACGGCTTGTTTTAGCCAATATATTGAAAAGAATGCTTGAGCTAAACAAACAAAGAATCAACATAAAATAAAGGAAAATAGAAAAGATCTTTATAAAACTACTGTTCCTGGTAAAACCCGTATAAAGCTTTCTCTTTATAAACTAATTAATAGCAAAAAAAGATATTATATTGCTTTTTTACATCCCACAATATATCTTATGGATTAGTTTGAATCCAGTTGTTCAATTAAGAATGCTGTAAATTTTGCTTTTACAAAAGCAGTGTTCCTGTCAGCTAAACATTTAGATTAGGTACCCATAAAATTATCTTTTCAAGTGACTCTCCAATTGCGAAATAGAAAATCAGGGGTAAATCATTGCTCTCCCTAAAAATCTTAAAATTCTATAGTTAGTTCGATGAAGACTAAATTTCACTAAGAAAATTGCTTGAGAAAGACAGGTTCAAATATTTTTGATGCCTTAATATGGGTTATATTTCATTTTCTGTTTTATGAACTAAACTTAGTTATCCATAATGGTTGGAGAATACAGCATTATTCTGATTTATGAAAAGATGCTAATGACATAAATATAGTAAGATAACTTTAGTGCAACTTAAATTTCTTGGACCCAAAGTTGCTTGTAAAAATACCAGTAGTGGCATTTTGCCATGATAGAAACTAAAACTTGTTTCTTCACAGTGAATTATTCAAACATGTAGCCTATGCCAATGGCACTAATTAGGATAAGCAACGTTGGTGCCATGAGGTATTAGAGAAGCAAAACAGCACATGTAAGAAGACCACTCACCATTTAAAAGGTACTCTCCTTGTGGTACGTTTAAAACAACATCAAATGGATTCACCTATATATTCTAATAAAGATGCTGAACGGATGGAGTTACTTTTCCCCACTGCCATTTTTACAGTGTGATCTCTTGGGTAATCATTCAACACCCTTAAAAAGGCTGATAAAAGCTAAGACTGCCAAATAAGCTGCAAATTTGTTTTATGGACTAATATCCCCTTGGGAATAAATAAAGTACAGTTTTTCTTGAAAACCACTGTACTGTAGTTTGCCGTTTTTATGGTCATGATAAAAGGACATTTTCCCCCTTCAAACAACTATATTAGGTCTTTTATCTATACACATTACATCAGAATTCCATTTCAAATAGATGTTTTGTTTAGGTTAAGTTTTAGAGCTGAAGAAAATTATGTATTATAATTAAAATGGAATTATAGATGCAAAAATACTTGATTTGCTCTTAATTTCTTTATAGGCTATTATGTAGAGTCTATTGTTTATAGGCTTTTAATATAATATTAGTGAGCATAAACAATAAGAGAAAAGCTTCTCTCAATGTATGTGTGTGTGTGTGTGTGTGTATATATGTATGTGTAACTGCACCACTCATGAATAAGTGTCTCTTGAGTATTTCAGTTTTTATTACCATTCACTCATGAGACAATCACACTTATTTTACATACAGTACATTTAGAGTAATAGCTTCCAATGTATAACATAATTCCGTTCCTTGATGTAGTTCTATTTTCTTCCAGCCAAAGCACGCAATGTTTTGAGCAATTAAATGTGTCTATTCTTGATTTTATAGTCTCTTATCCAAGCCATTGTTATAGTCAACTTATCTGACTTGTTATAATCACTTGACTTCAGTAAGAGAGAATTTTTCCTAAATGAAGTTCACAAGCGAAGACTTTTCTGAAAATTGTAGTTTGTTTTTACCCCAAAGGACACAGGGATAATTTTGTAATTAAGGATTAAGCAAAATGATTCCTTTAGATTTCTCAGCCACTCAAATATAATTTTAAACACTTCCAAGACTCTTTAGCAAATAAGCTACAAATTTGATGTCATTTTATAAGTTATCCCTCCTCAAGAGTACCTCCTAAATGAAATATATTTCACATTTATTAAAACAAAATTATACATAATAAAGGAAAAGACATTTTAAGCTTAGAAAGAGAAACACCAAACTAAGATGAATTGCAATATTGATTTTGCCAGGATAAATGGTTTTTGTAATATTAATATAAAGAAACCTTTATTACACTGACTCTCTTGGTACAGCCAGAGCTTCTCCCGCAATCTGTTTAAAATCTTCATTTTTCATCCTTATGGGAAAACCTCGCTTGCTAAATGGATTTCATAAAGAGTAATCTGTCAAGATTTATATAGATAAACAATTTGTGATGTTTATTGACCAGTTCATTATGGTAAACAAAACAGGAGTAAAGCATCACTAATCTCTGCCAGCACTTTGCTATGATAGTTCTCTTTGGACCCTTACATAACTCAGTATTTGCTGGTTACAATGGGAAAGAAGTTGGCCTCTGTCTCCTACATCACAAATTTCATATACCTTCCTTTCTTAGGAATTTCTTCCAGTTGTGGAAACAGTGAGAGAAATGGTTATCCTAATTATTACTGTTGAAACCTAACTATTAATGAAAGGAATATGTTTCAGTAATGCACATCATTGTCAGAAAATTCATCATCTGAGGGAGAACTGCTGTAGGAGGCCCAGAGATATATCCCAAGATATATAGGTCAATTTATTGACATTTCTCTTTGTACACCCCTCCTCTCTATGGGGCCTCAGCTCATGGGTACTATCAAATTGATTTAAATATTGATTGACATAAATAACATTCATTGAGGGCCAGCTATGTTCCAGGACTGGAATAAACATCAAGGATGTAGAGATGAATCTTATAGAATTGCCCCGGTCCTCAAGGAGCTCACAATCTCGTATGCAAGAAAAAACGGAAACAGCATTAATAAAGATGTATCCAGACTCTAAAGGTCCAGAAAAGGGGCAACTTAACTAGTCTGGTAGCAGAAGAAGGGATGGGAAGGGTAATTTTAAGTAGAAGTCTTGGAGGAGATGCTTGGGCTGAACGTTAAAAGATGAGTAGAAATAAGCCAGGGAAGTCGGGGAGGGGCAAAAATAGAGAAAAAAAAGAAAAAGCAGAAGAGGGTATGAAATTGCAAGCACCTCAGTACTCCTGGATGTAAATTCATAATGAGAAATGGTGATAGATAAACCTGGAAAGGTGAGCAGAAGTAAGATAATGCTACCTTGGGGCAGTGGCAAGGAGCAATGGAAATGAGTAGGATAGACCTGAGAAATGTTAAGTAAAATTGGTAGAATGGGAGGCCGAATTGAAAAGAGAAGGGAGGATAGGTATAAAGTTACTCCCGGTCTTCTAACTTGCTAATGGGGATGATGAAGACATCATTCAACATAAAGAACGAAGGAGAAAGAGATCTCCAATTGCTAAGGGATTTTAGATAAGGATTATTAATAAACAAAAGAGAATGAGACTTCAAGGCAAATTGGAGAAATTCGGCAGAGTTTTTTTGTTTGTTTTTGTCTTAGTTTTTTCCATCAGTCCCTAACACAAAGGCTAGCACACAGTAAGGATTCAGTAAATATTGTCGGATACAGGAATTAATAGTGAATAAAGCACCAGGGAAGCTTTAGACTTAGGATAGGACACCGGAGATTAATCCAAACATGGTTTGTAGCTCTAGTAACAAGTTAGCTCTTTTGAGCCCCTTTTTATTGGCTTAACTCTGTCCCCCTGGCTAACCTCACTCCCAGGGAATGGACAGTTTTCTTTAAGAGCTGGTATCTGTTCAGATTCTCTTAAACCAGTGTTCTCAGTTCACAGAATTCGGTGAGTGCTACAGTGCCCTCTAGAGGAGTTTGGTTTTCCCCGATTAACAGAGGAGCTGTGGTTTCATTGAGCTTCTTAGTTTCGCTTTAGTTACAGACTACTAACAGCATCTGAATTCTCTTGGAGATGGAATCAGAATTATAGGAGAGGGATTTGAGGCTTGGGCATCCACGCTGTGTGAACTGAAAGCCATATTTACATGGCTTATTGAACAAGGAAATACGAGTGCCTCATCTGAAAGGGAGACGTTAACAGTGTGCAACCCCACCCTCTTTGGTGAATTTCCCAGGCACAAATAGAGAAACTCATAAAAGCTGGACCAGGGGCAGTGACTCCCTTGCATCCATGCAATAGTGACAGCTAAGTCCAGGCAGCTTGCTCAGCAAGGTTCTGATCTGAGAACACTGTCTCTTTCTCCTTTGTTGACACTCCACATATTTATGCAAATAACTAAATAACTTTCAGATATGATAGCAGAATCAAATTTTTAAAGTGCTCACAGATAGAAGAGAGATTTCACTTATTCTCTATGGTCTCAGAAGGCATAAATAAGACTAGGCAAGAAAGTCAAAAGACTGCAACTTTTTGGTCAATATAAATAATATATTTCTATTTGTTGAAGAATTACAGCTGTTTGAAATAAACATGAGCTACTTCATGAGACAGTGAGCTCCTTTTAGTTCCATGTTTTGGAGCAGAAGCTGAATGGCCATTCACCAGTTTTTCTGAAAAGGTGATTTACGCAGAGAAATGTATAGGGTAGAGTTTAACCAAAATTACTTTTAAGGTTCTTTCCCAGTCTATAAAGTTATGATTCTATTATGCTTAGTGAGACTAATTTGTCCAAGGTGACAGTAAATCTAGTTACAAGGTCAGCAATCTTTATCTATAAAGGATGAGATAGTAAATATTTTAGGCTTTGCAGGCCATATGAGCTCTATTGTAACTCAACTCTGCTGCTGTAGCAGGAAAGCAACCACAGAAAATATGTAAAGAATTAACATTGGTGTGCTCTAATAAAACTCTATTTACATAAACATGTGGCTGACCCCCAGGCTATAGATTGCTGAACTCTGGTAGAGCAGGTCATATTATGCCCACGCCAACAATATCCAAGTTCTAATCCTCCAAACTTGTGAATGTTACCTTACTTGGTAAAAGGAATTTTGCAGATGTGGTTAAGGATTTTGAGATGGGGAGATTATCCTGGATTATCCAAGAATGCCCAATGTAATCTACGGTCCTTATAAAGGAAGGCAGGAGGGTAAGAGTCAGAGAGAAAACATGTAAGGACATAAGCAGAGGTCCAAGGAAACACTGCTCTGCTGGCTTTGAAAATGAAGGAAGGAGCCATGAGCTAAAGAATGTACGATGGGTGCGGTGGCTCACGCCTGTAATCCCAGCACTTTGGGAGGCCAAGGCGGGCAGATCACCTGAGGTTGGGAGTTTGAAACCAGCCTGACCAACATGGAGAAACCCTGTCTCTATTAAAAATACAAAATTAGCTGGGGGTGGTGCTGCATGCTTGTAATCACAGCTACTCGGGAGGCTGAGGCAGGAGAATCATTTGAACCCAGGAGGCGGAGGTTGTGGTGAGCCGAGATTGCACCATTGCACTCCAGCCTGGGCAACAAGAGCAAAACTCCATCTCAGAAAAAAAAAAAAAAAAAAAGATTGTAGGTTGCCTCTAAAAGCTGGGAAAATCAAGGAAATGTTTTTTTTTTTCCTAGAATCTCCATAAGAAACACAGGCCTGATTTTAGCCTAGTGAAACTCATTTAGAGCCTCTGATTTCCAGAACTATAAGATAATAAAAATTCATGTTGTTTTAAGCCACTGAGTTTGAGATAATTTATTCCACCAATAATAGGAAGCTACTGTATCTGGTCTAGTGGAAAAGACAAAACTGAAACCTGGATATCCTGATGTCCAGTTGCATGTTATTCCTATTACATCACGTTGAATAAATGCTACTAATATATAAAAACTGATACTTCTTATCAGATCATATATCATCTATACTAAGAGAGAATATATAGTTTGGCAGCCATAGGAGATTGCAAAAATCACAACTCTTCACCTTTCCCTCTGTGCAGGTCCTTTGCAGCTAACTGTATAATTAGTTCTACTCATCAAAAGGAGAGTCTGTTTATTCCCCACCACTTCCAAACATGGTTAAGCCTCGTGCCTTGCTTTGGCCAGTAGAATAAGGTAAAAGTAACATCCTGACGGTTCGGGCCTCAAGTGTCTTTGCATGCTTC
Organism: Homo sapiens; assembly: GCF_000001405.40. Classification (NCBI taxonomy): domain Eukaryota; kingdom Metazoa; phylum Chordata; class Mammalia; order Primates; family Hominidae; genus Homo; species Homo sapiens. The sequence goes on from NC_000001.11 coordinate 216,223,588, forward strand.
TGCTTTCTTTCTTGGAAATCTGCCACTGCCTTGTGAGAAAGCCCTGCCTTGGCTGCCAGATGATGACAGGCTTGTGGCCCATTTACCCTGTCACCCCAGATGACAGCCAGCTGTCTGACAAAGAGTCACTGAGGAGAGGGAATCTATGAGGCACACTCCCTAATTTTTCCATTATCACACCATAAAAGGAAATCAGTTGACAAGGAAGTTATCTGCTTTCATCTGAAGTCATTGACCTGGTTCTCAGAGAAAAGACCAATTGAGATCAATCGGATAAAGGCCTGTGAAAAGATTACTGGACCAAATCTATAACCTAGTGCTGAAATGTAGAACATTTGCAGTAAAACCAAAAATAATCTGGGCATAGAAGAACTTCCCTGTATTTTATGCTCCAGAAGTCTGAGCCTTTATTCTCCCTAACCAGCCTTGGTGTCCTACCCTCTATGGACAACTTCAGTGTGTGTCAGCTAGTAAATGGGACAAATAGTGATACCACTAACTCCTTAAGGCTTAAAACAAGGTAACATAGAATATAGAGAGGGTATATCATTAGGGAAGAAACTTTTGGGGGTTGTGATGTGTGGTTGTTATGTAAGAAAACTGTGGGGTACCAGATGAACTGGAGCAGTCCTGGGGGCTATGGGGGAGAGTAGTCATAGTCACAGGTCAACTTGAGGACAGTGCCAGTAAGTGCAGGGTGTCAAATATGGGTCTCCACTACCAACTGAGATGAATTAAATATGGCCCATTTTTGTCTCATTGTTTTTGGGTTAGACAAACACTATATACTTTTTTGCATTATTGATTTTTCAGTGGGCAGATTTTTTTTGCTTCATTGTTTTCGATACTGATTAAATCATGTTTGCTTTATGTGTCAGAGGTAAATGGAGTAATGTTTGCACTAGGATCAGCTTTTTAAAATACATGCCCCCTTTTTCTGGTCAGTAACTTTTGAAGAATAAACCACTTAGATGGAAACAGGCAAATGATTTTCCAGCTTGGTCACAAAAAGTCATTGTTGTGTTGCCTGGATTTTTGTTGTTGGTTGTGTAGTTTAGGGCCGAGGTCTATTTTATTTTATTTATTTTGCCCTTGGGAATACAAAAAACTGTGTAGCAAATAAACCAAGAGAAAACAATATAGCAAACCTTGCTATATCCAACAAATAGAGCATGAAGAAGGTAAGGAATATGTGAACCAGGCAGATAAGGAAGTGAGGTTATTTTCCAAGTTGATGAAGAAATAATATGATACTTGTATCTTCCCCTTTCATAATAATAAGTTACTTATAATCTACTGTATATTTTGAAAATTAATGTTTTAATTTCCATTTGTTATAATTGGAATGTAATTTTTATAAATGTAAACATTTCTATTTGTAATAACCTACCACAGTGCCTAGATTTCAAAGTAGATTCAAATGATTTTGAATCTACTTTGTTTTCAAAAACATTGTTTTAACATTAGGACATAGCTGTTTTCCTATACTGCATATCTGTATATATTTACATTACATGTGAATTTTTTCCTTTAAAAAACAAAAATTTCTTATACTTGATGGAATCCCATATATCTTAGTCAATTGTTACACATTTTCAATATAGCCAATGTTGGTGTATATACAATAACAACCAGAAGTCAAAAAAAGATTCAAGAACGGTATCATTCAAAAGAGGAATGGAAAAACATTAAAAAGAACCCACTTTTATCTCTTTTCAATGTTGAACAAAAGTCCAAACTCAAGCAATTCTCATTGTCACATTTTAAAATATCCTTCTCCATGCCCTTCTGTGCTACAGGATTTCCTGTGTAATGATTATCAATGTTGAAGTGAAAAGAGACAGCTGAATTCATCAGTGGGATAGGAGGGTCAAGTCAAGTTACCAGCATTCCACACGACTGATTTAGTAAGAGACAAATCCTGCTGATCTCCTTGGGTCCCATATGGCCATGGGAAGCTTTATTCTTTCTATTCTTTTTAGAGAAGCTGCATTATATACAGTAGCTCTTGCTTTCCATAGCACTTTCCAGCAGTAGCCTGTAGACTCATTCTACTCAACAACAGAGCCAATTCTGCCAAACCTGAGAAGAATCTAAGCCCCACTCAAACTTGGGAAGTTTGGACTTGAATAATTATTTGAAGTTTTACGTCTTTTTCACCAAGATGATGATAGCATGAGATGGCATAAGACTTATTTTTATTTGGGTGGAGATGAGGAAGTAATGGTTAGTTCTGTGCTGACTATATTAAAAATGAAATGCACGAGGGACTTGCAAGCGTAAAACTCAGAGAGACAGCTGGCTACAGGCCTAGAGTGCGTGGCAGGCATCTGAATGGGTGATCATGTGTTTGAAAGCCATTAACATGTATGTAGTGGTTGAAATCAGGGACACAGTTGTGGAAATTGAAAGGACATATTAAAAAGGAGTAGCCAAAAAAAGAGTTAGAAAACAAATAAGAGAAGTAGAATCTTGGAAACCAAAGGAAGAGGTAATTTTAAGAAATAAATGGGAACAATGAAATGACCAGCACATTGAGAAACCATAAGTCATGAGAAGCAATCATAAATCAGTTTTATTTTTGTCTTTCACTGACCCTTTAAACATATAATATGGAGCTAATTCCCCCATGTTCCATGTGGATATAAAATGAGTTAGTCACTTGGCTTTTCTGGTCTTTCTCAGGCAATAGAATGTCCTACAGTTACTTTACATTGCAAAATACAAATTCAATTCAGAAAATAGAAAGTCTAATCCTGTATATTAGTCAACATTCCAATCTTTATTTAAAGAACAGACATTTTCAAGAACATACTTCTCTTCCTTTCATCAAGCTAGGACATGATAAAGGCAGCAAGTCTATAATCAGAGAAGGTAGCTTGGTTAGCCTCCTCCCTCACGTAGAGGCTGCAGGAAGGGTAGAAACTCACTTGGACTAGAACCACCCAAAGCAGTCTATTGTCTCTGGTCCTGCATATACATAAAACTGACTTATCACTGACAGTGGTACATTCCTGACTTCTTCATTGATCTTTCTCACCATTAGGTATCTCTCACCTTTTGTTTTAGTGCAGTCAGATGCATTTTCTTTTCGACTGGTTGCTTATTAACCTGTAGTCCACAGTAATCTTGTCCTTTATTCTACACAGGCCCCTTTATCTTCTAAGTGGTACTTTGAGCACAGACTAAGACAACCTTACCCTGTCTTTCTTCCTTGTGGTCTTCATCCGGTCATGAGAAATACGTAGTCTTCCTTGTCATGATGAACTCTGGGAGTCTAAGATATGCAGGGCACTGTCTTCTAGCTTACCTATCCAAACCTGGGTAGACTGTCTCTTCTCAGTTAGATTTGCCAGGTCTAAGATAGATATCAATGCACTGGTCTCTCCAACTGCAGGAGACACATGTCACCCTTCAAGGGATCAAATAAGACCTTCTCACTGGACTCAAGTGGAAAGCACCACTGACCCCTCCCTTTTTCCCACCAGTGAAACCTGTTCCCTCATTCTGTCTTTTCCTTAACCCATTTTTGTTTATTATATCTCTTTATAGACCTTGTCTTTGATTTGGATGAGAATTTAATAGTCACATAACTAGTTCTTGAATGTCTGCATGTTGCAAGTTCTGCTAACTTGTATGTTCTGCTAACATGTATGTACCACACATGGTGAATAAAGAATGAATGAGAAAGAAACAAAATGAAGAAGAAAAAAAATCTGATCTTTTATTTTTTAAATCATGTTTTCTTGAATCATAGTGCTCTTTTTAAATGTTAGTAAGTGAATGAAGAGTGAGAGATTAGACAATAACTTTCAGGGCTCATAAAGCAGGGCAGAATCAAAGGAAGGAGTTTGTAGAATGAATAGCATTTTTGTAGGCAGTTATGATATTACCTATAGAGAGATGTTTGAGTTAAAATAAAGGGAGGATTTGATGGAGCAAAGATCATGGAATGGAGGAACAAGAGTAGGAAAACAGGAAGGGATCATATCAAGGACTGGGAACAGGTTATTTTTAGGCAAAAATACACAGGATTTTCTTCTAAGACTAGATAAAAAATTAAAAATGTGTGACAATGTAGACAAGCTGGAGGTGGAGAAAAGATAATCTGGAGATACATATATCTGGCTTTATTTTGTCTATGAGCAGAGGGCCAGATTATCTGCAAGGGCAAGAGCATGGAATTAAAACTGAGGAGACTGGTAGGAGTTTAAAGGGGGAAAGAAAGTAAATTGATAAGAAGTACATACATGGTAGTGCTTCAGATCAGCATAGGCACATGATCTTTCCCCACGTCCTCACAGATCAGGGCAGGTGTAGGGTGATCGTCTCTGGAGCTGACCCCACAGTACAGCAGAAGGGAGCCCACAATCAGGTACTCAAAAGGGTCATAATTAAAAAGGTTTTGCCTCAGGCTAGAAGTAGAAGACAGTGAAGTTAGGGATGGGGTTGATCAAAAGAGGATTAAGGAGGGATAATGGGATAAAGATTAAGAGAAGTTAAGGAGCAGGTTATGTGAGGCTTCCAGGGTGAATTGGAATTGGAAAGATGTGATATATCCATAGAATAGCATTCATGGGATTAGGAAGATTTGAGAAATAGAGAAATTATAAGTGATCACAAAATCCAGGGTGTAGCCATGGAAATGGGTTGCTGGAGTGGGGAATGAATGAAGAGGCCAAAGAACTGCATCAGTACATGTCAAAGTAGTTTAAAATAATGGCAGGAGTTAGAAAAGGGAGAAAAATAGAATCCCTCTGAAAAGGAAAACCTGGAACTGGAAAGATAAGAACAAAGGGGATTGATATGGTTTGGCTGTGTCCCCACCCAAATCTCATCTTGAATTGTAACTCCCACAATTCCCATGTGTTGTGGGAGTAACACAGTGAGAGGTGATTGAATTATGGGGTAGGGTCTTTCCCCTGCTGTTCTCATGAGAGTAAATAAGTCTCACGATATCTGATGGTTTTAAAAAGGGGAGTTTCCCTGCACAAGCTTTCTTCTCTCTGCCACCATGTGAGACGTGTCTTTCACCTTCCACTGCAATTGTGAGGTCTCCCAAGCCATGTGGAATTGTAAGTCCCGTAAACTTCTTTCTTTTGTAAATTGCCCAGTCTCAGGTATGTCTTTATCAGCAGCATGAAAACGGACTAATACAGGGATGGAAGAAAAGTGCGACCATTTCCAAGGACAATTTGTAATTTTAAAAAGGTAATCTCACCACCCCCATCAATATAACAGGAGCCAACTAATATGTAAAGATATCCAAACTCATTTATATAAAACTTGTGGATCTTTTTGTTTAAAACACACACTCGGCTCAAGCCTGTAATCCCAGCACTTTGGGAGGCCGAGGTGGGCGGATCACGAGTTCAGGAGTCTAAGACCAGCCTGACCAACATGGTGAAACCCTGTCTCCACTAAAAATACAAAAAAATTAGCCAGGCATGGTGGCATGCACCTGTAATCCCAGCTACTCAGGAGGCTGAGGCAGGAGAATCTTTTGAACCTGGGAGGCAGAGGTTGAAGTGAGCCGAGATCACGCCACTGCACTCCAGCCTAGGCGACAGAGTGTGAGACTCTGTCCAAAAAAAAAACCCCACACTTAATCTGAATCATTCATATTTTTAGAAATCTACTCAGCTTCTCATACTTTAGCTCTATTTTCTAGACTCCAACCTGCCCCTCATTCTTTTTGCGAATCTGAAGTCTGCTTTCTCTCTCTCTTTTTTGCTTTTTTTTTTCTGAGACAGGGTCTCGCTCTGTTGCCCAGGCTGGAGTGCAGTGGCACAATCTTGACTCACTGCAGCCTCGACCTTCCAGTCTCAAGCAGTCCTCCCACATCAGCCTCCCAAGTAGCTGGGACTACAGGCAAGAGCCACTACACCTGGCTAACTTTTTATTTTTTACAGAGATGGGGTTTTGCCATGTTGCCCAGGCTGGTCTTAAACTCCTGGACTCAAGGGATCTGGTCACCTTAGCCTCCCAAAGTGCTGGGATTACATGAGTTAGCCATAGTGCCTAGACTGAATTCTTTCTTTATTGTAACTTCGGTATCTTCTAAAAATGTAGCTTATACCCACTTCTTTGGTCCTTCCTATTCCTTATCAATTTATGTAAACATTTAAATCCACCTTCTAACCCAGGGAATCTAGCTCCAGTGCTAGTCAGGCCTACTGCAGAGTGACAGGTGATGGAACAGTACTTATTAAGCAATTCTTGTTCCTGGACTAAAGTAAGGTGGGGAGTGAGAGTGAGATGGGTAGATAATGGGAGAGGAACAGAATGGGGTAAAAGGCTCAGCCACGAATTTAAGAACATTGTAGGGTAGAGGAAGCAGTGTAATGAAGGGAATCAGATCTCACTTAAAGAAAAAAAGTTAAGTGAAAAAGCTGAGACAATCAGACATCCCCAGGTCACTGAGCAGGCGTTTTGCTGATAACCCTGGGAAGACTGACAAAGGGGATGAGTAGAACAAAAATGGGTAATTGAATGTCACAAAATGGCACTGATGGGAATGAGTGTTGCAAGGAGGACAGTGGGTTGGGGAAGATATTTTTCTCCTGGTAAATGTGGTCAGAACTATGAAAAAGACAGAGGTGGCCAGGAGTGAAACAAACCAGCCCAAGAGTTCCAACTGGGGAATCTGTAGAATATTATTTCAAAAAAATTACATCTAGGAGCTAGTATGTGCAGTAACTGGCTCCTATTTTACTATCAAAATCCTGACAGTGCTTTTTATTTACTATTTACTGTACCATGCGCTTTGTATACTCATTTAGATGATTTATAATAACATCTGTAGAAAAGAGTCACAATGGTCTCAGACCATCAAGGTAACATTTCTACGGTGATAGAAGTAGAGCGTCACAGATTAAAATATATGCATGTATGTCAAGAAAACAAAAATTATTTTAATAAAATTTTAAATGATTTTTGTAGTTTTTAAAAATCACATCAAATTTTAAAAGAAAGTCAAAATGAACTAGTTTAAGTTCTTTTTCAGTAATTACCCTGTCACCTGTCCACCCTCTAATGGAGGTGTTAATGAGGAGTGGAACAGCCAAAAGGCAGGCAGCAGGGGGGCAATGAGTTTAAAAGAGCCCAGATAATCACAAACCCTGAAATAATTAGCAATTAGATTTATAAATATACACATATTGAGAGACAGATTTGACTCATTTTATTACATGCTTTCTGAGTTCAGCACACACTACTAGCTTCTCAGGGATAGGAGCTTCAAAGAATTCATAGATTTAGTCTGAACTTTAGACAAGCTCATAATCTCACTCTCTCTCTCTCTCTCTCTCTCACACACACACACACACACAGACACAGAATTGGCATTATAGCACATCTTCAAAAATACAGCAATAAACACAAATGAGTGAAGGCAAATGGCCACAGATACCCAGAGAATAAGAAGTAGAATATTAAAGAGAGTGTAACTTTGAAAAATGATTTACTTTCATAATATACTTTACATACTGAAAAAAATCATATCACAGAATACAAAGCTATGTTTCTCATCTGCCAGTCTTTAAAGCTAAATTAGAAACGCAAGGAAAATATAAATAGATGCAATGAACTAATAAATATGCAATAAATTCAAGGGCAATGAAGAACAAAGCACATACATATATCCCATATATATATATATATTATATATATAATATATATATATAATATATATACACAGAGAGACAGAGAGAGAGAGAGAGAGAGAGAGAAAGTATGAGTATGTGTATTTTCTTCTTCAGATATGTCTTTTCCTGTCTTTCTCCACATCCAGACTCTCAGCTTTTTGAGAGAAAATATATTTTATCTCATTCAACATTCCCAGATGCTAGGATGGGCCACATCTATCAATATATAGCAACCCACTCTAGGAAATATTCAAAGATTAGCATACATTAAGTAAATGTGGATGTCACGGAACAAAAAACATATCAATAACAAAAAAACACTTTTTTTTTTTTGAGACAGAGTCTTGCCCTGTCTCCCAGGCTGGAGTACAGTGGCGCGATCTCGGCTCACTGCAACCTACCCCTCCCGGTTCAAGCGATTCTTCTGCCTCAGACTTCTGAGTAGTTGGGACTACAGGTGCATGCCACCTTGCCCAGCTAATTTTTGTAGTTTTAGTAAAGACGGGGTTTCACCGTGTTGGCCAGGATGATATCGACCTCTTGACCTCGGACCTCGTGATCCGCCTGCCTTGGTCTCTCAAAGTGCTGGGATTACAGGTGTGAGCCACCAAGCCGGGCAAAAAAAATACTTTTTACAGAAGTTATTGCTTTGCAACTGCCAAAAAAAGTTAACTGTTGCTAAAGAAAGAGTTAAATTATTAAAGCTTATAAAGATGTACCTTCCAGTCTGAGGATCAAATCCAAAGTAATGGTCTTTGCATTGGTCACAACGTTGCCCAGCAATGGAAGCATCTTGGCAAACACACTGACCAGTCAGGCTATTACAGATGTGATTAACTGCACCAGTTGTATGGCATGAGCATGGCAGGCAGCCAGTGGCATTGCCTGGAGAAATATAAAAACCTAGAAATAAAGAAATTAAAAGTTTTATATATACTTTTTATCCACTCTTTTATTTAAAGCATAATAATTGATTACACAGAAAAACAGAATACTCTACCAAGGCACTAATTCCCAATACAAATGTGGTTATATCTGTCCTTCAGTGTGTCAATTATGACCAAAGAAAAACTGAGTAAATTATCTACATTGGACTTGGGTGCCTCCCAGGTCCTACAATTCAATGTATTTAAAATCTACCATGCAATATTTCAATATTTCTACAAAAAACTTGACCTCCTCTAATCAGCTCCATTCCAACAGATATTACCAGTCATTCAGTTGCTTTGCCTAGAACACTGAGGTACCTTTGGTAGGGCAGACTTATAAAATATAGGAAGCCAGTTACATTTGAATTTCTAACAAATAATGAAATTTTTTAGCAAAGGTGCAGCCCATGCAGCATTTGCTCAGACTAAAAAAAGTTATCTGAAATTCAAATTAAACTAATTCTGTATTTTACTAAAACAAAAGCTTGCATCCTCCACTTCTCTGACCCCCTATATTTTGCTAATTACCAAGTCCTATGGATGTTGCCTCCTAACAATTTTAAACCTTCCACTCTTCATCCCCGCTACGACCTCCCAGATAAAGTCACCAACCACTTTTTTTATAACTAATACTTCAAACTAGATGCTACTGTAGGGGCTTTATCTTGAGCATCTCATTTAGTTGTCATAGAAATGCAAATAATGCATGAATTATTATTACATCTATTCTGTCAATTGGAAAACAGAAGATTGAGAAGGTTAACACACTTTCCTAAAATGGTAGAGTTAATGGATAGCAAAACCCAGGTTTACACCCAGACCACCCAGTCCCGGAGGCCATCTCTTCTAATTGCATCCCTCTTGTCCTGTTCCAATCTATTCTTCGTAGCAGTCTTTTTCCAAAGTGCAGTTTGGACATTTCACTTCTCTATTTGAAACTAACTGATGACTTCCTATTCCCTTTAGGAAATAAATCCAAATCTCTCACTCAGCTTTCAATCCTACAGTCAGGTCCCAGCTACGTCTCTAGCTTTAGCTCATGGCTCATCCCCCCGCTCAGTCCATTGCAGTCATATTTGTTCCTCTTCTTGAGACCTAAAGGCCTTTTCATGGGCCGTTCTGTCTGCTGGGATGATTTTGACCTATCTCTGTTGCTCAGTTCACTCATGTAAGTCAGGTCTCGTGACTTCCTCAGGCAACTTTCCCTAGGCCAGGCTAGGTATACCTGTTACAAATGCATAGCATCCTGTTTGTTTCCTAAGTGTTCATGAAAATTATAATCAATCTCATTTCCACCAAAATCTAACTTCCATAAGGGCAGAAAACCCATCTGCTTCATTCATCATTGTCTCCCTAGCAGCCAGTACACTGCTTGGCACATAGTAGGCATTCCAAACACATTCGATGAACAAATAAAAATGAGTTCAATTATTAAACAGGCTGTGAGCCCTGCAAGTAGTACACACACAAAAAAAGCCTGCAGAATTTAGAGACTTTAGCTTACCTCTAAAACTCATATTTTTTTTCTTATGGAAAAAGGAAAGAAATACAAATATGATTCAAAAGTTTATTCAAATTACTTAAAATCTCTTCAGACCCAGGAGATGGAAGTTAACTGTTATAGAATTAGAAAGTTATCAGGCAGTTGAATGTGGAGCAGGCATATGAGGGAGAAATGGTTCTTAGTGTTGTGTGATGTGTGTGTTCATGTATGTGTACATATACATATACACACATGCACAGACCCATGGGTACACACACAAGCCCGTGCAAAATGCTGCAAAGAATTTTACTGAAACAATGGGGTAGAAGGATCACAGAAGGATTCTAATGAATACAGTTACAGCAAATAAAAATGAATTGTACAATTGTCATGACACTAATTTAAAGTTCATAAAATAGCAATGATATTGAAAGAAGGAGAGCATGAGCAAAAAGTGAATCTATTCTCTTATCTATTATATAGGGAACAGCAAAAAGTAATTAGGATACTCTAAAACTCATTCCAGGCTCTTGTTGAAAACAAGCCATTTTCTTATAGTTACCAACAATTGGGTTTTTTTCCTTCCCCTAGATCCTATACATTCTGTCTTACAAAGTTTCAAGGGCAGCAAAATAGAAAACATTGTGCTCAATGAGAGGAAAAGAAAGAGCTCAAAATATGTGCCATTCAGTTGGCGGAAATCAACTAATACTATCATTTTTATCATAATTTACAGCCAGGTTACGCTATTTGTTTATTTGTACCACCTGACAGCAATTTCCCTTATATATACATATCCAGAAATAGAGCATGGCCATGACAATTAGTATATATTCTTGTACCTGATTCATCACATGATCAAAGTCAAATTCAGAAGGCTTCCATTTAAATTCAAGGCCACTGTGGTTGTGATTCTTTGTATTTTTCTTCCTGTGAAGGTATCTAGGCCCTTAAATCCATGATGATGGCATCATGAATGTGCTAACAGCTCTCCAATTTGGATAAATTACCCATTAGCACAGATACTTACAAGTAGAATTAATTTAGACTTACTGCAATAGCTCCAAGCCACAGAGAATTTGGAAAAATTAAGGGTGATTTTTAGAAGAAATGATGTATTAGATAAACCTGTAAGTACAAGTAGGGGATAGCATTTTGGTGCAGAAGTTGGGTAGTCCAAGTTTTGGGGAATAAAGAATGTCACAGAAAAATCAGAAGTACAAGCAGAGAAGAACTAAAAAGATGCTAAAGCACCTAGGGAGACTGAAAGTGAAGGTAGGGCTTCCAGGAAAAGACTGCATGGGAATTTGCCTTGGGGTTAATTCCCCTCCTCCTCTCAGGAGCCTGATTATAAAGGTTAATCCCACCAGTATTTTAGCTGTCCTATTTTTAAGCAGTTCTAATTAGGATGACTCAGGTAACTTCCTGCTTAAAGATTACCTCTTGCCTTACCTGAATGTGCCTAATTCTAGACCATTACCTCCTTTTATGACTTCCAACTATAGAAAACAATCTTTTCCCTTCCCTTCCACTTAAACATCAACTCCTGAATGTGGCTTAATTATAACTGACCTCAATTTACTTTAATGTAATGCATTTCTGATACCCCTTTGTTAGCTCTTCTTCATGTTCCAAATCTTTATATATCTGTAGCATTGTAACTGATCATATTGAGATTTCATTCCATGAATGATTTTGTACCACATTCTTAAGCATGGTCATTAGGACAACATTATTACCTTGCATTACGTAGTGCTGAGAGTTCACATATACATGGTCCAAATCAGCTCGCTAGTTTATTATTTTCCCATATTATTTAGCTGACCCTTGGTTTTAGACATGACAAATCTCAAGTGGAAAAAAATGTATCATCCAGCTAAAACAAAGAGTCACCCATATTGTAAAATAGTGTGGCTTTGCCTAGGAGAAGAATCTACAGAGTTCAAAGTTATTAGCAAGGCAGCTGGTATTATCTCCTGCAGCGGCTATTTGCATAGCACAGTACTTGTCCTGGGCATAAAAGAAGAGCCCATTTCCCAGCAATGTCTCTCCTGAGGACCATGAACAACTAGGCTTTGCCAAGGTCTTGAGAGGGAGAAAGAAAAGAAGTGTAACCTCTAGGCTTTATTCAAGAAAGGAGGGCAATGCTGGGGCTAAGCACTAATTGTAAGACATTTAGAAGAAACTACTCTCACCTTAAGGCAGAAAATGGACATAATAGTTACACAAGAGCCTGGGGAGGGATGGGTGGCTCACCTATATCCATGCAACAAAAGACTATCTTGGTAATGGCTTTATGAATCAATATTTTCAATATTGTTGTATTGTTTGTAAACTATATTTCAGTATAGTTGATGATGGTAGTTTTCAAATTAAAACAATAATAATTTTCCTCCATTTGGTAGTTTTATATAAAATCACGCTAAAATTACTTCTAGACTTGATCAAGTGAATACATAAATATTAATATTATTCATCCCAAGGTATAATTTCTCTTTTTTAAAACAATTTTTAAGGGTTTTTCAATTAAATTAGGTATGCTTTAAATGTTCTGCTGTTATTTTTTTTTTCTGGGCTGCTACTCCCTTCTTGAGCAGCTTGCTGATTCCTATTTCCTTTTAAAAGTCAGTTCAGAAATCATTTTCTCTAAGTTCCTAAGACCCCTCATCCTTCAAGAATTAATCATTTCCTTCACTTTACTACTTCTCTATATTGTATATTTCTAATATGGCTCTCATCACATTGTGATACATTTACATGTGAGTCAGTTTCCCCTACTAAATCACAATGTCTTAGTATATTTGTGATTGTATACCTTAACACCAACATAGTCTCTGGTAATTTACTCAATAGATGTTTATTGAAAAACAGATGTATGAATGAAATGGATAGATAGCTGAATGGATGAATGGGTGGATAGATGGATAAATATCTTCTATCCTCTAAAATATGAGATGATCCCTTTAACACTGAAAAGGAAAATGGTAAACATAAATCTGTGAGTCATGAGAGTGGTTGGTCAGAGTGGCCTGTCCTATCAGGGAGTCTAGAGAGGAGTGTATATGGATCAGACACAATAAATTTAAAATATAGTGCTCGTCACAGCAACAGATGGAACAGAGCTGCAGAAAGAAAATGTCACCCTAAAACTATATCTTAGCTCTTAAACAAAGGACATAATAATATGCTCATGTAAGGGAAAACATTATTGGAATTTTCTGTTTCATAAATAATCCAATTTTTCTATTTATGTGAATACCCATGAAAGGCCCTCATTAACATATTCTCTAAGAATCAAATCCAATAACAACAAATAACCCAAATAATGACAACTCTGATTACATCTTGGAGATTATAATTAATATATGTATGTGTATGCATATTCAAAATCCACAGCAAAACTTATATTCTCTGTTCCCATTCAGTGTTTATCAAATGCATGCTCTAAAGCCTGTCTCCTGTGCCATTCCAACCATCTCCAGAATTTCTCCAACTAAGTTCTCGGAGATAATTCCATTTCTAGACCCCTTCAATTTACCTCATCATTATTTGAACTCTGTGGTTTCCCAGGACTCTGTTAATTTTCATTTTATGCCTACTACTTGGGTTTTGAACAACAAATGAGGTATCCCAGAATGTGAAGCAGTAAGCCAGAATCATGAGTTGAGGTATGCTTGAAAGTGGATGAAATAAACAGTATTTATCTAACTCACCCTCAAATATTTGTTGTGTGAATGTGTAAGATAAATATTGAGTTAGTTATTTAGAAAAAGTTCCACTCTTAGCTTGCAGTGAGCTGAGATCGTGCCACTGCACTCCAGCCTGGGCGACAGAGCAAGACTCCGTCTTAAAAAAAAAAAAAAAAAAAAGAAAGAAAAAGAAAAAGTTCCACTCTTTCAGAGTATACATTCTGGAGTCAGATGGACCTGGACTTATAAATGGCTCTTCTACTTAATTAGATTTCATTCCCCCAATTAGATTAAAATGAGAATAATCCCAGCACCTCCATCTTAGAAATATTGTGCATATTAAATGAAAGTTTGCAGGCAAAACCTTATCACAGAGCCTGGCACACAGCGGACTCTCAGTAAACATTATCTATTATCATCTTTGTAATTGTCAATTAGCAAGTTTTCTATGACAGAGAAATTTTTCTTATCAGTGTCTTTTACTTTTTTTTGTTTTCCAGATGTACCTAAGATTGTGGTCTGTATTTCCTGTGACAAGATTCCTTCCTGATGATTTATCAAGGAAGAGGTTCTTACTTTTAGATTCAGGTCTCTCTGTGAAAAACATGTTAACCTAGAAAGTTGTCTCACCAAACACTAGGAAATGTGGCATAATTGGATATCAACTTTGATGCATTGATTTTTAATGGAACATCAGCATCTGATTCCAATTCCATTGGCAGGGTCTTGTACACAATTCTAGTTTATGAGCTCATTACTTAATAAATATGATGTGCTACTTAATGAAACAAGATACTTTGTTTTATGAATTGTAAAAGAAAACCAAAAGTAAATACTAGGGGGAAGCAGGAGGCACTGCCCTATTAGTACAAAACATGTCATAGGAAGCTGTTTTCATTATAAATTAGCCTTTGTTTTATTCCAAAGCTACAGAGTCTTCAATATGCACTCTCTGCCTCTAGTTCTCAAGGACAAGGGTGGGTCACTGGCTCGGGATGCGTTGACATCCTTCCCTGCCTTCCTCGGCCTGGCCTCTGATTAAGTGCCTACTGCTGAACATTATAAGGTCATCCAGCACTGAAAAAGGGAACTGGGAAAACATATTTAGTGTTATATTTATTAGTGTGGATATGTGTACATTCATATATGTACACACACTCCAAATAATTTTAAATTAAAGCATTTTTAAAATACTTAATGGAGGTTAAGCAGCATTTTTAACCTCTGTTCAAGTTATTGAATGGCATATTAAAACCAATGTGTCTCTAATGTACCTTCTAATGTGCACTGCTGCTTTAACAAATTGCCTATAAATTTTACTTGAATTAAACCTATTCCTTGTACATTCGTAGTAAGGTTAGGTTAATAATACATGAGGTTTCATTACATGCACCTTCCTTAATAATGTTTTTTAGGAAAGTGGGACAAGAATCTATGTGCAGTCATCTACTATGGGTCAGCAGTATTTGCAATCACAGATGAAAGGGAGGCAGAAGTCCTTAAGCTTGCTACTCATCCCTTCCTACCCCATCCTTCTCCCTCCATGCCCCACTGCTCACACACCAGCATGCTGTCTGCCCCTGTGGTATATGATCTAGGTCTCTCAGACATGTTTAAATAAGTAAATGAAAGCTTCAGATTGTAGCAGCACATTTTACTGTGCACATTGCAGGGCTGGCTACTGCAAACATCTGTTTATGATAAAGATACTTCAGGATAAGGGTTTCTCTTTTCAATGCAAGTTTTACTGTAAGAGACCATAAAACCAGGAAAAAAAAAAACATTAAAGTGGAATTTCTGAAGCAAAACAAAAAAAATAAAAAATAAAAAATAAAAAAATGTCCACCCCAAAGCACACATTGCTCTTTTCGTGGGCTATGAATATGTGCAGACTATATCTTGTTTTGTTAAAAAATATATGATACTTAGGTCACTGTTATTTTTCCTCATTTGCAAGGTTGAACACAACGCTTTTCGTAAGTGTTGTGAAAAAAACACCACAGACCTTTGCTAGGCTCACACCTAAAAACAGGAGAATGCCACTGAGGTATTTTTGAAATATAATTATCCATTAATTCAGAAAATATATAGGGAGCACTGCTATGGAGGTACTTTTATACCTGCCTGAGATAGAGCATTGAACAGTTGTGAAGGACAGCAATGAGGCTTGTTGGCTGGAGAGGAAGAAATGATCTGAAGACTTGTGGAAATGAGGTCAGAGAGTTCATGGACATTATAGACCATGAGGATTATTAAAGAATATCAACTTTGTTTCTTATTAGCTATGGTGAAAAGCAAATGGAAGGTGGAGTGATGGGATGTTACTCAAGTTTGAACAGCATCACTTTGGCTGTCTGTTGAGAAGTGATGGAAGAAAGATAAAGGGGAGTAGGAGGCTACTTGAATAGTCCAGGAACAGAGGAAGGTGGCTTGGACCTGGCTGGTGTAAGTAAGGGTGGCAAGAAGTGGTCAAATTCTGGATATACTTGAAGGTAAAATCAGCAGAATTGGTTTTATTAGATGAGACAAAGGTTGTGGGGAAAAGAGAGGGCTCAAGGATGTCTGCAAAGATTTGGTCTGAAAAGATTAAAACCTCAAAAACACTAGGGGAACATTGTCAGTAAAACATGGTAGATTGAATAATGTTTCCCTCCTGAAATCCCCAGAGATGAAATAAACAAAAAAAAAAAAAAAAAAAAGAGAGAAGGAGAAAAATGACAATCAATTATAGATACCTATAAGAAAAAGCTAAGCTCTTGCAGTGGAGAGCCCGACAATAAGCTAATTTATTCAAGTTGTGTAACTCTAGACAGAAAGGTTTGGAATTGAAAGCCCCAGAGATTTCCGAAGTCAGATATAAGGTGTGCTAAATACCTTCCCCAACCAGGAAGTTGTCCCTCTTACACTTCAGGAAGATGCAGTAAGCTTTTCCTTTAGAAGTTAAACTAAAGAAAGTCTGGACTCAACAAGTATGTAAACAGGCATTATGTGAAAGGTTGCTTGTGATTGTTGATTTTATGCATCAACTTGGCTAGGCTTGGTGTCCAACTGTTTGGTCGAACATGAGTCTAGATGTTGCTATGAATGTGTTTGCAGATTTTCTCAGAACATAAGAACCATCACTGATAGGCAAAAGGGTCCACTGAGTGCCCAGGGATATAGAGATGGTAAAAACTTCCAGGTCGTTAAAAAAAAAAAAAAAAGTAGAAAAGAAGAAAGAATCTGATTAACATTGCTAACAGCTAATGGTACAACCATTTAAATTTTTTTAATGAAAAGTTTTCATATAATAGTAAAATTTCAAATCGTTCTTTATGTTTAGACACTTGTAGACAATAAAGACACTTCAGATATTCAAAATTTTCTCCTCAAATTACTTCCCTCCTTGTATTCTTTTTCAGAAGCTACTAGAACATGTGCTCTACCAAATACACAAATAAACCAAGAAGAGAGAACGTGTAGGATTCAGGAAATGGAGGATCCAACATAGGAGACAGGGGAAGGAAATCCCTAGTATAGCAGCAAATGTTAGCCCTTGGATATAGCTGTGCAACAGAACTAAAGATCAACCAGCCTGAACTTCCCACTCATATATCTAGTGGGAAAAAACAAAACCTGATAGATTTCTTGAACAGAGTTCCCTTGGAGAGTTTTGTTTCCTAGAAATGCCAAAGAGAGTCCTGAAAAACTAAGGAAGACAAATTTTTTGAGCAAAGAAAATATAGTCAAATCATATTATATGGCATAGCTGTACAGTAAATTTATATAGTCATAATAAAGAAATCTCTGAATACTGATTTAACCAAATAAAGGGATTGCTAAGCAGGAGGTGAAAGGAGCTAAACATTCATCTTCTATAGGAGGAAGACAATAGATAATATCTACATTTTAAAAATCAAGGTGAAATATATGTAAAACCCAGAATTACAGACATGAAAGCCCAGAATAAACATCTAAAGGAGTTGAAGGTGTTTTCTCTAAGCACGGAAATTCCTAGGAAAATGATAAGGCAGGGCTCTTTACATTTTATTTGGTTTTTTAAATTATGCAAATGTAAATTTTGATTAAAACTCAAATTATGTTAAACAATGGCAATACTGGATAATAATACTAAATTTTCTTCATGCAACCCCCTCCTGGTCTCCTTTCTCTTTTCCTGGCTCTTTTTTTGGAGGACTTTATCTGGTATATATTTGTCTTTTTGTTTTTTTTTTTTTGAGACGGAGTTTGGCTCTTGTTGCCCAGGCAGGAGTGCAATGGCGCCATCTCTGCTCACTGCAATCTGTGCCTCCCAGGTTCAAGCGATTCTCCTGCCTCAGTCTCCCAAGTAGCTGGGATTACAGGCATGTGCCACCATGCCCAGCTAATTTTGTATCTTTAGTAGAGATGGAGTTTCACCATGTTGCTCAGGCTGGTCTCAAACTCTTGACCTCAGGTGATCCACCCGCCTCAGCCTCTCAGTGCTGGGGTTACAGGCATGAGCCACCATGTGCGGCCATTAGGAGAATAACTTCTTAGTCACGATTTGCCTAAGTACAGACGCAACAAAACTCCTTTCCAAAGGTTTATTGCAAATTGTCTTCTTTTCTTTAGAGGAAGATGTAGAATGGGCATCAACACTAATACTGAAAAACAATGATCACATTTAAAGTATTATCGTATTTTATTTACTTGTGCAAATGTCTTATTTCCCTTGTTAAAGTTTCAATATCTTGAGGGCAAGGATTACCTTATTCAACTTGCATAACTACAATAATAATATAATTCCTCACTTTGGGAGGCCTAGGCAGGCAGATCACGAAGTCAGGAGATCGAGACCATCCTGGCTAACACGGTGAAACCCCATCTCTGCTTTAAAAAAAAAAAAAATACAAAAAATTAGCCAGGCCTGTAGTCCCAGCTGCTCGGGAGGCTGAGGCAGGAGAATGACATGAACCTGGGAGGCAGAGCTGGCAGTGAGCCGAGACTGCGCCACTGAACTCTAGCCCTCTAGCCTGGGCGACAGAGCTAGACTCCATCTCAAAAGAAAAAAAAAGAAAAAAAAAATATATATATATGTATATATAATTCCTTGTACATTGTGGGCACACAATAAGGGGTTCATTTAATTGACGATACTGAGAAATAATCAGGAGTTTTAACAAGGTCATCTCATTGGGCTGCTTTTTAAAACAGGCACTTATGATCTTAAATGAGAAAAAATGCAAAAGAGAAAAACAGAAAAATGACTAGTTTTAGATAATAATATAAAAAGAAACAGGTTGATAATTTCTTTCACTTCACCATTCCTCCTTTTAAACCACTTACTGTTTCCATTGCAATAAAATATCAATGTGACTTCACTTGTACAATATAAACATGGCTACCCAGTTCACCTTTCTGGAAACTAAACACTGATATAAAAGTGCTAAATAAATAGTCTATTTGGTAACCTCGATAATATCTTAAACTCTTAGCAAGAAAGAAACATAATTGAGTAGAGCCACAGATCCAAAAATCATCACTATTTAAATTCATATCATATATTTATTTGCAAATTATTCTGTCAGTTTCCCCATCAAAATTTAAGCTCACTGAAAGTACCGTTTGCTACTACACATAAAATGTTCTCTGATTAAATTAAGAACTCAACAGTACCCAGAAGAAAATGATTTCTCAGTAAGAGAAATGTTTATCTATATGAAAATAACTGCACTGTTCAACAAAATATAATAATCCAAATCTGTAGCTTGATCATTCTAGCTTTTCATAACCAGGTTAATATCCTGGGTCAATAACTCAGCAGGGCCACTATAAACTGTAGCATGTCCTTGGAAGGAAGAGTGACTAGAATAGCAGTGAGTCTATAAGGCAAAGCATGTAAGAAACAGTCGAAGATCCCAAGAAGGGATTTTGTGCATATATTTCCTCAGGACTCAAGAGGCCTTCATTAACTTTGGCTGATTTTTTTAAAAAATGATAATAATGGGATCTATCAATAAAAGTACAAAACTCATGGTCATTAAAAGCATCTATTCGGAAGTTGACTAATGTTCTGCCAGCTAATTTTTTTAGGTGTAGGACATTCCTAGTATAGCCAAGGCTGTCTTCAAGGATCAATCTCTTTCTTACTCCTTATAATAAAAGAGGCCCCAAGTTTTAAATATATACCTTGATATTCAGATAGAGCATCTATTTGCCAGCCTCTTTTGCAGTGAGGTATGGATATACAAAGCAGCTCTGATCAATAGGATATGAGTAGAACTGATACAGGCTCCACTCAGGTAACAGCTTAAAGATAAATCTGCTTACCCCTGGCTAGAAATGGACAGTTGGAAGAAAATATGGAAGTTCCCTGTAGAGAAGGACAGGGGAATGCCTTTAGAGAGTCAGTAAGCTGAAGAAATGGAGCTCCAAATATGTTTTCTCAGTCTGGTACATTTTCTACTAAATATTTTACAATACGCTGTTGAATTTTTTCAGTAAATAAAAATATTTTCACCATGTTTAATGCTCCCTACTCTTAACTCATTGACTTCATTTATAGGTCCATATGGTCTTCAGAAAAAAGAAGCATAATTATGGGGTAATTACAATGAGATCTGTATTATTATTTCTTGAACATAAACCTCTCTTCAAGGTCATATAATAAATTGAACATGAAGACAATAGAAGCTTGAGCACATTTTCAAAAACACCTTATTTTCAAGTTTTCTATAGGTTTGAGTTAAACCACCTCTTAAAACACTGATGCTCATGTCAACTTTGTTGTTCACTGAGTGATGGAGAATTTTAGGCAGTATGTTGAGTAGTAAAACTAGTCAGAGGATGCCAACTAACATTGAAAAGGAGGATTATACTGCATTCCATGTCGGGAAAGGAGAATGAACCAAAGCATCAGGTAGATTGAAATCGGCTCTGCATGTGACATGTGTAGCTCCAGTGAAGTGGCTGCAGTGACTGAAGAAGATGGGAGAAAGGGAATATCAGGAAGCAAAGCTAGGTGTCTAGACTGCGACTGGAAGATAAAAACTCATAAAGGTTTGCCCAGATTGGACTCAAATGATAAGCAAAATAAAACCCATTTTTGGTAACCCTACAGGAGAATGACATAACGAATTAAGTGCTTTAGGGGAATTATTCTGCCAATACTATATAGGGTAGACAGGAAAGAGCCATAGATTTGGGTGGGAGAAAAGGGCTTAGAGTTGGGAACAAAGAGATCACCACAATGAGAGCCACAAAGATAAAGGAAAGAGCAATGAAGTCAGTATTTCTTCATCCTAGGAAGGGAACAAATGAGACAGTCTTATGCATGGTGTAGATTAAATTATCCATGGCTTTTTCTGCAATGATATGCAAAACAACCAGAAAAACAAAGGTTTTCTAACAATTTTAGTTCATCATTTAGATATCTGGTAGGTGTACAAAGTATTGAGATGATGGATTGGGTCTTTCATTGGAAGGACCAAAGGGAACAAATGTTTGTAACTATGATTTCAGAGTTTTTCCAAAATC
Organism: Homo sapiens; assembly: GCF_000001405.40. Lineage (NCBI taxonomy): Eukaryota > Metazoa > Chordata > Mammalia > Primates > Hominidae > Homo > Homo sapiens. The sequence goes on from NC_000001.11 coordinate 216,244,832, forward strand.
AGAAAAATTGTTTAAAACATGTGACTTGTATTATACATACAATTAAAGTTAGACTGGAACAGTAAATTTTAACAATTGATAATTACTCAAAAGGATATAACATTTGATCTATTAGCTTGTTTTGGTTTACTTAGAAAGAAGGATGTATAAATCATGGTTATTTGACTGTGTAGGAGACAAAGGACTTTGTTGCCAAAATTAGAGATATTGATAAACACTAAAAGAGAAAAAAACATCTCATCTTAGGATATCAAAAAGTTAATTGATTGCAAATTTGAAAGGATTAACCTGAAGGTAAAAAGAGTGAATGTGCTGTATCTGTCATTTAGGCTGTCTGCCCAGGTCTCCATAATCTTCCTGTCTTCTGGGATACTTACCACCTTGCTTCTACCTGATGAAATGGTCCCTAAAAGCTATACTCATTTTATAAGTACGTGACACCCCTGGCCACAATGAATTGGCTCAGAGGTAACCAACCAAACAAAACTGAGTCAATTCGAATTTTCCTCTAGAAATTATAACTAAGAGGTAGCTAATAAATCGCTCTGTTGTGGCTGGTGGTAGAATTATAAACAATTTCAGGGGACATAGGGTGGCCATATACCCATGTAGAGAAAGAGAGAGGTAAAGTCCCCTTCTGAGAGAGAGAGAGAGAGAGAGAGAGAGAGAGAGAGAGAGAGAGAGAGACAAATGAATATGTATCAGTGGAAGCATTCTAATTCCTGAGTCCTGACTGCAGTGGTCCTTCTCCTTAGGTTTTTATGGAGTATCTAGTTATAATATAGTCTCCATTTATGTTTAAACCAGTTCAAGTTGTTTTTTAATACTTACATCACAAAAAGAATGAACTCTTCATCAATTCCTTCTTGTCTCTTTGATCTTACACACTGACCAATGCCAAAGGAAAAGCATGGCCCAATTATCCTAGGCTGGATTCTTTGCTATGTTAACAGAACTTTTGTTCTACTCCTTCTCTGGCAAGCAAATCACACTTTTGAGTTGGTATCATGCTCATTTTTATAGACCCATATAACTCAGAGCTAATATTGGCTGACAGGACAACAATTAGCACAGCTGTTAAACAACGGATAAGTACTTATATTTATCATCATATCATAATGAATTTATTGTAAAGAAGGTATAGTATTTTAGTTAAAATCTTAAATGTAAGGAGAGCCATAGATGGGGTCTATCCCTCTCCCAATTGGGAAAGAGATGGAAAGATAAGTTTGTATATAATGAGATTAAACAGTGGCCTATTTTATTAATTTGATGGCATGTGGAAACAATTCTAGGTATTTCTATATAAAACTAGAACATATAGCCTCTTCAGCAAAAACATTTAGCCAGCTTTATTCAGAGATTTAGTTCATCATTTGAATATTTGGCATTGTATGGATATTCAACTCAAATTTTCCTTTCTCTGGAAAATAAAATTGACTCTTGTTGATCTGATTTTTAAAAAACTGTTAAAAAGGAGATTTACTTCAAGTGTAGAAATTGAGTCTCAATTATGAAATAAATCCGATCGGCTGAGTTTTATCTAAAGTATCCTCTCAAAATAGTAACATAAATATGCAGATAATTTTGAATAAGTTAAATAGTTATATATGTGTTGGATAATGATATAAATACAGTAATGATTTTGGAAATAAAATTTGTAGAAGCCACAAACCAGAAACAGGGAGAAGTTACCTAAGTTAACAAAAGGAATGTCATTGTGCACTGAAAATGTAATACATTTCTTTCTTACCTGGTTGACACTGATTACACCTTCTTCCTTGACGATTAGGCACACACAGGCACTGGCCACTGATTGGGTCACAAATGGTCCCAGGTAATGTCCCCAAGGAATCACACTCACACATCTGGCAGTGTTGAAAATTGTCAATGGTCAAATTGTACCTGTGAGGCTCACACTGATTACAGCGAAGACCTGTTACCCCTAATTTGCAAGGACATTGTCCTGTTGATTTGTTACACAGCAGAGAGCCATTTATTGTCCCAGTCTTATCACAGTTGCAAGGCAGACAGAGGAAAGAATTATTTTGCCGTAGGTAGAAGTTTCCCTCCAAACATTTATTGCACTGTCTCCCTTCAACATTGGGCTTGCAGATGCACTGCCCTGTCTTAGCATTACAGACAGTCCCAGGGAGGGATCCAGCTGTGTCACAGTCACAGGCCTTACAATTGGTGACATCTAACCCATAAAAGTTTTCTCTGCAGGTGTCACACTGAAGTCCTTTGGCTTCTTTTTTGCACTCACACTGCCCAGAGTGAGGATTGCAGAATTTGTTCACTGAGCCATGGAGGTTACACTGGCAGGGCTCACATCCAACATCATTAAAGCTTCGGAGAAATTTAAATCCAAAATTGCAATGATCACACCTAAGCCCTAAAGATAAAATATATTTAAAAGGTGAGGATGGGAAAATGATTTCATTCAAGATAGACGAGACACAAACAATGCTACTGCAGATGATACGAACACAAAATATTGAGTGTTTTCTCACAAGCAATGCCATAGGGGGCCAATCTTACTCTCAAAATTCAATGACAATATTTAATTTAGCTTTAATATACAACTGTTTGCGATGAACTTCATAAATTTTTAATTATTACTTAATGCAAAGAAAAATGCTTAATGCAAATGTTGTTTCTGTTACATATGCTGGAGCTCTTTTTCTCTTTAACAAATCTTAAAAACTATTTTAACAAATGTGCTCATTTAAAATTATAGTAGAATTACATATAACAAATTAGTTGTTTTTCTAAAGATAAGAAATCTCTAAAGATGTTTAATAAAAGGTTAAGCTGAGTACAAAGTTTCAGCTAGACAGAATGAATAAGTTCTGGAGCTCTATTGTACAGCATGGTGACTATACTTAATAATAATGTATTGTATACTTGAAAATTGCTAAGAGATTAGATCTTAAATGTTCTCACCCCAAAAACATGATAAGTACATGAGGTGATGGATACATTAATTAGCTGGAATTAATCATTTTATAATGTGTACATATATCAAAACATCATGTTGTCTGCCATAAATATATACAATTTTTATTTAATTATACCTTCGTGAAGCTGGGAAAAAAGAAAAAAATGTCAGCTGATAACTATTTTTGTGAAAACAGCATATACACTTATTTCTGAATCCACACATTTAAGTAATTAATATAAATAAAACTTATCCAGGGCAATTTTTGGTTTAATCCTTTTGTATGCTCCTCTATTTTATCATTTTCAATTAATATAAATCATGCTCTCCTTGGCTCATAAAGCAATCACATTGCTTGTCATCTTGTGTGACTCAGAACATACCTCTTTAAACACTAAGTAAATTCTGTTTTTTATATTACTTCTATTTAAAGGAGTACACATATACATTTTACGAATGAAGAAAAATGTTTTATCACCTAAACTTAAATCTCTGACAAGTAAGGTTATTCTAAAAGATAAAAGGGTATTACAAGGCAAAGAAATAAAAAAATTAGAATAGTAAATGTTTAGATGCAAAATACTTCCTTTAGATAGTTTCCAAATATCCATGAATTTAAATAACTCACTGCATGGGTTGAATCAACTGAAACATTTATTTCAAGCTATAATTGCAATTTAAAAATTAATCTTAAAATAAGAGTCAAAAACATACTCAGGAACTCATATGTAGAAAAGCATTTCCTAAACTGGAAGGAAATACATAATATATATGTATATATATGGATAAAAATTCAAGAACTCCAATGAAGGCAAGTTCTTTAACAGTGATGAATGACTCACCTAAGGCATATCATTTAATTTCAATAAGGAAAATAAAAAAGGACCACTATTGCTGCAAATTTTAAAAATAACTGTATTGTTAACAAGAATTATGACTCATTTTGAACTATTAAAATTGGTCTACATGGATTCATATCATATCAGTTTTAAAAATATGCACAGTGCTTATTTGAATATGCCATACATATTCCTGACAGGTAATCTATTCCTAACGATAGTCAGGAAGGCCTACAGGGCATCACATTCGGTGTTAACAAGTACAGGCGAGTTAGCACACTTGGCATTTAATTCACATTCTTCTCCCTTTTTATTCTAGATGAATGACCTACTTTAATAAAATTATTGGTGCTAATGTATTTTACTGGTGATAGAATCATTAGTAAGATTTAACAGTTTTGTTAACTCTAACAGTTTGCTTTCTGAAGCGTATACAACATACACTTGTATTTTCTGGGCTTCTTTTTTTTTCATATTAACAAGGTGAAATTGAATAAAGTTACTTGCTGATCCCATTAGGAAAGTAAATATATATGCATATCAAGTTTTTGTTTTTATAAAAAGTACTACATTTGCAGAAATAACACTAGAAATAATAATTATTTATAATACTGAAGTAATTTAGTCTTCACAAAATATATATTTATGTTTCCTGCAGAAAACCATCTGGATCAATCAACAAAACAGGCAAATAGTAGGGATGGCATTATACATTCTAAATTAATTTTGATTTTTCCCTTCCTCAAGCTCTGGAATCTAACCATCACAAGAAAGATTCCATTGATACAAAGAAGTAATTATTTCACTGTCTTTAAAGGTCTTGCTTTAACTTTTGTTTTCACATCTTGAGTTTAAAATATATCTCACATTAAAGAACAAAGGATGCCATACAAATTGAATTCAGGGTCTTAGAATTCCTTCAGCATCATGGATAGCACATACAAATATGTACTTCTCTTTACACGTTATTCTTTCTTTCTAAAAAATTAGTTTCTGTATGCTTGAGATGCATATAGGTAAATTATGGTACAGATTTTCATGTAATGTTTCTTTAAACCAGAGAAATCTCGTGTAATGCCACTAAACACACCTACATTCTCTTTATTAAATTGAAACGCTTGTCTAGCTGAATTGTGTAGCATGATGTACACTTACATAAATAAAAGATAAAGAATTAGATTTAGAGGTATATCACAGAAATGAAAATAGTATTCAGAATGATATGTACATATGCATGTGTACATGTAAGCATTCGTGTGTGTGTGTGAGAGAGAGAGAGAGAGAGGAGTGTGTGTAATCACTGCCAGGCATATTTTTACTATTGTAAGGTTCAGGTCAGTGTTAGAAAAACCATGGATGACTTGGTGTCTTGAATGACAATAGAAAGGCAAAGGTCTTTTTTAAACTTCCTATAGGAACCAAGACATATTCAGTTACAATACAGGGCTCACTTCATCAGGAAACTTTCCTCTCATAATATTCTCATATATCAAAATTTCAAAGTGCATTATGAACATAGTGCATTTTAGGCACTTGATAAATTTTGTCCTTATGTGGCGGTGGTTCCCCTCAAAAATGTTGGATGTAATAAATTGCTATAATCAAATCTAATTTCCGAAAAATACCTGTGGGAGTAACAAACAAAAAAGCACGTCTTGTATAAAAAAATGATAAATAACACCGAAGGCAGCTGTTTATTATAATCAACTTGGTGCTGAATTACAAAATTAAAATTATGTAGCCCTTTGTAAGTAACCCTAGCAATATACATGATCTGTAGAATTATGTTGACTTATTTTGCATTTCATAGGAACAGTTCAAAGAAATATAACAGAAAAAAATGGAAAGATTTATCACAAAGGACCCTGTAGCACAGAATATTTTGAAAAAATCCACTTATTTTGGTCTATTAAGAAAACTAGCATGGAAATGATTTGCTTAGAACTCATTAAGTGTAAAACATTTTGAAAAAGTGCTAATTTTCTAAAAGAAACATCTATGCAGTAAGCAAATTATATTTTTCTATGACTTATTAGTATGGGACCATGGGAATTAATGCATCTACAGAATAAAGAAACTTCTAAAGGGTTGATTAAACTAAGCTTCAAGCTGCAGTTTGATAGAATTATTAATTTAATCATTTTAAACAGTTAATTTCATCCAAATTGTTTTTTTTTCCAGCCTGTCTTGAGCAAAGAAATTTGCTTTACTCTTCAGTTAAGAAATCAAATAGAGAATTTTATTCCAGATGGTAATAGAGATGTGACTGTAAACTTTTGCGTTACACGTACCAATAACGTTTGCTTTGCACTTGCACTGGCCTGAATTTTGGTGACAGGTAATATCTCCATCCACTGTCCCAGAGGTATTGCAGTTACAGGGACTGCAGCCATCAGGATCCAACTCTTGTAGATTGTAGAATCCATTCTGGCACTGATTGCACTGCCTGCCAGACACGTGTCTCTTACAATTACACTGTCCTCCAATCTAGAGAAGATACAACATTTTGTAGAATGATGAACGTATCTATTTTTAGATAATTTGCTCATTAGGTACAAGACAGGGAGGGAGGGAGAAGAAAACTAAATGTTCAACAGACAAGAAGGTAATAAGATATTTTTCCTCTTGACACACAACATGGGAGGCTTCAGCAGGGGGAATATACAGAACTGAATGAAAATAAAACCCATAGAAGTTAGTCGTATAAGAATAAAAGGGAAATGGGGAATTAACCATTCAATGCTATATAAAGAAATAAAAATATAAATATGTAGAGACTGAAAATAGAAAATAGTCAGCAGTTAATTTAGTCTTTAGGACACCACTTCCCCTTTTTTTTTTTTTTTTTTTTTTTTTTGAGATGGAGTCTCGCTCTGTCACCCAGGCTGGAGTGCAGTGGCTCAATCTCGGCTCACTGCAAGCTCCGCCTTCTGGGTTCACACCATTCTCCTGCCTCAGCCTTCCGAGTAGCTGGGACTACAGGCGCCCGCCACCACGCTCAGCTAATTTTTGTAATTTTAGCAGAGGCGAGGTTTCACCATATTGGTCTTGATCTCTTGACCTCGTGATCCGCCCGCCTCGGCCTCCCAAAGTGCTGGGATTACAGGCGTGAATCACTGCACCCAGCCCACCTCTCTATTTTATTCCTCTTGTTTACTGTCTCATTGATTTAAACTTGTTTTGTACATGCTAGGTATTTAAATTAAGGGAGAATCTTTCTATAATGATATAATGATATCATCCCATAAACAGTGTAACAATGTTTAATGTTATTTGTTAATAGAATTATTTATGCCTATTGATATTGATCCTAATACATTTTTTTCTTACCCAACTCCCCTTTTAGGACTATTTCAGCCTATTTATGATTCATTTCACCACATTAAATATACTTAGCTGATTTATATTGTGATAAGAAATTCCAAAAATGTTTCTTGTTTTAAAGCATTTTAAAGCAAAATAACAGCTAAAACACTGTGTCATTTTATTCTTTAAGCATCTGGTTTGAAAAGAATGCAAATACATAAAATACAGTGTTCATCTACTACATGCATAGTTAATACTGTGTTGATTAAAGAAAGATAAGAACTAAACTCTTCATAAGTGGACATATGTATATAAAATGTCAAATAAATATGAGAAATTTAATAACTCAGGACTCTAACACAGCAATGTGGGTACAGACTTCAAATCTCTTTTATAGTCCCTGACATTTTCCCCACTGATTTTCTTTCACTTGGATTGAATCCAGCTCTTCACATTTGGAGGCAGAGTTACCATAGAGGGAAGTAACCTACATGTGGAAAGATATTATTTGATTTATATTTAATTTCAAGGATATTTAAAAATATCTAGGTTGGGATTCAGTTACAAGATATAGTGAAGGACTTAGAAATTAAATAATTTTTAAAGAACTATCACTGCCTCAATTGTCCTCATCCAAGAAATAGAGACTCACTGGAAGCTTTATTTAAGGATAATTAAGACAATTGATATGAAAATATCTAAGACTGAAAAATAAATGGTTATATGCAAACCAAATGTAGTTGTAGCTAATAATGAACCTCAATATCAAAGATGCATATAGGTTTAGAAAGATGAGTGAGAACAATGAATTGCCTTCTTGTGCCTGGCTGTTTCTCAGTCTTATTCAGATCTAGTCCAAAGGATACAAAATCATTACTCAAGACAGAGATTTGATTCAGCCTACAAAAATAGATGGCATTTATTGGTGGATATGTGTAACATATAGGCATACCATGAAAATCCAATAGGCGTGTGGGTACATACTTGTAACACTTCAAGTACATCAACCCATAACTCAGGCCTGAGTCTTTGCTGGTACTTTACAGGATCAGTCCTGTTCTCCAAAGAGATAGTAAACACCTTAAGGCATTGGACATATGTGATGTTTCCGTCAAAGAATAATCTTAAACATTACATGTAAACAATACTTTTTCAAAGAGCAAGGAAGTGTGCAAAAGGTAAAGAGAAATAAAAGTGCAAAACCTTTATCTTTTATATGTTTTGTTATTTTTTCTTTTTTTTTTTTTTGAGATGGAGTTTAACTCTTGAAAAATGATTGAAACAGACATTTAAAAATGCCTGCAAATTTGGAGTACAATGGTGCGATCTCGGCTCACTGCAACCTCCGCCTCCCAGGTTCAAGTGACTCTCTTGTTTCAGCCTCCCCAGTAGCTGGGCCACCAGGCACGGCTAATTTTTTATCTTTTTAGTAGAGACACAGTTTCACCATGTTGGTCAGGCTGGTCCTGAACTCCTGACCTCAGGTGATCTGTCCGCCTCGGCCTCCCAAATTGCTGGGATTACAGACCTGAGCCACTGCACCTGGCCTTGTTGTATTCTTATTTACATGTAATGCATGTATCATCTGGAGCGTCCTTGCCTTTTGAAATCTAGATAAGGCAGCCTATGACCCTAATTCCATCCCTGAATGACAGAAGTCCTCCTTAAGTTTATAAGAATTCTATGCGTATTGATCATTTCGTAGTCGCCCTGACCCTACACTTCTGCTTCTTCCATTTTGAAGTCTTTCTGGCTTCTGCCAGCACTGCCCTATGTCACCCAGAGGTGAAACTCAGCTAATGCCTCAATTTCAAGAAGTCTTGTTCAAAACAAACAAACAAATTGTAGTCGTTAAACCTTATTAAAGATTCGGGGTAAAAGAGGAATTAAATCATTACTTTGCAATTCATAATATCCCTTTAGTTTCCCTATAGCTAGAGATTTTCATTGGCACTCCAATTACCTACCATCTTGCACTCCAATTATCTACCATCTTCTGTGGCTTCTCTCTTCTTCCTCCTTGCTCTGCTATAAAGCATATTCACTTTTTTCTATACACCTGACTTTACATGGTCACTTTTTCACAGACATCTCAAAAGTGTATAATATTGCCTTGATTCTTGCCAAAACCTAAGTCTTATCGAGATATTTTTGTCAATAAAAACAATTCTTTCTATATGAACTCTGCCACAAATTAATAAAATAACAAGTTTACTCCCATTTCATTAATCTCTCTGTAACACATATAGATTATAATTTCTGTATATTAACTATATCTTAAAATGTAGTTTAAAAATAAAATAAAGCATTATTATTTTTAAAAATGTTAACTTTAGTCAGTTTCCCAAGATTCAACTGAAAATACCCAGTTTACTTCTATAGATTCCACAGTTGTAGATTCTACCTTTTTAATGTGAGAAAATACAAATCTACTCATACTCTAAAACCAATTGCTGTCCACCAAGAAGTAGAAAGAGAGAAAGGCATTCCCCTTTCCTTTAAAAATACACTAAGACACTCTTTGGTACGATCCTTCCACAATAACTCTAGATTGACCTATTGGTTTTCTTCGGCCAAATACTAGCACATATAATGCTTGCAAATATGATTCAAACAGACAATTTAAAATGCCTGCAAATTTAGAGTTCATTCTTTCTTGCTGGGCTTGGAACTCTGAGATCACCTTGTGAGCAAGCTCATGCTATCCTGCTGGAATATTAGAGGTTGGATGGCAGAGAACTGAGGTGCCCCAGCTAATAATTGCTCCTACTGTCCCAGTGAACAGCCAGCTTGCCAACCACCACATATGAGAGTGAGGTCTTCCTATCTAACTGCTGCTTGACCAGCTAGCTAATCACAGACAAATGAGAGAGCCCAGAAGAGGTTGGACAAGCCAGTGCACACCAGCACTGAGCCAAACCATAGAATCCTAAATAAATACGCAATTTTTATTGTTTTTAGCCACTAACTTAAACAGCAAACGTTAATAGATAAAATATCATTGACCAGAACTTAAACCACATTTCTACACCTAGCTGCCAAGGAGACTGAGAAATGTAGTTTATTCTCTATGATCATGTGATCAACTACTTCTGAGCTTTCTTTTACTAACATGGAAGGAAATACAGATAAAGCAGTACAATTACTATCTCTGATAACAAACAAATATCTATTCACAGTTCAAGCCATGGAGATTCTCCTGCTCTTTATGGCTTAAAATGCAATCTTGGTCTTATAAATTTGGGTCTTGCCTGAATCACAATTTTGGCCTTAACATGCTTTCAGCCACAAGAGCAGAGAAAAGAAATGATCATCCCCATGAGATGCAGTTAGAAACTCAGAAATAGCTTTCATTAGCCTGGCTTGGGTCTTCCCTTCTTTTGCTAGTTTTGTAAAGTAGAAGATATTTCTTTGAAATCTTCATCCTTTCCTAGCATAGGCATTTAGTGCTATTAATATACTACTAAGTCCTGCCATATTGGGTATCTCACAATTTTGTTATGCTGTGTTTTCATTTTCATTCAGTTCAAAATACTTCTTAATTCCTCTTTGGGTTTCCTCTTCTAATCTTGGATTATTTAGAATTTTGTTAGTTAGTTTCCAAATATTTAGAGTAATTCCAGGTTATTTTGTTATTGATTTCTAATTTAATTTAACTGCAGCCCCATAATGTACTTTATATGATTTGAATTCTTTTAAATCTATTGAGGCTTGTGTTATGGTTCAGAATTTGATTTATTTTGGTAGATGTTTTGTGTAGGCCTGAAAAGTAGGTGTAGTTTGCTGCTCTGTTGGGTTGAATGTTCCATAACTGGCCATTGGGTCAAGTTGGTTGACAGTGTTGTTCTAATCTATAGATTTACTTATTTCCTGTCAGTTTGTTCTATTAATTATTGAGAGAAGGGTATTGAAATTTTTGCCGACAAATGTGGATTTTACTTTCTCCTTCAGTTACGTTAGTTTTTGCTCTGTGCATTTTGAAGCTCTGCTGTTGGTACAGAAATATTAAGAATTGTTATGTCCTATTGACAAAATGACTCCTTTTGCAAAATGAAATTACTTTCTTCATCCTGGGCAATATTTTATCTTGGACAAAATTTCTAAAAATTCATGTTTTCTCATATTAATAAAGTCACCCTAGATTTCTTATGATTAGTGTTCACAAGATTTATCTTTTCCAACATTTACTTTTAACCTAGTTGTGTCTTATACTTAAATATCTTTTCTGTAAGCAGCATATAGTTAAGTTGTACTTTTTCCTTTTTTAACCAATCTTCCAATCTGTATATTTTAAGTGGAGTATTTAGAATATGTAAATTTAGCATTATTATTGATATGATTATGTTTAAATCTATTATCTTGATATTTCCTATTTGTCCCATCTGCTTGGGATTTCTTTTTTCCTTTTTTTTTTTTTTGCCTGTTTTGTGTTATTTTATATTTCTTTATGATTCAAATTATCTCCATGTTGGTTTATTAGTTATAACTCTTTGTTTTATGATTTTAGTGGTTTTTATCCTACATCTTTATCACAGCCTAGCTTTAAGTGACAGACTACTTCAAATAGAGTATAAGGATCTTACAACGGTATACAATTGTCCCTTGAACAACATGGGTTATCACTGCATGAGTCTACTTATAAAAGAATCTTCTTCCACCTCTGCCAGCCATGAGGCCACAAGACCAATCTCTCCTCTTCCTCTTATTCCTCCTCCTCATCTTACTCAAAGTGAAGATAAAGAGGACAAAGATCTTTATGATCCACTTTCACTTAACAAATAGTAAATACATTTTCTCTTTCTTATGATTGTCCTAAAGATTCTCTTTTCTCTAGATTACTTTATGGTAAGAATACAGTAAATAATATATACAAAATAAATGTTAATTGACTGTTCATGTTATCAGTAAGGTTTTTGGTCAATGGTAGGCCATTAGTAGTTAAGCTTTTGGAGAGTCAAAATTAAACTTGAATTTTTGACTGTGCAGGGAATCAGTGCCCCTAACTCCCATGTCGTTCAAGGGTCAAGGGTACTTCCTTTTCCCCCTCTTAATTATTGTGTTATTACTGCCAAACATTTTACTTACACATGTTATAAAACTTTTACTATATTATTATTATTTTTTAAACTGTCAACTATATTTAAAGAAAATTAAATCATTAGAAAAATACCCTCCGTATTTACCAATGCAGTTGCCATTTTGGGTGCTCTTTGTTTCTTTGTGCAGATCCATATTTCCATATGATACCATTTTATTTCCTACTGAAGGACTTCTTTTTAATGTGTCTTATAGTATAGGTTTCTGTGTGATGAACTCTTTCATTATATGTATTGCAAATAGTTTTTATTTCACCTTCATCTTAGATATCTTTACTAGATATAGAATCATAAGTGCACTATTTATTTTCTTTCATAGTTATAAGAATGTTGCCCCACTGTCTTCTTCTTTGCATTATTTTGGATAGGAAATCTGTTGTCATTCTTACTGTTTTGCCTTTGTATTTAACACGTCTTTTTCCTCTGGCTGCTGTAGTATTTTATTTTATCATTAAAAATTTATCACTAGCTTTGAGCAATTCAATTATAATATGCCTTTTGTGATTTCCTTCATGTTACTTATTTTTTAGTTTTCTTGAGATTCATGGGTTTGTGGCTTTATGGTTTTCAGTGTACTGTACTTGGAATTTTTCAGCCATAAATTATTTGAATATTTTTTATATTCCCACCTCCACCCCACCATTCCTTTAGGGACTCCAATTACACATATACCAAGCCTCTAAAAGTTGTCCCACAGCTCACAAATGCTGTTTTCATTTTTACAAATGCTCTTTCAACTCTGTTTCATTTTGGATAGGTTATATTGCTATGACTTCAAGTTCACTAATTTTTTATATATAACATAAATGTTTTATGTTTAATGTATAATCAATTATATCCAGTGTATTTTCATTCCATACAGTGTAGGTTTTTCTCTGGAATTTTGATCTGTGGGGTTATTTAGTACCTTCCATATTTTTATGTAGCTTTTAAACTATGTAGAGTTGTAATATCTGTTTCAACATACTGGCCTGATAATTCTAACATTTCTCACAATTCTGGATCAATTTTGATTGATGCATTTACATCCTCATTATAAGTTGTACTTTCCTGCTTCTTTACATGCCTGATAATCTTTGATTTGGTGCCAGAGACTGTGAATTTTTTCTTGTTAGGTACTACATATTTCAGTGTTCTTACAAATATATTTGTGTTTTGTTCTTGGATGCAGTTAAATTACTTGGAAACAGTTCCTTTTGAGTCTTGCTCTTAAGATTTATTAGGTGGTATTGAAGTAGTTATCAGCCTAGGGCTATTCTCCACTGTTGAGGCTAGACCCTTTTGTGTACTCTTATCAAATATCCCACGAATCATAAATTTTCTCGCCAGTTCAGCTAGTGGAAATAGGCACATACCCAGCATTACATGAGTGTTAATTATTGTTACTTTTAATAATTGAAAGTTGTGCTTTCTGCAGCCTCATACATGCAGTGAACCGTAGTAAAGTGAATTCTTAAGGAAGATGCTCTGTAGATCTGTGAAATTATCTCTGTGTTCCTCTATCTGCTCTCTGCAAACTCTAACTACTTTGAATTCCTGAAACACTTGGCTATATCTCTTCAATTTGGAGAACTCTCTGAGCTCCATCTGGGATTTCTCTCCCTAAGTCGTGGTCTAGAAATACTCTGTAAGCAGTAATCCGGGTCAATTGTAAGATTCACATAATTTATTTCCTATTTCTCAGCAAACATTGTCCTCATTGCCTGATGTCCAACATCTAGCAAACAATTATTTAATACATTTTGTCCATATTTTTATCATTTCAAGCAGGAGGATAAATTCTATCACAATGTTCAGTCAAAGTAAAGTCTCAAAAAGACATTTGGACCTGACAAAACAACTATAAACTCAATTTAAGAGAAAACTAGTTGACAACATTCAGAGAGAATTTTCAGGAGCTGCATCATAGACAGAGCTGCATTGGGAAACATTTATTCAGCTGTTTAACATAGCTCCAAGCTCTCAACCCAAATAACATAGAGCTCCAAAGAAGTTTGGCAGTGATACCTATGCTTACTATACCAGGGAAATGGAAAACCATGGATCAAAAACCTCATGCCATCCTTCAACTGTTCCTGTTAAGCAGCCAAAATTGGAATCCTGAAACTTCAATCCCCTCATCAGCACTACACTTTCTTACAAACTCCAAAACATAGCAGAATTTGGATGGAGATTAGCAGAGGTGAAATGCACACTGCGATGTTTAGAAGCTTAAGAAATAGCATTATAAACAGGAGCAAAATTTAGAAACATACTGGTTGCTGCACATGTGGTTGGGAGCAAAGGAAGGGAAAAAAAGATGTGTTTTAATGTAGTAACTACTCAAATAACTGAAATCTATGGTCTGTAGCTTTATAACTGTCAATTGAAATGGAATATTTCATCTCGGTCTAGGTTACCACTAGAAGATGTTGCTGCCAAATACAGTAAATTAAATTATAATGAAGCTGATCTGTAGGTATATATCCTATTGTGATCAAGAGCCAGTTCCCAGGAAGACAAAACTAAGGGATAAGTATATTGTACACATTCTGCTTTCTGACAAAGGATCCAACTTATTAGAATTGATGCATTCAAAGATTAATAAAATTAAGACACGATTTATCCATGAGGAATACTAGGGCAGAATAAGTAAAAATTATAATAAATTTATTTTCTTGCTCAAGAAAAAGGATACAGGTGTTAACTAAGACTGCCCATTGTCAGAAAAATATGCATCTGAATACATTTACTAAAATATAAAATTTTTGGTAAAATTTAGATTAAGCACATGTATTTTCCTCTTTTTCTCACTACTTTAAAATAACAGCAATTTTAACAAGTAAAACCCATAATTTTAATGAGACCAGCAGAGAAAACAATAATGGAGAAATATATTTTTCAAAAATTTCAAAGACGAAAAATGAAATGAAGAAATATAAATAAATATTGGCAACGTTCTTGACTAATCAGAGAAACTGCAGTACGAGTGCAGGCTGATTTGGATTCCTAAAGCAAGAGGATCGATTTAAAAAAGAGTTAATAGTAAGAGATGAAAACAATTACCAATTTTTGATAAAGTTCAGATCAAGCATGTGCCTTTTCCTCTTTTTCTTGATACTTCAATTAAAAAAATAGGAATTTTAAAAAATATAACCCATAATTTTAATGAGGCCAGCAGAGAAATCAATAGGGAAGAAATACATTTTACAAAAATTTTGAAGACAGAAAATGAAATTAAGAAATAGAAATAAATATTGACAACATTCTTGAATAATCAGAGAAGTTACAGCTTGAGTGCTAGCTGAATTGGATTCCTAAAACATGAAAACTGATTTTTCCTATAGAATCTTTGAGAGCCTTAAGACTTGAAGATAATGAAACATTGAGAGAAGTAAGAGGACACACACAGGTCTAAAGTTAAACAATGGTTCTCAGCTAAGGAAGATTTTGTCCCCAGAGGAACTTTCTGGTTGTCCCAGTGAGGGGAGGAGTTCTACTGGCATGTAGTATACTGATATGTAGCCAGGGATTCTGCTAAACATCCTGCAATGCACATATCCATCCCTCACAACAAATTACCCAGCCCAGAATAGCCATAGTGCCAAGGTTGAGAATCATGAATTAGAGGTATTCCACATAGAAAGTATTTAGATTTTCAGGTCCCCTTTTCAACCCCACTCAGCCAGCCAAACTAATCCTACTCCACAGTGACATCAGTCTTATTGTCAAGAATAATTGAAATTAACCAGCTCCATTATATTGGAACATCAACAACTTGTTATTGGAAGAGGCACAAGGTAGACATGAAAGGATTAAGTGAAAGTCTGTATACACTGCCTCTCCCCTTTACCACCACAACTCCCCTTCTACACAGTTTAAAGAAAGCCGGGAGCCAGAGTTATTTTCCATAAAGAGGAAACTGGCAGAAAAATACTACAAAGATAAGAACTCTAGAACTAATATTTGAGCTTTTAACCTCTGCAAAGTAAAGCTGTATTGCTGCTCATAAACATGAGTAAAGGCCATTTTGGAAATGTTTTACCATTTCTCTACAGAATAAAGCAGATGGCAAAATTCATCAAATGTGCAAAATATACAATGTGAATGACAGAAACAAAAATAAAGGAGGAGGATGAAAAATGATAATCCAGATGAGGAAACAAACAATGCAGGGAATTAGAGATGGAAGAAATCATCAACTAATAACAATTTAATAAAATATCTCTGTTATCCCCAGAAGATAAAAGTTGCATTCATTAAAAAATATAGAAACAAAAAAAAGCCTAAAAGAATAAACAATTGGTGAAAGAAAGAATTCTTAAATATTAAAAATATACAGCCAGGCATAGTGGCATGTGCTTGTAGTCCCAGCTACTCAGGAGGCTTAGGTAGAAGTATTGTTAGAGCCCAGGAGTTTGAGTCCAGCCTAGACAATATACTAAGATTCTATATCCAAAAAAAAAAAAAAAGGCTGGAAAAAAATCTCAACTAAAAGATTAGAAGAGAAAGATAAGAAAATACATCAGAAAGGCTAACAATAATAATGAGATGAAAACAAATTTTCAGAAATACACCAAAAGGAAAAAAAATTAAAGGAATAAGTTAATAAAGAATTAGTATAAAATACACATTTTCCAGACATGAAACCATAGTTTTAAAAGGCTTAATGGCTGGCAAACCAACATGTGCCTATGCCCCTAAACTGAGAAACGACCCAACAGCCTCACTCCTGGTGAACCAGTTCCAGAACCAGCTGATCCACTGAACACTCATGCCCCCGGCCTGAGAAACAGCCCACGGCTTCACCCAAAGCAAGCCAGTTCCTAAGCTAGGTGACCCATCACATGCACAAACATGCCTCCATCCTGATAACTCACTCAATAAGCCTGATTCCAGTAAAGTCATGTCACTGCTGCCACAAACTCCCACAGGTTAGGTCAGTGAAGCATTCACAAACATTACTGACATGGATTACAGTTGAAGAAACTTCACAGAGACTACACTACTGTGCCCACTCAGGACCCAAGTTATCACCCTCTACTTAACACTCTAGAACTTATCTACAGGAGTAAATCTTTCCCTATAAGCGCTAGTCCATAACATTAAAAGAAGCAATTACTTTACCAGATGTGCAGGTATCAATGTAGGAACACAAGAAACATGAAAAAGCAAGAAAACATGACACTACCAAAGGAACACAATAATCCTCTAGTAACAGACCCCAAAGTAAAAGAGATTTTCAAAATGCCAGAAAAGGAGTTCAAAATAATGATGTTAAGGAAACTCAGCAAGATAGAAGAAAATACAGATATGCAACTGAAAAAAATCAGGAAAAGAATTCATGATCTAAATCAGAAATTCAACAAGAAATTGGTATCATAAAAATGAACCAAACAGAAATATTGGAGCTGAGCAATTTAGTTAATGAAATAAAAATACAATCAAGAGTTTTGACAACAGGCTAGATCAAGCAGAAAAAAATGATTTATGAACTCAAAGACAGGTCTATTGAAATAACTCAAGCAGACAGAAAGAAAAAGAAAACAGAATAAGAAAGAATAAAGAAAGCCTACAGGACTTGTGGGACACCATTAAGCAAACAGCTATTCATACTGTGGGAGCTTAGAAAGACAAGATGACAAAAAGGGTAATAAAAACTTATTAATGAAATACTAACTTAAAACTTCCTAAGTCTTGGGACAGACATAGATACCCAGATCCAGGAAGCTCAAAAGTTCCCAAATGTATTTAACTAGAAAGGTCCTCTGCAAGGCACAATATAGAAATAAAAAAGATCAGAGAAGAAGGATATAAAATTGAGACCAAAAACAATACAAAAGCTCAACAAAACAAAAAGTTGATATTTTGAAAGATAATATTGACAAACCATTAGCTAGACTGAGAAAAAAAGAAAAAAGACTCAAATAAAATCAGAAATGAAAAAGGAGACACTACAACTGAAACCACAAAAATACAGTTGATCATTGGAGACTATTATGAATAACTATATGCCAACAAATTGAAAAACCTAGAAGAAATGGATAAATTTGTGGATACATACAACTGGCCAAAATTGAACCAAGGAGGAATAGAACACTGAACAGAACACTCACAAGTAATGAGATTGATTCAGTAATTAAGAGTCTCCCAACAAAGAAAAGTCCAGGATCAATGGCTTCACTGCTGAAATCTACCAAACTTTAATAGAAGAACTAATACCATTTTTTCTTAAACTATTCCAAAAAATTGAAGGAGAGGAAATTCTTCTAAACTAATTTTATAAGGCCAGCATTACCCTGATAGCAAAACCAAATATGCAACAGCAAAAACTACAGGCCAATATTCCTGATGACCATAGTTGCAAAGATCATCAATAAAATACTGGCAGACCGAATCCAACAGCACATCAAAAATATTACATACCAGGATCAAGTGTGATTTATACCAAGGATGTAGGAATGATTCAATATGAGCAAATTGAATAAATGGGATAAATAAAAGTATATCAACAGAATGAAGGACAAACCATATGACCATCTCAAAAGACAGAAACAGCATTTGATGAAATTCAACATCCCTTTATGCTAAAAACTGTCAGCAAATTAGTATGGAAGAAATGTACCTCAATAATAAAGGCCATATATGACAAACCTACAACCAACATCTTATTAAACGGAGAAAAGGTGAAAACTTTTCTTCTAGGAACTGGAACATGATGGTGATGCCCACTTTCACTACTCTTTATTCAACCTAGAACTAGAAATTCCTAGCCAGAGCAATTAGGCAAGAGACAGAAATAACAGGAATACAAATTGGAGAGGAGGAAGTCAACTAGTTCTGGTTTACAGATGACAGGATCTTATATGTAATAAAAACTAAGCACTCCACCAAAAAACTCTTAGAAGTGATAAACTAAACGAATAAAGTTGCAGGATATCAAATCAATATATAAAAATTAGTAGCATTCCTATACAACAAGCACAAACTAGGTAAAAATGAAATCTCACTTACGATAGCTAAAAAAACAAAAATACTGAGGAATAAATGTAACCAAAGGGTAAAAGTTCTGTACAAGGAAAACTATAAAACTTATAATAGAAATTAAAGAGGACACATAAGAAAATGGAAAGGCATCCCATGATCATGGATTAGAGGAACTAATATTATAAAAATGACTGTATTATCAAAAGCAATCTACAGATTCAATATGATTCCTATCAAAATACTAATGATATTCTTCACAGAAATAGAAGAAAAAATTCTTTAAATTCCCATGGAACCATAAAGACCCAGAATAGACAAAGCAATTTTTTTTTTTTTGAGGTGGGGTCTCTCTCTGTCACCCAGGCTGGAGTGCAATGGCACAGTCTTGGCTCACTGCAACCTCCACCTCCTGGGTTCAAGTAGTTCTCCTGCCTCAGCCTCCTGAGTAGCTGAGATTACAGGTGCCCGCCACCATGCTCTGCTAATTTTTGAATTTTTAGTAGAGACAGTCTTTCGCCATGTTGGTCAGGCTGGTCTCGAACTCCTGACTTCAAGTGATCTGTCCAACTCAGCCTCCCAAAGTGCTGGGATTACAGGCGTGAGCCACCCCACTGAGCTAGACAAATCAATCTTGAGACAAAGTCACCTGTTCAAAAAGAGCAAGACTGAGGATATCATACTACTTAACTGCAAAATTTACTACAAAGCTATACAGCATGATACTGTCGTAAAACAGACACAGAAACCAATGGAACAGAATAGAGAACCCAGAAATAAATCCACCTATTTACTGCCAACGGGTTTTCAACAAAGTCACCAAAAACAAAGAGTGGGAAAAGGACATCCTCTTCAATAAATGGTGCTGGGGAAACTGGCTATCCATGTGCAAATGAATGAAAATAGACCCCCGTCTCTCACCATATACAAAAATCCACTCAAAATGGACTAAACTCTTCAACGTAAGACCCAAAACTATGAAAATACTAGAAGTAAACCTAGGAGACGTGCTTCAGGACATTGGTCTGGGCAAATGGAATTACATCAAACTAAAATGCCCTTTCGCAGCAAAAGAAACTACCAACAAAGTGGAGAGACGACCTACAGAATGGAAAAATACTTGCAAGGTATTCATCCAAGAAATGTTTAATACCTAGAATATATAAGAAAATCAACTCAATGGCCCCAAATAATCCAATTAAAACAGGTGCAAATGGTCTGGACAGACATTTCTCAAAAGAAGACATACAAATAGCCAACAAGTACACGAAAAAATGCTCAACATTGCTAATCATCAGACAAATGCAAACAAAAGCCACAATATTATCTTTTCCCAGTTAAAATATGTTATAAAAATGACAAAAAATAACAAATGCTTACAAGGATGCAGAGAAAAGGGAATTCTTATACACTGTTGGTAGGAATGTAAATTAGCATACCATTATGGAAAAAAGTATGAAGGTCACTTAAAAAAACTAAAAAGAGAACTACCATATGATTCAGCAATCCCACTACTGGGTACATATATCCAGACGTTTTGAAATCAGTACGTTGAAGAGATATCTGCACTCCCATGTTTATTGCAGTACTATTTACAATAGCTAAGATATAGAATCAACCTAAGTGCTCATTAGCAAAGGAATAGATAAAGAAAATTTGATATATATATATATATCATATATCACATATATAAATATATAATGAAATACTATTCAGCCATGAAAAGGAATAAAACTCTGTCTTTTGAAGCAACATGGATTAGCCTAGAGGGCATTATGTTTAGCCCGGAAGACATTATGTTAAGTGAAATAAGCCTGGCACAGAAAGATAAATATTACCTGTTCTGACTCATATGTGGAAGCTAAACCAGTTGATCTCATGAAAGTAGAAGGTCGAATAGTGGTTACTGGAGTCTTGGAAGGATAGCAGGGAGAAGGGGATAGGGAGAGGCTGGTTAACAGATACAAAATCACAGATAGGTAAGAAGAATAAATTCCTGTGTTTTATAGTACTGTATGGTGACTATAGTTAACAACAATTTATTATATGTTTTCAAATAGCTAGAAGAAAGGATTTTGAATGTTCCCAACACAAAGAAATGATACAGGTTGGTGGTAATGGATTTGCTAATTACACTGATTTGATACTCACACATTTTACATATGTATTGAAATATCTCTCTGTATCCCATAATAGGTATAAATATTATGTGTTGATTGATTAAAAATAAAATATTAAAAAGTTAAAAAAAAGGCTCACCACATGCTGGTGGAAAAACCCAGATCAAGGTGCAATCTCATGAAGCATTCAAATTCCAAAAATAAAAAGGAAACAAAAATTTCCAGAGACCAATAAAATAAGTCACATAGAAAATACAGAATATCACTGCAGTATTCTGCAA
Source organism: Homo sapiens (assembly GCF_000001405.40). Classification (NCBI taxonomy): domain Eukaryota; kingdom Metazoa; phylum Chordata; class Mammalia; order Primates; family Hominidae; genus Homo; species Homo sapiens. The sequence goes on from NC_000001.11 coordinate 216,266,378, forward strand.
CATTATAGTAAACTAAAAAGCTAAGAATGGTACCTTCCAAATTATGAGTAAAGTTATTTCTAATCCAGAATTCTATGCTAAGTTATATTATCGGTTGCCTGTAAAGAAAGAATACAAACATTTTCTGGATTTGCAAGGATTCAAAACTTTAACTTCCTATATCAGGAAGCTATTGAGTAATATAGTTCCAGCAAAAAGAAAGTAAACAGACAACAGCAACAAGAATGGAAGGCATGGGATTCAGGAAATGAGGATGTAGAGGTATATGAAAAGCTCTAGGCTGATAGCAGGGCAGGAGGTCCTTGAGCATAAATATGTATGTGTGTGTGCATAAAATATATATGTATGTGTACCATATATATGTATATATTCATGTAGCAAAGACGTCAGCATGAGGAAGATTAATGACATATAGAAAACTAAATAGACAAGCAAAGGAATTATTGAATCTAGGAAGAATGAAAGACTATGGATATTTTTGAAAATAGAACCAACATGATTTGCTGATAGATTATTATGTATTGATGTGAAGATAAAGATAATTAAATTCAAATAATATTTTATATATATATATAAAACATGTTAAGTGTTTAATTGGAAATATGATTGTGAAATTCATTTGAGTATTGTCTGTGTATAATTGGTATTTGAAGTAAAATATCACCAAGGGCGTGAGCGTAGATACAGGAAAGTCCTCTAAAGAGAGTTCCAGAGCACTCCAACAATAAGTGTTCAAAGGTAAGAGGAGGGCACAGAAAAAGGATACAGAAGAAATAGTCAGGGATATGGGAGGAAAACCCGGAGAATGTGGAGTCCTCTAAATGAAAAGAGAGTGATCAACTGTGTCAAATCCTGCTTGTATGTCAAATACAATGAAGACAGAATTTAGCTTTGTTTAAAAAGACAGAGGTCCTTGGAGACCTTAACAAGAAAAGTTGCAAAGTAATGATGAGAGTGAAGGCCTGACAGATATATTTCCAGGAAATAATAGCAGAATAGGATTTGGAGGCATGAGCCTAGACAAGTCTTTTAAGGAGTTTTGCCAAAAAGGAGAGCAGGACATGAGACCATCGCCACAGAAGAAATTGTGATCAAGAGAGTTTTTAAATGGAAACAATAGCATGTCCACAAGATGAAATGAATGCTAGAGCACAGAGACACACATTAATAATGGAACGGATGGGAGAAGTCAAGTTCACAGCCTGTCTCACCAGGCACCACGACATCTCTTTTGGGAAAGTGTTCTCTACCCATTTCTAGCCTTTGTCAATACTGAGCTCCTCCCAAATTAGAGGATTTTTCTCTCCTCAGCCATTTTACAGCATTTTCTTGTTACCTCTGTCATTCAATTCCTTAAGGTCTAGCTTGTATTAGAATTATTATGTCTTGTCTGAAAATATAACTTCCCAGTGTACCATACACTCCCCAAGGGCCAGAACCTTTTGCACCTTTACATCATCCATTGATCCCACAGTATACATATTTTACATGTAGTAGATGCTCAGCAAAAGTTATTTTGAGTAATTGAATCTTTGATGTTTTTCTAGCGTTCCTTAGCTTACAACAACAATAATAATATCCACAACCCTTTTGAACACTTACGATATTGCAGGCAGACTGCTATGATGTTTTATACATGTTTTCGTATTTGTGAATAAATTACCCTGTGAGGTATTATACTTCCTGTAGAAAAACTAACAGACGTCTCTAACATAAAAGGGAAAGTAAGTGACTTAGCCTGAATTAAAATTGAGGGTTCTGTGGCTGCAGTCCTGCCTGCTTATGCACCATGCTATATTGTGCCTTAGAATTTCACTTACTCCTGTCACCTGAGACAGGAGTTGAGGAGTGTCTCCTCAACTAAATGATATAAATTCCTGGAACATTAGGATTATGTGCCACAATTACTAGCCACAGAATTAACTATACTCTGAACAACTTAAATCTACTGAAGTCTTCACGTATTTATCAATAAAATGAGCATAATAATATCTACCTCATAGGTCTGTTGTCAGGATTAACTGAGATTATTAATGTAAACATGTTTAGCATCATCTCTGGAACATAGTAAGTGCTCGGTAAAGATGAAGTGGAAGTATTACTCTGTACATTTCACACTGGTATAGAGCAAATAGTGGGCAGGAAAATTCATCAAGTGATTGATAGTCAAACTTTTTTCAAACCTTCTAAAGTATTTGATGGATGTGGGGCAGTACTTGCAAAGTGAAAGGACCAATTATTTGCAGCTTGCACAAGGATCCCGTAGGCTTGGGACATTCCTACTCTTTCTTCTGCTCACTTCAGCTATACAGCCCCTTTTCTGAATACATCAGGGGTGCTTCCACCTTATGGTGTTTGCATAGGCTGCTGCCTCTGCCTAGGTCTCTTCTTCCAGATTTCCACATGACTAACTCCTTCATCTCCTTCAGGTCTCAAGTGAAATGCCATCTTTTCAATTAAAAGTCTCTTGGCTACATTTCCAAAACTGCAATTCCTTTCCTTAATATGGTACTCTCAAGGCATTTTACTTTGTCTAGTTTTCTCCTATAGCATTTAACTTAGTAAATAAACTTACTTATTTTTATATTTATTGATTGTTCTTTCTCTTCCAACTCCCCAAATCACTTTACAATGTAAGCTCCATAGTGGCAGGAATTTTCGTCATTTTATTATTTGTGAAAATACATGAATCTTCATTTGACAGAAGAAGAATTTAAACCTTAGAAAGATCAAATTACTTATTAAAGGTGGTGCAGTTACCAATAGGGTTTGGCTGTGTCCTCACCCAAATCTCATCTTGAATTCCTATGTGTTGTGGGGGGAGACCCAGTGGGAAATAATTGAATCATGGGAGCAGGTCTTTCTTGTGCTGTTCTCATGATAGTGAATAAATCTCACGAGATCTGATGGTTTTAAAAACAAGAGTTCCCCTGCACAAGCTCTCTCTTTGCTTGCTGCCACCCATACAAGATGTGACTTACTCCTCTTTGCCTTCTGCCATGATCGTGAGGCCTCCCCAGCCATGTGGAACTGTAAGTCCTGTATAAATTTTTCCTGTATAAATTACCCAGTCTCAGGTATGTCTTTATCAGCAGTGTGAAAACGGACTAATACAGTTACTAAGTGGCCCAACTCTCAAATGCATGATCATAACCCCTATGTTAAATTCACTCTGCTTATCATAAGCTACAAATATAATAATAGTAACAGGAAGAGTGCTAGACTCAATTAAGTTTAAGGCATGGCCTACACCTGTGAAGAGCTGAAAACACAGTGGAAGAATTGGCCAAGTGGTCAAGTTGTTACTTTGTAAGTTTCTTTGTTAGCACTGATGGTCACTAATGTTTGCTGCATATTGCCTTGTGATCACACCCAGGACCTCACCATTTTGGACCATGCAGCAAAAGTCTGCTGGCCTAGGCTCTGGAGCAATGGTGGATATGCACAGTCAACCGGGTGACAATTGTCACAATGAGTTTGGTGGGAAGGTTACTGACAACAGAAAAGAGTAAGATCCTGCAATAATTACCCCAGTCAGTTTTCTTTACATTAGGAGATAAAATTCTATGAGGGTGAATTCAAGGCATCAAGTAATCCATATATGATTTATTGTGCATGTGTGAACATAACTATTTTGTGCTTAAAGGAAATATGAAGCATGATTTCAAGATGAATAAATTAGATGAACACAGTTTTTATCAGTGATTATCTAATAGTCACTATATTTTAGGTAATTTGAAGCAACACTTTTAAAACAGCAGCAGTATAACTATATGTCTTTCTATGCACTCATCTGTCTGGTGGGAGAGAAGAACTAATGTTCTATAGATTACATCTTCTCAAGAAACTCACTAAAAGCCAATGAGGCAATGTTGATATTGCTAAACAAAGTAAAAATTTAAAAAGCAAATTGAAGAATGTAAGAACAGGAAATCTGTCCCGGAAATTGAGTGTTAGTTTAAGTGTTTCATTTGAACAGAAAATAAATATAAATGAGGGCAAAAGGAAATCATTTAATCAATGCATATATTCTTCAGAAAATTCTTTTCTTTCCTAGAGAACATCATAGACTTCTCTTTTATAAAATCTCTAACTCCTCTTCTTCCTTTCTGGAGAATTTATTCTTTCACATTGTTCTATACATCCACAAGCTATGCACTCTGTGAGTTTTGAAAGGTCATACTACACTAGCAACACCTCCCAGTTTCTACCACTTCTTCTTTCAGAATTGCCATCACTAACCAGCTATTGTATACTGAATGATATCTACCAGTCTGTTCCTCTCCCTAATCCATTTAATAAACTGCTATCAATTAATTTTCATTCATTCCAATTTTTTTTTTTTTTTAAGAGACAGGGTCTCACTCTGCTGCCTAGGCTGGAGTGCAGTGGCACGAACATAGCTTACCATAAACTCAAACTCTTGGCCTTAAGCAGTCCTCTCGCCTCAGCCTCCCAAAGTGCTAGGATTACAGGCATGAGCCACTGTGCCTTGCCTCATCTACTTTAATTCTGATGATAATAATCCTACGGTAAGGTGGTGAGAATGAAACACCTGGGTACACAAAAGAGGATGCACTTTCTGTAAGTAAAATTAAAATAATAAGATTCAGTTAAAATTGTTTTGCTTTTAATTATCACCAAGTACTAGCAATTCTAAACAAATTTTGTGATACAATACTCTTCCCCACTGAGGTAGATTGTTTCCACTGCCTCTTACCTACTTGGTACACCTCTGTGTCACTCCTGTGCTCAGAAATATTCAATAGCTCCCTATTGCCTAACTAGTGAAGACCAAATACCATGAGGTGGTTTCCACATATCTCTCCAGTCTCACATACCATTACTAACCCTACCTCAGTGACAGCCCCAGACTTTCTATAGGAAGGGCAGGGTGGCCAAAAATGTTGCTCAGGGATTTATCTTACAGCTGCATTTGCACATCAAACATCCCGTCCTTACTTAGAATATAAAGCGGTTTTTCATGGCTTTACGAAGGAGAGTAGTGTGAGGAGGGGATTGTATGTGGGGGACTTGATGCTTGCCAAGCAATTTTTATACTCCCACTGTCTATACAGTGGCATATTTTCTGCAAATAATAATAGTCTTACTTCTTTCTTGATATTCATGGCTTTTTGTTTTTTCATTTTGTCCTACTTTAGACTTCTGTTACAATTTTTAGTAGAAGTTATAAGAGCAAACCTCCTTGCTTTGTTCCTGATGTAGTGGTAAAAAATTTAACATTTATTGTTAACATAATATTAGCTATAGGGTTTTTGCAGATGCCCTTTTCAGTTTGAGGAAGTTCTCTTGTATTCCTAGTAGGCAGAGGGTATTTATCATGAAAGTGTTTTGAATTCTTTTTCAAAGTTTTTTGATCTATTGAGATGATTACCTGGGAATTCTTTTGTATTCTATTTATGTGGCTTACTACATTAACTGATTTTCAGATGTTAAACTAACTTTGCATTCCTGGGAGAAATCCAATCAGCTATGATGCATTACCCTATTATATATTGCAGGATTCCATTTGCTAATATGCTGTTAAGGTATTTTACATCTATGTTCATATGGAATATTCTAATGGGCTTTTCTTTTAGTGCTTTGTTAGGTTATGGGATTAAAGTTAGGTAGCCCTCACAAAATGAGCTGAGAAATATATGCCCTTCCTTGGTTTTCTGAAAGAGTTTGTGTAGGACTAATATTATTTATTCCTTTATGTTAGTGGCAAATTCATTAGTGAAGCCATTTGGGACTGAGATTTTCCTTGTTGAAAGGTTTTTAGATATGAATTAAATGTCTTTAATATATGTGAGGCTATTTCTATTTTTTGTTGTTGGTTTTGTGTTCATTTGTTCATTTCATTCAGGACATCAGATTTATTAGCAGAGCTGTTCATAAAACTGTAATTTTTTAATGTTTATAAAATGTGCAACGACATTGATGTCTCTTTTTTAAATTTCTGATGTTGGTAATTTGTGTTTTTGATGTTGGTACTTTGTGTTTTCTGCTCATCAACTTTATTAACCTTTTCAAAGGACAAACTATTGCGTTTGTTCATTTTCACTATTTTTTGTCCAATTTCTATTTGATTAATATCCACTCATGTTTTATTAATTATTTCTTTTCTTCTACTAATTTTGAATTGTTCTTTTTTCCTTTCCCATCATCAGTCTTCTGGGTAAGAAAACAGCTTCACTCTAATGTCCTGCCTGCTACTCGTTGACTCACTCATTTTGCTATTCATCCCTGCTCATTTTTAGTTCCTTTCTTCCCAGATTCATAAGAGACTTAAACTCCCAGAAAAATGCTGGTGCTGGGGTGGGCAGAGGAAAAATTATGTTTGTGTAATTGAATATTGTAGTGAGTAGGCAAAAAGTGAAGGAAGGATAGACATTGATTGGCAAAATAGGTTGAGAAAGAGGGAGAAATGGAAACCATAACCTAGGAAGACAAACAACAAACGAGCTTGAGCTTTCAGTTTTTTCATGTATTTCATATGTTCAGCTTAAATTAGGCAGTAAAAGTCAAAAGAGACTCCAGGGGAATCAGGATCAATGGTTATGTGGCCACAGAACTCTTGGGTCTCTCTAAATCCCAGGATAAAAGCTGACAGAACTAAACAGCAACACAACAACAGCAAAGCCATTAAAAATGATTATAATGAAACTAGGTGACCAGCTGTGCCCAGAAGCCTCCCAAAAAAAGCAGGTAGGAACACACCACCAGCAGTCACAAAACCTGCATGGCATTAGCCCCTGTGTAGGAGAAAGCAGATGATAGTAAAGGGGTGTCGGACTTTTGAAAGACCTGAAAACTGGAGAACCTAAAGTTCAGTGAGCCAATTTGAAAATGGGCGACTGAAAATAGAAGAGGTTCTGCTGATCCAATAGCCAGTGACTGCAAGAGTTCTGCAGTGGGAACTGAAGAGCCGAGGGCAATCTAGCTTCCACGGACTCTCAAAACTCACTGACCAGGGCACACTTCCACGGCAAGGCCCCACACTGAGGAGAAATCATTGAGAGTGGATGGGTAAGGGTGGTTAAAATAGGATATACTTAAAGATAAAAATTCTGAAGTTAGGGTGGGTTTCTCATTGGCAATGAAAAAAAAACCTCACATAGTTTATTTAAACATAATAATAATAAATAATACATTTCAAGGTTAAATTCAATTGAACACTTCGTGAGTGTTTCTGTTATTCACTGTAATATACACCTTGATATGCACAGTGCCTGGTATATAGGAACGTCCCTACATTTGTTTGGTGACTAGATGAATTATTTGCAATTAAATGCTATATCACTGAAATATTTTTAGGAGATATTATCAAATATAGGAGTTATAGAAATCACAATTTCTACTTAGTTTTGGCAGGGAGTTAATTATGACTTGTTAAATAGAGAATGCTTACCCCAAATTGTCCTCCAATCCAGAAAAAAAAAAAAAAACAAACCAGCACACATTCATAGTTTTTAAAATATTTGACTCAATAAACCATACATACCATTTTTAAATACCAAAAAATTTTGAATATACAAATCTATAGTCAGCAACTGTTCAGTGTATTCCGAAGTTGAGTCTTTTGATTTCCCACAACCAAATATACCAGACCTAAAGAATTAAAAGTCGCTAAAGTTAAAACCTAGGAATCTTCATTTTTAAAAAGTTCTGTTGATGATTCTTATGAACACTAACATTTAAGAACTATTGCTTTAATACTTGCTACCTACTCTGCCACTGCACCAAGTCAATCAATTCACAGGGACTCAGTCTTACTCTCTTTTTCTTCTTAGTCATGCATCTCATCAAATTGTTGGTATGTCTATCACTGAGCCTCAGAGAAACATAGCCTTTCTAAGCTTAGCCAATATTGAAGCATTTATACCTCTAAACATCTGAATATAAGTTCTAGAAATAGACTGGTTTCAGCAATACCTTTTTAGAAAAGGCATTTATGAAATATCTAATCATTTGCAACACTGCCGGTGCTTACACAAAAAATCTATATCTATATTTATTTGTCTATATTTATACAGTATATTGTACTTGCTAGGAGCCTTCTCAGCCCTAAGATGTGGATTCTGAGACTTACCACTTATTTATAGTACAGATACAATAACTTTTTTCCTTAAGCTTCTGCATCTAGAGAAGAAAAGTCCACATTAATGTAACAGGCTACCTTCGTAAGGAACTCATTCCACTTCAAAAATAAATAAATGAATCTGCAGTGGGTTCTGCCACATATAAATGTCATGAATTGGAGAATGCCAGGTGAATAAAGTACATCATAATACTTGTTTCCATTTAAGTGTTTTGTGATACTTCTGTTTATCATCTTGCTCAGCTGTCAAAAATACTCATTTGCAAAGAAAAGCTTCTACATTGGTGTAAAACCAAGATGTCTTTTCTTTTCCAGTCTACAATGCCTGTCATTTGTCAGGCTGGTATATTTTTATAGCTCCTCTTCCCCTCCAAAAGGCATTTCCAAGAAACTGCTTTCTAAACTTCCCCACGATAATCTCTAAGGAGTGTGCAAAAAGGTAAAATTCTGAAGCATGCTCAAATAAAACTATAGTAGGAAAGGAATATTTTTTTCTCAATCTTTTGAGTGTTCAAGACAGAAAGAGTGTAAAGAGGTTCCCCACATACTGCTGTTCCCAGCAATGGTTACATATTTGAATGGTTTTAAGAGGAAGCAATGTAATTATAGTCCTTCTAGTTCTCAAAGGGGTATAATTTCCCATTGCATTATTCTCTCTCTCTCTCTCTTTTTTTTTGGATGGTTTAGGTCTATTTCGCTCAGAGGATATAAGCTATAATGTGTAAAAGATGCAGGTAATATATGTCACCATGTTAAATTAGAGCATTTCATAAATGTCATCTGAATGGCACAACTATACAGTGTGGTCTTATTGTAATTTGCTGCAAAATTAATATAGTAGTTATTAATAAGATGGTGTTTTGACTTTATCAAAATGAAAGATCTCACAGAAGCATTTATTTCTAACGTGAATAAATGTATTTTCCATGTCTATAGTTAATGTTGTATAAAGATACACTTTCAGAAAAGTTAACTCATTTGGCTTAACTATCTGTTTTATTTTAGTACAAGTGGTAAAAGTTGCTAGGAACTTACACAGGAGAATGCCTGCTTAATATGTTAGTTAATTGAATACTTGAAAATATAAATTCCAAATAGATTTTGAGAGGAAGGTATCCATCTGAGATGACAAGGAAAACAAATAAATCAGGTTTTCTAAAAAGTAACTTTATAAAATATTCAAATTTCTTAGGTTATATAGGTAAGATAAGTGGAATCTCTGTTATACATTAAGCACTAAGGGAGGTACATTAAGTCTCTAATATCAACCAAATCTCCATTTGAGGAATGTGTCGATTCCAATAAATTAATTTGCTGCTTCTTTATATGAACATTGCTATTTCCTATTTAGGAATTTTATTTAATATTTAGGATGAAATTAATAGGATTTGATACAATAATTCACAAACAAATGGGTATGTTTCCTTCCTACTTTTGGATAGTGTAAGTAAATACCCAGTTTAGCAATCTGCTGTAGGTTTCCTCTTAAGTGCTGAACACTATGCTGAGTGCTAGGAACACATTTTTGGTAGGAACCCTATGTCTCTAACCTCCAGCTGGGCATGAGCTTTGGAAATTCACAAGTTTTCAATTTCTGCACAACCTCCTTATTACTTGTGTGATATTGGAGGAGTTATTTAATTTCCAAAAGGCTGGATGTCCTCAACTTTACAGTGGATAAATTAATAACTGCTTTACCAGCTTTGGTAAGGACTGAATTAATGAACTACAATGCTTGGCATATTTTTGTACATGACGAGTGCAAGACAAGTGGAACCTATGAGAATCTTACAGACTAGTTTCTGTCATTTCTGTCCTCGCACATTTTTAGCAATATGCCAATCTGTCTTGTACACCCCAAAATGCAGCACTCAATACTTGGCACCAAAACAACATGTGGGTAAGTCAAGGTAGAGGCAGGGTTCTATGGCCCAGCAGAAGCTGAGACAACGTCCAGTCCAGGAGAATAATAGAAAGCCTCATCATCGGCTCTTTCTTGATTCTTGGAGTGTCCTTGCCTCTAGAAATGATCAGCACATTGGTTTAGTGAGTGAGGAATGAAGGAGGCTGATTATATTCTGTTCCTCAATAAGCCAGTGTACTCGTCTGTTTTCACGCTGGTGATAAAGACATACCTGAGACTGGGCAATTTACAAAAGAAGGGGGTTTGTTGGACTTACAGTTCCATATGGCTGGGGAGGCCTCACAATCATGGCAGAAGGCAAGGAGGAGCAAGTCACCTCTTACATGGATGGCAGCAGGCAGAGAAAGCTTGTGCAGGTAAACTCCCATTTTTAAAACCATCAGATCTCATGAGACTCATTCATTATCACAAGAACAGCACAGGAAAGACCTGCCCCCATGATTCAATCATCTCCCACCAGGTTGCTCCCACAACACGTGGGAATTATGGGAGCTATTAGATGAGATTTGGGTAGGGACACAGCCAAACCATATCAGTCAGTATCATCAAAAAGCACTAAGGGTCACTATGATGTAATGAATAATTTGTTTAAACAAACTTACTATTCTCATATCTATCTATATCTACCTACTTACCTACCTACATATCTAAACAAAAGTTGTTTTCATCCTTTAATCATAACTCCAGGAAACTATATACAGCCTATGGTGTCTGTTCTTGCTAAAAGTCTTAAAATACTCATATTTTGAAATTGCTTTCAAATCTATGATCCCTCAGCATCTTCTATGCAATTAATGCTCTTTATGCTTAATTGCTCTCCCAGCCCCCTCCTCTGGGAACATGTAGGAGGCAGTAATTGTTTTCTCATTTCCTTGTTCCTGGGGCTTCTCTCTCACATGTGCTCATGAACAAATCTTTTAACCTTGCACACAAGCTGTTTCTCCTCCTATGTCCAATTCTCTCTTGCTGATACATGCTGCTATGATATGTGCTTTCACAGGTGCATCTACCAATATTACAGGGTCCACCTCCAAGCAGGTAGTCCCACCAATATTAATGGCTTGGCACCCCTGAGATGCTCATGGGGTACTCTATTCTCAGAGGTCCTCATTAAACAGAAGTTATCCTGTTCTGTGTGTAGAAAAGAAGAGAATGCCCCTTTCGCTCTTGGGCTACCTTCTGTTGCATGAGTATTAAGCAGAGATGACATGCTCCCCATCAAGACTCATTCTCCCTAGTCTTCAATAGTACACAAATGTAGCTGCAAAGTGGTTACCCAGCTAGAGACTACATGTCTTCAGCCTTCTATATAACTAGTTAGCAATGTGACTAGCTATCATCAATGGCAATGATAGCAGAAGCGACACACACCTCTTTTGGACCAAAGCATTTTAAAAGTGGAAGTTGTTTTCCACATTGTCTTTTCCTTCCCTAGTTAAAGGCATATCCAGGCAATGGAAGGAGCATGTGTCCCTGAATTGTCACAAAGAGAAGATCCAACAAGGAGGTAGGAACAGCTGTCTTGGAGAGGTTATATGAGCAACAAATGAGCCTGTATATTGTTTTGGCCACTAGATATTTGGGGGTTTGTTACATCTGTTTAGCCTATTCTAACTACATTGCTATTGGTAGCAAGGCAATGGGCCTTGTATCACATTATCTTGCACTTACTAGTTAAATCAGTTCTTCCAATATCCAGACACTACCTAATGCTTCTGCTAGTGCTATTATGGCTATTTAGGGCTATTGAATCTAGCCTTAAATGCCTGAGGTATTGGTATTTGGCCAATTTTGTATACCTGGGCCCTTGTGATGAGCTTGTTCCCAAAAAGATGTCAGATGTATTCAAACATGTGGAACTCAACATAAACTGGAGGCTAAGACCTCATCTCAGTTACAACTCCATCTATTTTTACTTTCAGGCAGTTTGTCACAACCTTGATTCTTGGATAACTCCCTCAATACTAACCTTCCTATCCAGCTAAGATTAATTTTTCCCTTCTTTTCCCATTTATACCCCAGGACCTTTGTTCCTGTCTTTGTGAATCTCATCCTCTACAATCTCAGAATAATGAGATATTACTCAATTTACCAGCTCTATGAGAAATATTACTACTAAACTTCCCTAATTCTCTGAAGGAGAGACCACGTGGCTTGTGCCAAGACCTTTCTGTCTCTATTGAAGCTCTGGGAAAACTCTCCTCTTTTCACATCCTTCACCACCTCAATGTATACATCCAATATCCATGGATCATACTATTCATGGTCAGGTTTCTCATAAGCTAAGGAAACTTATGCAATACTTATTTTTTCTATTTGTACACTTTAATATTTGAGTCATACAAAATATAAGAATATACTTCAGGGAAGTTCACCTGATGACTTTTGGACATGTTATGGTAATTAATGACAAATACCTAATTCTGAACAGAAGAGAAACCATTAATGAACTGCAGAAAAATGGTACATTATGCAGAGAAAGTATATTCTGTTCAAATTTTAAATGTATTGTTTTGAAAATTATCACTTCACCAGAACAATCAATTTTCATGAGTAGGGTCTCTGTTCCTTATTATTCCATCTTCCATAGGTCAGACCTAGAAATGCTTCTTTCACTGATGCCTTTCCATTTCGTCTAATTCATTTCAACCTCAGTTTCCTTTCTTATTAATCTATTTTTAAATATCTCTTAATCATTTATTTCTGTTCTGTTGCTATTACAGTAACCTATTGATGCTTTATTGAGCATTACAATCTGCTATTCTCTCTTTTTATATAATTACAACTATATTTTTGGTTTTCACACAACTTTTTAATTCCCTTATTTGTTGTTTTTATTTCCTTTTAAAAATGGCTATTAGGTGATATACTCTAATTTTAAAGGTAGAGCCCAGGGCACAATTCAAGCCTAACTTAATTTGGATGACTTGGAAAATCCTTGCTTTTAAGATGGGATTCAGAGGATGGAGCAAAGTAAACCCACAACTGACCAAGAGTATACATGTGCTCGTGAGTACACACTCACAACTCCCCTACCCCCATCTACATTCAGCTTCTTTGGTCTACATATCTTTGATATACAGTGTTCTAACTCCTTGGTTATCAAAAAGTGGTTCACAGACAGGCGGCAATTGTATCATCTGGGAACTTTTACACATGTAAAATCTGAGCCCCAACCCCAAACTTCCTGAATGAGAATCTGTCTTTTAAAAAGATACCTAGGATAGTCACATGTGCATTAAAAGTTTGAGGACTACCCTAGCTGATGACCACCATCTTGACTACAGTGGCTGAACCCCCATGGCTTCCTCAGCTCAACCCAATAACAAGCAAAGTAAACGGGAGAGAAGGTAGCAGGGATGAAAAAAGTCCCAAGCAAGAAAGCACTCAGACAATATTTCTTGAATGCATTCTACATGAGTCAGGCCATATGCTAGGGACTTATGTTAGGGACTTTCACCGGTCTCCCTACCTTATCACCATCACCTGTGGAGGTGGCTATAGCAGGGACTCTGGGGCTACCAGAAAATATGTGGAGGAGTGGGGTCAGTGGAGGGAAAGGATGGAGACAAGCGGCTCACTCCCACCTTGGGTCAGGATCAGACTGAGATCTCTAGATGTATGCACTTTAGGTGTGGATTCACAGACCCTTCTCCAGATATGTCAAAGTACAGAAGAGGCATCATCTAGGCCTGGGACTCTATTTGATTGATCTGAACTTAAGTCACACTAGATGAGGAAATGGAAAAGGACAGTTAACCTCCAACTCAGGATGCATGTCAAGTAATTCATGCATTAAGTTCAAGCAAACAAGAAGGAAGTGCAGTGGTATCCTGAAAAACTCACATAATATGTACCTGAACTAATAACCCAGCCTGTTCATAAGATAGACTTCTTTTCCATGGTGAAATAATTATCATCTTTTTTGGTTCATGTATCCCTTTTGGATCTGATGAAAGTACTGAAAGCTCTCACCCTCAAAAATACAGACAAAAGAAAAAAAAAAGGAAAAATACACAGACTTACAGTTGTATGACACAGACATAAATTGTATCCTACTCAATTTATACAGACATAAAATATACACTCATATAGTAACCCAAGGGATCCAAGGATTCCATGTTAGTTATTCCTCAATAATCATTATTACTCTTCATTTTCCTCTCTCCTATTAATATTAGTACTGTGCTTTAGATGTTCTCTCTGTCTTGACTGTGGCATCAGTATTTTTAGGATTCAGTGACTCAGAGCATTACTTTATGCCCCTCTCAAGATTTTGGCATTCACATAAGGAAGAATTACAACATTTCTTATGGAAGAATAAGGCAAACATGCCATATCTTATGAGATTGGATTGAGTTTCAAATGACAAGTGCCAAAGGGAAAGTTCCCTTCCAGAACATAGAGCGCACGACACAGTCACTCAGGCCATTTGGGGCTGGCTTCATTCCTAAGTTATTATAACAAAATGAGACTTGAACTACTGCCTAATTTCCTTGTGTGCTCCCTAATATTATTAAGGATTGAAATTGCATGAATTTTTTAAATGTCCTTGAATTCAATTTTGCAGTTTATAATTCTGACACTGTTGACAACTTTTTAAGTGTGTGTTCTGTTATCCTATTGACAATGTCTGGAAACATTTTTTGAAATCTTTTATAACATTATTTAGGTAAGGTAGACTTGACACAATATCTCCACATGTAACGATACTCCATAAACTTTGTCTCTATACTTGGAGCATGAGAAAATAATAAAAATTAAGATAATATATGAATGTGATTTAAAGATAAACAATGTGGGGGTTTAAAGTCAGAAAACAGTTCTATCATTCTTATTTACATTCCTATTCTTATGTGTAATTCTCTCTGGCTATATATCAGGTTGAATGAAAATTCTCCTTTTTTTCTGACTATAAAAGTTATAAATAAAGCAGATTTGGAAAGAGAAAAAAGTTTATATAAAAGGAAAAATGTTTTTAAAACCAAAAAAGTTAACATTTTAAAGCATGTCTTTCCTTCCATATATTTTTAAAACAGATTTTTGCACTTGGAAACAAAACAAAACAAGCTTTCTCTATTCTTCGTCCGTCTTCCTTTCCCTACTCTAATTTCTGAGACTTGAGCACATTTTGTAGCAGGTACCAGTAATTTCTTTCTTTTTAATGTAAAATAATATTCCATTGTGTGATTATACTACATTTTATCTATTCATTCAGCAGTTGATGGACATTCTGACTATTACAAACAATGTGGCATTGACATTCACCAATAAGATTTTATGAGGATATATGATACATACAGAGGAGTGAAACTTCTGGGTTATATGGTAATTCCATCTTTAATATTTTGAGAAACACTAAGCCATTTTCCAAAGTCGGTGCACATTTTACATTCTCACAGGCAGCCTATGAGAAGACTCCAATTTCTCCACATCCTCACCAAATTTTGTTTTTGTCTGTTTTTTTTTTTTTTTTTTTTTTGAGTTGCAGTCATCCCACTGGTTGGGAAGTGGGCTTGCACAGTAGTTTTGATTTGCATTTCCCTGATGACTAATGTCAAAAATCTTTTTATGTGCTTGCTGGTAATTTTATATCTTCCTTAGAGAAATATCTATTCAGATTATTTGCGCATTTTAAAATTGAGTTATTTGTCTTTTGATTATTCACTTCAAGTTCTTCATATATACTAGACAAGCTTCTTATCAGATATATGCTGTGCAAATATTTTCTTCATTATTACAGATTTATTATATACTTTGCAACTAATTCTTTGGGTTGTTTATTTCACTTTCTTGTTGGTGTGCTTTGAAATATTAATTCTAATGAAGTCCAACTTACACATTTTATCTTCTGTTTCTTAGGCGTTTGGTGTCATATCTAAAAAGCCACTGGCTAATCCGAGGACATGAAGATTTGCATCTACATTTTCTTCTCAAGATTTTATAATTTTAGCTTTTATATTCAATATTTTGTTTAATTTGAATTAATTTGTTTATATGTGAGGTGGGGTAGGAGTCCAAGTTCATTCTTTTGCATATAAAAACACAATTGTCCCAGGACCATTTGTTAAAACGACTACACTTTCTCCACTGAACTGTCTTGGCACTGTTGTCAAAAATCAATTGACTATAAATATGAGGGCTTATTTGTAAATTCTCAATTCTATTTCAGTGAATATGTCTCTATGTCTATCTTTATCCCAGTACCATGCTGTCTTGATTATAGTAAATTTTGAAATTGGGAAGGGTGAGTTTTCCAACTCTTTTTTTATAAGGTTATCTTGGACATTTTTGAGTCCCATGAATTTCATACAAACTTTAGGATCATATGGTCAATGTCTGCAAAGAAGTAAGGTGGGCATTTAACAAAGATTACACTAAATCTGTAGATCAATTGGAGAGTGTTGTTAATTTAATAATATTAAGTCTTCTGATACATGAGCATTGGGTGTCATTCTATTTATTTAGTTCTTCTTTATTTCAGCAATGTTTTATGGTTTTCAGAATATAATTTTACACTTCTTTTACTAAATGTTTTTCTAAATATTTTAATCTTTTGGTGATTTTTAAAAGACGTTTTCTTAATTTTATTTTCAGATTGTTCAGTGCAAATATATGGAAATATAATTGATCTTTGTGTATTGATATTGTACTCTGCAACCTTGCTGAATTTATTAGGTTTTTTTCTGTTGTTGTTGTTAGATGTAGTCTCGTTCTGTCGCCCAGGCTGGAGTGCAGTGGCATGATCTCAGCTCACTGCAAGCTCCACCTCCCAGGTTCACACCATTCTCCCACCTCAGCCTCCCCAGTAGCTGGGACTACAGGCACCCACCACCATGCCCAGCTAATTTTGTTTTTGTATTTGTAATAGAGATGGGGTTTCACCATGTTAGCCAGGATGGTCTCCATCTGCTGACCTCGTGATCCACCCGCCTCGGCTTCCCAAAGTGCTGGGATTACAGGCATGAGCCACCGCGCCCAGCCTGAATTTATTAGTTTTAATACTTTTGAATTAATTCCTTAGGATTTTCTATCTATAAGATAATGGCATATGCAAATACAAATAACTTCTCTTTTTCCAGTCTCAATGTCTTTTATTTCATTTTCTTGGCTACAACTTTCAGTACAATGTTATGGGATATTGTTATCTTGCTTTTGATCTTAGGAAAAAAGCATCCAGTTTCTCACTGAAATATTTGGATATAGTATTTTTAGCCCTCTACTTGTTATTTGTTTATCTCAAATCACAAAAAATTGTGATTTGATCTTAAATAAAATTGAATTACTAAACATGTATGTAAGGAAACTATCCTTGCAGACCATAAAGACCAATGGATACTTTGAAAATATTTTTTGACTTATGTATTTATTTCTTTGGATCATAATTGTTTGTCATTTCCTTTGTTTAATGTTGTCCCCAGTCTTACATTCCTTTTTCACTTTGCATATTGAATATTTTAATATGGGGTTATGAATGGTAATGTTTTGACCATCTCTCGTACAAAAAGAATCTTAACCTCATGTTGGTGCCATAGCTTGGATAGAACTGAGTATCAAGTTTTTCTTCAAAATGTCTTCTTTTGGGATTTTAAGGTTATTCTGAACTGTCTTCTAGTAATATTAAATTCCTAATGATGTTAATATGACTCTCATTTCCTTGTATCTCTCTCTCTGTCTTTCTCTCTCTATATATATACATATATACACACATATATGTACATATATATGTAGTATTTAATTTTGAATTAATAATAAATTATTTCTGTTTCCAAAGAAATCTGAGATAGTTTTACTGGAGCAATATGTGTTCGCTGTGTCCCCACCCAAATCTCATCTTGAATTGTAGTTCCCATAATCCCCATGTCATGGGAGGAACCAGGTGGAGATAATTGAATCATGAGGGGCAGTTTCTCCCATCCTATTCTTCTGATAGTGAGTTCTCACATGATCTGATGGTTTTATAAGGAACTTTCCCCCACCCTCACTTGGCACTTCTCCTTGCTGTCACCATGTGAAGAAGGATGTGTTTGTTTCCCCTTCTGCCATGATTGTAAGTTTACTGAGGCCTCCCCCGCCCTGAGGAACTATAAGTCAATTAACATCCTTCCTTTATAAATTACCCAGTCTCAGGTTTGTTCTTATAGTTGAGTGAGAATGGACTAATACAATAAATCAGTACTGGGTAGTGGGGCGCTGCTGTAAAGACACCCAAAAAAGTGGAAGCAACTTTGGGACTGGGTAACAGGCAGAGGCTGGAACAGTTGGGAGGGCTCAGAAGAAGGTAGGAAAATGTGGGAAAGTTTGAAAGAGATTGGAGGGCTCAGAAGACAGAAAGATGTGGGAAAGTTTGGAACTTCCTGGAGACTTGTTGAATGGCTTTGACCAAAATGCTGATAGTGATATGGACAATAAAGGCCAGGCTGAGGTGGTCTCAGCTGGAGATAAGTAACTTGTGGGGAACTGGAGTAAAGGTCATTCTTGCTATGCAAAGAGGCTGGTGGCATTTTGCCCCTCCCCTGGAGATCTGCAGAGCTTTGAACTTGAAAGAGATGATTTAGGGTATCTAGTGGAAGAAATGTCTAAGTAGTAAGTGTTAAAGAGGAAGCAGAGCATAAAAGTTTGAAAAATTTGCAGGCTGACAATGCAGTAGAAAAGCAAAACACATTTTCCGGAGAGAAATTCAAGTTGGCTGCAGAAATTTGCATAACTAACAAGAAGCCAAATGTTAATCACCAAGACAATGGGGGAAAGTGTCTCCAGGACATGTCTCATCACCCCTCCCATCACAGGCCTGGAGGCCTAGGAGGAAAAAATGGTCCCATGGGCCCAGGGCCCCCCCACTGTGTGCAGTCTAGGGACTTGGTGCCGTGTCCCAACTGCTCCAGCTATGGCTAAAAGGGATCAACATACAGCTCAGACTATTGCATCAGAGAATGGCAGCTCCAAGCCTTGGCAGCTTCCACATGGTGTTGGGCCTGCAGGTGTGCAGAAGACAAGAATTGAGGTTTGGGAACTTCCGCCTAGCTTTCAGAGGATGTATGGAAATGCCTGGATGTCCAGGCAGAGGATGTGCTGCAGGGGCAGAGCCCTAATGAATGAAGTACCTCTGCTAAGGTAGTGTGGAAGGGAAATGTGGGGTCAGACCCCCCACACAGAGTCCCCACTGGGGTACTGCCTGGTGAATCTGTGAGAAGGGGGCCACCATCCTCCAGACCTCAGAATGGTAGATCCACCAACACCTTGCATCGTGTGCCTGGAAAAGCCACAGACACTCAATGCCAGCCTGTGAAAGGAGCCAGAAGGAGGGCTGTACCCAGCAAAGCCACAGGGGCCGAGCTGCCCAAGGCTGTGGGAGCTACCTCTTGCATCAGCATGCCCTGGATGTAAGATATGGAGTCAAAGGAGATCATTTGGTAACTTTGAGGTTTAATGACTGCCCCATTGGGTTTCAGACTTGCATGGGGACTGTAGGCCCTTTGCTTTGGCCAATTTCTCCTATTTGGAATGTGTGTAGTTACCCATTGCCTGTACCGCTATTGTATCTAGGAAGTAACTAACTTGCTTTTGCTTTTACAGGCTTGTAGGCAGAAGGGACATGCCTTGCCTCAGATGAGACTTTGGACTTGAACTTTTGAGTTAATGCTGGAATGAGTTAACACTGTGGGGGACTCTTGGAAGGGCATGATTTTGTTTTGAATGGTGAGAACATGAGATTTGGGAGGGGCCAAGTGTGAGTTTGGCTGTGTCCCAACCCAAATCTCATCTTGAATTGTAGTTCCCATAATCCCCATGTGTTGTGGGAGGAACCAGGTGGAGATAATTGAATCATGGGGGCAGTTTCCCCCATTCTGTTCTAATGATAGTGAATTAGTTCTCATGAAATCTGATGGTTTCAAAAGGGGCTTTCCCTGTTCCTCACTCGGCACTTCTCTCTTGCCTGCTGCCATGTAAGACATGCCTTTGCTTCTCCTTTGCTTTCAGCCATGATTGTGAGGCCTTCCCAGCCACGTAGAATTGTAAGTCCATTAAATCTATTCTTCTGGCCAGGTGTGGTGGCTCATGCCTGTAATCCTAGCACTTTGGGAGGCTGAGGTGGGTGGGATTTGACACCAGTCTAGCCAACATGGTGAAACTCTGTCTCTACTAAAAATACAAAAAAAAGAAAAAAATTAGCCAGGCATGGTGGTGAGCATCTGCAATCCTAGCTGTTCAGGAGGCCGAGGCAGGAGAATAGCTTGAACCCCAGAGGTGGAGGTGGCAGTGAGCCAAGATTGAGCCACTGCACTCCAGCCTGGGTGACAGAGCGAGACTCTGTCTCTAAATAAATAAATAAATAAATAAATAAAAACCTATTTTTCTTTACAACTTACTCTGTCTTGGGTATTTCTTCCCAGCAGTACAAAAATGGACTAATACATGGGGTACTGTATTTACTAGAATACTATGTATTAGAATGGGGTAAACTTTAAAGAGTAATTAACACCAGTTCTGCATTTCTTATAGAAAAACAACAGGAAGGAAGATTTTATAATTCATTTTACGAGAGTATTATCCTAATAACAAAATGAAACAAACACAATTTATAAAAACAAAACCATAGAGCAATATTTCTTATGAATACAGATGTAAAATCCTTAGCAAAATTTTAGCAAATAAAATTTAACAATATATGAAAAGAATTACACACAAAGACACACACAAAGGTGGTTTTATTCCAGGGATGCAATGCTGGTTCAACATTTGAAAGGCAACCAATGTATTCTACTTCACTAACAAACTAAAGAAAAAAAGATCACATGATCATAATAATTGATGCAGAAATAGCAGCTGACAAAATTCAACACCATTCATAAAAACCACTCTCAGAAAAACTAGGAATAGAGAAAAATTTCTCCAACTTAAAAAATAACACTATCTACAGCTAATATCCTGCTTATAAATGGTACAGTCTTTCATAATTCCATCCAATAATTAGCTCCACTTTATAAGATGTTAAGAAAGAAATCTAGAGCCAGTAGTATGCTGGAGTACACTGCACTGGCTCATAAGAGCAGATTAAGTACATTTCTTCTGAAATCCATGTTCAGTGACATCTCACTGGTAGATTGAAATTGATTATGGTGGCCTTTTTTTTTTCTTAGTCAGTTGTTAATTATTTACAAGCACAGAACCACCCAAGGTTGTCTAGCATCCCTATAAAACGGACTTGAAATAGAAGTTTGAGTTCAGAAAAATCAGGTTTCAATTTCTTGTAGATCTGAATGGTGAAATGGAGAGACAAATCTGATGCACTGTAACTCGTGTAGGTTAGACACGTAACTGAGATTCTGGGAGGTAAAACTATAGTTTACAGTCTTCCTATACTATATAACAAAGCTCTTGACCTTAGATTTTCAGGGAGAAAAACTGTTCTGCAAGTGAAAATTTACATAATGCTCAGATTATTGTAATGACCGTTTAAAATAACAATCTAACTATAAGATCAGTGCTCAGATAATCTCTCTTTATTCATTCAACATTTATGTGACAAATACTTATTGGGGGCTTTTTATATGATCGAAACTGTTCTGTTTATGTTGGAAAGAGAGAAGAAGAAAAGTAAACAAATAAATTAATTTTACAGAGCCTGTAATGAGAGTAACATGGTGATATGAAAGACTTGAGAATGTTTTGTAATTGGGTGGTCAGCAAAGATATCTCAAAATATGATATATCAATATTTGAATGATAAGCAAAAGATAGCCATGCTGAAAACTCAGGGTGGATGTGTAAAAATGAAATATAATCTAAAGATACAGTCAGAGTTTACTAATTAATATATGGAAAACTGTAGTATGACTTTCTGAGAAAATAGTCCCTCAATATTATAAAATAAAAATAGTAGAAATTGTCTTTATTAATAATTTTTCTACTCTTCAGCTTTCTAATGAAGCATGTAATGCCCCCTTATTGACACATGATGGTTACTCTGAAGGTCTTTGAATCCATATTTTGTCTTGGTTTATATTTGTCTTTTATTTGGGAAAGCAATTTTTAATGAATTCTCAAAATTATAGGAGAAAGATATTTTGTCTTGTGTGTATTATGTTCACAATATAACTTTTTAACAAATATTCTATAACTGGATTGTGGTTTATGCTCCTAGCCTTATTTATTCATAACAGAGTATATAACTGTTTAAAATTAATACAATCATTGAATTGATTCTTCAAAGTAAATTTCTCCTTTACCGATTTTCACAATTTTCACTTATTAGTATTATCAGAACAGGAAAAACTTCAGCTTCAATAAGAAGCCTGTTTTCCTGCTTGAGGTAGGATACATGAACTGAGGTTAGTTAGAATCTGTGTGCATGTAGGCTAGACATCGATATTTGTGATGTAAGTAAACAGAAAGTTTTAAAATTATAAAAAATCCATTGTACTTTTAAGAGGGAAAGTTAGACTAAGAAATTGAGAAGCGAGGCTATCATAATTTCCATTTGGCCCTAAGTGTAAGTGACTTTTGCTATATGATCTTCTATGGAATTTTTGGAGAAACTATTCTTGTTTATTTATATCATGTATTAATATTAATTCACCAATAATTCCAAGACATATACCCCAATTTACTTAGAACCCCTACCCTTCGATTTTTTGACATTTGTAAAATTAAAACTAAAATAAGCCTTTTTATATGCAAAGGACCACCGAACTAGTGCTATATTTCATGTCCATACTCAAAGTTGCACACGAACAACCATCTCTTTGAAATGCAAATGCACATAGAGGATTTCCTGGCAAATGCAGTCTTCAATTCTACTAGTGGAATAACATCCAAATAAGTTTCTGGCAGACAGAGTAATCCTTTACCTTAAATACTCAGAAAAACTCACCTGATCACAAAGAATGCTACCATTTCTAGTGCCAACTGTATCACAGTCACAGGGTTTGCAAACATCTATGGCCGAAGGATCTGCACCAACTTGTCGGAAAAAGTAATCCTTGCACAGCTCACAGTTCCTTCCTGCATCAGGGAAAGGTTATGCATTATGACTTCTAATTCATTAAAATCAGCTGCATAATTCAAAATTAAAGACTGTATTCCTTTGAGGGAATTCTATAATTTTCGGAACGTCCGTTTTAATGCACCTTTCATCTCTACCTGCCAATTTAGTGATCCAGAGCATATGAAACAATGAACCTGTTACAAACTGTGCTTTACTTCATTAAACTCCCATCTGTTATATAATACCACACTTCTAAAAAGCTGTGCTTTATAGGGGCCCATACATTTGGAAAGAGTTTGCTCCTAAACTTAAAACTTTATATCTGGGGCCAGGCACTTTATCTAAACTCAATACAGCAGGAGAAATTTCTACATATGTGGTAGATGATACTTATACAGTAAGAAGCAAGCAGGTATGTAGTATTGGAAATATTTTTCTAGAACTCAATCATGTAAAATGGGAGACTTCTCTTAATATAATTTATTATTCTGTAGTTAACACAATTAAAAACAAATGATTATGTTAGTGGCCATTATTTTTCATTTCAAAGATTGAAATAGAAATTCATTATATTTAGAGATACCAAGTACTTTTCATACTAAATACTAGAATAGCCTGACATATTAGATATATCAGGTAATTCCCATAGTTTATAATTTATAATTACAAATTTCCTTTGCTATATTATGTAATAAAAAACCTAAACTACAAGGAATTTTTAAAGTGAACGTGACTAGTGTATAAGATAATTGAAATAAGCTGAAGTAGAACTCAAGACTATCAATTCCCCCTTTAAACATGATGTACTTTGCTCAAAAAATATTGAAATTTCTCCAATATTTGAAGACTACAGAAATAATCAATAATCAATAATATGAAAACTCATATTCTGATAGATATTGGCTATTGAGCTAGTTAAAAATTAAATTGATTTATAATATTTCTAGACTATTTCCATTTACATATGCTGTTGACTCCCAAATCCATATCTCCAATCCAGAAATCTCTCTTTTATTTATGAATTAATGAATATTTATCGCGTGATTACTATGTACCAAATACTGTGCTAAGTGCTGTGTAATACAGTAGTAAACTAAATACACAATACCCATTGCATCTCTTTCACAAAGCTCTCTTACAGTCTAGGAGGTAAGAGGAATCTGAACTAAATAATACCAGGAGTAATACACATTTATAAACCATGATAAGCATAGTTGTCACTAACATGTGTAAGTGATTCTGATCTTCTCTAAAGCATCATGAGAGGATTTCCTTGAAGGAAAGAGCTTCAGAACTGTGTTTCCAACTGCCCCCAGGAGTTTCTCCTATGTCTCTTAGAAACCGAGTGAACATATCCACAACAGAACTTGCCATCTCCTCCCTCATCTCAATCCTCCTGTATTTTCTATCTCAATGGCTGGCACCAATGTTGAGCCTACTGCTCAAGCTAGAATGTAATGTTAGGTATCAGTCTTGGCTCTCCTTCCTTCCCTTGCCTACACTCTGCTCACAAAACACTCACTTTTTTATCCTAAATATCTCTTGGATCCATTTCTCTCTATCCGTACCATCTGAAATGTATTCTGACATTATTTCTCACCTGGACTATTGCAGCACCTCACTAACTAGTTTTCCCCAACCACTCTAACCTTCTCCAATCCATTTTTTACTTTATAACCAGGTGTATCTTTTAATAACAAGTAACTCATTATGCCCCTTTCCCATATAAAACCCTTAAGTGTCATCTCCTTGACCTTAGATAAAAGCCAAAGGCTTTATCATGGCTCCAGAGTCCTCTATGATATTGTCCTGCCTTCCTTCCTAATATCTCTTACCACCAGCCATTTGCCCATCTTATGGTTTTTCAAACGTGTCATTTTTCTCCCTCCTCTAGGCCACTGCACAAAATGTTTCCCTAATTGTAAGCCTTAGTTCACCATCCTAATCTTTCAACTGGTTAACTCCTACTGTCCTTGCCCTATCTTAGCAATCATCAGACAACTTTGTAATCATTCCTTTCAATAGTCTGTCTTTCCCACTGTACAATAACCCAAAGACAGAAAATTCATTGTCTTATTCATCTTCATGTCCCCAGCACCTACCCAAGATCTTGTGATATTTAAGTTATCAATAATCAGCCGATAAATGGATTCATGCTTAAGAGTACCACTTTGAAACCCATCAGATATATGCTATTATATTTCACAAATTCAGATGTTGGCCATTTCTTGCCTTTCAAAATAAGGATGGTATTTTTCAATGACTAGTCAAAGGCTTTGTAGTTTTAGAACAGGACTTTGATTATCATCGTCTCCATTTAATTAGTATTTTCAAAAAGAGTATTCTCAGACTACCAGTGTCCATGCCAAATCTGAATGAATGCCATCTCCACATGAGAATCCAGACATAAAGGACAATAAAGGGGACAAAAGGAAACTTACTTTAAGGATATGTGTTCAAAGTAAGCATTCCCGAGTTATTCTAAATATGGTTGTGGTTTAGTCAAATGGTGTGAACTCTTTAAAAAACAAAACAAAACAAAACAACAACAACAAAATCCTTTTCCTGAAAAGATATAGTTTAAGACTAGAGTGCTATTTCTGAAAACTACCTAGTGATTTGGAAATAGGAAGATTTGGTGAACTAGCTTTGATTTTCAAACTTAAAGGTATGAAAGTACATCCTTAAATAAGATAGCAATAACATAATTTAAAATAATATGCATTGTAGATAGAAGCACACAGGCCTCCAAACCAACTCAGGAATTTATTTGCTACTTACCTGTAGTGTTATGCTCACAATCATCACAAACTCCTCCTCCCCCTCTGAAGTGCTCAAAAGGAAATGGGTCTACAGAGATGTTGTAATGGCAGCTTTTGGAATGGCTGTTGCATTGACAAGGTTTACAATTGAAAGCGTAAACTTGATCACCTTGGCGGAAAGGCTTGTCATTATAAAGAGGCAAGCAGCGATCACACTAGAACAAAAAATATCAGAACAGTAAAGAAAATAAAGCTGTGATTTTCTTTCATTTTATTGATATGTTAGGCCTTTCACCAGAAGTAAAGCACATATCAGTGAGTTAAAAGTCAGCAATGATTTTATTTGAAAAATATTTCGTAAGTCAGAAATAGCATATTTACGGGCATGGTAGGGTGGAATTGTAAAAGTGACCATGCAAACTTGAACCATGGAAAATGATCTTTTTTTTTCTTAATTTTTAATTTTTGTGGGTACGTAGTAGGTGTATGTATTTATAGGCTACATGGGATGTTTTGAAAAAGAGATACAACGTGTAATCATCACATCTTGGAAAATGCGACATCTATCCCCTCAAGTGTTTAACCTTTGTGTTACAAACATGCAAAGTGATCTTAATAATCAACAGGAAAGGTTATGATAGCTCTAAGACTTTGTAAAACTTCAACATGTTAACAACTCTCCAATGCTGGTTATAAATGTAAAGAAATAAACCAGTAAAAATGACCATTTATTTAGTACTCTGTAATTTAAAACATTAAAAACTTGGAGAAGTTGTTTTAGTCCTTTGTAAAATACTCACTAAAAGTACTTTGAACAGTGCTTGCCTTCATCTCACCTATAACTTATCACACTGAACACAAGCATCTTTTTTTTTTTTTTTTTTTTTGAGATGGAGTCTCACTCTGTTCCCCAGGCTGGAGTGCAGTGGCATGATCTCTGCCCACTGCAAGCTCCGCCTCACGGGTTCAAGCGATTCTCCCGCCTCAGCCTCCCAAGTAGCTGAGACTACAGGCGCCCGCCACCACGCTTGGCTAATTTTTTGTATTTTTAGTAGAGACGGGGTTTCACCCTGTTAGCCAGCATGGTCTCGATCTCCTGACCTCGTGTTCTGCCCACCTCGGCCGCCCAAAGTGCTGGGATTACAGGCGTGAGCCACCGCACCCGGCCACTTCTTTTCTATGCCTTGGTGAATTGTCACGCTCCTTTCTAAGTTTGAATCAGCTTCCAACATTTTAACTTTTATGCTTTTAGTGTTGTGAAGTACCTGTGAGAATTCCTCTAATGTGAAGTGTTTGGGTGTCACTTCCTCCAGGACATCTTCACCCTATTTGTGGCAAGCACTTCCCTCACTTATGTTAAGTTCACCTTCACTAAGTAGCTCTGGCTACGTATTCAGAATCTCTCAAACCTCAGTAGTGACTATTTCTTCTATGACTCCACTTAGGTTCAATCTGAATTTTACTTCAAGTATTTTCTTTCTTTGCAGTGCTTTCCTCTTTGCTGTCCAATTCCTCTTCTTTTTTGAATATCTGTGTTTGTAAAGTGTCACTCGGGTTTATCACTCACAAGGAGGCAACACAACCACACGCTTCTCTTCTATAAATAAACTGAATGATAAATGTGTAGTGCGCAATCACCAACAGATACTGAAAAAAATAAACGTGATCGGTCACTGATCACAATGTGCATCTGTTATTTTATGTGGTAATTTGTGGACTGCAGAGCCAGCAGCAATGTTTGTTTATGTAATTACTCACAGTAATATTCAATGTTACCCAACACTTGAGTTACGTTGTTGGAGGACTGTTAGCATTTAACTAAACTATGATAACTGATATTCATGCATATCAGAATTGTGTAAGGAGAGAACTGCCTGTATAACTGTAAGACAAAATTTACTCAAATTATGTAATAGGTCTGTTATGTACTGGAACAAATAAAAAAACCTGGATATATGTTTTATAATTAATTATTTTAACTTTCTAATATAAATACAATTTATGGACAAAGCAAAATTTTTTCCATAGATTTAAATAACAATTCAACTGAACTGAGTTTAGTATAACTATAGACATAATAAAAATATTCTTTATAAAACAAAGGCAGGAGGTAGAAAATTAAAAGCACTGGTAATTTGACTAGCAAATGATAAGTCAAAATGTCAACATGAGATAATTTCTTTCAAATTTGTATATGCATATATTTCTTCTTTTCAAAATTATGAATATACATGGGTATTGTGTTATTAAAAATCATATATTTTGTATTACTACATAGTTTTGTATAATTAAACATCATGTATTTTGCTGCATTATTTCTTATATTTCTCATAAAATAACATTCAACCCTTCTGCAATCATTACACATTTAGTTTTTTTTTTTCCATTTTATTTTGGGGATCGGGAGTGGATATATATCTAAGTATTACCTTAAGAAAATTATGAGATGAAATTACATTATCAAAGAGTATAAACATTTTAAAGATTTTGTTAAATATGGTCAAATTCCTTCTAGAAAAATTAAACTCATACTCACACCAGCAATATCTGAGAATGTCCATTTTCTTGTGTTCTGCCCATAATTGTTATATCTTCACTATTTTGATTTTAGATAATATGTCAATTACTGTTTTAGTATTTATGTCTTTGGATACTAGTAATGCCAATCTTCACCTAGTTCTTGGTTAGATATAGTCCTTTTTGAGAAAATTATTCATTTTTCTTTAGTATACTCTTTTTTAATTGACTTTAAAGATTTTATCAGATATTAGAATTTTCCTTTGCCTGTAAAACAGTGAAGATTTAGTTCATAATTTTAAATATACAGTTATATTTATTTCCTTCCCCTACTTTATTGGCCAGAATTTTCAGCATAATAGTTAATTTATATGGTATAGTAGTGTGATAGGCATAATTATCTTTTTACTCATTTTAATGAAAATGTCTATAATGTTGCAGCTTTTATAGTATTGACTATTGATTTTACATAGACAATTTTTATCATTTTGAAGAAGAAATTGCTACTTCAAAACAACCAATATGGATTTTTGTAAAAAAATAAAAAAATATTGTCAATTTTATTAAATGTTCTGATTTAATTGTTTGACCTATTGAATTGATAAATTATACAATAGGTTAGTAGGCTAATTGGAGTCTGTGCTTGCATTTTTTAATAAACCCAACATCATTAATAGTAAATAAAGCCAAGTAAAAAAAAATTTAGGAGTTTTACATTTATAATCATAAATGAGATTTATCTAGGTTTGATAAAGACTTTTATTAAAATAAATACACCTTAGAATTTTAATAGGTAATTATATGTATTTGTATTTATAAAGTTAATTTTGATATCTGAATGATCAGAAAATTCTCATTTTGCATACACACTGAAACCAATTACATTTTATCAAATTATATTTCATGTAAAGTACAATAAATTCAAGACAAGATTTATAATAAGTAAATACCAGGATTTCTGAAAATCATTTTTCTCACTCTCCATTTGCTGTGAAATACTTAATGTGACTTCCCTAAGTGCCCAGCATATGCCAGAGTTACATGTTAAATTATGAATCAGGGGAGTCAAACCATGTAAAGTAATGTCTCTCTGTTTATCCAAGATAATGGTCCTTTGCTCTTTGTTTTATATTAACATTGTTAAAAACTATTTTCATATTGGGACAACAAAGGTTATTCTATTGTTCTATTTTAATACAGAATAAATAGTAACACATATTTAGTATTTTAGAACAGTTTGACATATTTCATAATCATCATTGGAACATACACTAGTCAAAAGCATTTTTTTTTGGCCAGTATTTACTTTTCCCCACTAGTTCAATTTCTTCCTTTAACAATCTTAAAGGGAGAAGATAAAACATAAGAATGTAGTTGTCCAGTGTGTTGCTGTTTAATGGTATTCCAAAATTTTAGCATGAAAACAAAGTGAGTTTTTTCTACTTAGCTGGGGAGAGAGAAAAAGACAAAAAGGAGAAAAAATAATAAGAATGTAAACATTAGGTCACACTGTTTATATCAGGTAGTGCTACTTTTTAATAATTGGTAAAAAATAATTCACCCTTTTGGTCATTTTACAATGGTCAAGTTAAACTCTATGGTCAATTAAAATATCACTGTAATATTCTTTTTGGAGTGATAAAGATTATTTTTCCCCACAATCATTTGCAAACCTTTAGGCTAAGGTAGTTGTCCCGCTTCTCATCTCTCAGAGTACTCTATTAATACCTCAATCTTGCTCCTGTCACTCTACTGAAATGATTGGCTTCTGTATATGTATCTTTCAGGAAATACAAGTTATTGACTTTATATTCTCTGTATCATCCATGCATTAGGAGCATGATAGACAATTGCTAAGCTGTTAGCTGACAATTCACAATTAATAATGATATTAATGTCCAAAGAAAGTTGTTCTTGAGGGAATTTAGAGAGGAGACAGAATGAGAACAATTCACAAACAAGGTGACATTTATGGAAAGTCTTCAGAATTGACTGTTAGGTGATGATTTGCAATAAAAACCACTTACAAATATAAAATGAAACTCACTTCATAAAAGAAGAATATGTGGCAACCATTAAAATATTGTCAGCTATGGGTCTTTAGCCAAAAAAATTTAAAGTGGGGAAATTGACCTCTTTACATTTCCCTCACCAGCAATGCCCATCTGCAAATCAAATTTATTTCATAAAATCAAAAGTTAGAGATTTAGGTACAGGCTGGGAGTCAGACAGCTTAGTTCTATTATTGGTGCTGCTGTTTCCTAACTGCAAAAAGGCCACTGTGAAAAGTAACATCAAATGCATACTCTCATTTGATGAGTATACTCTCATCAAATGAGAGTATACTCTGGTTACTATATTAAACATTTAAAATGGGTTGTTTCATTGCATCTTTTAGGCCTGGGTGATACAATATCTCACATCTAACTTCTGTTTCTTGATTTGCTAGCCCTGTGTTCTTGAGTAATTGCCTGTACCTCTTTAATCCTTATTTTTCTCACTCATAATATGAGAGTAATAATACTTCTCTCATAAGGTTGCTGTAAAGACCAATCAGTTATCAAAGTGCTTGTCACACAGTTGGCCCTCAGCAAACTTGCCTACTACTTTGATCGTTATTGGATTCACGACAGAGGATTAAAGAGGTTAAGTAACATTAACAATGACAATGGACAGTTAGTTACTCCTAGAGTCCTCTTTACTTCTATGAATCTTAGTTTCTTCATCTTCAAAATGAAGATAACTTAATAGAATGTCTTACTTTTATCTGACTCAAAATAATCTTAGGATAAGTGGTAATATATAAATAATGCCCAAAACAAATCCTGGAAGTTATTACATGCTCAAACCTGAAAGTCAGAATATGGAAGAGGAGGAAAAAGAAGGAAGAGAGGGGTAAAAATCCAACAGAATTGTTGATCTCAAGTTTGACCAGCACCAGCAGTATATGACTGTCACTATGCTATATATAGTCTATAACCATTAAAAGGTGATTCTGTGATTTATAAATGCACTGGTCTACGATCTGCTTTGGAGGAGGTAGCCTACAGAGTGGAGCAAGAAGAAATTTATGACCAAAATTTATTTCTGGTTAATTTGATCATCTGTAGTTATAACTACAGAGGAGGTCCTATCTATTGACAATACTTCCTAAGAGCCATCAGACATAACTATTACTTCTTCTAGTAGCCCTATGTGTGGGGACGATATGTTCTAATTGGATAAATGAAAGAATAGATGAAAACTTGCCTTCTGACTTCTTGGATTTGAAGGAGAGAAATGAGCTCATTAAGCTGTCTTCCCCAGTTCAATTAGCCATGCAATTTACCTGATTCCCAATATTTTAAAAACCCTATTCCATCGTAAAACTTTTGCCAAAGGCAAAATTTTGCTGTAACACAATGCCCTGAGCCTATTTTTCTCTTGACTTCAAAGCATTCTCATTGAAGAATTTGTTTACTCTATGGTGGTTTTTATTATTCAAGTTGTGCTTTCTTAAATGTAAGTTGGTGGAAGTGATGAGATGGAAACTGTGGTCCTGTCATACTGATTTCAGATGCAGTTTGTCTTTTACAAAACAACTGCTGGCTGTTTGAGTTTGGTATATTGCCTACATGAGTTAGTGGAGCAAATCCAGCAAAAGCATTCCTTTGCTATTTCTAGGAAGACATTTTTGCTTTTTGATTATAATCTTTAAAAAATCTAATTTCAGATTTTATACTTAACGTCAGCCCAAAAGCCATTATCAAAAAGCCTAATTGTAAATAAGACTGGACTAAATGCTGTATCAATGTCCAAAGACACAGTCCTGGCTGCCTTAATGTTTAAAGCCAAAGACAAATTTTACCAGTGACCCAATGGAATGGTTCTGGTCCTGCCAAACTACTTGTTATTGAAAATGGCTGGCCTTTCTTTTGTGGAGAAAAAAACCCTGCAGATATATGGATAACCTGTTCTGTTTTCCTGAAGAAAACAAGCATAGCTGTTATTTTTTGATTCTCAAATTATTATTTTTTAGATTATGATAATACCAGGGTGAAAGGAATTTGTAGAAAGGGCCAGTGCAGAACACTGCTTGTAGGAGAGGAGTTTATCCACTCCTTTTAGGAGGAGCAACATATGTATACATTCCACAGGACCCAGAAATTCCACTGAGAATTTAGGAGAATACTTTTTTTTTTTTTTTGAGACGGAGTCTCACTCTGTCGCCCAGGCTGGAGTGCAGTGGCGCAATCTTGGCTCACTGCAAGCTCCACCTCCCAGGTTCACACCATTCTCCTGCCTCAACCTCCCGAGTAGCTGGAACTACAGGCACCTGCCACCACGCCCGGCTAATTTGTTTTGTATTTTTAGTAGAGACGGGGTTTCACCATGTTAGCCAGGATGGTCTCCATCTCCTGACCTCGTGATCCACCCGCCTCGGCCTCCCAAAGTGCTAGGTTTACAGGCGTGAGCCACCGTGCCTGTCCGAGAATATGTTTTTAAAGCTGCTTGATAAAGATTTTCTGTTTTAATAATGGGGTGTTGATAATACTGAAGAGAAGGAAACAAATTAAATGCCCAAAAGCAAGAGAGTGGTTTAAGATGTTCCAATTCCTAAAAAAAAAAAGGCTAACATTTATAAATATAAATAGAGAAATATATTCATAATACAGCTTGAATTGAAAATCAAGTTAAAAATAATATACAGAGTATAATCCTCTATTCTAGATAAAGGTGGACTTATCTATAGATATAAATATGCAATTTTAAGAAGATAGAGACAGATGAGACAGGTTTACTAATAATAACAATAATATAATGCCTGAAAGTATATAAACTAAGATTATTGGCTGGGGTTACCGGTGGGTGGTAGGTTTACAGATAAAGTTTATAACTTTATTTTTTCCACAGTGTACATTTATTACTAATGTATTAAAAATTGAGAGCAAATAAAATGTAACTGCATGGATAGTTACAAGATAATTATACATCATTTGCATGTAACATTTCACTAAGAAAACCTAAGAAAATTAATATGTTTCAGTTTTAAATTACACACAGATGAGCAAAAATCTGCAGAAAAAATGATTCTCTTTTCAACTACTATGTAAGCTAAAAAGTTTTTGAGCCACCAGTAAACAGAGTATGATTTGTAAAAAATATACATTTTTTCCAAAACAATGGGATTAATATACAGAAGCAAAGATTTTGAGAGATGATGCCTAAATTTGTTTTAAAATTTGATTTAAGACATATGCAACTAAATGACACACCAATGCCTATTTGGGTCTTTGATCCTAAAGATGATACTGTTCTATTATCATTTTGTATGGTTTGCAAAGACAGAAGGAATACTTTGTAGTCTATTCTTTGATTATAAAGTTTCATGAAGTATTAAATTCTTGGTCCCATAATTGGTTCTTAACAACTCGTTTCAGATAATACAAGGATAACCATGACAAAATGGAAGAAATAATAATTGGTAAGTGCATTATAAGTAAATTTTTGAATTCTCATAATTTTCAACTGCCTTTTCTACCAGTGATTTTAAAGTTTGATTTAAAATCAAGAACTCTGTGTGTATCTTATATTTTAGGCAGCTCCTGAAGCAAATGGTTTTCTATTTCATGTTTTCCCAATCTCCAGTTGATCATTTGTCACTTTCAATTATGTTTCGGTTTCTTCTGTAACAACTGGATTCCCCCGATATGTCCCTGAATGCCCAAATTATGAGATTAGACAATGGCTATATCAGGGTCAAGGACCTTTACCACTGATTCATTTAACTGCTTTCATTTTGATAGCTTCTTAAAGGCTACTAATCAACTCCGCTAAGTTGCAGCCAAATACTTTGACATGTTCAGGTATGAAAATCATTGAATAGTCATTGAATCTAGAAGACACTGATGAAATTTATTTTATTACATTATATTCTAATAATACACAATGACAGTTATTTCTTATGGATCATTAAACTGAAGTATAGTGTTTCTTCGTTACCATTACAGAGCAGCAAAGACAATCTTTCAAAGATAACCCATAGTCTCCAAAGCATTTTTATCAACTCCACTCCTGATAGACTCAATGTTTTTTTTTTTTTTTTTTTGGAGATAAAGGACAGAGTCTTGCTCTGTTGCCCAGGTTGGAGCCCAGGCACTATCTGGGCTCACTGAAACCTCCACCACCCACGTTCAAGAGATTCTCATGCCTCAGCCTCCCGAGTATCTGGTACTACAGGCACACATCACCATGCCCAGCTAATTTTTGTATTTTTTGGTAGAGACAGGGTTTCACCTTGTTGCCCAGGCTCGTCTCAAACTCCTGACTTCAAGTGATCCGCCCACCTCGGCCTACCAAAGTTCTGGGATTACAGGCGGGAGCCACCATGACAAGCCACACACTCAATTTTACTTATTTCTTAACACCTTCAAATTTACAGAGAAAGTAGAAACTTGTGTAAAATACAAGTTTAAGTAATTTAACTGCAAGAGCAATTTATTTATTCAGTCACTTATACAACAATCTTAAATGCCTACTATGTATCTTTGAAAAAAGAAGGAAGAAAAATATCCTCTTAGACAAAGATATATGAAGTCCTTGCAAAAGGCTGGGGGCTAGGGAGAAAATTTCCCTTCAAGGTCCTGAGAGCTCCCAGTGTCAATGACCTTTGGAAGCTTAAGTTCATAATGATCACAATGAGTCATCGAAAACAACTTGTCTTCAATATGTTGAAGAAGTGCCTAGAAGGAGCCCTAGAACATAGTAGGTACTCAATTTATATATCTGGATGTTTTCCTTCAAAGACCTCACTTCTAATCTCCATGTTTATACTGGCTTCAGGGACCGAAAATAGTATTCGAGGGAGAGAGGTGTTGACTGGAGTCACTCTGGCTCAGTCCATCTTTACTTTCTGCTGAGTCTAAACTGGACAGCAAAGCCCTAGAAACCAAAAGATGTAGTTATTCCACTCCTGGCTATAAAATTTAGAGATATGGATGCAGCACTGCCTATGTGAGAAGGAGAGAAAGACAATCTGCTTCAAAGTGAAAGATTATAAAATGATCACTTTTTAGTACTGTTACAGTACTGCTCACTGAATAAAAGAGGTAATTTTTTTAACTATTCCCAGATGGCCTGAATGAATTGCAGACCCTCTGAAAATCTGTACATTTTCCCTTTCTCATCAGTAGAAACCAGCCCCCTATGTTGGAAATGTTAAGAGCCTAAATCTCTAATAATAGTAATTGTCCTCCGGCTCTATTCAAGGCTTCCCCTTTCCTCTGGCTGGAGCAATTCCATGGTAATTCAAAGGATCCAGTTTCACTGTGATTTGTCTACTAGGTAGAGAAATCATCTTTATAAACATAAAAACTTTAGTGTACTCAGGTATCTTTTTTCCAATGGAAGTGTCCCTAGGTAGCTCTAATGTTCCCATGGCAAAGGTAATGTTAGACAAACTTGTTAATTTATTATCAGTGATAGATTTCAGAGGGGAACACAGATAAAGTGCCCAACTACATAGAGAATCTAGACAGAAAATGGCTCTGTGCTTTGCACATGGGAGGTGATCATATATATTTGGTGAATGTGTGAGTGAATGTCCTAACAGACTCATTGCATTTATGACACATTACAGGACTGTACTTTAATGTGACTAGCATTTAATTGAATAGTAACATTAAAGGTTTAAAGGCAAATGCAATAATACTTCACCTGTGAATTTTTACCTACAGATTATGTAATTTCAATTGGAAAAGCCAAAACAAATACTATTCTTTACCACTGAGAAGACAGAAATGCCACGTGTTTATCCTTCAATGACATATCCCTTTTTCAGTAATTATCTTTCCCTTGGCTAGAAATTCTTACATAATTAAAGTGTTCACAGATACAATGTACTTACTCACTCTCTAGATACTGAAATTAATAGCATAAAATAAATAACTACTAATACTGTTGGACAATACTGATCAAACATAGGTGACAATACAATGACGACAAACACATCATACATAGTTACTTCAATATTTCAACTATTAATATAAGTGGCTATTTTTAGAAACATTCTAATTCAAGTAATGCCTAGTCTAATTCTATGGGTAAAGTGAAATGGAAGATTGGAAAATTATCCAATGAAACAAATTGTAATACGTGACATAAAACCTATATTTAGAAAAACAGAAACTCTAGGCAGGATTATTCGGATAATCCTTCAGTCTACATGTTGTCTATATATAAATATAATTGATAGCCTATTTTTTTAAACAGTATTTCCTTACTGTAGGCCTTGTGAATACAGAAGTAATTATGTCTAGTGGTTGAATGAGATGGAACCATTTGCATGAGAGGCCTTGCATTCTTATTTGTTAATTTTCAATACTGCATGTTGTTAGGTATTTGATTTCTCCTTTGAAATCTCTGTCCTTCTTTATTCCTTCTTCCTCTTATTTATGGATTGTTCAGGGCACTAAATAAAAAAGACACATGGGGACACACCACGTTCCCTTAAGAGAACAGAAGGAGGATTTTAAAGTTTATTCAAGATTGTAGATAGTGGACAAGATAAAGCAATTCTATTTTATTGCAACCATAATAATTTAACCCTATTGATATTCCAGGAAATATGGCCTGGAATAGAGACCATATTTATTCAGGATAACCTGCATTATTTTACAAAGGACTTCAATGAAGAAAAGCTTCATTCATTATATTAATATGGTGCTTACAGGCAACTCTCCAAAATAATATACATCATACAAATACGAATTCACATACTAAGAAGTATAAGGCGTTATTGATGTTTTTTAATATTTAAGATTCCTCTAAACTTAGTCAACTGGTATACAAGGTATTTGATTATTTAAATATAAAGGGTATTTCATATTAGAAATTTTTTGTAGTATTAGACTTGATTACTACATTAGTAAATTAAAAAACCCTTTCTTAAGTATTGCTGCATTTAAATTTTTCTTTAAGATTTAAAATGTCTATACTATTTATATTATTTGTTAATTACTAATTGTTAGCCTGAATCATTTGTTTGCACTGAAGTCATCTCTATTTATTATAGTAATTGGTGTCTGCCAGGGAATCTTTTTTGAATTTCACAAATGAAGGTCCTTCAATATTTTCAAATACTTGCATCTGTAATCAAGACATAATGGCTGTACTCTAGCATAATGCACTACACATAGAAGGCATTTATAAATATTTGTTGAGTGACTAAAGCTAGCAAATGATCAATCTTTACAGTAAAACTATAAATGTACACAGTAATCATGAATTTAGTAATGGTTATTCCATTGTGAATAGAGTCACCTCCACTCTGTCTTTAGTAGTAGCATGAGTATTTACATAGGTGATACATTCCTGATAGATTAATCAATCATATTATTGTGTTTAAGGGAAATTATACTGAAATATTAAAAATAAATTTATGAATAATTAAAAAAAGAATTGTACCATTTTATGTACCACTCAACTTAGAAACAAGATACTGCCATATATATTCCACTCCGCTAATAATATCTGAATTTAGTAGTATAGTAAGTAGTCCTGTTTTCCACAAGGAATACATTTGAAGACCTCCAGTAGATGCCAGATCTCTATGTGCCAAGTGACAGCAACTGGGTTTGGTACTATGTGTACTATGTAGTACATATTTTGGTTCCATATAGTACATATTTTCTGTTCATGTCTTCCAGTCACAAATTTAATGCTTTTTCAATCTGAACTAGGCACTTATCTAGCACTGCGGCCGTAACTTTTGCACTTTGTGGTTTGACAGCAAATCTAGCACTAATTTCTTTTTTTTTCACTATTTCACAGATAGAAGATTCATTATTATAATAGATCTTAGCAATCTCAGCATACTTTTTTTAATTTCCTTATTAAGTCAATAAGAGTGGGTTTGGTTTTTGTTTCTCTAGTTCCTTGAGGTGTGACCTTAGATTGTCTATTTGTGCTCTTTCAGACTTTTTGATATAGGCATTTAATGCTATGAACTTTCCTGTTAGCACCACCTTTGCTGTATCATGGAGGTTTTGATAGGTTGTGTCACTATATCAAACAATTCAGTTAAAGGACTTTTTTAATTTCCATCTTGATTTCATTGTTGACCCAAGAATCATTGAGAAGCAGGTTATTTAATTTCTATGTATTTGCATGGTTTTGAGGGTTCCTTTTTGAGTCGATTTCCAATTTTATTTCACGGTGGTCTGAGAGAGTACTTGATATAATTTCAGTTTTCTTAAATGTATTGAGACTTGTTTTGTGGCCTATCACATGGTGTATCTTGGAGGATGTTTCACCTGCTGATGAATAATGTATATTCTGCAGTTGTTGGGTAGAATGTTCTGTAAATATCTGTTAAGTACATTTGTTCTAAGTCATAGTTTAAGTCCACTGTTTCTTTGTTGACTTTCTGTCTTGATGATCTGTCTAGTGCTGTCAGTGGAGTACTGAAGTCCCCCACCATTATTGTGTTGCTGTTTATCTCATTTCTTAGGTTTAGTAGTAATTGTTTTCTAAATCTGGGAGCTCTGGAGTTAGGTGCATATATATTTAGAATTGTGATGTTTCCCTGTTGGACTAGTCCTTTTATCATTATATAATGTCCCTCTTTGTTAACTGCTGTTGCTTTGAAGTTTGTTTTGTCTGATATAAGAATAGCTACTGCTGTTTGCTTTTGGTGTCCATTTTCGTGGAATATCTTTTTCCACCTCTTTACCTTAAGTTTATGTGAGTCCTTATGTGTTAGATGAGTCTCTTGAGGACAGCAGATACTTGCTTGGTGAGTTCTTATCCTTTCTGCCATTCTGTATCTTTTAAGTGGTGCATTTAGGCCATTTACATTCAATGTTAGTGTTAGGATGTGAGATGCCTTTCTATTCATCATGCTATTTGTTGCCTGAATGCTTTTTTTTAAATTGTGTTTTTTTTTTATAGGTCCTGTGAGATTTATGCTTTAAGGAGGTTGTATTCTGGTGTATTTCAAGGATTTGTTTCAAAATTTAGAGCTGCTTTTAGCAGTTCTTGTAGTGCTAGCTTGGTGGTGATAAGTTCTCTAAACATTTGTTTGTCGGAAAAAGACTGTATTTTTCCTTCATTTAGGAAGCTTAATTTCACTGGATACAAAATTCCTGGCCAATAACTGTTTTGTTTAAGGAGGATAAGGATAGGACACCAATTCCTTCTAGCTTGCAGGGTTTCTGCTGAGAAATCTGCTGTTAATCTGACAGGTTTTCCTTCATAGGTTACCTGATGCTTTTGCCTCACAGCTCTTAAGATTCCTTCCTTCATCTTGACTTTAGATAACTTGATGACTATGTGCCTTGGCAATGACCTTTTTGTGATGAATTTCCCAGGTGTTCTTTCAGCTTCTTGTATTTGGATATCTAGATCTCTAGCAAGGTTGGGGACGTTTTCCTTGATTATTCCCTCAAATAGATTTTCCAAACGTTTAGATTTCTCTTCTTCCTTGGGAACACCAATTATTCTTAGATTTGGTCGTTTAACATAATCCCAAACTTCTTGGAGGCCTTGTTCATTTAATTTTTTTTTTTCTTTG
Source organism: Homo sapiens (assembly GCF_000001405.40). NCBI lineage: Eukaryota > Metazoa > Chordata > Mammalia > Primates > Hominidae > Homo > Homo sapiens. The sequence goes on from NC_000001.11 coordinate 216,306,224, forward strand.
TCTTTGTTTGATTGGGTTAATTCAAAAGCCTTGTCTTCAAGCTCTGGTGTTCTTCCTTCTACTTGTTGGATTCTATTGCTAAGACTTTCCAGTGTATTTTGCATTTTTCTAAGTGTGTCCTTAATTTCCAGAAATTATGATTGCTTCTTATTTATGCTATTTATTTATCTGGAGATTTTTCTGTTCATATCCTGTAACATTTTTGAAATTCCTTTGAGTTCATATTCACCTTTGGTGCCTCCTTCAGTCACTTAATAATCAACCTTCTGAGTTCTTTTTCTGGGAATTCAGAGTTTTCTTCTTGGTTTAGATCCATTGCTGGTAAGCTATTGTGATCTTTTGGGGATAATAAAGAACCTTGTTTTGTCATATTACTAGAACTGTTTTTCAGGTTGCTTTTCATTTGGTTAGACTATGTCAGAGGGAAGATCTGGGGCTCAAGTGCTGTTGTTCAGATTCTTTCTTCCCACAGGGTGCTCCCCAGATGTGGGTGTTCCCTAGATGTGGGTGCTCCCTGGATGTGGGTGCTCCAGGATGTGCCTTCCTGAGAGCTGAACTGCAGTGATTGTTGTTTCTCTTCTGGATCTAGCCACCCAGTGGAGCTAGCAGCCTCCAGACTGGTAGTGGGGAGTAACTGCAAACAGCCCTGTGATATGATCAGTCTTCAGGTCTCTTAGCCCTGGATACCAGCACCTGCTCTGGTGGAGATAGCAGGGGAGTGAAGTAGACTCTGTGAGGGTCCTTTGTTGTATTTTTGTTTATTGCACTAGTTTTGTGTTGGTTGGCCTTCAGACAGGAGGTGGCGCTTTCAAGAGAGCATCAACGGCAGTAGCATAGGGAGGATACAAGCTTGCTCTAGAGTCTCCTGGATAAGTTTCTCAGGCGGTGGTCAGGGCCATAGAGCTCTCAAGAGATTATGTCCTTTGTCTGGCTACGAGGGCAGGTAGAGAAAGGCCATCAGGTAGGGTCAGGGTTAGGTGTGTCTGAGCTTAGACTCTCCTTGGGCAGGCCTTGCTGAAGCTGCTCTGAGTGTTGGGGGTGTGGTTCTCAGGGCGATGGAGTTATGTTTCTAGGGGGATTATGGCTGCCTCTGCTACATCATACAGGTCACCAGGAAAGTAGGGGAAAGCTGGCAGTGAAAGGCCTCACCCAGCTCCCATGCAACCCAAAAGGCCAGTCTCACTCCCACAATACTCTCCACAACAGCACTGAGTTTATTTCCAGGCAATGGGTGAACAGGGCTGAGGACTTGCCCCTGCTCCAGGTCTCCCCACTGGAAAAGCAAGCAGGGGTTTCAGGTTTCACACCTCCCTGCCTGATGCAACTTCTGTGCTGTGTCTGCACTCCCAGTTCACCCTCACCCCCAGATTCTGCTAGGAAAGTTGGCATTCAGTCGAAATTGTTACAGAGTTCATCTGGAAGTTTCCTTCTCCTTGTGGTCTTTCCCCACTTCCACTGGCAGTCCTACCCAAGGACCCTAGGAGACAAAGTCAGAAATGGTTTTCCTGGGGGCTGAGAGAGTCCACAGGGCTCTTCCCCCTGCTTCCTTTACCCTTATATTTTGTTCAGCTCTCTAAGTTTGTCTCAGCTCCAGGTAAGGCCAAATCCATCACCTGTGACCTGGACCTTCAGGTTCCCCAGGAAGGCTATGTGTTCAGGGGTGGAAGATCCCCCTTTCACACTTTGGGCACTTACAGTTTTTCGGCTGTCTCCTGGAGCCTGCAGCAGCAATCTATTTCCTTCAAAGGATCTGTGGATTCTCGTGGCTTTCCTGGTATGTTGCTGCAGTAGTTCTTGGAGAAAAGTTCATGATGTGTGTCTTCACATGCTGCTCTGTCTGTCCGAGGGGGAGCTGCAAGTTAGTCCTGCCTCCTATCCTTTTATCAGTTTCTTCTTTCTATTTGTATGATTTTAAAATTTATATAAGTGTATACAGTGTATGTATTATTCTAAAACAAGCTTTCTGTAGTATGATTGTTTGAGAAGTCTGGTCATGTTGATGTGATAGCTATATTCCTTCATATCCACTACTGTAAAGTGTTCCACGTAGACATTTGCAAATTGTTTTCCATAGTGCAGCAGCACCTTCCCATAAGTGGTGTATGAGTCCCCACTTACCAGTTCCTGAAATTTCCAGATTTTGCCATCTTTGACAACTTGATGAGTATAAAATATTATCACATTCTTTTTTTTTAGTTTACTGATAACCAGTAAAGTTGCACATGTCTTTACATGTATATTGACCATTTCAGTTGCCACTTCTGGCTTCTTCTGTGAATTACTTGTTCACTTCTTTTGTCTGTTTTTCAAATAGTTTGCTTAATTTAAATGTTACCTTTGTCAGTTATATATGTGTTGTCTTGCTAATGACAACTGCTAGTATGTAGCTTTTCTTTCTTTTTATAAAAAGACATTTTTAATAAGAGATGTATTAAATTCTTCTATGCTGATGGTAGAACTTGCCAATTTCTCTTTCTGGTTCTATAAAATTCTGCTTTATACTTTTGAAACTATATTATGAGATGCATGTAAACTTAGAATTTTATACTTTATAATTATACAATAAGCCTCTTTTTCTTTAATGAAACAGTAATGTCTGTTTTGCCTAATATTTATGTAGCTCATGCTAGCTTTCTTAAATTTTCAAACTTGAAGTGTGCTTGTTTTTTGAGTATGTCTCTCACACCCTCAGCACAAGTACCATGCTGAGCTGCATTGCAGCATGAGGGCAAAGGAAAAATACGAACCTCTGTATACAACTAGAAAATATTTACCAATCTTTGGAGCCAAATGGAAAAAGTTAATAAACACTCTACAGTTTTAAAAAAATAGCTGTGTATAATGTCCCATCATGCCTAGTCTGTTTCTAGACGATTGTAAAACCTTCTATGAGACAGGTACATGCCAACCTTATAAAACTGGTAGGTAGGAATTATGGACTGATTAGAAACAACAGCTCCCATTACAAAATAACACAGGACCATAAAACAAGCAACACTAATGTGTCTTTACTTAAAATTTTGATTTTTAATTATACATTTCTAAATCATTTGACTTTTTGAAATATAACATAAAAATATTATAGATCTTGCTTAATAGGGTGTTTTTGGTGCTTTTGTAAAGTTTGTGATTAAGACATTCTCTTGCCCTAATTCAGCCTCTGCTCAGACAATAGGTGGATGTTGTTTTCTCTTTCAGCCAGACAGTCTCATAATTCTAATATGTTCAGCACATTTAGATTTGTTGTGATTGTTTATTTATTTGGAATTTCTATTTTCTATATATCCTTTTTCTTTCGTTCTCCTTTACTGCCTTATTTTGAAATGAGGTTGTTGTTTTTATTCCTTCCTAATACGTTGTTGAA